>NC_000005.10:146328659-146953659 GCF_000001405.40 Homo sapiens | reverse complement strand
CATTGGCCATTTTGCCATATTAACTTCTTCACTTGGTGGGATTCATTTTCTTCTGATAATTTAGCAAATTCAGTTTTGTATCACTTTATATCTTTTTGTGACTTAAATAACAAGTATTTGACCAACTCCATTAACACCACTGAATTCATTTTTGCCTTTCCTCCCCTAACTTATGTGAGGTTCCCATCGTTTGAAATAAAATGCTTGTTCTATAGTAATATATGGCAACTCAGTGACTTCTATGTTTGGAGCTGGTGTATCCATTGTGCCCTGGATGATAAAATTATACCCCGTATACCTTGGTAGCAACCTTGCAAATGAACTGGAGTATTACATTTCAGACATATTATAAATTGCAAATATAAATATGTCTGTGTAAGTATATGTGTATGTATTTTGAATGCAACAGCTACAGGTCGAGCAAATGAGGAGAGTAAATGCTTTATCAGAAGCCATGTTGCAGATTTATTCACAATCAGTAGTTTTGTTCAGATGCAGATTCATGTGCATTTCTTACTACACTTTCTAGTTTATAACTCAGTGCTCTGTTTTGATTAGCAGGAGGGCATGTAACTGAGTATCAGCCATTTAGCTTTTGGCTTGTGAAGCCAGGGATTCTAAATATTGTTTATCATTTTTACATATTTTATCTGTTAACCTCAGAGATGGGTTTTATTTTGAAACTTTGCAGCTATCTGCCTAAACTTACTATGATTTTAGTCCCCTACCCCTCTCACTTATTATCTGCTGTTTCTATTCATTTGCTAACATTTTGTCTGAAGTGGATAACCATCCAGGTCATCCATTTGCTAAAGCTTATGACTCTCACATACCTAGCAGCCAAGGTTAATCACATAATCTCACTCGCTCACACTTTCCACTGACCTTAGCTATAATCTATCACCAGACCAGATCCTGCGGTTCCAGACTATACAGATGGTGTTACTGCCTTTCTTATAACATTGTACCTTATAGAGTTCTTCAGTTGCAAGCAACGGAAACTGATCCTGGCTAAAGCTAGCAAAACAGGACATTGTTGGCAGAACATAGGTAGTTCAGCACATTGAAAATCTAGCTGAGAAAGGGTTGGAACTGGGCAGCTAGGGTGTCTATGTATCCAATTGACTGTCCCATCTGAAAGCTATTCCAGGAATTAATCGACCCCAACTTTTTTTCCCCATCCTTGTGTAGCTCAGCTCAATACCCAAAGTCTTGAGAGAGACAACGTGATCATTTTAACTTGGATCACATTCAAGGCATCCTGATTGACAGCCTCACTAAGATCACACACAGTGATGGAAAAGAGGTGCCCCAGCAGGATGCTGTTGTCTGTCAAAAAGAGTGAATGGATGGAGAAAAAAAAATCACCACAAGTACTTTATGGTGTTGTTTATCTTGGTTTGTAATAATAAGTGATCATTACAAAGGACTTGGTCATCCCAAAAAAAGGATTTAAAAAATCAACAGGGCAAGAAAGAAAGGGAGAGTTATTCCTTTACTCCCATGGGAAGATATTGAAGATCATGATAATAATATTTTCAGTTTACTCATATACGTAGAATTTTATTTGTAGAATCTTAGCATTACAAAAGTGCCAAAGATTATAAATTTCCATGATCCTCTAATGCCAGGGTGGATCACCTACATTAAGTCACTGAGGAGCTTTAAAAAAAAAAAAAAAAAAAGATTCTATGTAAATTAGTTCAACCATTGTGGAAGACACTGTGGCGATTCTCCAAAGATTTAGAACCAGAAACACCATTTGACCCAGCAATCCCATTACTGGGTATATACCCAAAGGTATATAAATCATTGTATTATAAAGATACATGTATGCATAGGTTCATTGCTACACTATTCACAATAGCAAACACATGGAATCAACCCAAATGCCCATCAGTGGTAGACCGGATTTTAAAAATGTGGTACCTATATACCATGCAATATTATGCAGCCATAAAAAGGAATGAGATCATGTCCTTTGCAGGGACATGGATGAAGCTTGGACTCATTATCCTCAGCAAACTAACACAGGAACGGAAAACCAAACACCTCAGGTTCTCACTTATAAGTGAGAGCTGAACAATGAGAACACATGAACTCAGGGAGAAGAAAAACACACTGGGGCCTATTGGGAGGGACCTGTCGGGAGATGGGGGAGAGCATCAGGAAAAATAGCTAATGCATACCGGGCTTAATACTTAGGTGGTGGGTTGATAGGTGCAGCAAATCACCATGGCACATATTTACCTATGTAACAAACCTGCACATCCTGCACATATACACTGGAACTTAATTTTTAAAAAAAAAAGGCATGAGGAACTTTAAACGGGGAATGGAAATGTTCTATATCTTAACTGTGTTGGTGGTTACTGGTTACATGGGTATAATAATTATCAAAACCCATCAAACTGTACACTTAAAATGCATACATTCTATTGTATATTATACCTCAATAAAGCTGATATTAAAAAAAAACAAACAAAAAAGAGATTCCAGAGTACCATTCTCAGAAATAATGCTTTATTTAAATCTGGAGTTCATCTCCAGGAGTGAATTTGAAGAACTGCCAAGTGGTAAGTGAGGTCTTAGATAGAAGGGCCATTTGCCTGGGTCTTTCAATCATGAAAAATCTCAAATTTAGATGCTTGACCTTATCTCTACCTGAGGTTGTATACCATCATAGTATACCAGGATTTAAAGATGACTGTATTTACACCCTTTAGTGTTTTATCCATATTGCCGAAAATTTTTGGCACTAAGAATTAAATATTTCTTATATATCTGTTAATTACCTGGTAAATGGCATACCTATGTTGTTTGTATCCTATTTTGTGCTAACAGCATTAATTTGTTCATGTAAACCTTGGAAATTATACCATGACTTTAGTCACCCTCTTTTGACATTTATTCAAGCAAGAGACTTGGTCTGTCTTGGCATCTGGGAGCATACAACCTGTGATGTTAGGTCCAGCACTTAGAGTCTTTCTAGGGATACTATGTACAGCCTAAACAGTGACTCTTTGGCTGTATATTTATTTTCACTACCTTTTAAAAGCATTAAAAAGAGCTGTCAGTACTTGGAAAAGTACTGATGTTTGGCCTTGTCTCAGAGCAGTTGAACCTGAACTTCAGGGGATGGGCCCCAAATGTCACCATATTTCAAGGTCTTTCCAGGTGATTCACTGTGCTGCCAACTTGAAACTTAAATTTTTTTTAAAAAATGTGACATAATTTTGGATAAGTAGAACAACTGTCAGGCTCTGTGCTCTGTCTTTGGCAGTGATATCAGCAAAGCTATTCATTTTTTTAATGGTGCTTTAAAAAGCTAACAGTACTTCTTTAACATAAATTATCTATCATGTTCAAAGTTCCCTGATTGCCTTATTTTTAATTTTTACAGGTAAAATGTAGGTATATATATTTATGAGGTACATGAGATATTTTAATACAGGCATACAATGCATAATAATCACATCGGGATAAATGGGGTGCCCATCTCCTCAAGCATTCATCATTTCTTTGCGTTACAAACCTTCCAATTATATCCTTTTAGCTATTTTTTAAAGTACAATAAATTATTGTTGACAGTAATCATTCTGTTGTGCTATCAAATACTGGCTCTTACTTATTTTTTCTAATTATATTTTTGTACCCATTAATCCCCACTCCTATCCCCACTACCCTTCCCAGCCTCTGGTAACCATCATTCTACTCTCTGTCTCCATGAGTTCAATTGTTTGTCTTTCTGTGCCTGGCTTATTTTACTTAACATAATGTACTCTAGTTCCATCCATGTTGTTGCAAATGACAGAATTTCATTCTTTTTTATGGCTGAATAGTATTTTATTGTGTATAGGTACCATGTTTTCTTTATTCATCTGTTGATGGACACTTAGGCTGCTTCCAAATCTTTGATACTGTTAATAGTGCTGAAATAAACATGGGAGTCCAGATAGCTCTTTGATGTACTGATTTCCTTTCTTTGGGGATATACCTGCTAGGTAGAGCTGGATTATATAGTAGCTCTATTTTTAGTTTTTTGAGGAATCTACATACTGTTCTACCTAGTGGTTGTACTAATTTACATCCCCACCAACAGCATAAGAGGCTTGCCTTTTCTCTACTTCCTCAGTGGCATTTGTTATTGCCTGTCTGGATAAAAACCATTATAACTGGTTTTTATTTTAACTGGGGTGAGATGATATCTCATTGTAGTTTGGATTTGCATTTCTCAGATGATCAATGACATTGAGCACTTTTATATATGCCTATTTGTCATTTGTATGTCTTCTTTGGAGAAATGTCTATTCAGAACTCTTGTCAATTTTTAAAATCAAATTATTAGATTTTTTTCCCATTGAGTTGTTTGAGCTCCTTATATGTTCTGGTTATTAATCTCATGTTGGATAGATAGTTTGCAAATATTTTCTCCCATTATGTTGGTTGTCTCTTCACTTTGTTGATTGTAAAAAAAAACTATTCTTGAAGCTTAATAGTACCACTCATGTCAAATGTTAGCAAACTCCTAATCATCTGTAAGTACCTAGCACATGTATCACCTTCACCATGCAGCATTCCTTGACCTATTCAGGCAAAAAGTTATTATCCTGTCTTTTATGCCAGGAATTACCCATGAAGTTCTGTTACAAGTACAGATACATGACCCCAAACCCAGTGTTTCAGAAGCTCCATGGGTGCCCTTTCTGAGATTCTGTGATTTTTAGCAAAGTCCTTAGATGAGTCTTATGTACAGCAGTTTCAGGAAACATTACTCTATGCCCTCATGGTATGTGTGCATACTTCTGTTGTTGCACATTCACTCAATTATAGTTACTTATTTACCTGTCAAATGTATCTACTAAACCATGAGCCTCTTGAAAGTAAGGATATTATCTTAATTTTAACTCTCAAGTCCAATCATAATGCCCTCTTAATAGAAGTTTTTGCACCAAATGAATGAATATGAACAAATCTCCCCAAATCAGCCAAATTTCCTTTAATGATTCATGATTTCTCATAGGAACACATGAATTTAAGAAAACAAAATTATAAAGATTAAGTTATTTCTTTTTTTCCCTTTGTTTTCTACTTAATATATAAGACTTAAAGAATTTAAGCCTTCTTTTCATTGTTACATTTATATTTTTGTGTACCTACATCAGGCACTATTAGAAACTAGAAATATAATAATAATAGCTAATATTTATTGAAATTTTACCATCTTCCAGGAACAGTATCAAGGACTTCACATGCATTAAGTCATTTCATCCTCCCAACTAACCTATAAGACAAATAGGTATTAACATTATCCCTCGTTGTATAAATGAGGAAACCAAGGCACAGACAGAGTAGATAATATATTTAAGCCAAACACCTAGGAAGCAGCAGAGCCAGTGTTTAAACCCAGGCAGTCTGCATCCAAAGACAGCTCATGCCCGTAACAATGTTTCCTGCCTCTGAATGTTGAATAAACATAGTCCCCAGTCTTAAAGCCTCATGGGAGAGACAGACAGTCTCAAAAAGTATTTGCATAAAGTGTTAAGGGTTTATAGGGTAAGGGAAACGATTATATGAACACAGCATGGCAAGTTTTAAATTTTGCCTTGAGAGGAGTAGGGGAAAAATATGAATGAAGAGAACTTGGCTTAGCCACACAACCCTGTGGTCTCATGAGTGCATGCCTTTGCTTATGCTACCACTTCATTAGGAATCCCTTTACAGAGAAGGTGATTGGGTTGAACATGAAAGGTGATTAGTGGGATTTCGCCTTGAGGAAAAGAAGAGAACGCAAGGGCATTCCTAATGAAGTGGTAGCATAAGCAAAAGCATGGACTCATGAGAACACAGGGTTGCATGGCTAAGCCAAGTTCACTTACAGCGGCTCCAAAGAAGGAAGTGGTAGATGGTGAGATGTGAAAGGACAGTGGTGAGAAAGGTGCATATGGCCGTTAGATCTCTCACAGAAAGTCTAAGTGATTTGAGCAACAAGAGAATGTATTGCCTCATCAAGCAGTCACAAAATAGGGCTGGCCCCAGGTATATAAGGCTTTAAACCATATGTTTAGTTAGGCACCTTGTGTCTTTCTTCTGGCCTCTCAACTTGGCTTCTGTCCCATTGGCTCTGTTCTCTGGCTGCAGCTCCAAGCCTCAATCATCTCATTACACAAAGCACCAAGCTCAGCGACTGAGACAGTCCACTTCTCCAACAGTTCCAGAAAAAACAGGAAATGAATTTCATTGACCAGATTTCAGTCACGTGCTGGTCCCTGTTGATCCTGATCCAATCACTAGAGGGCAGACTGCACAGATGTCTAAACCACATATTCAGGCTTTGGAAATTATGAAGTAGGCGCAAAGCACATGCAGGTAGAATAATGAAGAGATAGACCCCAAAGTAGAATTGGGGTGCTGTTGTCACAAGAAGAGAGCATAAATGCTGTGCAGAAATATAACAAATATCCACTGAAGTTGAAGTTCACATTTTGAGAGATCCTGAATGTTGTCTGTAAACTAACCAAGGCATCTGCCTCATATTATGGAATTTTTCCCTAAACGTTTAGTAATGAGCTTTGTCTGATTACTGACCTTGTGTAGATCTCTGGTTCCTTGGGGCTGAAACTGAAGAGCAGGTTGCTGTCTTTCCTTCAGTTGTGAGGATGTTCAACATAAAACAAGATGCAGGATTGAGCCTTGACTTTGGCTTTCTTGAGAAACACCCTCTCAGGCTTTCTCTGCTGAGTATTTTTTAAAGCTGTCTAAACGGATACCCCCACCCCTACCCCAACCACCCAATTCCCGTCCTATTGGCAGCCACTTTAGAAGGGAAGTGTGTGAGATGGGAATTGTTTAGATGGAAACAATCCTTCTGTAATGGCTTCGGCCTCCTCTGGCATGAATTGAGCATTTACAGTAGTGAAGCCATGTTTTATTTATGTTATTTCCTCAAGACCTCTGGTTAGCTTCTCAATTTGCAATGCAAATTAGACATAGAAAAGATTTTATATACTCTACATACAATTCTCCATACATCCACATTCAGTGACAAATTGTAATCTTTCGGCCTAACAGTTCTAGTGTAATTTTAGATAATAAAAATATTCACCACTTACAGTTCTAGCTTATGCTAATAGACCCACAGTCATCAGAGATGCTGAGACTAAGCAACAGACTTGGGACTCAGAAAAGTAACACTATTGATTGCACTGCCTTTTGAAAATGAAACTTGCAATGAAAGACTCTAACTTACACCCCAGAACTTGGAAGGAGGAGCAATTACCATGAATTCAAGCATCACTTGGCATGTGAGCTCTTGCTGTTGTCCTATCATACTCCAAGCAGTGGTGGGGGGACAGGGGGAAGACAGATATCAGAGCCACCTTTGAAAGATGGGAAAAAAAGACTTGTCTCTCTTCATCTGGTACTGCTTCAAGTTGATTGCTGAAGTGTGCACAGGGGTAGTTGGGCTATACTCGCTACTAGCTAATTGTATGTCCTTTTGTGTAAAGCTGTTGCTTAAGCGGCTACAGCGTTAAAAGGGAACACAGGGATAAAGAGATTTTAGATAAATCATTTTATAGAATCCACATGACTAACGGCTGGCTTGGCTCAAAAACTAAATTGTGAATTAGAATCGATAGCCCAAATGTAACAAATCTCACTCAGCCTCTGGTCACACTTCAGTCTCTGCACAATCCCAATATTTGTCTTTATAAGGTAAGAGTTGCCAGCAGCTGACGACACACTGACCATTAGGCAGGGGTCCATAGTAACACCTGGCTATTAGAAAGATCTGACACGTGTCTCAGCTCATTCTTGGAAACAATGGTTCTTCTTGCATACCATCAGTAACATTCTTTCTCAAATCGAATTGCCTTACACAATGATTTTCTGTCTTCAAAAATTAGACTTATGTGCACACAATATAAAACTATGTTATCCCTGATGACAAGGCTGAAAATGCTTTCCCCCACTGTCCTCTAAACTTTAGGAAAACAAATTGCTATTTTTATTTCCTATTGCCTCTCCAGTGGGTGCACCCTGGGCACACAGCCCTTAAAAAACATCATCAGCAGCTGCTATAGCAGCACAACTTTAGCTTCTTGTTACGAAAAGCCTCTGGGTTGCAGTGGGGAGCAAGGTAGTCAATATATCGGACTTGGACAGTGCCCAAACAACTATTACAATTCAGACCATGATTTCTGGCCCAATTCTGGAAAAGTATTTGCTTTCCAAGATAAAAATCTGTTTGGCAGAAAAGAAATGTTTGTTTTAAAATAAAATCCATTTGGTTAATAATTATCCACCCAGTTTTAGGTTGCTTTCCTCATTTCTGTAAATAAATTTTCCTACATTGCCTCTCCCAGTGATTGATGAAAAGTGGACTTAAATTTTGAGGAAGGAACCTGAAGAACATATCCAAGTCCTCACTACCCTGTTTGGTAATAGTTGCATCTAATGTCTTCTATTTTTCTTCCTGAATTAACTAGATAGTATAGTGTGTAGGAAGTACAAAGCAGGTATTCATCAGGAGTTACAGAGATTTAACATGGGTCATTAAAGTGCTGTATGTTGGCCTAATTTGAAAAATAATTCCCCAACTATGGCTAACGTATACTAGAAGTCAGTTTGTCTATCTGTGTAAATGAGGGTTTTGCAAATCTTAAGTTAGAACATATTTGTCAAAGAGTCAACACAGTAAGTTACAAGAGGGCATCTTTGGTTAAATAACAGAAGCTGATCTAATCACTAATTTGCCATACCTTTTCAATGAAAACAAACTATTAGACTCCTCTGAGAGACCAGATCAGACATTCGTTTTCTTCTTCCCTATTATCTAGATGCCCTTTTTTCATCACAGTATTTCTTTACCTTTAATAAATTGTTTTAAAGGTTGAGGACTACCAAGGGTGGAGGAAGGGCAGGGAAGCAAGGTTGCAAATGAATTTTACTGATAAAATCAGCCTTTTCAGGTGCTATCAACTTGAAATAAATAGAGCTCTTATACCACCTACACAGTCTTCCCGCTCCTGTGAGTATTCTTCCTTTTTTTTTCTCTTTAAATCATGGGACACAATTCTGCTTTCTCAGGAGATATATTGAATTTCAATCAAACTATATAAAACCCAGCCAAAGAAAATCTGGTACAGGTCAACCACTGTAATAATGTGGAAAGGCTAAGAATGCTGCTGTTATTTAATCTTGTGATTTCTCTGAACCTTTCAAATCGTTTGGCGTTTCCTTGGGTTGCATAATCTAATAATGAAAACAAAATAAGGTTGTGGGATCTACCTTTTCTTTCTTTCTCTCTCTGATCTAAAGCTTGAAAATCTCTTTTCAATCTCTTCCCTTCAATTAATGAAATAGTTTCCCACCCCACTCCCATCCTGCCTGGAGACACAATTGCCATGGTTACCTGGATACCTTTTCTCAAAGAATATATGTAGTGGCAATCGGCAATTTAGACGTCTCAGCGTATTGCACTTAGGAGCAGTAATGAGACCATTATGGAACTACTTGTAGTGAAAATACTATTGATGTTACAGTCTGAGATTAAAACTTTAATTTGTATTCATTTACTCCTTTAAAGAGATAAGGATGAGGAGGCTGGTCTCTGTAGCTAAATAGCAAGTTACTGACAGGAAATGTCATCCACTTGAGACAAGGTGTTGGGGCTGCCTCTCCTTGAACACATGTCAATGAGGCTGAAAGAATAGACAGAATCACCCACCAATCCAATACAAAGTTAGCAGTAAAAGGCCAGTGTGAAGAAGGGCGTATTTTGGGAGCAAGTGTTCCTCAATAGTGAATCCATGTGAAGGATCACGGAAAGAGATACGAAGGGATATTGTCTTCATTTTATCTGAAAACAGTGCTTGTTTCAGTAAGCTGGATTTGGATCCTCTCATATAACTCCTTACAGATTTTCTCTGGGGAAAGAATACTTCTCTCTGAGCTTATGCCTTTCTGCTATAAAAAAAAAAAATGAGTGCCTCTCTAAACCAGGGGTCTTAACATCAAGTCCATTCTAAAGAGTTGAAAGATGGTTGGCAAGTAATTTCAACTACTGATAATCAAAAGGCCCAAATGTGCCAAGATTGCAATTTAAAGAAAACACATTAAAATGGAGTCAAGATTAACCCTGTAATGTCATTTACTTTCTTACAACCTCATGGGCTGAATGGGAGAGAAAAGGGTTTAGTTACAGCAAGAATGTTGATAAATTCAATTAACTATGAGTACTGAAGCTAAAAGTACTGCTTATTACCATGGCTCAACATTATGTCCCTGATTACTTTTTGAGTATGCATTTTTCTGTGAATTAGTACAAGGCCTTTGATTAAATGAAACTGATCTCTTGGAAAGGCAAACAGGAAACACACTAAATTTCCCATTCACATTCCCAAACAATGTAATTTTGAGTGACTTAATAAAGAAATAAAACTCAGTTCAATCAGAATCTCTGGATTGCAATTCCATACCCTGTACTAAAAACATGTGTGGATGGGTCAGAATTAGAAATTTATCAAAGTGTGAAAATACTAGATTAAAATTATGGATTTGGGCCGGGCGTAGTAGTTCACGCCTGTAATCCCAGCACTTTGGGAGGCCCAGGTGGGCGGATCACGAGTTCAGGAGATCGAGACCATCCTGGCTAACACGGTGAAACCCTGTCTCTACTAAGTACAAAAAAAATTAGTCAGGCGTGGTGGCGGGCACCTGTAGTCCCAGCTACTCGGGAGACTGAGGCAGTAGAATGGTGTGAACCTGGGAGGTGGAGCTTGCAGTGAGCCAAGATCATGCCACTGCATTCCAGCCTGGGTGACAGAGTGAGACTCCATCTCAAAAAAAAAAAAACTATGGATTCACATTTATTACCTAAGAATAAAGAAATGCCATGATTTAGAATTTCACATAGGAGAACATAGAAATATTCATAAATTTAAAGTTTTTAACATATATCATACTAATACTTGTAATCTAAAGGACAAAGAAGATGGGAGAAACAGGAGTTCTCATGCATTATTGGTGGGAATGGAGTTACTCCATTCTTTCTAGTGTATAACTTGATAATATGTATAAAAATGCATATTTTTCTTCTACACAGACATTGTATTTCTAAGCATTTATCCTAAAGAAGTAATTGCACAAGTGCAACTAAAAAGTGAAAGAAGAAAGACACATCACAGCATCATTTGTTATAATTTGCACAAAACTGTAGACATCTTCAACTGCTTCTGTCCTTGAACTTGACTTATTTCTGACGGTATAAGAAAAGAACATTTGTTTTGAGAAATATTTGAAAAGACATCCACCAAATTGTTAACATGGTTATTTTTGGTGGGAGGAATCTAGATGATTTTTAATTTCTTCTTTATACCTCTCTTTTTCACTAATTGTATTAGTTTTACAATCAGGCAACAATTTAGCTGTTAAGGGTTAAATCATGTTCTCTCCAAAATATGTTAAAGTCCTAACTCATAGCACCTCAGAATGTCATCTTATTTGAAAAGAGTCTTTGCGCATGTAATCTGAAAAATCAAGTTAAAATGAGATCATTCTGAATTAGAGTGGGCCCTGATCCAATATAACTGTTGTACTCATAAGAGAGACACTCAGGAAGAAGATGGCCATGCAACTGG
Source organism: Homo sapiens (assembly GCF_000001405.40). Classification (NCBI taxonomy): domain Eukaryota; kingdom Metazoa; phylum Chordata; class Mammalia; order Primates; family Hominidae; genus Homo; species Homo sapiens. The sequence continues at coordinate 146,942,017 of NC_000005.10, read as the reverse complement.
GGAGGCGGAGACCGGAGTGAGGCATCTACAAGCCAAAGAATGCCAAGATTGGCAGCAAACACCAAAAGCTGGAAGAAGCAATAAAAGGTTCTCCTCTACAGGTTTCAGAGGGTGGTTGCCCCTGCCAACACCTTGATTTCAGACTTCTAGTCCCCAGAACTGTGAAAGAATAAATGCCTGTCATTTAAGACACCTAGTTTGTGACTTTGTTATGGCAGCCCTAAGAAACCAACACAAAAGCTATTTTAATTTGGGGAGGAAATTTCATTTACTATACAGATGCAATAAAAAGTCTCTTCATTCTGCTATGCCACACATGGACTAGCAAACTCCTCTATTAACTGTTCTGCATCCAATATAGTAATCTGAAATTGAATTAATTGCTCATAGAAAAAGGAAGTGGAAAGGTTCTATCAGGTGGGCACAAAAGTAATTGCACCAACCTAATGTTTTTTAGTTTTTCTACAGATGACATAAATGCTGATGTGGTTCTGAACACACCCCTAAGCAACAGAAGCATCATTTTTCAAGGGCCCCAAAGACTCCTCCTTCTCTGAACCATCACAAGTATTATGAATTATCCAGAGATCTGTCTTATTGATGGACTACCTTAAAGAATTTCAGGCCGGTTTGTCATAATTTTCATGTTTTCCCTCAACCATATTAAATGTGACTATAACAATGAGCTGAAAGGAAAATTAGGTCCCAAGTGTTTTGGTATTTTTTCAGTATCGAAGGTCAACCACATAGCAGTTAGCCAGAATGCATTGTGAACAGACATATGGCATTTGTTGGGGAGAAGAAAGGGTGGGAGGAGGAGTGTCCTGTTTTCCAGCTGCCTTCCAAAGTCAGGCTTGATTGCTATAAAATCTTATTGCATTTCATGTAGCCTCATAATCATTTTCTTTCTAAAATGGCCTTTGGTAATCTTGAGAACAAAGAAGACAAGTCTCCAGGAAACTCATTCCTTCTGATTGTGCTAGGTCTTCAGCAATGTAAAATCGAGGCTCTAAATGCACCAGCGGTGGACAAATGTCCTAGTCCAGTACTAAAGTCTGAACACTAGGGCAAAGAACTATTCAACAAGGAATACTTCCAGGAGAAGGCTACGGCTTATGGAAAATATACTAGGCTGAAATCACTCATATTCTCTTTAGAGTAACTACACTGATACTAATTTAATAAAATCATACCTGTTTGGATGCTCATATGATAGAGAATTCAGTGGAACACAGACAACTGTGGATGCATGGGGAGGATATGTATGCACCTAGTGTGATTTGGAAGATAACTAAGGGGCCAAGGATTAGTCAAGCACTTGGGCAGTTTCAAATGACGGAAACCCAATTCTATCAAGTTTATACGAAGAAAAGGAAAAGGGATTTTGTTGGGAAATCAAAGGGTAGAGGTGGCATTCAGTCTCTAAGGGCTCATTAAATATGTGTCACTGTGCTCCCTTTTTAGATATGTTCTCCTTGGGCAGTAGCCTTATGTTTTTTTTTTTTTCCCCTAGCAAATGTTCTTCCATCTGGACTTCTTCCATCTGGCCAGAACAAGTAGGTATAACTCCTGACTGGCATTCTTATGGCTCACAATCCAAAATGAAAGCAAAAAAGGGAGAAAAATTCTCCTTTCTCTGTGTCCATATATAAATATTCCAGAGAAGTTCTCTGTTGGATTTGGAATAGATGTTCACATTTGAATCAACTATCCTGGCCAAGTAGATGTGGCGCTTCAATCATCCAGGCCTGAATCTGCAGCCAGGAGGGCAGGGCTCTGAGACTTGTAGCTCTATTAAGACAAAGTGGAGTGGAAAGATCAACATGGAGTTCTGCTATCCAGAGAAAGAAGAAAATGATGCAAGAAAGACAGACAGTAGATGCCCACTAGAATACTTTTGTTCACCAAATGCTAACTCATCTCTTCTTGACCTAGACTTCCATGGCACTTGAAATCTTTGTTTTACTCTTTTAGGTTACAACTGCCATACATTATATAAAAAATAGGTGTAGGTAGATAGATACTATGTAAATATTCAAAGATTACAAATGGCTCAAACCTTGCAGAGCTGACAAAAAGCAATGACAAGCCAAACTCTATAAACAAGTAAATAAAACTTGATTGCAAAATAAAACTTGTACATGAGCTGAGCTTTAAATTAAGGAACAGTTAGGTATATAATGTTGGGAAGTATAAGAACAGCTTATTTTTTAAAAGCAAGCTATACATAAATATAAAGCTACCTTGAAAAAAATGTCAAAAAGGCAACTCACTAATTTGGGGATAAAATACAAATACCAAATGCATTGTTACAATTTTTCCTATTCAAGCAGGAATACTATGTTTGACCATTCAAAAATGTTTCCTCTATGAAGCAGGAGGTCCAGTTCACCTCATAAATAGATATAGTCAGTGTTGCATTTTCCCCTTAAAGTGGAGCCTAGGCCACCAAAAAGTTTGTCTTTTAGAAAAAACATTTATGAAGAATTATGAATGACTTACAAAACAAAAGTTGTGAATTTGTAGCAGTGTGACTCTTAGAGATGGAGGATTTACCATTTAAGCGATGGCAAAAGTTGAAGCCTAAGCTTGACTTCTGCTCATCACCCTCTTTCCCACTCGCAGGACCTTGAACGTGACTTGCATGTGCTCAGGGTCTCACAGTTTGCCTCAGACTAAGATTACATCATAAAGATCTCATTCCCCAGACCCTCTGGTACCCTGAGGTAGAAGTATTTATTTTTATTTTCTCCTTTTAGGTATCAACTTTTAAGGGAAAATTCCAGGTGATAAAGCTGTATTTCCAATTGGGAATCAAATAATCTTCACACCCTTTTAACCAGGGCCTCAGTTGGAACCACCTGGAGCCTGGACAGACTCATTGATGAGACAGGAAAGATTCAGGAGCCTACTTCATAAAAAATAAAGTTGCTAAGACAAGGGAGTTAATTTTCCAATATTCACATGTGTATTGTCTACTTAAAGGCCCATATCTGATTGCCTGAGCTTAGGAGTTCGAGACCAGCCTGGGCAACATGGTGAAACCCTGTCTCTACTAAAATACAAAAAATTAGCCAGGTGTGGCAGCATGCGCCTGTAGTCCCAGCTACTCAGGAGGCTGAGGCAGGAGAATCGCTTGAACCTGGGAGGTGGAGGTTGCAGTGAGCTGAGATCACACCACTGCACTCCATGCACTCCATCACTCCATCCTGGACAACAGAGGGAGACTCTGTCTCCAAAAAAAAAAAAAAAAAAAAAAAAAAAAAGGCTATTATCTAACCAGTAGTTTTCCAATTTTTGAAAAATTAGAACATAAAAATGATCAACCAAAATTGCTTCATCCAGACAATCTCTGTCAACATTTTGATATGTCATTCAAGATTTTAATTCCTATGTAAACATGAAATGTAAATATATTTTTTCACAGGAGTAATTTTATAACAAATACTTTATTACCTGATTTTTAAAATGCAATGTAACTTTTTAAATTTAAATTAGTATTTCTTTAACTTTAATTATTTTTTACATAGAAAAACTGAACCCACAGACTTAGAGATATAATTGCTAGGTCAGAGTTTGCAGAATCTTTTGGGCTTAGGTTGTTGGGCAAATTGCCATCCAGAAATGTGTAAGACTTCTCATTTTCTCTCATGTCAACCAGGGAATCAGTACATTTTAGAATTTCTGACCATTTGGGGTGGGAGTTAATATCATCACCATGCATTTTCTCTTTAAAGACACATTTTTTTCCACATTTAATATATCTGAAATCAGAGTACATCTTGCAATAGATAGTGAGTTTATATTGTGCTATAATTTAATGAACAGGATTTTTTCTTTTTTGATAGCACTTCAAGTTTAATAACAGCATACCCTATAATCAATAGTGTGTTGGAATCCATGAAATACGGTACCTCAATCTAAGCAATTTTACGTTTTGGCCCAGTAAAATTTTTCCTTTCCACCCACAAGCTTCTGGGACCAGTTGCCCTTGCTAACTGCTTACAGAGTGCTCAAAGTATGTAAATTCAATTCAACTTTTGTTCAAGTCTCTCTGCATATGGCTCAGGGAATACAAAGACGAACATGACAGTGCTGAGAAAAACTTAATTAGGAAGGTCACTGCATAAAAACCATGTAATGAATTTTCTTTCAAAACCTTTGTGGAACAAGGCAGAATATAAATAAATAAAAACATTGTACATACAGAAGCCAAACAGACATAAATTTCAGATCATCTGTCCCACACATTCCCTCTATTGTTGCAGATAACCAAGAGCTGTACCGAGCGACCTGCAGCTCCTTGAAGACATCCTGTTCTCTAAGCCTCCGTGAAGGTGTAACTGCGGCTCACTCTAGCTCAAAGGATGTCTCCTTTCCTCACGCTTTTACATGGCCAACCCCTGCTCAGCCTTCAAATCTCAGAGCAGAGGCCACCTCCCTTGGCAAGTTGTTCTGACTCCATCTTTCTCTTTCTCTGCCTTCTGTCAAAAGCCCCTCCTCTCTGTGGACCCACAGTTCTTCCACAGTACTTAGTATTTAAGTAACCCCTTAATAACACATATCAAAGTAACCCACTGACAGACTGTGAGGAGTGTGGAGGTAGCGTGACATAAAGTGCAAAAGCAAGACTGCCCTGGCCCCATCCCAGCTCTGCCACTTACTACCTATCTATCTGTGGGGAAGTTACTAGTAACCCCCCTTTTTTTTTTTTTCTGAGACGGAGTCTCACTCTGTCACCCAGGCTGGAGTGCAATGGTATGATCTCGGCTCACTGCAAGTTCTGCCTCCCTGGTTCAATCGATTCTCCTGCTTCAGCCTCCCAAATAGTTAGGATTACAGGCAGGCGCCACCACGCCCAGCTAATTTTGTATTTTTAGTAGAGACGGGGTTTCACCATGTTAGCCAGGCTGATTTCGAACTGCCGACCTCAGGTCATCCGCCCGCCTTGGCTTCCCAAAGTGCTGGGATTACAGACGTGAGCAACCACACCTAGCCTAGTAACCACTTTTAAATCTCAATTGTTTTATCCACAAATGGAATTTTATACTGTCTAGTTCGAAGAATGATTTGGAGGACTTTAATAAAGTATATGAAGCATTTAGTACAGGGACTGTCCATTAGACAGCATTGAAGAAAAAAAAAAAAAAAAACCCTGGCTCACTGGTTTGTCTCCCACAACAGAACAAGGACCTCGGGAGGGCTTAGAGTATGTCTTTTATTTCTATGATCCCCAGTTACCTGGCAAGGAGTAAATTCTCAGTACAGGTGTGTTAGAGTATTAACATAGAAAAACCAAGCCCACAGCCGTAGGGGCTAAACGAAATGAAATGACAGGCTTCTTTTTTTGGCTCAGAGAGAGCTTTAGTGCTTTGTGCATGTCCTCTTACTATCTCTCTGTACAGAGAGGTTCTGTTTGTTTGAGCCTAGTGATGTGAAAAGCAATCAAAACGACTGTAAAAATCTCAATAGACATGTCTTGTTTTTTCTTTTTTTTTTTTTTGAGAAACCATCCTTCATAACTGTCTAGGGTTTTTTTTTTTTTTCTTTTCCTGCTTACAAGGAGTCTTAATGCTGATAACAAAAAGAAGGTAACATAGGTATTAGCAACCACTGCATTAATTTATTTCATTTACTTCTTATGCCCACTCAGAGGGGGAGTGGGATGATCATTTAGGCATCTTCTTAGGCAGCATGAATGACCAGGACAAAGTGTAATAATGGATGGGCACAATGATTGTATCAAATGACTCCACTGCTTACAGCAGGAAATCTTTGCTTTCTTGAAACAAAGGATAGGGCTAAACTCTCAAAAGATAAGATACTGAGACACATCAGGAAGTTACCCTACCCCAAAATGTCAACATATGTGGCTCTGCTGATGCCTAAACTGATGGCAGCAGAGCTTACTTTCCTGATACATTATTCCTTGTTGGAATGCCATTCTATTTGACTGTAGTAACAGCAACAGCTGTAGCTCCCATGTACTGAATACCTCCAATCTGCCAGGTACAAATATGCTCCATCATTTAATTTTCCAAGCAATCCTAGGAAGTAGGTATATTCCCCATTATATAGATAAGGAAAATGAGTCTTAGAAGTGGCATAACTTGCCTAAGTTGCTGGGAAAGATGAGAACTGGGAATCAAACCCAGCTCTATCTGAGTCCAAGCATATGCAGACCTCAAAAGTTAGGTCTCAGATTGGCACAGCTTTAAGACATGCTCCCTCCTCTAGCCATGTTTTCTACTACCCTTTTCCAAACTTTACACTGAAGACATATCAAACTTCTTTTAGTTTCTCCAACATACTATGAGAACTTTTTTTCTCTTTTCTTGCCCTCTTTACTTTCAATCCTCCTTTACCTGGCTCACACTTTCAGGCCTCAGATAAAATGCCACTTCAGGGAATATATTTCCTGACAGCCTACCACCATCCCCACATATTGCTGGGTGGCCTTGCTAAGTGCTCCCAGAGCTACTTGGCATTCCCCCATATTGGCATGGATTACATGGCATAATTACTCTTAGATCATTGTCTGTGTCCTTCATTAGACAGTGTCATAGTCCATTCAGGCAGCTATAATAAAATATCATAAGCTGAGTACCTTATAAACAACAAAAATTTATTTCCCCTAGTTCTGGAAGCTGGAAAGTCCAAGGTTAAAGTGCTGGTAAACTTGGAGTCTGGTGAGGGCCTGTGTTCTGGCTCATAGACAGTGCCTTCTAGCTGTACCTCACATGATGGAAGGAATGAGGATCTATCTGGAGCCTATTACATAATGGCACTAATTCCATTTGTGAGGGCTCTGCCCTCATGATCTAGTCACCTCTCAAAGGCCCCAGTTCGTAATATCATCACCTTGCAGGTTAGGATTTCAACATATGAATTTTGAGAGGCACAGATAGATTTTAAGTACTTTGAGGACTGGATCTAAGTCTGTCTGATTTACTGTTGAATCTTCAATGCCTAGAAACTAATATAAGTTCAATACATAATTGTAGGGAAAATAAATAAATGCATAAATTAATCAATGGTAACTGATGGAGTATGAATGCTTTGCAGTAGAAAAGTGATAATTTCCCATCTTTTTTTCCATACCAAAGGCAAATTCTATCTTCTCCATCATTCTACATTCAGATTACCCCTCCTTATTTACAGACATTATCAGCTGGTGATCTGGAAGAACGTGCTCTATGTTGTTAGAATAATAGTCCTTGTTCACCTCAGCAACACCTTTCAATCAAAAAAAAAAAGAGTTTGGTCTCTGATTTCTCTTTCAGCTTTGAGGAAATTGGATGCAACTTTCAAATATTTAGTTTTAAATTTTAGGCTACAGCTAAACCTAGAAAAGCTACAGGTATATTTGTTGAGGCCAAAGTCTCCCCAGGCACCAAACACGTTCTTTTTTTTTTTTTTTTTTTTTTTTTTTTTCTTATGAAAAACTACCTCTTCTAACTCTAGGACACCTCAGAACTTCCGTTTGTCCAACCCCATCAAAAAGTGGGCGAAGGACATGAACAGACACTTCTCAAAAGAAGACATTTATGCAGCCAAAAAACACATGAAAAAATGCTTATCATCACTGGCCATCAGAGAAATGCAAATCAAAACCACAATGAGATATCATCTCACACCAGTTAGAATGGCAATCATTAAAAAGTCAGGAAACAACAGGTGCTGGAGAGGATGTGGAGAAATAGGAACACTTTTACACTGTTGGTGGGACTGTAAACTAGTTCAACCATTGTGGAAGTCAGTGTGGCGATTCCTCAGGGATCTAGAACTAGAAATACCATTTGACCCAGCCATCCCATTACTGGGTATATACCCAAATGACTGTAAATCATGCTGCTATAAAGACACATGCACACATATATTTATTGCAGCATTATTCACAATAGCAAAGACTTGGAACCAACCCAAATGTCCAAGAATGATAGACTTGATTAAGAAAATGTGGCACATATACACCATGGAATACTATGCAGCCATAAAAAACGATGAGTTCATGTCCTTTGTAGTGACATGGATGAAATTGGAAATCATCATTCTCAGTAAACTATCACAAGAACAAAAAACCAAACACCGCATGTTCTCACTCATAGGTGGGAATTGAACAATGAGACCACATGGACACAGGAAGGGGAACATCACACTCTGGGGACTGTTGTGGGGTGGGGGGAGGGGGAGGGATAGCATTGGGAGATACACCTAATGCTAGATGACAAGTTAGTGGGTGCAGTGCACCAGCATGGCACATGTATACATATGTAACGAACCTGCACAATGTGCACATGTACCCTAAAACTTAAAGTATAATAATAAAAGAAAAAAAAAACTTAAAAAAAAAAAAGAACTTCCGTTTGTCACGATAGGTCACATGTTCTTAAATGGGTCTCATTTTGCTTCTCTCTGGAAGCTTGGTAATCTCCCTGAAGTAGAAATTTCAGAATAAAGTGAGGTGGCCCTTAATGGTATCCCAAGTGTGGTTGATAATAGGTTTTATTTTTTTCTCTTGTTTTTTTCTCAAGAATCAGGTGTCATAGACAAAATACTTATCTGAGAGAGAATGGGAATAAAAACTCCCTAATAATCATTTTCAAAATCTTTTGATTTTTTAAAGAAATAATTAAGGTGCAGCTTTGACCTGCTCTGTAATCAGAGGATTGGGTTCCCTGGATACAGACTTTGTGCTATTCTACTTAACCAAAGAGCAACTTGGGCGTTTATCCAGGATATTCCTCAAGGATCTAATATGTTAATTGAAAAAAAATCTTAGGAAATAACTTTACAACCAAAAAATTCATCTGGTTGGAAACACATGGGATTATTTTCCAATCCCTGTTACTTGAAATCTCAGCTGCTGAAGCAAAGGATATTAAAAATATATATAAGAATTTCTCAAAGAGCAAACAGAATTAGTTACAATTCCAAGGTTGAATACAACCAGCTTTAATTAAAACAGCATATGATATAATTCCCACGTGAATATTTTAGCATGCTTAGTGCTGGTACAGGTAAAGAAACAGTTTCCTGGGCTGTCCTTCCAGATTCTCAAAGCTTCTTTGATACCTCCACAGCTGTAATATCTCTGCTAGATATAGCTTTCTCCTCTGCCCCCTTGCTCAAGGAAGTCTTCTTGATCTACTTCAGCATTTGATATCTCTCTGCATATACTAGGTGGTTAGTTTTCCTTTTCTCACTGCTCTTTGACCTTGTTTATCATGATCACAAATGGGATGTATATAAAGAAGAAGAAAGCTAGGAGAAGATTCAGCCACCTGGGCCACTAGAGTCTTCAGTCTCTTCATGGAATCTATTGTCCAAAGATCTGTTTGTTAGTCTGTTCTCATGCTGCTAATAAAGACATACCCAACACTTTGTAAAGGAAATATAATTTATAAAGGAAAGAAGTTTAGTGGACTCACAGTTCCACATGGCTGGGGAGGCCTCACAGTCATGGCAGAAGGCAAAGGAGAAGCAAAGGCCTGTCTTACGTGGCAGCAGACAAGAAAAAGTGCCAAGCAAAAAGGGGAAAAGCTCCTTTTAAAACCATGAGACCTCCTGAGAACTCACTATCACAAGAACAGCAGTATAGGGGTAACCACACCCATGATTTAATTACCTCCCACTGGGACCCTCCCACGACATGTGGGGATTATGGGAACTACCATTCAAGATGAGATTTGGGTGGGGACACAGCCAAACCATATCAATTTAATATCTTTGGTAATTCAAATTATCCTTTCAAACCAGGATAGAAAGCTGAGGGACAGGCTGATACCTTGATAAACCTTAAATACAATAGGCCTTGAATTCAAGAATCCCAGTTCCCTGGAGATGACTTTGACCTAATTTAAGGAAAACAAACAAATAAAAGGGAGTGATGTTTGTAAATAGTTACTGAATGAATGGGTGGGCCAATCTAAACGATTCAGTTCAAACATACTAAGGAAGGTTCAAAGAGTTTGAAATTCTCCTGGTGTTTCAGGAAGAATAACAGGAAATATTTCAGATTATTGCTGATGACCAGACATGGATATGCTGCTGGAGGTTGGGGGAATCCATTCACTCACACATGTGCATGCATCCACACATATGCCATGCGTGCACTCACACACAATTCTCTTTTAAATTAGTCTTCTACATTATATAGGAAAGTAACTTCTTTATTAATTGTTAAGAGAATTAAGAAGTGTTTTCCATTTATAGTCAACTCACTGTAAACTATGTTATGGAAAGAAAAAGCTAAGGTGGGGCTAATTAGAACACATAGATATTTCTCAAACCTCACTTTGGACAATTTCAGTCCTTTCTACCACCCACCCAACTTATCCCCAGGTTTTTCCCATACCTGCTAATAAGAAGCTAAAAGTGACTTCAATTTTATTCCCAGTGCCTCTTGTTTACCCTCGACTAGAGTTGCTAGGAATAATGAAATGCCTCAAAAGCCAAGAAGGAAGGAAGATGACATCTGAGTAAATCTCGATAAGCAAACAGTCAACCCTTGAATCTTTGAATTGGTGCTATAGGGTACCCTTGACTGGGGTTAAGTTGATCAAAACAGCACTGCCCATTTAGAAAGAAGAGATTATTGAGAGAGGGTGCTATTTCCGGACAGTTCCAAGAAGGCCTATTGTGAGCTAGCAGTCAAGAAATTTTGTCTCAAAGCTGCAGGGAGGTCAGCAATCTTCTTACCTCCATTTCCCATTGTGTAGCAGAAGAATAACAAGCAGATTGGATCTGCACTCAGAAACACTAAGATGGGAAACATCTTAAACCTAAAACATTTTCATCACATTACCACTTGCCAATGTATTATTGCGGAAGGTTCTGGCTTGCGTTACAGAGATATCACTTTCTCCTCCTTTCAACTATAGTTGAGCATAGAAGAGCTCAACTATAGAAGTATAGAGTATAGAACTATAGAGTATAGAAGAGCACTAAAAAAAAAATTATCTTTGGCACAATAGCAAACAAAATATTCAGGCAACTAGCTGGAACACCAGTGAGAATTTACATTCACTGGACACGTGAGGGGATCTTTATTATAATATGGTGAGCAATTAAGCTTTTGCAAGTTAAAAGTAATACCATGTGGTATTTGCTAAGCATTCTCCTGGATGTTTAGCTATTTCCAAGAGACTAGTCTCTGCATTCCAAAAAGAGAAAGGTGGAATGAGAATACATAAAAAAGAAATTTTAGACATAAAATTCTAATATCGACAAAGAGAAATGAGCTTAGGCTTCAACAAGAATGAGAGCATCAGGGTTCAAGAGAAACCACAATGTCAATGAGTCCCAGGTACAAGCTTTTTCTTCTGCATTTTTAATTCATATTCCCTTATCCTCTGAGTTGACACTTCATGTCCACCTAACCCCACTGCCCTTTTTGTGAATGGTGGAGAGAAAAGATTACCACCTTAACCTGGGAAGCCTGTTCAAAACAGGCTAGTCAATTCTCCCTGAATTGTAGAACTGTGATCATTGCCTCTCTCTTCCCATCCAGACCACTGGGCCATTGCCACAATCCCTCCAGGGCCTCTCTTCTTTCCCCCAAGAAAGAATTATAAATTGAAAAGTCATCCCACAAATAAAGACCCAGAGGGGTTAGTGTTATTTAGAGCTACAAAAAATGCTATTTTTCTCCAGCACTCCACATGACCAGCCACATGGACTTTTTATCTAATCCTGAGCAAGCCAAGCTTATTCCTCCCTTGACACATCTGTCCTTGTTGTTCCTTCTGCCTGTGCTGCTGTCCCTCCAGAGAGACCCTTGCTTGACTGGATCCTCACTGACCAGCTCTCAGTATAAGCAACCACTCCTCTGAAAATCCTTCTGGACTATTCAATCTAAAGCGGCCCTCCATTCCACTCTTTCTATCACATAACCCTGATTTATTTTCTTCATAATAGTGCCACTATCAGAAAATGTTCATCTATTGGTTTATGCGTTTCTAGTCTGTCTTCTGCCTACAGAACATAAATTCTGTGAGACCAGGGACCGATTTCTAATCTGTATCCCCAGAATCAAGGATAATAACTGGCAGATCACAGGCATTTATATCATTGTTTAATTTGTAAAATTGTGGGAGTTCTTACTATGTATTAGGCCCTCTTTACTTATATTATCTTAATTCTAACCCCAAACCTGTAATATACATACTACCTTATTTTACAGATAAAAGAGCAGAGGCTTAGAGATATCAAATAACTCTTGTAAATGGCAAGCCAAGATATAAACCCTAGTAGTCTATCTCCAGAGCCCACACGCAAAACTGCTGCTTATTTTATTTATACAATGTAATATAGAGATCTTTTTTTTGAAGTTTGAGCTTGTGTTGAATTCTTTTTTTAAATAATAAAATTAAGCCCATTTTTTTCCTGTAGGACTTCTCATAACTTTTACTATGCTAATGTACCCCATGATTGACCAAGATAAGTATATTATATCCATCATTTCCCAATCAATTTTTTTCTTTTTTTCTTTTTGCCATGGACTCTTCTTTTTCATGGAGTCTATTGACATTTCTTTTACCTATGCTCCTCCTGACATTTCTTTGGAAAGTGTTCTCACATTTGGTGCATGTTTTCTAAAACTATATCAGAACCATAGAACCACTGCTGACTTGTTCGTTCAACAGATGTTTTTTGAATGTCTATTACATGCCAGGCACATTTCTAGAAACTGTGAAATGATATGTCACTGAACAAAAGTCCCCACCCATTTTGAGTTACGTTCTAGAGAAGGAGGAGACAGATGACAAACATTAAGGATAGGAAATAAGTAAATCATATAGTAGAAAGTAATATGCTGTGAAAAGAACAGAAATGTGGGAATGAGTGAGAGGGATGTGGAAGAAGAGAGAGGTAGGCGGGCAGTGGGGACACACAGATGGGAAGGATAGGGTTTGCAATTATAAATACAGGGTGGGCGTCATTGAGAAGGTGATATCTGAGCAAAGACTTGAAGGAAGTGAGAGAATTAGTCACTTGGATATTTGAAGAAAGAGGATTTCAGGAAAAGAAAATAGCCAATGCAAAGGCTCCAAAAAGCCAGTATCATGTTTTCCGGAAGCATTAAGGATGCCAGCAAGGCTGGAAAGGAGTAAGAGGCAGTGTAGTGAAAGATGAGTGAATTGAAGAAGGTGGCAAGACAGACTATGAAGAGTATTGTAAGTCACTGAAAAGCCTTTGGCTTTTTCCCTAAGCAAAATGGGAAGCCACCAGAATGTTTTGAGTAGAAAACTGATATGATCAGCTTCATTTTTCAAAATGATCTTTCTGGCTACGATGCTGAGTATAGTATACCAGGGTTTAAGGATCACTCTGGGTGCCATGTTGAGTATGGAATATGAGAGATCAAAGTTAGAAGTAGTAAAACCAGTTGCAATAGTCCTGTGAAAGATGGTATTTCTCAGACTAGGATGGTAGCAGTGACCGTGGTAAGAAGGCACAGGGTTCTGATTCATTTTTAAAGTAAAACCAGCAGAATTTCCTGATGGTATGAGAGAGAATGAAGAGAATTAAGAATAACTTGATTTTTTTTTTGGTCTGAGCATCTGAGCAGATAAATTAATATCAATCAAGATGGAAAAAGCCTATAGGTGGAAGAGGCCCCAGGTGGGAACAGTTCAGTTTTGGGTATGGTGACTTAGAGGTGTCCTTTAGATTTCCAAGTGGAGATGGCATGTAGAGAGTTGGAGTTTGGGGGAGAGATCTGATCTAAAAAAATATATATATAAACCTAAAAAGGGCCAATAAATGGATGGGATTTAAAATCATGAAAATCGATGAAATCACCAAAGGAATAAGTGCAAAGGTTCAGAAGAAAAACTGTCACAGGAGCTGAGCTTGAGGCACAAGTAAAAAAAGACATGTTCCTCAGGAAACCAACCCCAAGCCTTGACTGATATGTGGAAGCACAGCAGATAGTGCGATGAATTATACATTTCAGCTTTGGGGACTTGAAGGTGGTCAGGTGTGGTGGCTCAGGCCTGTAATCCCAGCACTTTGGGAGGCCAAGGCGGGTGGATCACGAGGTCAGGAGTTGGAGACCAGCCTGGCCAACATGGTGAAACCCCGTCTCTACTAAAAATACAAAAATTAGCCAGGCATGGTGGCAGGTGCCTGTAATCCCGGCTACTCAGGGAACAGGAGAGAGTAGGCAGGAGAATCGCTTGAACCCAGGAGGCAGAGGTTGCAGTCAGCCGAGATCACACCACTGCACTCCAGCCTGGGTGACAGAGTGAGACTCCATCTAAAAAAAAAAAAAAAGAAGAAAGTATGGCTACAAGGTCTCATCTTCTGATCCATATAATGGCTGCCTGGAGTTCTGTCTGAGGAAGATTCTGAGACCATGTCTAGGGTTAGTGGGGAAGAAAGTTGCAGTCATTTAGTGATGTGTGCTAGAGTTGTGACAGGTGTAACAGCATGCAGGCAGCATCAGATATCCACCACTCCTTGCCTGCAGGAAAGGCCACAAGCCTAAGGATAGATGGCAAGCGGTGTTTAGAGAGTTCACTGAATGCTTTTACTTGCCGCAAGTTAATCTGCGTGGTTTATATCAATAGTACTATATAATCTGTTGCTGAAGTTATCTTATATGTGCAAGAAAGATTTTATTGCTCTAGAGCCACTAGCAAGTGTTGGACTTAAGTGTGTGAAAGGGGAAAATGAAGGAAGAAGAGAGAGACGAGTCAAAACCCAAGGCAAAGAGTGGACTTTTAGCTATGACTCTAGGAGGAGGTTGGGTAAATCCTCTTCCCAAAATGCAATGATAGAGCTGTGCAAAGTTGGAAACTTCAACTATTTGTGCTCTGGAAATCAGCCAAAGGCCTATGACAACCTGAGACGTGTTTATTTTTTAAAAATCATGGGACATCACTCAGGAACACTGGGAATCTGAGATGTTCTGACCTAGGGCTCCTCTCATCCACCTCAACCCAGCCTATAGGTTCTGCCAAGGTACAGCAAGCCATGATGACCAGTAGCTTCTCTGTAGATGTTGAAGGAGACTCAACCAGTTTGAAGAGCTGGGCAGTGCAGACACCAAGCAAAGTTGTCAATAGAAATGATCATCTTGGATGGGAGTGAGTTGGGAGGGCCATCAGCTCCATCAGCCTGAAGTTGCAGTTGTGATCAGAGACAGCATATTGCTGGCTGAGGCTGTGCATATGGGCAGTGGAGACTGAAGAGACAGAAGCCCTTTATATGCTTCTGGTTTACCCAAAGTCTCAATGCATGTGCATAGGAGACTCAAAAAGGTCCAGCAGATATCAGACTCAGGGGAGCTTGAAAAGAGCCTGAACTTTGTATATGCTCCTCTACCTGAAAATAGGTGAAAAAGGGCAAAGGATGGAAATCTTAGTGGTTTAAGGTGTTTGAACATAAATGATGTTCAATCATTAGCTGACCACTAAGGCTATACAGACACAGGAGCAACCTCTAGCAAGCCAAGTTTAAAAATAAAATCGGAGCCTGTGGTCCCAGCTACTCAGGAGGCTGAGGCAGGAGAATGGCATAAACCCGAGAGGCGGAGCTTGCAGTGAGCTGACATTGCACCACTGCACTGCCTGGGTGACACAGCAAGACTCCGTCTCGAAAACAAAAAAAAAGTAAATAAATAAATAAATAAATAAAATCAGGAATGTATATATATTTTAGACTAGCATAGGCATTAGTAGCCTAGGGGAAACAGATTTCACAGATTTAGTCCAGGAAAGTTACAAACAAAATACCAGCAACAACCACCATAAAGGGAAAAAAAATATCAGAATTCAGAGTCGTTGCAATGTGTTATCTTAAATGTCCCATTTTTAAGAAAAAAAAGTGTTACCCATACTCAAGAAAAGAAAAACAGTTAATAGAAACTCTGTGTTACCAAATATTCGTGGACAAAAATTTCAAGGCAGCTATTATAAATATTTCCAAAGAACTAAAGCAAGCCATGTTTAAAGAATTAAAGAAAAGTGGGGTAACAAGAGATCAACAAATAGATTCTTAATAAGGATATTGAATTTATTTTAAAAATACCAGGTGAAAATTCTGTAGCTGAAGGGTACAATAATGGTAATTTAAAATTTTTCACTAGAGAGTTCAACAACAGATTTGAGAGACAAGGAATCAGTGAACTATAAATCAATAGAAATTACTCAATCTAGAGAATGGTGAGAAAACAGACTGCAGTAAAATTAACAGGCCCTCAAAAACCTGTGGGACAAGCTCAAGCACAGAAACAACCATGTCAGGGGAATGTCGGAAGGAGAGAAGAGAAAGGGACAGAAAACCTATTTGAAAAAATAATGGCCAAAACTTCCAAAATTTGATTTTTTAGAAAATTAATCTATACACCCAAGAAGCTCAAAGAAACCCAAGCAGGATAAATACAAATAGATCCACACTTGAACACATCATTGTCAAACTGTTGTATGCCAAATCCAAAGAGAAAATCTTGAAAGCAGCAAGAAGAATAGCACGCACCATAGAAAGGTGAGCATCCATGCAATTAAGCTGGCTTCTCATCTAAAACCATGGATGCCAGAAGGAAGAAGAATAGCACATCCATACTGCAAAAAGAAAATAATGTCAAACAAGAATTCTGTATCTAACAAAACTATCCTTCAAAAATGAGGGCAAAATAAGGACATTTTTGGATAAACAGAGACTGAGCAAATGTATTGCTAGCAGCCCTGTTTTAAAAGATGTACCAAAGGAAGGAAGGCCTTCCGGAAATGGTACTCTATGATAGCACAAATCCACAGGAAAAAATGAAGAGCACTGTAAATGATAACTATGTTAGTATAAAAGATTCCATAAAATATATTTTTTCTCCTTTTTCCCAATTTCTTTAAAAGACATAGGACTGTGTGAAACAATAATTTTAACACTGTAGTGTTGGGTTTGTAACATGTATAGATTTAATATATAGGACAGTAATAGCACAAAGGAGGGAAGAGGGAATGGCAGTATATTGGAGCAAACTTCTTGTATTTTCTGGAGTTAAATTACTGTTAACCAAAAGAAGATCATGATACATTAAAACGCATATGGTGAACCAACCCAAATGCCCATCAGTGATAGACTGGATAAAGAAAATGTAGCACATATACACCGTGGAATACTATGCAGCCATAAAAAAGGATGAGTTGATGTCCTTTGCAGGGACATGGATGAAGCTGGAAACCATCATTCTCAGCAAACTAACACATTCTTTTTGCTCCTTGTGATTTTTAGTAAAGAGGGAAATAAAAATCTATAACAAGCAGGATGGCCTACATAATTCTGGACACAAAGCAAAATGAAAAGTTATGGTCCCTTATTCAAAAAGTATTTCAAATTTCAGGATGGTGAAAGCAGATCATAAACCTAAACAAGGAGGCCCTTCTGACCACAGGGTCCTGTGTGACTGCACAAGTTGTTCATCTATGAAGCTGGCCCTAATAAAAAGCAAGAGGCTACTGTATCCCATTTTCTCACTCTCTGGATAACCCCCTTTGGTGACTCCTGTTGTCCTGTCCTTTCTTATCCTTGTACTTAAAATCTCCAGTACTTGGGAAGGGCCCATCCTTCACAATCAGAAGTCCAAGAGACCAGATCCAAGCTGTTACTTCAACTTCAGGCAGCTACCATTATACTTTGGTGAAGATGGTTTTGCATTGAAACCTGTAATTCTCTTATTTGTGCTGACTTTGTGCTTTTCAGTTGCAGTTGTCCTTGTAAGCAAAGACAGCACAGGGGTGTCAGAGAAGAACATCATTATCTAAGTAGCTGATATTTTCTTTAACTTTTATTTTAAGTTCACAGGTACAAGTGCAGGTTTGTTACATAGATAAACTTGTGTCATGGGGATTTGTTGTACAGATTATTTCATCTCCCAGGCATTAAGCCTAGTACCCATTAGTTATTTTTCCTGATCCTCTCCCTCCTTCCACCCTTCATCCTCCAAAAGGCCCCAGTGTGTGTTGTTCCCCTCTATGTGTCCATATGTTTTCATCATTTAGCTCCCACTTATGAGAACATGCTGTACTTGGTTTTCTGTTCCTGTGTTAGTTTGGTAAGGATAATGGCCTCCAGGTCCATCTATGTCCCTGCAAAGGAACAAACTACCATTTCTTCTTTCCTGTGGCTGCATAGTAGTCCACGGTGTATATGTACCATATTTTCTTTATCCAGTCTATCACTGATGGGCCTTTGGGTGGATTTCATGTGTTTGCTATTGTGAATAGTGCTGCAATAAACATATGTGTGCATGTGTCTTTTATGATAGAATGATGTATATTCTTTTGGGTATATACCCAGTAATGGGATTGCTGGGTCAAATGGTATTTCTGATTTTAGGTCTTTGAGGAATTGCCACACTGTCTTCAATAATGGCTGAATTAATTTGCACTCCTACCATTCACTAATTCCTTTGAAAATGTTTAGTATTTGTGAAACCCAAGAAGGGCTTCCGACAAACCCACTAGGGATCGTGCTGGGCTAAGCTGATCTGTTTATTAGGAATGCCAATGGTGCAATGGTCTAACTGTGCAATGATCTTATCGTGTTTTCATAATTAGGCTTTGGGACTGCCATAGGGAGAATCAACTCGAACACAGTTCACTCGTGTCAAACACACTTGAGAGCGCTCTGGAAGATCACTGCCATACATCATGCAATCCAGTTCTACTTAGGCTCTGACAGGTACATTTTGCCTGTTTCAAGTTTGTGATGAGCTAATAAGTGGTCCCCTCTGGTCCTTCAGACCTCTGTCATACTTGTTTTTCTGGAAAAAGAAGAGTAAATATGAGGATGAGCATGAAACAATCAAAGTTGTCACCTAGATATATTGAGAATCTTTTAGTGTCAAGTCAGAGAAAATCTGGCTCAAAACCGGCTAAACAAAAAAAGAAATTTAGACTCTCATGTAGCGGAAAAACCTGGAGCTGTCAAAGCTTTGGAGCAAGGCTTGATTACATGGCTCACCTATGTCATCAAATGAAATACTTTTTTCCATTTTTCTTCTTGGCTTCCTATGACATCTCGCTTACTCCTAAAGCTGAATTCCATTACACTTCCAAAATTATTTCCACTATCTTCCGGATCTTTATTGTTCTACATGAATCTCCAACAGGGAGAGAGAACCTCTTCCCTCGTAGTTCTCTGAGCCAGGAAGCATTTTTTCCCAGAAGCCCCAGCAAACACCTCCTTGTTTCTCACTGGCCTGAACTGAGTCTTCTGATTTTAACTGATCACTGCAGCAAAGCCAATGGGATGTGCTGATGGGCTTAAACCACCCAGAGTTCTACTCTAGAACTGAGAGTAGGGTGTACTTCCTCCAAGCACATGGGCTATATGGGTAAAGGTACTGTTACCAGGATAGTGGGAGAATGCTATGTGCTGAGAGGGTTAAACTAGCAAAAGCCTATTATCCCACCATTAGGAAACATTGACTATTGTGAAGTCAGTGGCCACCAGACCCTGAGCTCCCCGCCCCATGTGCTGTGGAGTCTAGGATGTTGAAGAGAGCTGGGAGGAGATGCCAAGAACACTAGGCTGCTTCCTACCATCTAGCTTACAGTCCAACATGTGAGTAACACCAATACAAATGAAAAGCCATCAAATGTGTCCAATAGTGAATATCATCCCGGCAGTCTCTGAGCTAGGAGGGAGAGTCCTGGAGAGGTGTTTATTTTCTGATATAAAAAAGGTAAGGTGAGCTTTCATTTTGATACACAGTACTAACAATAATCCTTGATATCATGCACACTTGGAAGAAAACAGAAAAGTAGAAACTGCAAAGGTTTAATCTTAACCACCAAGGGGATGCAGAAGCTAATTGATATTAAGGTATTCATTCATTCTACCAATATTTATCAATGTCTGCTATGTACTTAACCCTCAACTAGGCACCATATTGGATAGGTACAGTTTAGCATAGGTACAGTTTAGCATACAGTTTAGCAAAGGCTTTAGAATCTTTCAGACCTAGGGATGAATCCCAGTTCTGTCACTCAGCCTCTCTGAGCCTCATTTGCCTCATGGTAAAGTGAAGATATACCTACCTTAAGTGGCTGTTGTAAATATTAAATGACAAGAAGAAATAAAAGTTAAATAAATTAAAGCACTCATCCAAGTGACTTGCACATTTATAGCCATAAGAAATGGTAGGCATCTAAATAATTAATAGTAGTAGTACTTGTTGTTATACTTGAATGGCTAGTGAGACATGGTCTCTGTTCTTAAGATGCCTTTCTAGGGGAGGAGGTGTGGAATGTGTACAGGTAATGAGTGTCAGAAGAGAAACAGAGATGAACTGATACAGAGAAGCAGAGATGAACTGATATAGAAGTTCACAGGAAGATGAAATTTCTTCTCCATTTTGAGAGCTGAGAAGGCTCACCAATATGTATTTTACATGCAGAAGCTAGCAGGATTATGTTTAACTTTAGGTGACATCTTTTGAGTCTTTTCTCATGTCTCTCTAAGAAACGAAATCTTAAGTGTCAGTAAAAGCTTGTAAGAGAAAGATACACGAGCAATGCTGACACTTGCATAAGCACGTGTGCTCTAGGGAATGCGAGTTGCTGGATGTCTCCACTGCTCTGTCCCACCTCACATGAGAGATGAAATTGTTGTTGCCTGTCCATGTGGCAAAAGGAGTAGCTGCTTGATTCATGGTTTAGTTGGGGCTATCAGGTTGTACTCCCAAAGGCATTTGATAATCTGTTCAGCTGAGCACAGTCATTTGTCTTGTTTGCTGACTACTTAGCAGATGAATTTGTGATTTTGGTAATTACTATGTGAACATTAATAAGACATGATATCTTTTATTAATTAGCACTTTATGGGGTTTTTCAAAATAGCAAAATCTAGATGATTTACAAATATTAATGAGTCACTAGTATTAGTTTTGCAAAATTAACATTTGGAGGTTATTCACTCTAGAATAGTTTTTCCCTCTGAAGTCTTTTACTGAAGAACAAAGACCAGAGACAACATACTGTACCCTGCACCCTAGAAAAGACTAATTTGGTCTGCCCAGGCAGAAATGGTTTAATTTAGAGATGTACTTACTTAACACATTTTTCCATTTTAATTCTCTCCAAAGAGGTTTTGGTGGTCAAAGGATAAAATACTTTCAGAAAATTAAGTTATGCTTGAGGAATGATTTTCTAACAGAATTCTATGAGATTCAGACCTGTTTTTCAAACGTAGGGGATACTGCAGACGTACCCACCCACTCCCCTACAAAACAAACACACACACACACAGCATAAAAGGACACAACAGTGTGCTGGAGCAGTGTGCTGGAACAGGTTGGCAGGAGCTTCATTCTGCTCTGGGGCTCTCTCCCCCGTAGCCAGCCTCTTCCTTCCATGTACACACGTACCAGCAAGCCATCATGAAAAGCCACTTCCTAGCAGGGACTGGCAGTCATGAAGTTATGTAGCAAAGAACAGCATCTTTAGTAGGTTAACTCAGTCGGAAAGCACTTCTGAACAAAGCAATCAGGTGGCATATTGTTACTGCCCTCCCTGAAGAACTCATTTAATGACTCTTAGAACGGTACAATTTCCTTTAAAGATCCAGATGCCTACTGTGCTTTAAACTGCCTGCACGGCCCATGGTTGACAGCCTCAACAAGCATTTCTTGAGCACCCACTGTGTGCCTCTCACTGTATTGGGCCTGGTAAGGGCTTTATAGCACACAGCAAAGACAGCCTGTGCCAGGCAGGGTGTAGAGCCCATGTCACTAGTTATTACGGGAGCAACTATGATGCAACTTGCTTTTGCCACTAAATTTAAACTAGCAAATAGACTCAAAGGAAGAGATTGTTCATCTTTTCTGCCCAGCCACCTTTTCAGAAACCCAAATAATTCCTATAATGTAGGGATTATTTGTAATAATTACTATAACCTTCATGTACGGCCTGATTATGTGCCACATATTATGCAGTTTACCTTTGTTTTCTCACTTCTCACAAAGATATCTTTGGTAATTACTTATATTTGTAAGCCCATTTTTTAGATGAGCAAATTCATGATTAAGATATTAAGTAACTTATCAAAAGTTACACAACTATTAAGAGGCAGAGCTATATCAGTGGCTGCCATGATACGCAAACTGGTTTAATTAATTTTCTAAATAAACGTTTAATTCAGTGCCCAACTATTTTTCTTATTACAAGTCACAAAATTGAAACTACTGAGCTTTTCACCTGTAAAGTTGCTATTCTGGCATAGTCTACAGATTAAACATTAAACACTCAACTACATAGCAAGAATCTGGAGCTATTGTTTGGGCTGTCCATGGAGATGTCTTTGCCAACTGTGTCCAGTTGTGGCAGGTGAGTCCTTCAGGGGCACCCCATTAAAAGGGTGTATGAACATAGTCATCTGCTGCCCCACAGAAGTGGGCGCTGGTATGGGAGAATGTGCGGAAGACAGAGCCTGTCTCAGCTGGGTGGTCTGTTGCTCTGGCTTTGTCTTTGTTGCCTGGGCAACATCTCTCTCAGAATGTGAGAAACTCACTTTCTCTTTTGCATGTTGATCTGTGGGAAGGACTAACAGCTGTAGCTATAGGTTGCCTGTTATCCACTACCACCTATAGTTGAGAAACAGAAACCAGATTTTGGGGAGGTAAACCATCAGGCCCAGGGTGCAGAAAGATATTAAATCACTGAGCTTCTTTTATGTAGCTCTGAAATTAGTTGGGAAAAAGATCACCTCCCTGAATCCTGGGAGCTTTTTCTACTAAATTTTTCTCTAAGACAAATATCCTGTAGAAATATTCTTTATTTTTCCTGTGATAGCTGGAGGGAATTTTGAGAAGACAGTGCTGTAGAGTAATTGTGAACATGGGTTTTGACATCAGTCTTTGATTCAAAGCTTGGCTTCACCATATGCTAATTATGTCTTTGGGCAAGTTATTTAACTCCTCTTAACCTGTTTCCTCATCTAGGAAATGGGAACTTTCATATATAGGTTTTGCATATAATTGATTTCTAATTATTTATTCAAAGTCTACTCGTGTCAGGCATTCAGCTAGAGGCTAGTGAAACAACTGTGAATTAGTAGACACGGTGTCAGCCTTCGTAGAGGTTAAATCTAGCAGAAAAGGTGCAATTTAAATAGTCATTTCAAGTATTGAGTTACAAAAGAGTTTTTCCTCTTTTTTAACCTTGGAAGCAAACAACAGGGAAAACTGGAGATAGCCTCTTCAGGAAAAAAAATAGTAAGGTCTTAAAGGGAGGTATGAGATAATCAGGTGACTAGTGGGAGAAATGTGGTTACAAGGGAATATATTTAAAGGCCTATTGGCAAGACAAAGTATAAACACAGGAAGAACCAAAAGTATAGATGAGACCAGACCCATCCAGAAAGGGGCAGAGTGGTATTAGATGAGGTTGAGAGAGAGGCAAAAGTTTGTGGAATCTCAGAGAGTCTCATAAACTATGTTAAAACATTTGGACTTTATCCTAAAGGCAATGGGAAGTCCTTAAAGGATTTAAATGAGAGGGCTATATAGAGAAGTTGTGAATATTGAATAAAATAATATTCACAAATGCTTAGCCTACTATTAGTACCTATTTACCTCTCAATAAATGCAAGCTGCCATTATCATCAACTTCATCATTCTAAGTATTACCAACTTTAGGTAAAAGGCAAAAATCCTGCCCCATACTATGGAAAGAAACTTAGGTAGTTTGTGGTGGAGCAAACATGGAAATCCTGAAAGGCTGGGAAAACCATTCTCAACTTGCAGTAGTGCAGAGCCCAAGGCGAGTTTCCCTTCATATATATTCTTCCTCCTGTTTCTTTGCTTCTCTGCCTTGCTACCTCCACAGTGAATTCACAGCTTGTTAAGCAGTGAAGTCATAATTCTTTCTGGCAGTTCTGTCATTTTCATAATGGATTCTTTGCTTGAGCCTAAACATACAAAAATGCAGGTAGACAAGATTATATGTTTTCAAGGAAAGCCAGTGCCAGGGATGGGGGACTGCAGGGAGTGTGAGGGGGCATCTTACTGCAGGAAGTTTGAGGCAGCAGCTCTGAAAAGCAGATAGCTTGCATAATGACATGTATCCATCTGTATTTGAGATGACTCTGTTTTAATCAGGAGGAGATGTCAGATTGCTTGGCACTTTACTGTTAAACAGATACTTCGCATCCTTGAGTAGCAAATAAAACAACAGGACTCAGTAAAAGGTGAGGAAAGCAAAATGTATCATTTCTAAGTTCATTAGACTGCTCACATTGCTTCACCTCAGATCTTGCTACAGATAGATTATGAAATAAGATTGAACTAAAGAATTGAAGAGGTTGATTTTGCCAGCCACTGTGGTATTAGAATATTAACTGGGAGGCAGAAGATACATATTTATTTATTTGTAACCCACCTTATTTATAAAAAATGTGAAGGGACCAAGTCAATTAGGTTCTAGAACCAACTCTACCATTAATTGTGTGCCCTTGGGCATAACTTTGAACCTCTATATAAATGAAGATCCTTATTTATAAAATGGATTTCTTAAATTGATAGACACCAATGAGCAGAATAAACATTTTTTTGGCTCTGAGGCTCATATATAATGCTGTACAAGGAATGACCTTTTACTGAGGTAGGCGCTTGGTGACAAAAGCACAAACATAGATAATGGCAGTCGAGGAGGGTATATAGCAAGGATCAAAAAGTGGCATCGGAAAACACAAGCATTTCTTGAGCACCCACTGTGTGCCTCACACTGTATTGGGCCTGGCAAAGGCTTTATAGTGCACAGCAAAGACAGCCTGTGCAGGCAGGGTGTAGAGCCCATGTCGCTGGTTATTACAGGAGCAACTATGATGCAGCTTGCTTTTGCCACTAAATTTAAATCAGCAAATAGACTCAAAGGAAGAGATTGTTCATCTTTTCTGCCCAGCCACCTTTTCAGAAACCCAAATAATTCCTATAATATAGGGATTATTTGTAATAATTGCTATAACCTTCACTTAAGGCCTGATTACATGCCACACATTATGTACTTTACCTTCGTTTTCTTACTTCTCACAAAAATACCTTTGGTAATTACTTATATTTGTATAAGTAATTTTTAGATGAGCAAATTCATGATTAAGATGTTAAGTAACTTATCAAAAGTTACACAGCTATTAAGAGGCAGAGCTATATCAGTGGCTGCCATGATATGCAAACTGGTTCAATTTAATTTTCTAAATAAATGTTTAATTCAGTGCCCAACTTTTTTTCTTACTACAAGTCACAAAATTGAAACTACTGAGCTTTTCACCTGTAGAGTTGCTATTCTGGCATAGTCTACAGATTAAACATTAAACACTCAACTACATAGCAAGAATCTGGAGCTACTGTTTGGAGCTGAGTGAGTATGGACTCACTCAGATGGATGAGGGAAGTCAATACAGTTTAGTTGTGGGATACGGGTTTTTAATCAGAAAAAAACCTGGCTTGGAATACTCTGTCATGTATTAGCTGCATGCATTCATTCATTTATTTCACATACCTCAGGTGCCAGTCACGTGTCAGATATTGAGTTTGGCTGTAGGAGTACAATAGCAACCAAGACAGATAAAGAAGAATGAAGGAAAGTCACCTGCTTTAGTTCTCTCTGTCACTCTCTGCCCAGCATTCATACTTGAAATCATTTGATTAAATATATAATGAGACCTACTATATACTCAAAGAGATAGAACTTCCTCTGAGTCGTCAAAAAAAAAAAAAACGGTGGTAACATGTGGTTAGAATTTTCTTTTTTTTCACTCTTCTGGGATGAAAAGAACTTGAATAACTCAAAAATTGAAATGCCTTTTAAAAGTACTAACCCTTTGCATTTTTTTGTTGTGGGTAATGTGGTGTTTCAAAACAGATATTTAAGTACAAACCGTGGGTCAGATGCTGTACAAACCTCTTCAAAGTGATACAATTTTTTATTTTCTTTAGAGATGCTATACTAATGTATTGTCTTCAAGGAGCTTTTAGTTTAATGGGAAACATAACTCACCCCAAAGTGAAAGTCACGTGTCTTACAAGTCCGGTTTCTAAAAACATGACTTTTCCATCACCCCTGGAGGGTGAGAATTCAGAGTAATGAGGCAGTAAGTTTTCTTAAAAGAGTTTCATTGCAAAAAAGGATGAGAAGACAAAGATGTTGTAACAGTGTTGAAATTGATTTTTTTTGTCTTGGTTAATGATTTTTAAATATTAGCAAGGAGGAGGCAAGCACAAGAATTTGGGCAGAGGAGAAGGGCCCAATAACAGTGATTTTTGTTGTAGTGGCTCAGAATGCAGCATAATATATAAACCAAATAGAATGGTAACCTGGAAAGGAACAAAGGCCAGTGAATCTATGAGTCAGTCGTTAAGGAAATATTATGTTTCTTTCTCTAACTCTGCACCTGAGTGTGACAGCTAAACTTAGGGTAAAGGAACAACATCTTCAGGACAGAGGGCTGAATGCCTGGAGTGCTAAAATTTCACATAGTGGCAATTGTTATGAAGGAATAGCAGTGGGGGAGGGGTATGTAAATTGCACACATGTGTACGTGTGTGTGTGTGTGTGTGTGTGTGTACATAGGTAGAATGACTTCTTTGGATTTATTGAGTAGGAGGGGAAGATGATGTATGAATGAGAGAGAGCTGGGCATGCAAAGGGCTGTAAGAAGAATGTTTTGCATTGAATGCCAGGGTGAGCAATTTGAATTTTTCTCCGAATCCAAGTGGCAGACATTGGAGGATTTTAAGTAGAAGAATGACATGATCTGATTCACATTTATTTTAAAAATTTTTTCCTGGCTACTTGGCAGAGTACAGCAAATTTCAAGAGGCAAAATTAGATGTAAGAAAACCAGTGAGGAGGCTGTTACCAAGCCCAGATGAAAGATGATGGTGGCTTGGACCAGACTGGTAGTAGTGAAGATAGATAAGGATATATCTGAGAGCAATGTAGTACATAAAACCTTGAATCTTCTGTTAAATTTGATATGGAGAATAAAAGAAAAGAGAAAAAACAACATCTTGATTTTTTAGCTCTCTAATGTGTGCATTTTAACCAGAACATCTTTATGAAAATGACCTTTTTGGAAGCCACTGTCGATTCGAATACTGAAAGTGGAGGACTAGTAGGGGAGATACATTTGAGCTAGAGAAAGACTTTAAGTACCCTGGCCCTAAATTGTACCACACAAGATATGCCAACTCCCACTAGGTCTTGGATCTTCCATTTGGGCTACCAAATCTGCTGTCTACATTATGTAGCCAAAGAAATGGCTTTGTTCATAAAACCCAACCCTATACTTATTCATCAACATATGACCTTTATTCTTTGCCAGTGTCCCCATCTACTCATGTCTCATCCTCAAATTAGGGCCAACCTGGCCAACAACATTTTTTTGCAGCAATAGCTCCTTTACACCATATGAATGCCTAATTGGTTCCCAGATTTTAAGTGCTTTTAAAAGCTGATTATGTCAGGAGATCAAATTTGTTGATACAGATGCATACTAAAGTTGAAGATCACCAGAGATTAGAATGGTGCCCAGGAAAGCATACAAATCATTAATTTTGGAGGTGATCTTTACATAGGTTGTAATGACGTACCAGGATGCAGTGCAGTGGGACAATTGTGTAAACTGCCACCACCCTAACCACTGCTTCCCAAAGGACCCCATGGATGTTCTCCTCTGAGTCCAAGTTACACAAGCTTGACAAGCAGAAAGCATGTGGCCTCTATTTTGCATTTCATCTTGCTCATAATAGAAGGTCTTCTTTAACGGGAAAAGAAAATGTATGGCAATAAATCTTTAAAAGTATTGTAACATTCAAACTGTCAATATTGGTTTTAAATTATTGCATCATTTTCTGAAATAATGAATGTCATGAATTGTAATTAATTTACATATGCACTAAGTCCACTTTCAAAGAAACCCTCTTTTCTCTTTCAAACATTGGAAATTAAATATTTATAGTTGTTGTGATTTCATATATACATAGTTAATATTGCCTCTCAAAGCCACCTGCTCTCCACCATATGTCATTTTGTTTGCTGATTCCTTATAACCTCATAGATTTGAAGTTGGGTTGGCCAGAACAAAAATCCTACCAAAGACCACGTAAGTAGTAAGTGAAAAGCACTGAGCTAGGTCCATTTTAGTAGGACGTAGGAGGTAAATGGGGAGTAAATAGTCCCATCACCTTTAAGTATCCCTTTTTGCAGTTTAATTCACTAAAGGATTTAAGAGTTTAGCTTTTAGTCCTTAAAGTTGAATGATTGGGCAGCAATCAATGTATATTTATGGTATTAGAGAGCGTTCCTCAAATTTTGCATCTCTCAATTCAGTTTATGTTTTTCAAAATAAAGATGAGCATACAAACCAAGAACCATGTCTTGTGGGGTCCTCAGCTAAAGGCAAAGTGGAGATCAAGAGACCGAGTGAGCTGTTTTAATGTGATGTTTGAAAAAAAAAACATTGAAAATGAGAAAATCAAAAAGTAAAGAGGCCTAGAATATAAATAGAATTTCAGTCATTACTGGAACTATATGTTGGCCTCTATTTCTTTCAATTTTTACTAAGCATAGAACTTCCTTGCATGTTTCTGCCTTGGATGTAGGGCTACTTTGAAAGTGTGGGCTAAGATGGCCAGACACTGTAATGGGAGAGAGTAAGACCCTTGGAGTCCTCCCTGCCTTTCTTAAACATGGGATGGCTGCGTGTGAAGACTACCTCTTCCAAAGCATCAATCCTTTCCCTCTGCCTTCTCCTACCATCCTGAAGAGGCAATAATAATAACAAGGACAAACATTTATTTGGCACTGTTTCTGTTTTAAGCACTTGACTCTATGCTTCTAAAATCACAGGAAATAGACTATTTCCGCCGAATATAAACTCATTCTTGCCTTCAGAACATCTTACCTGCATGGGCAGACAGGGCCTCCAGAGGACAGCTGCATTCCAAAAAAGCCTGAAATAAAGCATTAGGCAAGTATCTGCCTACAGGGCTGAACACATAGTGTTTTTAACAACATTTTCTGCAAGTTAGGTGAGAGTTTCTTGGCTATAGATAGGATTTGAACTTACCAGCATATAATCCCCAGAAGAGCTTGGACTAGTCTTTTTTCCATATGACGGTAGTACTTGACACATTGAAGAGACTTACTTGGTGTTTGTTATGAATTAATAAGCAGATGAATGAATGAATCAAAAGTTGAAAGAGGCCGGGTGCGGTGGCTCACGTCTGTAATCCCAGCACTTTGGGAGGCCGAAGCGAGCGGATCACAAGGTCAGGAGTTCAAGACCAGCCTGACCAATATTGTGAAACCCCGTCTCTACTAAAAATACAAAAAAAAATTAGCCAGGCATGGTGGCACACGCCTGTAATCCCAGCTACTCAGGAGGCCAAGGCAGGAGAATTGCTTGAACCCAGGTTGTGGTGAGCCGAGATCGTGCCACTGCACTCCAGCCTGGGCGACAGAGGGAGACTCTGTCTCAAAAACAAAAAAAAAAAAAGAAAAAAGAAAAGTTGAAAGAACAAGAGATCGTGGATATGTCAACTCTGCAAGTATGCAGAATGCCTAAATATCCCCCCTCTATTCTTTCTTTCAGAATGCTCACTCTCTCCCCACTACTCTTCATGTGTATACCTCCCACTCATTCTTCAGATGTTACCTCAGAAAATCTCCTCATTCAGGAAGTGGCCACTGATTCCTCAGATGATAAGGTCACTCTCTTTAGGGTATGCTGTACCTCTCTTAGGGAACTTTTTTTTTTTTTTTTTTTTTTTGAGACGGAGCCTCACTCTATCACCCAGGCTGGAGTGCAGTGGCGCGATCTCGGCTCACTGCAACCTCCACCTCCGAGGTTCAAGCAGTTCTTCTGCCTCAGCCTCCCAAGTAGCTGGGACTACAGGCACATGCCGCCATGCCCGGCTAACTTTTTTGTATTTTAGTAGAGACAGGGTTTCACCTTGTTGCCCAGGCTGGTCGCGAACTCCTGAGCTCAGGCAATCTGCCCGCCTCAGCCTCCCAAAGTGCTGGGATTACAGGCGTGGGCCACTGCACCTGGCCTCTTAGGGAACTGAATATACACTCTACACTTTCTTAAATCAGAGCTTTGTGCATGTGATTCGTCCTCCACTGTGCTGAAAAAACCCTAAGTATAGGAAGTGTACCTTTATTCATTGTATATACCCAACTAAACCTAGTGTGCTACACATTCTAGGCACTTGACAAGTATTTGTGAACTAATAAAATGTTCAAAGAAAGTGGTTGCTTATGAAATAAAATTGGACCTAGGTGTGGCCATATAGAGGGAAGAGGTATTTGGGTTCACTATGAGGAAGACAAGCAGTAAGAACTCTTAATCCAAAAGGCAATAGTCTCCCATGTGAAGAAGTGTCTTCCTCGTCCCTGGCTAGGATAGCCAGTGGCAATATTATTTTTATATCCTTCTTTAAACAATTACTTATTGTGCACCTACTGATTGCAGGCTACTGTGGTGAGGATAAATTGCCAACCAAAGCAGAAAGGTCTCTGCTCTCTTGGAACTAACTTAGCATCTAGTGGCATAGAGAGAAAGTAATCCAATAATCAGAAAAATAAATCCATAAGTACCAACTGTGATTTATTTTAAAAGTCAAGAGGCTGGCCACCGTGGCTTACCCCTGTAATCCTAGCACTTTGGGAGGCTGAGGTGGGAGGATCACAAGGTCAGGAGTTCAAGACCAGCCTGGCCGATATGGCGAAACCCCGTCTCTACTAAAAATACAAAAATTAGCCGGACATGGTGGTGTGCACCTGTTGTCTCAGCTACTCAGGAGGCTGAGGCAGGAGCTTTGCTTGAACTCAGGAGGCAGAGATTGCAGTGAGCTGAGATCACACTACTGCACTCCAACTTGGGGGACAAAACAAGACTCCATCTCAAAAAAAAAAAAAGAAAGTGTCTAACAGACAATCTGATCTGGGCCCTAAGGAAATGATGATTGAACTATGATATAAAAGATGAGGCAGAGTTAACTATATGAAAAGGGATGGAAAAGAATTTTAGACTGGGAACAGCCTATGTAGAAGCCCTGTGACAGGTAGACGAATATGGAACATAAATTATTTAAGAACCCAAAGGAAGACCAGTGGGATATTCAGGGAGAGCTTTAGAAGATATTGACAGAAAAGTACATGGAGTCAGATTATGCTAGGTTTGGGGGACATGCTAATGATTTTATACTATATTCTTTTTAAAAATATGATTTTATACATTTTCTTAAAAAAGTAAGAAACTTCTGAAAGACTATAGGTAACATGATCAAATTGTACAATACAATGTAATGTATTATTAACAGTAACATCATGGAGCATTTATTAAGTGCTTACTATGTACCAGGCAATATTCTAAGTGCTTAAGTGAATTATTTTATTTT
The DNA here is from genome assembly GCF_000001405.40 of Homo sapiens. NCBI lineage: Eukaryota > Metazoa > Chordata > Mammalia > Primates > Hominidae > Homo > Homo sapiens. The sequence goes on along the minus strand of NC_000005.10, from coordinate 146,910,606 downwards.
ATCCTTACTACACCACCATGAAGAAGGTTGCTATTACCATCACCCTTTTGCAGATGAGGCAACTAATGGTCAGAGATCTTCCCAGGACTAGAGTAAAGGAAGCAACAATCATATGGCACAAAATTTAAGGATAAAGGTATTCACTGCATGTTTGTACATGTGCTCTCCCAACCTTGCATAACACCAAGAGTGAGCACTTCCTTTAAATCTTGCACTTGAGGCACTACACTTGTCTCATCCTTGTCTCAAATCTGAGTTAAGTAACCTATTCTGGGCATTGTAGCTCATAAATGATCAAACTAGCTTTTGCATCCATAGCTGTATAGCCTTCAAATTTTTTTCTATCTGCAAAATTTTTTGAAATTCTAAATGAACACCCTGCTACCTTCTTGTTATTAGGCTCGTGAAAAATGAAATTACTTGCAATGAAAGATTAAATTTTATGTTAGACTTCAAATTGTAAATAGCTAGGCTTGCCTGAAATGAATTCAGAGAATGAAAACTGATAAGTTGTAGAATCCATCCCATAGAATGGACTATCTCAACATTATTCAGGAGATGAGAAAGGATGAGTCAAATATTTAAAAAGTAAACAGGTTTTTCCTATTAATTTTAAGCCAATGAAATGGAAATTAAATCTTCTAGCTGCAATTAGATAAATGGATGTCAATCAGATATGAAACTGCTAAAGAAATTAGCCATAGGGGTAGTCCTTAATCTGTTTGGGCTTTTTTGTGGGATGGTAGAAATGTAATCTGTTATCAGCATAGGTATGATTGAATTATTAATAATATTGTGCAAAGCCACCTAGAAACCAGAGCTTGGGGACTCTTAAATCTATTCTAATTGAAACACAGAACCAGCAGACTGGAAAAGACCCTGACTCTTCTCAAGATATGTCACAGGATGTGACACAGAGGACATGCGGGCTTGCAACACAGTGGCAGCTGCAAGCTGACCTCTTGGCAAATTTAATCTGTAAATGGATTCCAGTTTAAGATAGTGAATGCCTTCCATTATTAGGAAGGCTTCTTTCTATATTTTGGAAAGCCTGGTTAAAAATATTTCATGCCAGGTTATTATGCAGATTGCCTAGCTAACAGGGAGATTATGAATGCAAATAAATCAGGTTTTGAAATGAAGAGCTTTACTGACCTCTTAAGAGGGTAGTAACATGTGCATAATGGTGAGGAAAATGCTCCCAGATCATTAGGACAAGAAAAGGGTCACATTGTCATTCTTTGAAGTGTATTGGGGTTGGAATAAAAATCCAAGAATATCCCAGAAGCAAATGAACTGAATTCAAGAACTGCTCTACTTACTGATAAGTTACCCACTCTTCCCTCTGATGTTAGTGTGGGGGAATGTCATGGTCTAGGAGGATGGATGAGCTCCCCATGGAACCCCTAGTTAGTCTCTTAATTCCTCAGTGTAAATTTATGTTGTGGTAATAGCTGGTGGTCAGAAACAGTCAAGGTCACTCACCCTGCTACTTTCTGTGACCTCCCACTGCCCTCTCTTAGCTGCAGGGGAAATCTTCTCCCACTATTACTTCTCCATGGACCATCTGCTTTCTCTTTGGTGGCTGCCTCCAGGAGCTGATCTGAAGGATCTTAAAGTAAACCCAGGATGAAAAACACGATCTGAGCTCCAGGGCCCACCCCTGTAATCCCAGCTACTCGGGAGGCAACTCAGGAGGATCACTTGAGCCCAAGAGTTTGAGGCTGCAGTGAGCCGTGATCACGGCACTGCACTCCAGCCTGGGCAACATAGCAAAACCCTGGGTGGGAAGGAAGGAAGGGAGGAAGGGAGGAAGGGAGGAAGGGAGGGCGGGAAAGGAAGAAAGAAGGCATGAGTTTTATATTGAGGGGAAGCTGGAATTGAATCCTAGGTCTGACACTGACTAGTGTAGGGCCTTTGGGAAGTTTCTCAACACTCTAGGTCATCACCTTCTTCAACTACAACCTGAAAACAATGATGTGAGCCTTACAGGGTGCAGACTGCTAAACTTTTTCTGTTAATGGAGCCCTTAGTGTCTCAGTAATTGTTTAACACACCCCTATGCCAAAAAAAAAAAAAAATCTAACAATTTCTTTATTACGTAGCTAGGCCCAAACAGCTGTATACATATGTATGTTCAAAAAATTTAGGAGTCTTTTGAAAAATATACATATTGAAAGAAAAAAAAATTTAATTTTTAAGTAAACACCAAGAACTTACTAGTAGAATATGTGTGCCTGTTGAGTACTGCATAATTCCTTGAAACTTGGAATCAGACTTTTCTCTTCCATGTTGAATTTTGCACCATACTTGGTTTTCATCACAACCAACCTTTACAAAGATCTGTCATGTAGTACAATCTAATGTTGCAACTGTGATCTACTTCAAGCTAATATTTTGCATGGTGTATCACAGAAGTGTTTCCCTCAAAACTTTAAAATCTGTCTTGGCTTTCCTGTAAGTTCACTGTGGTGCCCTGGGGTACCTCCAGTCACTTGAGGAACCATGGTTATAGGTATCATGTAGTTTGATTTAGAAGACAAAACGTGAGAATTAATGTAAAGAACGTGGCTGTGGGTATGCTCATAAAATCATTGCTGCTGCTGTTCTGCTCGGCAGTTTTTCTCTATGATCATATTTATTAATAAGGAAGAACAACATGGTTTTTCCTTCTAGGGAATTCAATGCTGCCAACATTTGATCAGCCAGTTTGAAAGACTAACAAACCACTGCATACTATGGAAATGAAAGGCATGCCCCCAAGAACCTCACCATTTGATTGAGGAGACAGAATAAACACACAGGACCCAATAGTTAATAACTCACAATTGCTAAACAGTAAAGTAGTGTAGGATTTCAAAGCAGTAGAAAATGAAAGTGGTATGGGAAAAGACAAAAACTTAGCTGGGCCTTGACAAATCAACAGCATTTATACAGGATAATGGAAAAGGGGGTTTCTCCCAAGTAGAGAACTTAAACAGTGTGAGGCACAGTGTGTTCCACACTATAGCTGATGGGTTGGCCTCAGGGGGGATGTTCAGGTACACCTGCCCTTAGCCCTTTCTCCAACTTGGTGATGACCAGGCAGCACAGAGATGCTGTTGTAGACTTTGCCCTTCTGTAAGGACATTAATTCCACTTTCTTTGGCTCCTGGGTACATGAAATTTTCCATAATAGGAATATAAGCTGAACTTTGGGAACGCTCATATGGGAACACATTCATTTTAACCAATGTCCTGAAGAAGCTCTGGGAGAAGAGCTGCTTGAGCTGAGCTTCAGGAAAATGCACATAGATGGCTTAAAATACGTAGTTGTAATAATCCCCCAGCTCGCTTGTGCAAAAATGCAGCTTTATTTCTAGATTTTAACTTCTACATCTGCTGATGGAAAAAAAAATGTAATTTAGCCAATTCATGCTTATACAATCGTTTTCAGACTTAAGCTGATAATTTAGGCTCTAAACATTCCATTTTACACCCACAAAAGCCTCCTGTACTTTCCTACTTCCCTGTCGGAATGGCATCCTGCGCTATCTTCTGTCCTCACCACAATCAGCCAAGGAGCCTCTTGCCTTTCCTGGTCTTCCCTTTAGGCCTCTGTCCCTGCAGCGCCCCCTTCCTGTGTTACTCATCCTGTCTCCTGCTACAGTGTAACTCGGCTGGTCTTCTTAGAAGTAGATTGTCTCTTTAAATTTAATCAGCTGCATAAAGTGCAATTGACATTTCAAAAAATGTGCTAGTTTTAAATGTACAATTCAATATGTTTTGACAAGGGCATACAGTGTTGTAACCACTGCCACAGTCATGAGGTAGAACAGTACTGCCCAATAGACGTATAAGGTGAGCCAGGTACATAATTTAAAAGTTTTCCAGTGGCCACATTTCCAAAAAGTAGAAGAAAGATACATATATTGAGATATCACTCTGTGCCCCATAAATATGATGATGCATAATCATTATGTGTCAATTAAAAATAAAAGAAAAAGGCCAGGTGCGGTGGCTCACGCCTGTAATCCCAGCACTTTGGGAGGCCGAGGCAGGCGGATCACCTGAGATCGGGAGTTCGAGATCAGTCTGACCAATATGTAGAAACCCCGTCTCTACTAAAAATGCAAAATTAGCTGGGCGTGGTGGCGCATGCCTGTAATCCCAGCTACTAGGGAGGCTGAGGCAGGAGAATCACTTGAACCCAGGAGGCAGAGGTTGCGGTGAGCCGAGATCGCGCCATTGCACTCCAGCCTGGGCAACAAGAGTGAAACTCTGTCTCCAAATAAATAAATAAATAAATAAATAAATAAATGGAAAATGGTACAAGAAGCAGGTGAAATTAATTTTAATAATATATTTTCTTTAACTTAATATATTCAAATATTATCACTTTGTTATGGAATCAATATAAGAATATATTAAGGAGCTACTTTATGTCTTTTTTCACATCCATTCTTTCAAGTCTATTGTGTATTTTACACTTCCAACATATCTCAACTCAGACAATATATCTTTACTAGAAATACTTAATTTTTATTTAGAACTTATAAAATTCACAGCTGAAAAAATAGGTTCAAATGTCCAAATTGTTTCAATCCTGCTTACAAGCTTTCCATTATAACTTTTATTTCCATTTAAATTTTATTTAATTTAAATTATATGTAATTAAAATTTCAGTAGCTACATGTGGCTTGGGAGCTTCCATACTGGATAGCACAGAGAACATTTCCATCATCCCCAAAAGCTGACTCCTGCTATTTTGAAATCAATCCCAACCTACCACCACTGGGCACTAGCAACCAATGATCTGCCATTTGACTCTATAGTTTTGTCTTTTCTATAATGTTATATGAATAAAATCAGATTGCACTTAGCCTTTTGTTTGACTTCTTTCACTTATCACATTGATTTTGAGATTTATTTAGAGGGTATTTAATAGGAGTGAGTTCCTTTTAATTGCTAAGTAGTATTACATTGTATAGATGTACTATACCATTCACTAGTTGGTGGGCAGTTGGGCTGTTCCAGTTTTTGGCTTATAAATAAAGCTGTTAAGAACATTCAGGCCAGGAACAGTGCCTCATGTCTTTAATCCCAACATTTTGGGAGGTCAAGGTGAGATCATGGCTGGAGGATCACTGGAGGCCTGGAGTTCAAGACCACCAGCCTGGTCAACATAGTGAGATCCCATCTCTATTATAAAAATTTAAAAATTTAAAAATTTCAAACTTAAGACAAGAACATTCAAGTACAAATGTTTGTGTGGACATGCTTTTATTTCTCCCTAATAAATATGCAGGAGAGGAGTAGATTGAGATATGTTTTTATTTCTTCCTAATAAATATACAGGAGTGGATTGAATGGTGTGTGTTTAATTTTATAGGGGAATAACAAATATTTTCCAGTGTTCCATTTTCCACTCCCACCAGCAAAGTATGAGAGTCCCAATTGCTCCATGTCCTCACCAACACTTGACATAGTTAGTCTTGGCAATTCTAGTAGAGATGCAATGGTATTTCATTGCGGTTTTAACTTTCATTTCCTTAATGACTAATAATGTTGAGCATATTTTCAGGTGCTTATTTGCCACTCATATATATCCTTTGGTAAAATTTCTGTTCAGATATTTTGCCCCCATTTTTATCAGGTTGTCTTTTAATTATTGATTTGTAAAAGTTGTTTTAAATAGGCTGAATATAAGTTCCTTAGCAAACATGTTTTGTATATGTTTTCTCCCAGTCTTGGCTTGGGTGTGACTTTTTTGTATCTGGTTCCTCATGTTAATGTTAACCTGCTGCTGTTAAATGTGGTGTTACCATGACCTCCAGTACCATGTCCGTGCCCTCATTTTGACTCCTGGCACCTTTGGGTTCATCACTGTGTTCTTAACTGTTTCTGCTTTTCTCTCAAGGAGATGAAGCTACTTTTAGCAGTCTCTTTCATTCTATACTGAGGCTACAGGACTTCAAGCAGATGTCTTCAGCCAGTCTGTATGATCAGTGGTTACAACCATTACTCAAGCACCATATTGGTTAGACATGAGGTTTCTCCAAGAAGCTTACAACCTCTCTGGGCTATACTTTAGGACTCGGGGAACACGCTCCCAATACTGCCTGTGGAATTTTCTACAACTTTCCTCTAGTTCCATTAGTTACCTCCTACCCCAGGACTGGGCTTGATAAGCCTCATGAGAGGCTGAGTAGATATTTAATCTCTAGACTAAGCCTATTGATTTCCTACTTTCTGCCACTTGGTCAAACTTTGGTCTCCTTTTATAATAATGTTCTTATATAATAAACTTGCATTCTTTCCTTTTTCTTCCCCAGAATACTGACCTTTCATACTTTTAGGAACTGTGGATCAGTATTTAAAGGCAAGATTTTGATCTTCAAAAATTTTTTTCTCCTTCTTAGGCACCAGACTCTTACAGTTCATGAGTTAGAAACTCAAGAACAAATACAATACTTTGGTCTTTCTGGTTCTATAGGAGTGAGAGAGAGAGTGATGTCTGCATTCTACAAATACTAGCCTACTACAGTTGGCTCTCAGTAGTTAGACAAGTCTCTGAGAGGACAATCCCTGCAGAGACAAGAATATCACTAATTACTCTGAGCCAGGAAACCCCGGAGCATGTTTAGAAGATGACAATATAATGATCATTATGTTAGTCATGAAATGGGAAGAATCTATCATTTGGCACCATTTGGTACTGTGTGCCAACTCTGGCTTAAGCATTTTGCTCATATTACCCTGTAAGGTCAATAATTATTATCCCCATTTTGCTGTAGAGAAAACTGAGTATTCTGATACAACTTTAACTTTCCTGGGGTCAAAAAAATTATCAGTATCACTAGGATTTGAACTCCAGGTCAATCTGATTTTAAAGCATGTACTCTTAAGCATTAGAACAGTGGTTCTTTTGACTGGGCATGGTGGCTCACACCTGTAATTCCAGCACTTTGGGAAGCCAAGGGTGGCAGATTACTTAAACCCAGGAGTTTGAGACCAGTCCAGGCAACATGGCGAAACCCCATCTCAACAAAAAATATTTAAAAGTTAGACAGGTGTGGTGGCATGCACCTATAGTCCCGGCTACTCAGGAGGCTGAGGTGAAAGGATTACTTGAACCTGCTAGGTAGAGGCTGCACTGAGCCAAGATTGTACCACTGCACTCTAGCCTGGGCAACAGAGTGAAATTCTGTCTCTAAAAAAAAAAAAAAAAAAAAAGAGAAAGAAAGCAAGAAAGAAAAGAACAAAAGCAAAAACAAAAACAAAAAAAACAGTGTTTCTTAAACTATTTGGTCTGAGGACCACCTTATAACCTTAAAAATGATTGAGAACCTCAAAGTTCTTTAATTAATGTGGTTAATGTCTATTGACAGTTAAATTATTTATTAATTCAATTAAAAATAACAATAATAAACTCATTACATATTAACATCAATGGCATGCTTTTATGAAAAATTACTATATATATCCCCCAAAATAGAAGAGTAGCATTACATTATGTTTTTTATAAATCTCTTTAACATCTGGCTTAATAGAAGACAGGTTCTCATATGTGCTTCTGCAGTCTGTTGTAATATCGCATATCACAGAGTGCCTGGGAAACCCTGCTGTACACTCATGAGAGAATGAGAGTTACAAAAGCAAATAACATCTTCGTATTATGAAAATGGTTTTGATCTATGGACCTCCTAAAGCAATTTTAGGGATCCCTAGAGGTGCTCATACCACAATTTGAGAATTAGTGCATTGAAAATAATTAGAAATAAACTGATTCCAGTGTAGCAAAACTTTGTTATGTGTAGAGAAGAGGTGTGCTCTGAATTGGGAAGTATAGATTAGGACCAGATCTTGGGAGGACGATTATCAGCTTAAGGAGTTTGAATGTTGTTCTCAATGCACTGGGGAACCACAGATGGCTTTTGGCTTGATCAGATCTTTGTGTGGGGACAATTAGTCTGTCAATAAAATGAGTAGGATGGATTAGAAAGAGGACAGAGAAAAGGCAACCAGTTAAGAGCACTTTAACGAGGCCGTGTGTAGTTGTATATCTAGAGCCAGACCTCAGGATTTTTGTGACAATTAAATGTGTTAATCTATGTAAAATGCATATAACAAAGCCTGATCCATGGTAAGCATTATTTGTATTAGAAGTAGTTGTAATAATTGTTGTGGGTAGTAGCAATATTATTATTGCTATTATTATTTATATTAGATGAGTCGTAATAAAAGCTTGAACTAGGCAGAGTTTGAGAGACATTTTGCAGAACAGTTCATAGGATGTAGTTGTGTGGGTGTGTGGGTGAGGAAATAAAACAATGCTGAGATGACAATATTTTGCTGTTTGACTACTATAGGGACTCAGGAAGTATTTTGACAGAGTTGATTTTCAATAAATATTTGGAAAAGGAATGGGGAGAGGAGAGGAATAGAAAGAAATGGTGACTTTGGGGGCAAGGAAGATGATGTCTGTGTTTGTTGATTCTGAGATGCCAGTGGAGTGTGCACATGGTGAGGTCTTTAGGTAAGTCAAACATGCAACCATACATCAGTTCATGTCCTTGCTGTGCTTTCAGCTCTTCAGAGATTTTTTCATCACACTTTGAATTGTCTTCTAATTTCTTACAATAGCCTACAGGCCCCGTGAATTATGGCTCTAATTACCTTTTCAATTTCATCTTTGGCCATCCTCTCTCACTTACTTTGGCACAGTTTCAGTTCCTGAACGCTCCAAGCATTTTCCCATCTTGAGGTGTTTGCACTACTATTCCATTTCCTTCTAATGCAACCACTCATCACACCGACCATTACATAACTGGATTATTTGAATCGACTGAATTGTTACCTCAATGGAAAGTATTTTCCTGACCACTCTAACCAAGTAAATCTTCCTCCTCCTGCTTGCATTCTTCTCTTTCACCAAATTCTCTTCATTATCTTCCTAGACTGAAAGCTTCATGAGGATAGGGAATTTGTGTTGTTGACACAGCATCTAGGACCTCAGGTATAATGAATATTTGTTTCATGAGCTTATGAATGAGATTCAACAGATAGGTTGAAATAGCATTGGAAATGTAGGGGAGTTTGTATTTTGGTTTTTGTTTGTTTGTTTGAGGCAGGGTCTCACTCTGTCACCCAGGCTGGAGTGCAGTGACACGATCACACAGCTCACTGAAGCCTTGACCTCCTAAGCAATCATCCCACCTCAGTCCCCCAAGTAGCTGGGATGATAGGTGCATGTCACAACACCTGGCTAATTTTTCTTTTTAATTTTTTGTGGAGCCTGGGTCTCACTATGTTACCCAAGCTGGTCTTGAACTCCTGGGCTCAAGGGATCCTCCCACATCAGCCTCCCAAAGTGCTGGGATTACAGGAGTGAGCCACTGTTTGAATTTATTTGTACAGATATTTTATGTTAGCACCAATAAGTTAACTATCTGTAATGGAAGCTTCTTGGTCATATTCAACTTCAAAACTGGGTGTGCCTCAATTTGTAAAATATCTTTAGCTATGTTTACATAAGAAAATATAGCTGCTATTCACAATAGCAAAGACATGGAATGAACCCAAATGCCCATCAATGACAGACTGGATAAAGAAAATGTGGTACATATATACCATGGAATACTATGCAGCCATAAAAAGGAATGAGATCATGTCCTTTGCAGGGGGATGGATGGAGCTGGAAGCCATCATCCTCAGCAAACTAATGCAGGAACAGAAAATTAAACACTTTTAAGTGGGAGCTGAATGAAATGAACGCATAAACACAGGGAGGGGAACAATAACACACTGGGGGGTGTCCAGTGCATGGGGATGGGGCACGGGGAGAGGGGGGCATTAGGAAAAATAGCTAATGCATGCCCGGCTTAATACCTAGGTAATGGGTTGATGGGCACAGCAAATCACCGTGACACACATTTACCTAAGTAACAAACCTGCACATCCTGCACACATCCTGTAGCCCGGAGCTTAAAATAAAATTTAAGAGAGAAAGAAAAGAAAGAAAAGAAGGAAAGAAGGAAGGAAGGAAGGAAGGAAGGAAGGAAGGAAGGAAGAAAGGAAGGAAAAAGAAAGGAAAGGAAAGGAGAAAGAAAGGGAGAAAGGAAAGGAGAAAGGAAAGAAAAGGAAGGGAAGCTGGAACAATAACCTTTGAAATTTGCCAAGGTAGCAACAATGACATAATGTTCCTTTACATATGGCAACAGTCTAACCTTGCCTCAAAGTCCCAGGAGTGGATGGTTCTCCCTGTTTCTACATTGTATCTTCTTTTCCCTATGAGCTGGCCTGTCTTTGTGTGTTCAAAGGCCCAGTGATATACTCTGGAAGAAGAATAGCAGATTGGCTCAGGTATGTTTTCTGACTGTGGCACTTATTTTTGACACTTATTCCTTGGGTCGACCTATTAGTGGATCTTGTCTGTGCATGGCAAAAATAATACTTCCTTTAAAGGAGTGTTAATAATCACAATAAAGCATCTAGCAAAGGAAGGGCATGGCTCAATAAATTTCCGGTTCCCCAGCCCCAGCCATTCAGTCAGTTGGTAGGTTGAGTATAGAAATCTTGTTTGAGTTGTTCTTTCATGGAACTTTGAAGCTGTCATTTCATTGTTTTTTAGGGACCAATGTTGAAGAAATTTTCCAGTGACAATCTGATAGTTACTAACATAGATATGGCCTGTGTTTTCCTCCAGGAAACTTTTAGGATCTTCTTTGTATCCTTAGTGTTCACAATGATTATGTAGTTATATATCTTTTAAAATAACCAATATGGGTATACAAAGGGCTCCTTTTAATCTCGAACACTCCTGTTATTCAATTGGGAAATAGCTCTTCAAGTATTTCTTTAATAATTTCCTTATTTTTGATTTCCTAATTCTTCCTGATACTTCTATTAATTGGATATTAGTCTTCATAGAATAATTTCCTAATTTGTATATCTCTGATATTTTGGCTTTATCTTTTTCTCCTACTTTTTTATTTATTATTATTATACTTTAAGTTTTAGGGTACATGTGCACAATGTGCAGGTTAGTTACATATGTATACATGTTCCATGCTGGTGTGCTGCACCCATTAACTCATCATTTAGCATTAGGTATATCTCCTAAAGCTATCCCTCACCCCTCCCCCCACCCCACAACAGTCCCCAGAGTGTGATGTTCCCCTTCCTGTGTCCATGTGATCTCATTGTTCAATTCCCACCTATGAGTGAGAATATGCGGTGTTTGGTTTTTTGTTCTTGCGATAGTTTACTGAGAATGATGATTTCCAATTTCATCCACATCCCTACAAAGGACATGAACTCATCATTTTTTATGGCTGCATAGTATTCCATGGTGTATATGTGCCACATTTTCTTAATCCAGTCTATCATTCTTGGACACTTGGGTTGGTTCCAAGTCTTTGCTATTGTGAATAGTGCTGCAATAAACATACGTGTGCATGTGTCTTTATAGCAGCATGATTTATAGTCCTTTGGGTATATACCCAGTAATGGGATGGCTGGGTCAAATGGTATTTCTAGTTCTAGATCCCTGAGGAATCGCCCTACTGACTTCCACAATGGTTGAACTAGTTTACAGTCCCACCAACAGTGTAAAATGTTCCTATTTCTCCACATCCTCTCCAGCACCTGTTGTTTCCTGACTTTTTAAAGATTGCCATTCTAACTGGTGTGAGATGGTATCTCATTGTGGTTTTGATTTGCATTTCTCTGATGGCCAGTGATGGTGAGCATTTCTTCATGTGTTTTTTGGCTGCATAAATGTCTTCTTTTGAGAAGTGTCTGTTCATGTCCTTCGCCCACTTTTTGATGGGGTTGTTTGTTTTTTTCTTGTAAATTTGTTGGAGTTCATTGTAGATTCTGGATATTAGCCCTTTGTCAGATGAGTAGGTTGGGAAAATTTTCTCCCATTTTGTAGGTTGCCTGTTCACTCTGATGGTAGTTTCTTTTGCTGTGCAGAAGCTCTTTAGTTTAATTAGATCCCATTTGTCAATTTTGGCTTTTGTTGCCATTGCTTTTGGTGTTTCAGACATGAAGTCCTTGCCCATGCCTATGTCCTGAATGGTAATGCCTAGGTTTTCTTCTAGGGTTTTTATGGTTTTAGGTCTAATGTTCAAGTCTTTAATCCATCTTGAATTAATTTTTGTATAAGGTGTAAGGAAGGGATCCAGTTTCAGCTTTCTACATGTGACTAGCCCGTTTTCCCAGCACCATTTATTAAATAGGGTATCCTTTCCCCATTGCTTGTTTTTCTCAGGTTTGTCAAACTTCAAACTATACTGCAAGGCTACAGTAACCAAAACAGCATGGTACTGGTACCAAAACAGAGATATAGATCAATGGAACAGAACAGAGCCCTCAGAAATAATGCTGCATATCTACAACTATCTGATCTTTACTTTTTTTGTTTGTTTGTTTTTTTGAGATGGAGTCTCACTCTTGTCGCCCAGGCTGGAATGCAGTGATGCAATCTCAGTTCACTGCAACCTCCGCTTCCCTGGTTCAAGAGACTCTCCTGCCTCAGCCTCCTGAGTATCTGGGATTACAGGCTCCTGCCACCACACCCGGCTAATTTTTGTACTTTTAGTAGACACGGGGTTTTGCCATGCTGGCCAGGCTGGTCTCAAACTCCTCAGGTGATCCACCTGCCTCGGCCTCCCAAAGTGCTGGGATTACAGGCGTGAGCCACTGCGCCTGGCCTTTCCTACTTTTTAAGAGATTTCCTTGACCAGTATATTTTAACCTTCTAATAATTTAAAAATAAATTTGCCATATTTTTTAATTCCATGTTTTTTTTTTCTTATTCTCTATGTTTTCCTTCTTTGTATAGCATCCGGTTCTTGAATTGTAGGTTTATTCTCCTTTTAAATGTTTCTGCACATACAAATTAGGATTTATTTATTTATTTCTGGCCCTAAAAGTATCCCTGTTGTCTCCAGTATATGTTTTTATATTTGTTTATCTTGTTCTTTTTTCCCCTCACAGTGTAGGTTTCACTCAATTGAGTAGATGATCTTCCATTGCCAAGTCATATGTGAGAATGAATCAGTAGAACTGTCAAATGAATATGAATAGGACTTACCAACTGGTGGGTTTCATTATACAGTGAGTAGGCACAGAGATTATCTTGTATTTTGTAGTCCCTAATTCCAAAATGCAGAGCACTTTGCTCTGAAGACCCAACTCCCACACTTGTGACCTTAGTCCACCCCAGACCATTTTAGTTTTCTTTCAAAAGGAAGAACTTTTTATTGTATCCACCCAGGGTGTGATGAGAAGAGTTAAACAGTGGGAACGGGGGGCAGGTAAATCCCTTTTCACACCCGCTCCATTTTTCACCCTTCATCCCACATCATCTTTGGCATTTCTAAATCCTAACTCTCTCTAGGTTTTTGCAAGATAGATGGGGGCCCTCCTTGGCTGTGCCCTCAATCTGTCATCATTCCTCCACTTACCTGTCTTCTCTCAGAAACACATGAAATGCATCGTTCACTTAATGACCCTCTTTATATTCTTTTCATTGTTCTGGGGCTGTATCTGCTTTGCTTCTTTACTATCATTTTAAAGAGATCTTGGGAAAAGGAGATGACAAATATATGCTCAGTTCATCATTGACCTTAATTTTCTTTTTCTGCTTGTTCTAAATCAAGGAGGATCATTACCTTCTTAAGAGGCTAAGCCAGCATTTCTTAGCTGGTCCACTTCTATATCCTGGAACTTTAGTTTTAAAGTACAAAAGCCATCTTTTTTTGACAGTCTGAGCCTCCACTTTTCCCCAATTATACTAAACAGCTTCTCTGCTTTCATGTATTGACAACCCCCACTAACGCCTTTAAATCTTGGAATATTCAGTTTTATTTGATGTGTGTAGGTGTGTAATGTTCTGAATAACAGGAAAGTGAATCACCGAAAAAAAAAAGGAAGAAAGAAATGGGCTTAAAAAATTAAACAACAAAATGTCTACGGGTTTATTTATCATTTTGTAAGATCTCACCACCACAGGGCATTTCAAACTGAATAGCTTCTTTGAGAGAAAAATCATCCTGGTGACTGTTTAGGTGTTCTTTTCAAATGATTATGGGAATTATGGCACTTTGATTCTTTTTGATAAATACTTAGTATGTACTTACTGAGTGGAAGGCTGGAACAGAAATTTGCATAGAGAAATGTAAGTGGAATCATTATTGAGTAGAGTCAAGTAACAGTGGGTTTGAGCCCCACATCAGTCATGTTCTACTTTCTCTAAGATAGTTCAGGTCTCTGAGTCTCAGTTGCCTCAATGATAGTTAATAATACCTCCTTCAGGGTGATGGTGAGAGATAGAGTTAATGTGAGCATAAAGACATGCATAATACCTGGTACTTGGTAAGCACCTATCAAATTGTGGATGATTTGATTATGAGGTAAACAGGCTTTAAAATGTCATTGCCTACCCTGTTCTTAAAATTATGGGGGTAAAAAAGCACTTCTTCCCAGACATATCAAAGTTTGTGTAACTCCAAAAGCCTGACCATAGCCTTTCTTTAATGTATTTCTCAGTTCCTCTGCCTTCGTTTAAGGTCAAACAGAGCCAGGCGACCACTCAGACAATATTATTTAGCCCGATGAATTGTCAAACAGTAATGACCCCTTTGGACAGTTTGTTTTGCGATTTTCATAATTTCTTATTGAAGAATCACGGACTGGTCTGTGACAGGACATATTTTGATGTCTTCCAATTATGTACACATTATGGAATTTATGAATTAGAGCTATTGTCCTTTCCTGTGGTGGAGATGGACTTTGTGGTTCTTTATTTTCCTAATGAGGTGGAGTCCAGGAGCTAGGCAGATGGAATTCTTTTGACATTTATTTCAAGAGAAGCCATAAACATATTACAAAATAGTATGAAAATATGCAAATATTACTAAATTTGTAGGAACAAAATTTTTTATCTCAACCATTACTAGTTAACAACTGTTTATAAACTGGGGAAAGAAATCAGTTATAGTCTCTCATTTAACAAACAGCCCTTACCTACTGAACCCTACTATGCATGTACACGGTGATGAAACAAACAAAAAACTGCTGATGAGATTAAAAACTACTGTTTTTAATTCATGAATCAGTTTAACAAACTTTTGTGTGTCAGTACTTAGGCACTGGGAATCCAATAGTGAATAAAAAACAGACATGATTCTTTCATGAGCTTACTGAGTATTGGAGGAAACTTTTGCTAAATAAACATTCATAGACATAGATGTAGAGCTACACTGTGGTGAAAGTAATGAAGGAGACACTTGGTGCTATGAGAGCAGTATGGCAGGGGGCCGACTTGTCTGCATCAGCAAGAATTCTTTCCTCTTGAAAAGATGACTAATCTGAAATGTGAAGGATAAAGAGATATTAACTGTGGGTGAATGAAGAAGAAACACTCTGGAGATGCAAAGGCTTTTCAGGTGGAGCATACATGGAGCTTTCGGGGAGTTGAAAGGAGGACAATGTATTTTGACATAGAGGACAAAGGCAGGAGGATGTGTGAAAGGAAGCTCTAAATTCCTTCTCTTGTAATACCCCAAGCTGTCCTTTTAGTTTTGCTTTCATTTACTCATTTATTCATTATTTGATTCATTCAGGCATTCAACAAATGACTATTCCATGCCAGTTCTAGGGCCGGCACCATATTAGGTACAGATAAGATCATGATTAAGGTATAGCCCTGGCCCCAAAGAGCTTACAGGAGAGAAAAAGATGTCAAGATGCTATGCGCCCTAGAGGAAGAGCACTATCCTTGACCTACATTTAGGAAGCTCATGAATTAGCAGAGTGAGGAGGAGAATGAAGAGAATTTCAAGAAGTAGAAAAAGTGTGTACAAAGGTCCAGAGGCAGGCTAGGTGTGGTGGCTCATGCCTGTAATACCAGAATTTTGGGAGATCGAGGCAGGTGGATCACTTGAGCCCTGGAGTTTAAGACCAGCCTGGGCAACATGGGAAGACCCCGTTTCTACTAAAAACACAAAAATTAGCTGGGTGTGGTGGCGCACGCCTGTGGTCCCAGCTACTCAGGAGGCTGAGGTGGGAGGATTTCTTGAACCTATGAGGTCAAGGCTTCAGTGAGCCATGATTGTGCCACTGCACTCCAGCCTAGGTGAGAGAGCAAGACCTTGTCTCAAAAATAAAAATAAAAATAAAGTCCAGAGGCAAAAGAATGTTTGGCAAGGCCTATAAATCACAATAGGCTCTGCAAGCCTTCCTGTGTAGACTATGAGATCCTAATTAATAACAAAATATAGGTGAAAAGCAGAGAGTAGCTAATCCTTAAAGATCTGTTACATTGTATTAAGGGCCTTGGATTCCTTTCCTAAGAGTTATGGGAAGGCACTCAAGAACTTTAAGCAGGGCAATTGGCATGATCAGATCTGCACTTTAGGAAATGATTGTACTTGTGGTAACATGGAGGTGGAATATTTGCCCAGAAGCTACCGCAGGAACACAGCCAAGAGATGATACTGATCCAGGCTAACTTAGTAGCAGCGTAAATGGATAGATATGGACAGATTGTTGTTGTTATTGTTGTTGTTTTGAGACTGAGTCTCACTCTATTGCCCAGGCTGGAGTGTAGCAGCGCAATCTTGGCTAACTGCAATCTCCGCCTCCTGGGTTCAAGCAATTCTCATGCCTCAGCCTCCCGAGTAGCTGGAATTAGAGGTACCCATCACCATGCCCGGCTTTTTTTTTTTTTTTTTCAATTTTACTTTAAGTTCTGGGATACATGTGCTGAATGTGCAGGTTTGTTAAATAAGTATACTTGTGCCATGGCGGTTTGCTGCACCTATCAACCTGTCTTCTAAGTTTTAAGCCCCGCATGCATTAGGTATTTGTCCTAATGCTCTCCCCACCTTTCCTCCCACCCACTGACAGCCTCTGGTATGTGATGTTGCCCTCCCTGTGTCCATGTGTTCTCATTTTGTATTTTTAGTAGAGACGGGTTTTCACCGTATTGGCCAGGCCGGTCTCCTGACCTCAAATGATCCGCCCACCTGAGCCTCCCAAAGTGCTGGGATTACAGGTGTGAGCCACAGCACCTGGCCTATGGACAGGTTTTAAGGTTGTTTAGGAATCTGGGATTTATAGGACATGACACCTGACTGGATGTAGGGTAGAGGAAGATTTTCAAAATGTCTTCTGTGTTTCTGGAATGGGGCAGCTAGGTCGATGGTGGGCACCACTCAAAAGGCAGAAAAAGAAGTGGGTTTCTTAATCCATGCATTTATTAATCTGTAAAGTAGACCTTATTTTAATCATCTTAGATGGTTGTCTACATCAAAATAAAAGCTACATAACTGACACAAAGAAAGCATTCATTAATGCTCAGGAATCATTTTTGTATATGAAGTTCTTTAGAGGTGTTAACCACTGGAAGTAGGAGACAGTAGTTACTGAAAATGTCAGAGATGTCTTTACAGAGCAAGTGAGCTGGGTCTTCAGTGAAGAGAAACACATCACGAGGGAATAAATGGATGGATGAGTGACAGGAAAGACATTCTTGGCAGAGAGCACAACAGGTGCAGAGCTCAGAGTTCTTCAAGAAACTGAAAATGGCCCACTGTTTCTGCGCATAGGGTTTGTGAAAGGGGTGACAGAAAATGAACTAGAAACCTAGGGTAGCAATAGATCCTAGAGGTTCTATAAAACAAGCAGAATGCCTGAGTGCAGGCCAGCATTTGACAAAATGTTTCTGCAGAACTTAGGTATTGTATAAAATGTAAATATGCACAAATTAATATGAAAAATTCTGATTTGAACAAAGTTAAATTAACTTTTTTATTGCAGGATTTCTCAGAAGTTTTACATGTGCATTGGAAACCTACAACAGAGGGCTATAGCATGACGCTTTTTTTCAAACTGCACCTCTTTTCCCAGAACACTGATTAACAAATGCCTCAAAAGACACTGATTCTGTGCCATTGGATTTAGGAAACTTTACACTAGGCAGTGAGGAACCATAAGTTAGAAAGATCATACTGACTTAGTGAGGAGCGTGGCTTGGAAGGGGTAAAGACTGAAGGCCTGATGATCTTAAGAAGTTACATGAGATAATAAGAAAAATCATATATGCTAAGCAGAGAGAGGTGGTGGGAGGGACAGAGAGGTGCTCACGTGCATGTGTGCATGTATATTTTAATCAGGCACTGGACACTTAGCAAGAGCTATTTGTAGCCTGCAGAAGCTAGGGAAGGGTTTACAGGAAATTGTAAAGCTCTTTGTCAATATGAGGAATTATTATTTCAACGCTATTTTACATTTCTGATGCCTTTTGATCCCCCTGTGTGGCATGTGTGCAAACCCACTATGAGAAAAGTTAAGAGAATTTGCTCATAGTTCTAGAGCTGATGGAATGCAGAATTGACCTTTGCTCTTCTAAGTCTGGGACTCTTTTTATTCTATTGTGTTCCCTCTGAGCTCAGACTCAAGCTGGGATTTGAAGGATAGGTAGGGTTTGCATAGGTTGAAAAAGTAAGTAAAAACATTTTGCTTCAGAGAAAAAGTACAAGAAAGGACACAGAGGCATGTGAATGGCATGACTGACAGTCTGGAAAGTGTCACTCTGCTAATGACGGTAATCGCTCCATGAGTCTTCCCATCCTTCAAGGCAGAGCATGTGATGTGTAGTGTCTTAAGACCCACTCTTAGAAGGGTCCTGTGCTT
This sequence comes from Homo sapiens, assembly GCF_000001405.40. Lineage (NCBI taxonomy): Eukaryota > Metazoa > Chordata > Mammalia > Primates > Hominidae > Homo > Homo sapiens. The sequence continues at coordinate 146,891,919 of NC_000005.10, read as the reverse complement.
GGTTTAATGCTCTGTTGTTGCTGTCTTAAAATTCCAAATACTTTAAGAACAAAAGATGCCCCCTTTTTTTGATTTGGGCCCCACAAATTATGTAGCCAGTCTTGCTTCAAGGCCTAGGTTAGGTATTCTGATCATCTATTTTATCTGTCAAAGCTATTCTCATTCCACTAGATGCCTCTACATTTTTACATTGTGGTTAGTTCACACTTGGTTGGTCTCTTATTCGCACATAAATTACTAACAGTTATCTTTGCAATCAAGTCATAATCTCCTTACAAGCAACTAGAAAGCCTAGTGCTAAGCACATAGTAGGCAGGTAATAAAAATTTGATGTTGAATGAATATACCTCCATTAGAAGCCCACTGACATGAGTTTCATACTCCTTTATAATGAAACCATGTCTTTGAGTTAACTTAAAAAAAATTAAAAAGAGCAAATCTGCTAACATAATTCAAGGGTGAAGACTACACAAGTGAATAAATCTAGCATCCATGTAGACAATGACAGTGTTCACAAAAATGACAGTATCCAACACCTAATACCAAGAGCAAACATTTATTGGGTGTGGATTATGTGCCATGCATTGCTTTAGGCATTTCATTCCATTTTTACAACTACTCTACAAGTGGATCCTATTATAATCTTTGTTTCACAAATGAGATTAGAACACAACATGATTAAGAAACTTGCCCACAGTAAAGATTTGACCTCAAGTAGCCTGGTTCTCAAAAATCATGCCTTTAACCATTTGCCTATTACACTTTACTGACCCATCATAGAAAGGAGACTCACATCTGGCCTTATATCATTACCAGTTAAGTGCTGTATCTGTGACAGCCACTTTTATTCTCTACGAAAAAATTTGCTGGGGACATGATAGCACTGTAATTCTAAACTTGCACTCAACTGTGTACCTTTCTTTGGACCCAGGCCTTATTTTTTTCTCTCTCTCTCTTTTTCTTCCTATCTGTGAAATAGACATAATGAGTCAGCATTTGGAAGCAGGAAGTGCTCTAAACTATGTTGCTGTTGCTGTTTTCCTGGGGAGAGAAATCATTAAATTCTCAAAAGGATCTATGATCCTAAAATGTTAAAGTCATGGCTCAGGGCCTATGCTACTTTTCAATTGTAAATTTATAAACTTGGGTTTTCATCCTTTGTTCAGTCCTTGTAGGGCTGTCAGATACCAAATGGAAATTGCAAAGGTCTCTATTTGTGGGATGTTTAATATTATTATTTTTACTCTATATTTATTCCTTAAATATTTATTGAGTTTTAAAATATATACAACCTTGCTTACAAGTTCAAGGTCCATCTAACTCTTGAATTCTGGCTTCTGTAACTTATCACACTAGTACAGTAATGGCCAGATTGACAACCTTTTTTGCATAATGCCTTGAATTTGTCAACATGTTTCCCACATGATGAACTAAGTTTACCACGTGCTGTTTCCCAAAGCTTCTAAAGCTGCCTATACTTTTCAGATTTCCTCCAAAGAAAGAGAGTGTGGCAAACCATGATGGTGTAGGTGAAGGATAATAGAACTGGTTAAAGATAATAGAACTGAGCATAAAGGCTTCCAACCTGACCTCTACAGCCGTGGCTCAGGAGGACTGATACAGCTCCTCCTGCAGCACTTCCCTGGCCCATCACAGGGCTTAAAAGCAGAGGCAAGGGAGAAAAGAGGAACTGTGTTACTTTACAATTTTGTCCAGGGCTGGCCCTGGTGAGTTTTGAAAGACAGTAGTAATTTCTCCCCTTGACACTGACCTTAACATACTGGAGAGTTAAGCCAACTTAATTGTCCAATAAATTTTTATTAACCTTCTTAAGAAAAAGTGGTGCATATGACGCAAAACAAAAGTTAAGAAGAGCCATTGTGTGTGTGCGGATGTGATCATGGGATTCAGGACACCAGGTCTCATGCTCGTCTGTCACCAAATTACCAGGTAACCTGGGCAAGTCGCATCTTTTCTCTAGGCTTTCATCATCAGCAAAATGACGGGCTAGACCTAATGCTCTCTAAGCCCATTTTTTAGCTATAACTTTGCCAGATGTATGATTAGCATTGCCTGGAGTTAGACAACTGCTAAGTTTGAGGGTGGAATCCCGAAAACTGCCCTAACTTCTGACAACAATTACAAATTCAGAGGGTTTCTAAAATTATTCTCAGTTTTGATAATTCACTAGAAGAACTCACAGAACTCACTGAAAGTGATTATACTCAAGGTTATGACTTATACGGAAAGGTTACAGATTAAAATAAACCAAAGAAAGAGATGCATAAGGCAAAGCCTGGGAGAGTTCCAATTGCAACGTTTCAATTGTTGGATGCATTACCCTCCTGCCATTGACCTCATGCATTACCCCCCTGCCATTAACCTCCTGCCATGTGACAATATGCATAAAGTATTGTCAACCAAAGAAACTTATCTGAACCTCGTATTTAGAGTTTTTATTAGAGCTCAATTATGTAGACATGATGGATTGACTGATTATATACAAGATTGAACTTAGTGTTCAGGTCACCTGATAACCATGTGACCCAAAGCTTCCACCCTAAGTCACATGGTCATCTGGTATTGCCATCCCCACCCTAAGTTCCACTGGAGCCAGTCCTCACCCTAAACAAAGACATTGCTGTCATATATGATACAGATTACCTCCAAGAAGCCTAGGGCAAAACCCAGGCCTCTCTTCAGGCAAGGGTAAACCCTTTACTACATAAGCATCCTAGGTTTGTTGTTCATTAATTTTCCCTTGTGATTCATCCTTATTATTGAGCAAACACATATTCACTCTTTTATTCTTTTAAAAGATATATTAGCATAACTAGTAGTGCCAGGCACTGTTCCAGGTACTGCATATAAAGCAGAGAACAAAATCGTTTCTCTCTCCCTGGAAATTATGTTCTACTGCTGTAATAACCAAAACCAAATAAATATATACAGTCTAGTTGCAATATAGGGATAGAGAGTGACGGGCAGAGATGGAGGTGCTAATTTATTTTATACAGAGTAGTCAAGGAAGGTATCCCAGTGAAGTTGATACTGGAACAGACACCAGAAGAAGTAAAGCACTGAGCTATGCTGGTGTCTGAAAGAGAGGGAACATAAGATGCAAAGGTCTTGGAGTGGGAGTGTTCTCCTGTCTTCCTGTCCTGTCTTCCTTCCATGTCTATAGGGAGTGGTGGTGGTGGGAGGGGAGGTGAAATTTGGTGGTGCTGCATTTGATAAGTTAAAAAAAAGAGCTATAGCTGGAGCTAAATCTTTCCAGCATTTTAAGAAAGTTTTAGTCTGAATGTGTAGGAAGCCAATAAAAGCCTTTGAGCGGAAAAGTGACATGAAGTGATTTGCATTTAAAAGGACCATTCTGCCTGCTGCCTGGAAACTACTCTGTAGGGGTTGGGGGTGAAGGAGGATCAGAGACTGGTTCGAATCTATTGATATAATCATGGTGAGATAGGATGATAGTTGGAGCATGGTAGCAGCAGTGGAGATGGTGAGTAGTGGTTGATTCTGGACATATTTCAAAGTTAGAGCAGGCAGGATTGAAAAGATGGGAATGAGAGAGTGGAATGAAGGAACAGGAGGGTGGGGCAGGGTATTGTGGGGCAGAATTAGGGATTGAGATGCCTTATACCCTGTGAAATATCAGCTTGGCTGCTGGTGATATTGCTCTGGAGGTCTGGGGAGAGGTTTATGCTCAAAGTTCAGATTTAGGGTTTTGTTGTTATGTGAGTGGTGAGCTGTGGGACTGTGGACTTTGAACTTTGAACTCTAGGGTAGTTATACATTTAGAGGTCACAGCAGTGAGGAGCTACCAAGTGAGCCTGAGGAGTGTACACTGAGGCAGTAGGAGAATAAAGAGAGAGCAATGCCCAGGAATCAGTGAAAAAACTGTATTAGGAAGGAGAGAGTACTCAATTGCATACAAAACAAACTGTTTGCATGTATGAGTTAAAGACAATGGAATACCTAATTCAATAAGTCCTCAGAAATTAATCCACTGATCATGTGACCACAACATTCTACTCTCCAGTACAATCTAAAAGACTACTAATGGTTCTCTACTAGATGCCTACAAACTGTACCTTTAAATTTCTCCACCTTCATTGGTTATAATAGTGTCCAGATGCCCAGATATGAAAGTGCCCTTTTGGCAGTGACATCTGGCTATTTGGCTTCTTCTCTTAGCTGGAATTGAAGGTATACATGTTGAACTAAATGGTTGACCTATTAGGATGGTAACTATAACAGTGATGGAATTATATATCACATCTTTCTTGTCTGAGTTTGTTATATGGTATCATCTTACTATTAGAATCCTGGTCTTTTTGTAATTTATTTATTCAGCTTACTAGTTTTAGGGGAAAATGCAGATTGGATTCAAAATTACTATTCTGCATAATATATATATATAGGTATGTCTGTATATATTTTCGTCTTCAGTTTGTATAACTTTAAATAGTTTTGAGGCTTATCAGATTAATGTTATTTGGTTTGGTTTTAGCATTACATTCAAGTTTCTAGTAGGTAAAAATTTATTTCTTAAAGAACACATTAAAACTCTTTTTGCAAATGGAATAAAAATTTTGAAACAGTTCCATTGTACCTCTGCTGTCCAATATGGTAACCATGGTTACCAGCCCCTAGAAATGTAGCTAGATTTGAGAGGTCTTTTAGTGTAAAACACCAGATTTCAAAGATTTGATATAAGAAAAGAATTTAGATATGTCATTAGTAATTCTTTATTGATTATATGTTGAAATTATATTTTGACAGATTAAATAAGATAATTTTATCTTCAAAAAATTCAAATATAAATATATTAAAATGAATTTCATCTTTTTTTCCTCACTTTTTAATGTGGAAATTAGAAAATTTACAATTACAAATGTGGTTTGCATTATATTTCTATTGCACAGAGCCGTTCTATACATTCTGGTCACATATATGTTTTTATATGTGACCAGAATTGTTTTATGTGTCTCTTGACTTCCTGGTGGGAAGAAAATGGTTTAATCTTTTCTATACAAGTTTCATCCTATAAAGTATTTCATGGCATTAAAAATACTTATTTTTTTTTTTTACTAAAAAAGTTTAAAATGATAATCTAAAAAATCTAAAATGATGCATGTTCTAAAATATTTTAACGAAAACATGAACACAAAAGAAAACTACGCATAACCATTGCTAATATTTTGATATATTCCTTTTAGCATATGCACATTTTTTAACCAAAAAATTGTAGCAGTTGGCTTATTCTGGTTTATGATTTTTTGAACATCATGAACATCTATCTTTGTCACTACTTTTAAGCGTTTCTGCACTGCTATACCTTAAGGATATAGCATACTCCATACTCCCCATAAGTAACAGTGGTTTATGATGGTGATGATATTTTTATCTTTAATAACAGCTGTATTGATATCTAACTCACATGCCATAAGATTCAAACTTTTAAACTATACAATTCAGTGGTTTTTAATTATATTCAGAGTTGCGTAGCTATTGCTCCAAATTTATTTTATTTTATTTTAGTTTTATTATTTATTTATTTATTTATTTATTTATTTTTGAGACGGAGTCTCGTTCTGTCGCCTGGGCTGGAGTGCTGTGGCGCAGTCTCGGCTCACTGCAAGCTCCGCCTCCTGGGTTCACACCGTTCTCCTGCCTCAGCTTCCCGAGTAACTGGGACTACAGGGGCCCGCCACCACGCCCGGCTAATTTTTTTGTATTTTTAGTAGAGACGGGGTTTCACCCTGTTAGCCAGGGTGGTCTCGATCTCCTGACCTCGTGATCCGCCCGCCTCGGCCTCCCAAAGTGTTGGGGCTACAGGCGTGAGCCACCGCGCCCGGCCGCCCCTATCTAATTTTAGAACATTTTCAACACCCGCAAAAGAAATCCTGAACCCTTTAGCAGTCATTCCCACCCCTTTTTTTTTTATCCTCAGTCCCTGGCAACCACTAATCTACTTTCTCTGTCTAAGCAGTTGTCTATTCTGAACGTTTCACATAAATGGAATCATACAATATGTCATCTTTTGTGTCTGGTGTCTTTCATTTAGCATAATGTTTTCAAGTTTCATCTATGTTGTGGCATGTTTCAATACTTCGTTCCTTTCTGCAGCTGAATAATATTCTATTGTATGGACATATAACATTTTGTTTATCCATCTATCAGTTGATGGACATTTTGGGTTGTTTCCACTTTTTGGCTATTATAAATAATGCTACTACATGAACATTTGTGTTCAAGTTTTGGTGGGAACACGTGCTTTTAATTCTCTTCAATATATACATAGAAGTGAAATTTCTGGGTCATATGGTAACTGTGCTTAATATTTTGAAGAACTGGCAAACTATTTGTGGCTGCATTGTTATACAATCCCAGAAGCAATGTAGGATTTGAAGGTTCTGATTTTTGCCACATCCTCACCAACACAATTGTGGTGATTTTCAACTGAGAGAATATTTATCCCTAAGAGAGACAAGTAAGAATCTAGCGGTGAATGGTTTGGAAAGAGACCTCCAGGTGATTCTGTTGTGACCTAAACCCACTGCAATAGACACACACACACACTCACAATAGCTCAAATCACAGTGGTTAAGAGCATGGGCTGTAGAGACAGATCATGGGTTGGCGCCAGGCTCTCATCTATCTGACTTTGGTTATATTATTTACCTCTATTAGCCTCAGTAAAATGGAGATGATACTGTATAGAGGCTGTTGTTAGAATAAAATGAGACAATGCAAGTAAAACCCTTTCCACAGTGCCTAGTACATAATAGATGCTCAGTGTTAGCTATAATTACTATATAAATGAATCAATAATTTGCCATCATATGAACTCATTATAATTTGCCTAACAAATTATTTTGTTGGGCATTTGGGTTGTTTCCAGTTTTTCATGATTATAAGCAATGTTCTTTAGAAATAATTTTATGGCTAAATTTTTGCCCACATCCATGGTTATTTTCTTAGAATAAATTCTGTAAAGTGGTATTTCTTGGTATATTTTTTAAAGGTTTGAAAGACATTTCCCAATAGTTATTCTTGTTTAAATTATACTAAAATTTTACTTTGAGCAATGTAGTCAGGTACTAGTATATCCCTGGAGTGTTGCTAACCTGGTTTTGGAAATTCTCACCTTATACCTAACAAATATACTGTAAACTAAAACTTTCTTGCACAGGACAGCCTAAATTTAACTCTAAAACCAATGAATGGTAAGAGGTACAAGAAGATGTTTTATCTCATGCTCTCAGATCTAGACTCTTGAGTTTTGTAACTTTTCTCCCTTTGCATCAATATCCTAACTAGACAAGTAAAACAGCTGTCAGTGAAATCACGCACAGTAGATATTTTTGTTTAGTATTGAAGCAAATCAAGGGCAAGACTAAGGTCACAATAGAACCTGAATAGTCAAAAGGAATGATTCCTTGAGAGTGGGCATGACCGAACATTCCTACGTTGTTAGGTCTAGGAGCCCTATAAAAGCAATTACTCACAAGTCTACCATGGCAATTTCATAACCAACCTGGAAAGGATCAGACAACGACATCAATTTTCCTCTGATGGATATGGGAAACCCTCAGGGAAAGGTAGGATTTTAAGAGTTATTTAACATTATGGCAGAAGTTTGGTTGAATGGTGGAATGCTCTGGAACTGACATAACTTGGGAGATTTATTGTACAGAAATTGGAGGGGACTTTGCACCGATAACAGAGATGAGGGGAAAGACACATCAGCAAGTAATGTGTTTCTACTGGTAGGCTGGTAAATGTTTAACAACTGGCTCTCAAAAAAAAAAAAAAAAAAAAAAACCCTGAATTTACATAGTGTTTTTTTTTAATTTTCTGTGATATAAATATCCTACCATGGCAGATTTCTGATGTTAATGATGTCACTCAAAGCAGAACTAGAAAGACATGTACGTGATCAGCAAAATCAGCTCTCAATAGCCAGTACCTACCAGCTTCAGTGTACCACTGTGTATTTTCATAAGTTTCTGTACTTGAATTTCAGTTGCAGAGACATTTACATGGTAAAATCCATTAAGACCCCAGAGTCTAGAATTAATACAACACTTTGAGGGCAAGAGGTTTTCTTTTCTTTTCCCAGATTAAATGCCACGTTAAAGGATCACTTATGTGGCATTACATGTTGTAGCATGCACAAACAGGAATTGCAAACTTGCTAGAAATTCAAGAGGTCATTCTCTAGACAGCACGTAAACCACCTTAGAGAGAGAGTTGTGCAATTGGTGCTTAGTGATCATAGAGAGAAATTCCATATGATTCCACAATAGAGAAATGTGACTAGGTCTGCACATACATAATGAGAAAGTCCAAGAGAAGATAATCCTGATTCCTTTCATTTGCAGGAGACTTCATGGTTTATAAAGGGCTTTTTGCAAGATGATAAAATTTCATGTATCCAGTTTCTAATTGTTCATTAAGACAGATTGATAGGCAGTAAAACTGAGGTTTCTAGGTCACTTCTGTTCACATGAACAATTGACTTGGAGTGCATCTCTCCAATTCTCTGCAAGTGGGAGATCTCATGAAGTACCGCAGGAGGAAGAAGGGTCATTTTAGTGAAGGCTGGCTCTGAGCCAAACCTGGACTAAGCACTTTCCTTACCTCTGAAGCCACCCAACAACCCTGTGAAGTAGCAACTATTGTTTTCTTCCATTTTGCAAATATAGAGGTTCAGAGATGTTAAACTACTCACCAAAGGTCATGAAATTTATAAATGCCTGAGCTGGGACACAAACCAGGACTGTCTGACACCTAAAGCCTCTATTAAGAATCTCCAGACTGGCTTAGGTCAAAGGTTTTAATAAAATTATAGATATTTAATGTGCTAATTGGACAGGGTGACCCAAAAGTTTCCTGTGTAGGAAGCATTAGCCTAAGGAAGGAAGAGTGGGTATGTGAGTGTTGGGGGAGGGGACCATGACAAGGGTGGTTAAAAAAACGAATGTATCCACATGCTGTCAATACTGAACTGGGTAACATAAGAAGGCTGTGTATTTGTAATTGGCCTTTTCTATGTAAAGCACAAGCCTGAAATAGGTCAGTCTTTCAGAGTTCCCTCTGCTGCCCCCTTTGAAGACTATGGCCCCTTTTACATAAACTGTAAATTAGACACTAAGTTCCATGACATCAGAGACTGACTACATCTTATACACTGATGTTGCTGAATCTATAATCCTATCCCAGTGTCTGACATAGTTAAGTACTTGCACATTTGCTGAACATTGATGATGGTGATGATGACGAAAGTAAATACTCATAGTAATAGCAATGTATTTTTTCCACGTATTATCTCATTTAATCCTTGTAATAACTCTATGAAACAAATACTATTCATTTTCCTAATTTATAGATAAGAAAATGATGCTTTAGGGAGATCTTGTAACTTGCTTGAGGACAGAAAAATAAGTGACAGAAAATGATATCGGAGCCTTGGCACTTAACATTGCACTATAGTCTGTCGATATAGAATGCATTTGCTGTATTGCTAAGAAAGTTCACGTTATTAAAATTAGATGATAGAATTTAAGTTCTATGAAGAAAGAAATTCTGTTTTATATAAATCTATATCCTTGGCACCTAGAGCAATTCTTTTTTTTTTTTTTTCTTGAGAAGGAGTCTTGCTCTGTCTCCCAGGCTGGAGTGCAGTGGTGCGATGCAACCTCTGCCTCCCGGGTTCAAGCAATTCTCCTGCCTCAGCCTCCCGAGTAGCTGGGACTACAGGCGCGTGCCACCATGCCTGGGTAATTTTTTGTATTTTTAGTAGAGACAGGGTTTCACCATGTTAGCCAGGATGGCCTCGATCTCCTGACCTCATAATCTGCCTGACTCAGCCTCCCAAAGTGCTGGGATTACAGGTGTGAGCCACCACACCTGGCCAGAATAATTCTTTACATAATTGCTTGGTAAATTTTGATCGTATATATGCATACAGGAATAAATCGAACCAATTATTTCAATAGGAATACAGCTTATGAGCTAGAAAATTTCCAGCTCACAACAGATTATTTTAATATGAATTTTAAGAAGGGGGGAGGTATGAAACCTAAATATTAAAGTAAGATATTCAGCAATTTATTCATTTGTTTAAGAAATGTTTGTCTCCAACAAATATAATTAAGCATCTACTAAGTGACAGTTAGTCAATAGAAAAGATCTAGTGAGGCCAGGCATGGTGGCTCACGCCAGTAATCCCAGCACTTTGGAAGGCCCAGTCAGGTAGATCACTGAGGTCAGGAGTTTGAGACCAGCCTGGCCAACATGGCAAAACCCCATCTCTACTGAAAAATACAAAAATTAGCTGGGTGTGGTGGTCCATGTCTTAGTCCCAGCTACTCAGGAGTCTGACGCATGAGACTCACTTGAACCTGGGAGGCAGAGGTTGCAGTGAGCCTTGATCGTGTCACTGCAATCCAGCCTGGGTGACAGAGAGACTCTGGCTCAGAAAAATAAAATAAATAAAATAAAAAAAGAAAATAAAAATAAAAGATCTAGTGAAAATGGCCAACAATAATAAGTAAACAAATATTATAAAACGCTGTAGGACATGAAAAAGACAAAAAAAAAATGTGGAGGCAGAAAACACCGGAAGTCAGGACTATCGTGTGGTCAGGGAATGCCTCAACGAAGCAGGGACAGTTAAGAGGCTGAATGCCAAGACATGAGGAAGTGGCAAAGAACATAGCATGCGGAAATGCCCACCACTTTTGGAAAGAACTTGACATTTTAGAGGAAAAGAGAAGTGGCCAGTGAGTCTTTTGAAGACTGATCTCTGCAGCCTACTCCCATCTCCCCCACTCTCTCCCCCACCCCGCCCCCCAGCTCCACAGTGGTGCACAGGGCTCTTTTCACTCCCTTACCTCCACCACAGGTCGTTGTGTTATGGCACAGAGCCAACAGCTTTTTTCCCCTTGGTTTTGGGTGGATGAGCTAGTTCTCTCATATTAGAAAAGAGTAGTTGGCCAAATGGAAACCTTGAAATCTACTTAAACAATGGAGACCTATCCAATCTGCCTTCTCAGAACATGTGTCTTAGGAAAAATGCCTGGACTGTTGAATAAATGCAGGAGAAAGTTTGCAGCATATGTGAAAAGAAAAATAAATAAACCCAGAGACTCGATCTGTGGAAGGGACATTCTCCCCATTGGTTACAATGGAAAATTCCTCAAGCACAGCCTGGCCAATGAGCCTGGGCCTACCTGATTCATCACACAGCTCTGTCCCAATCTAGCCCTTGATTCAGAAAGATACAGGGGAAATTTTCCCAAATACTATTCCAAGGCCTCCTGAAACAATTTTAAGATCATTCCAACCGAAGGCACAATGTCTTCTCATCATTTTGATTCACTAAGAGATGAACTTAGCTTTTCCCCACTCTGCTCCTACTCCAAATTGTGCCAATATCCAAGAGAAGCTGCAATGTGTAACTACAAAAGGACTGAATGTTGGAACCTCGGTGATAGATACAGCTCATCCCATGGAAGAACCAGCCACGACAACTTGTACTGAAGTGGATTAAATCAACTTGTACCCGTCTTCACCTGTTACTAAAATTTTAAATGTGGATTTTGAACAAACAAGTGTATAAGTCTTAAGCACTAGATGAAAATAAAATAGAATCTATTGAAAGTTGAACTGAACTCCCCCCACCACACACACACACACACACACACACACACACACACACACACACACAAAATAACTATGTCAAGGAACATTTCTGCTCTTTTCTCCCAGGGATATGCAGTCAATTTCTGGAGATGAGGAAGATGTCATTTTCTATCTACCAGAAGTATCCATACTGCATGGAAATCTAATGACAATTCCCAACCTCAGTTAAGGACTTGTTTTTCCATTTTTCTGAACTTCAAATACTTTCTAAATTGTGTTAGCCGAAGCATTGTATGTATATAATTAACTCATAGGTCCCTCTGGGCCCATCTAGCTAAACTTGTGGAGCTTAACTGAGCAAAACATTTGCTGATGTCTCTCCCTACAGTGGTACCCATTGAAATGAATACCTTCTACAAGATGAAACCTAGGAAATGTCGTTTCCAATTGGCTTTCTACTGATTGGGGTTGATGTCTTTTCCAAATTGGCTTTCTAGTGATTTGGGTTGCTTCATTAAATGTTTTTGGTTGTTTCATAACAATAGTAATCTCATTTTCTTTCAAAAGTAGAGTTTGAAATTTGGGAAAACATGGGTGGGGAGGGAATTCTACATTTTCTTCCTAGTTGAAGTAGGAAGACAGGTCTCTTTTCTGTATTAATTGGACTCCTGAAATTCCCCCAGGGTAGCAGTGGCTCTCTGTGGGCACAGGGCTCTTATGCTTATGTTTCTGTGCTTCAATGTACCTTCCATGCTGACAGCAAATAGAAGGTGTTCCTGCACAAGCAAAACCTAACGGAGAGGCTGCAATAATTTGTCCAAAACGAAGTGCAAACTGCAAGGGAGAGTGGACTTTTTCAGACTGATCCTGTTTACTAGTCTGGTGCTTTCCTCCACCTGTGTAGACACAGATGCTTTATTGAACACCAGCCTCCTACAGTTAGAAGGTATTTTGACTCTTAGGAATGGGGGAACCAGTTGCAAAGTTCTGGCCCCTGATCCCCCTCCTATTCCTACTAGAGGGCTTAAGATAGGCTCTGAGCGGCACTTCCCACTTTCTCCTCTTTTTCTGAAGCTTCGAGCCCCAAACCTCGCCCTTTAAATTCACCAAGGGACCACATGCATCATATAAGGGTGAGGAAAAGGGACCTGGATGTAGACTTCCTGACTATCCAAAGGAACCTACTTCTCTTTGCTGTTCTCAAGTTCAGGCGTCCGGAGAAAGGCAGGGAGCTAGGGGCTCTGGGTGCTAGCGTAGACGTGGCCCTTAGCTGAGTGGCGCGAGAGGGGAGGAGGTTGGAAGAGCGCGTCTATGCGTTCCACCTGAACCTGCAAGCTAGTCGCTTGCTGCCCAGGTGCCGATTCGCGGCTGCATGCGCCCCACTGCAGCAAAGAGCAGCCGCAGCCTCTGCCTCGGCCACCACTGCTGCTGGGAAAGAGTCGTGGGGCTGCTGACGCGGTTGGGAGGAGCCTCGCCTTTAATGCACCAGCCGCCTCCAGCCTCCTGCAGCAGCAGCAGCAGCAGCAGCAGCAGCAGCTGCGAGTGCGCGCGTGTGGGTGTGAGGGTGAGTGCGCTGGCGCCGGCTGCAGCGCCCTGCCCAGCTCCCCGCCAGCTTCCCTACCCCCGCCTGCCGGAGCCGCCCTCCCGTGGGACCAGCACCCTCATTCCGGCCAGGCAAGCCTGAATCCTGTCCCTGCCATCTCGCCACTGCAGCTCGGGTCCAGAAAGGCACCATTTTGTCGCGGCTGCCCGCTCTCCCAGGGGGAGGAGGGATCTTTTTTGCATTTTGGAGCGGCTGCCAAGGAGGGGAACCTGTTGGGCATCTCCCCAGACCCGCTTGTGAGCGCCTCCGGGGCGGGCGGGCGGGACCAGACCCCTCGGGGCACGGCGTATCTTGGCACCCGGAGGCAGCGGAGGCAGGCGCAGCATCCTCGCTGGGAACTGGAGCTGGAGTGAGCGCACCGCGCGGGAGGAGCCGCCGCAGCCTCGCAGAACCCGAGTGGAGGAGGTGACAGCTCCATTGCCGGGTTTTTATTTTTTTTCTCTCCGCCTCCCCGTCTCCTCCTCAGGCTCGGACCATGGTGCAGTCCCACTGGCTCCCCTGCCCCCCTCTCCTGTGAGACTGGCTGCGGGGAGGGATCATGGATACTTGTCTGCCGGCTTCTGGTTCCCACGCAAGTAAGCCTGCTGTCAATGGAGGAGGACATTGATACCCGCAAAATCAACAACAGTTTCCTGCGCGACCACAGCTATGCGACCGAAGGTAACGCCAGCCCCGCCGCATTCCGCCGTTGGGGCCGGGCGCAAGTTGCGGATCACTGTGCTTCCTGGGCAGCTGGGCGCGTAGTGGCGGAGACTCCTCCGGGCCCTAGGGCTGGGGCGGGGGCTCGGCTGGCCCCGGCAGCCCCAGTGCACCTCGCATCCATCCGGGCTCCGCGAGGCGAGCTCGGCGTTCAGCAGCAGGTGGACCCGGCGCCCACGGGAGTTAAAATGGCCCTCAGGGATTAGGCTTTTTCAGGGTGGGGCTCTCGCCCAGAAAGATGACCCCAGGAAGGCAGATGACCCCTTCCCCGAGATGTTCGCAGGGGTCTTGGGGGGAGATAAGAAGGGAGGGGCCCAGTAGGACCTTGGTCCCCCCTCCCTGAGCGAAACGATGTTATGTCTCTCAGTGGCTGCAGGGAGGGCAAGGTTTCATTTCCTGCCCATTCATCTCCCCGGCCGGCCAGGTTACCTGCTTAGACAATCAAAACCCCAAAAAGCCCTTTGCAGACGGGCGAACCTCTTTCCTTTTGGAAGTGCATTAGCAAAAATAAAAAGGTGGCTGGGGAAATAGTGCTCTGGCGGGCAGCGAATGAGGCTGACACGTGGGGTGAGCAACGCGATCGGTGGGGCCTTTAAAAATCACCATTATGAATTCTGCAGCAGTAGTTTCTGCTGAATCAACAGCCAGCAGAAAGCAAAAGGGTTCAGCAAGCTGAGCTTTGCCAAGAGGTGAAATTGTCGTCTCTCCCTCTCTCCCAGCTTGTTCTGACATAAGCACTAGTGCTGTGCGGGCAGGAAGGGAAAGTCAGCAGGTGGAATCTCATTCTGCCTTTTGTGTGTGAATAGAGAGTAGAGGCATTTTTTTCCCCCAGTGCCAAAACTTTTGCATTTTTGCTTTCATTTTCTACCTGTAGGCCTTTTATCCTTAGCCACTCATACAAAGTGTTGCATTATCACATTGTAATATCCATGCGAGAAAATGTATGTGGAAATGCTTTAGGACAATGTTGCAAGGTGTATTAATTTAAAATTATTATTCTTGGATGCTAACATTTCTGTAATATTTAATCAAATCAAAAGACTGCTAGAGAAATGTGATGGGGGGAGTAAAAGAGTTCAAGCTCTGAAAGAAATAAAAAGACACACACACATCTGGGGGTAAAGGTGGCATCTTCTATAAACATCCCTGGAAGTTCTAGACAGAAAGAATGTCCAGTGCTATTGAAAGTATATTCTCCATTTGTCATCATTTTTGGAGAGCATCAAGCCCAGTATGCCCATGGTGCTAGACAGATAAAGCAGAGTTGTAAGCTCTGGCTTCCAGGAGCTTAGAGATGGCTTTTAAGATGTGCAGCCCATCCCTCCCCTATACAGAGCACCATACTTACCGATTCTTTTTCTGTGCATGATGGCAACCTGATTGTAAGATGTTCTCCCTCAATCTTAGTGCTTTGTCACTGACTCAGTGACCTGATAGCACATGACTAACTCTGTATCTAAGCATGTCATCCAAGAGAGAAGTTGGCCTTGGGTCTGTTGGCTTTTGGGGGAACATTTATTTCTGTTTGTAACCACAAAGAAAGAGAGCTGCCTTCATGTTTTCTTGTATATTACATTATGCAGGCAAGAGAAACTTAGCAAGCTGAGAAAATGCCCAGAGTGGAGCTATGTGTACAGGAGTGTCAATTGTGAAGTGAAGAAATCAGTTAAAAATGGCATTCTTTATTGTTTTCAGGGCCCTGGATATTACCGTTGTTCTTATTTTTATTCCATTTTTGAAAACTCTGATTCTGGATAGAATATCTAGGTTCACATAGTCAAAAATAGATATGAGTTTATAGCAATGAGATTTCTGGCATGTGAGAATCAACCTCTCAGATTTCTTTCTCTTTCTCAAACACACACACATACTAATCACACTCAAAACTAACAAACCTTTATTTCACAGAAGCTTCTAGGTTTTAAAATCTGATCTTAGAGAAGGTATGAAAAGAAAAGGAAAATAGAACTTAAACGATGTAAATACCAGAAGTTGGATAGAACAAGAAGTTCCCTACAGTTTTGACCTATTCGTTTCAGGGAAGATTCATGCAATTTTGTTGCCAGAGGGGGAAGAGTCCCTGTTCTTCCAATGAATTCCTTAAGAAGTGTTAGTATACCTTGAAAAAGCACCAGATCAAAAGACTTTTTAAAAATTCTCCTCACTGGGGACTTGCCCCACAAGTTTTCTTCCCCCTTATTAACTTATACCCTCTTACTGGGTGGGGAATTAGCTTCTAGTCCTTCCATAGATCTTGCTTTTCTGTTTCCTTTACTATTTCTACATTTTCCTCCTACCTGCTCAGTTATGTCAGATTGTTCTTTTTTTTCCTCCAAAATATCTCCTTCACATGTATTTCTGAATTTTTCTTCTGTTTGCTCAGATCATTCCACATTGCAGTGTTCTATTTAAAGCTGAAAGGTTTTTGCTGTGTAGTTAGTGTGAAGGACTCTAAACTCAATTTGCATTGTAAGTGGTGACTGCAGGCAAGTTCATCCAGCTAAGAGCAATGCAAATGCTAAAGGACACTTTCACCCAAGCTCCCCTCTCTCAGTCTCTTTCTCTCTCTCTGTCTTTCTCAAAAGAATGCATGGTGTGCATTTAATAAATAAATTTCCTAGGACTTTTTTTTAATTCTGAGCATGAAAATTACCACCCTCCCCTACCTTTCCTCCTCTTTTAAAGTTAACATCTTTGAGCATCTTCTATGTTCCAAGCACTGTGCTGAGCTCTTTATGTATAGCATTTCAATATATCTAAACCCTGTTAAATGGATGTTGTCATTTCCATTTTCAAAGAAGGAAACTGATGCAACTGAGGTCTGAAGATGTTACTAATTTGCCAAAAGTCACACATTCAATGGAAAACCTTGTCTTCAAACTCAAGCCAGTGTCTGAAGGCCAGGTTCTCCCACTAGGAAATTCTGCACTACTTCATTTTCCTTTAACCATCAGCTCTTATTCTGGGAAAGATTGCAATGGTTTTATCTCAGTGTATAAGCTATATTTCCATCAGGCATAAAATCCTTTGCAGGGAAAATTTGAAGTGTGTGTATGGGGTTATATAGAGGAAGGGCCTTGGGTAGGGTTGAAATTTCCCACAAAAATAAAGTCAACACAATGGTTTGATTTTTTTTTTCAGATATGGAACCCCAGGTTTCCTAACCAGGGATTCATCTCTCAAATCTCTCTATATGTGGGTTTCCTGCTATATTTTTAGGCTTCTGTTACAGCCAAGTAAAACCCTATCTCCATTATAGCAGTCTGTGAGTTTTCTAGATTAATCTTCCTACTTTCAAATGGGGCCACAGATAGACCAAATATTCTACATAGATGGGGTGTTTTAAAATAACTGCTCTGTTCTCAGTTTCCTTAGCTGGAAAGTGGGAATAACAATAGAACCTATGCCAAAGAAAAATTATTTGATGCAGAGAAAGCACTCAAGCACTCGGGATATGCCTAATACAAAGCCCACCCTTAATTCATTATAGCTGTTATTGTTACTTAATGTACTTCCTGGTTATATTCTGGCAACAAGTGGGTTCCACCTTCCCTCAGAAGCCTTTTTAAAAAACTGTCTTGTTTATACATATTAAAGGAAGAACAAGTTTACTATTCCAAGTAGCTCCTTTCAATTATTGATTCATTCTGCCTTTAATTCCTTCAACAAATACTGACGTTTTGCAGAGGTGATACGGGATGTTCCAATACAGACGTGGTCTCTGTCCTCAGGGATCTTTCAATCTAGCAAAGGAGATAGTATGAGACAAATAATTTTGCAAATAAATATATAGTTACCAATTGTGATAAGTGATATTTAGGAAAGGCACAAGATGCCTTGGGGTCATAAGGTGGAAAGGTGGATCTAATTTAGATCGGGAGTTCAAGGACAGCCTCTCAGACAGCTGAAACTGAGAACTAAAGGATGAATTTGCAATTAACAAGACCTGAAAGCATTTTAGGTAGAAGGGACAATAGGTACAAAAGCCCAGAGAGATAAAATAGCCTAACTGATTCAAGGAATGGAAAGATGACTATGGCTAGGAACAGGGAGAAGAGTGATAAAAATGAGAATGGAGTCTGCAGTTCATTTTGAAATGTACCAGAAGCAAGAAAGATTAATGCTAAGAGAGAGGGATGGGTAAATGGATAGACATATGATAAAGCAAGTATAAAATGTTAGTCACTGGCCAGCCATGGTGGTGTATGCCTGTAATCCCAGCTACTCAGGAGGCTGAGGCAGGAAATCGCATGAACCCAGGAGGCAGAGGTTGCAGTGAGCCGAGGTCGCGACACCGCACTCCAGTCTGGTGACAGAGCGAGACTCCATCTCAAAAAAAAAGTTAATAACTAAATTGAGGTGGTGGGTCTATGGATAATCACTGTAATTTTTTTTCCACTTTGCAGTCTGTTTGAATTTTCATAATAAAATGTTGGGGGAAAAAAAGACTGGAGAAGTATTCAGGGACCAGATCATATCAAGCCTTGTTGACCACAAGGAGTTTGGACTCTATCCAAAGATGAATGGAAAGCCATTAAGGAAAAGGGAAACATGATCAGATTTGTTTTTCTAGAAGTTTAATCTGGCTGCTGTGTAGGATGGGGTTAGAGAGCCAGGCATGTAATGAAAAAGAATGAAAGTTGGGAGATAATTAGGAGGTCATGGTGTGCTCCAGGATGGTGGCATCAGTAGAGATGGAGAGAATTAGATGGATTTAAGATACGTAATAGAGAAAGATTGCATTGCACTTACTTACTATGATTGGGTGCAGATGGAGAAGGTGATGTCAAGGACAACTCCCAGAATTTTGCCATGAAAATGGATGCATAATGGGGCGCATCACTAAAAGCGGAAACAGACTGAAAACTGATTAGTTTGAGAAGACAGTGAGACATCTAGTTTCACAGTGAGACTTGCAAGTAGACAATTGGATTTCTGGGTCTGAAGCTCAAGAGAAAGACCTGGACTAGATAATAAATTTGAGATTAAACATCACCAGCATATTAAAGGTACTTAAAACTGTATGAATAGATGAGATGCCTCAGATAAGAACATTTCAGGGCAAAATTTGAACCAATGAGTGAGAAAGTACAAGGAAGTGGATCTTGGCTTGGTATGAAGAAATTGTAGCAAAAAAGTACCTCACAATAGAATAGGGCCTTGGTAAGCATAAATAACCACACACTGATATTATTCAAGTAATACTATAATATATGGCCATTTCTCAGCAATGTGGTAGGATAAGAAGAGTCCAGTCTTGGATGAGTTGAGTTTAGAACGTCTCCAGGTTTGAGATCTGAGTGATTTGTGAAATACATTAGCTTTTTAGGGCCACAGAGAGTAAAAGTGAGGAAGTAAAGATTCCTCCTCCATCCCCCATTCCAAATAAGCTCAAGAAAGGGGAAACTTATAATGAATAAAGCTGGGAAGGTACATGAAAATGGCTTTTGATATGAAGATGCTGGGAAGGCATTGAAAAAATAAAAGGGGGTAGTGTCATATGATGGAGAGCTGCCTCATAGTTCCTTAAGTTGCTTTGGTATTTGTATGCAAATGCCAGATCAGAATGCTGTTTCCAATGCATATGGATGAATGTTTGAGCTCTCTGCTGTTCTCAGAGAAACCTGAAATGCGAGGTGAGAAGTAGCTGCCTTACACTATTGTAAATGACCTTTCTGGGGATGGGAAATGTTCTGCTACTAAACATAATAACCAGAATGCATTGAAAATCACTAGCAAGTATTCATTATTAGCATCCAGGTCCCCAGGGGCAATCCCAAGCCCTTTATGAGTGCTGGTCAGAAATGTACCAATGATCCTGGGGTGAATAATATTAGGCCAGTCCTGTCAAAATATTGGTAATGCCCAATGAAAAGAGCACAGCTGTAGACTGACATTCCTAGACTTTGGCGTTTGCATTTAAGAAGAAATAGGGGTCCAATTTCGACACTTAGCTGAGGGAAAGAAACTAAGGTATCGCGAGTACTGTCTATTCCAGGCATTTTCCTAGGTATTTCTTATGTTTACTCATTTAATCTCCATCAACAACCCAGAGAGAATGGTTGCATTAACCTCATTTTTAAAATAAGAAATTTCAAGGTACAGAGAACCAAAGGAACTTGCATAACAAATACACATGTATTACAAACATACTCACTTGTAAGTGGCATAACCAGATTAGAGCTCATGACTGTGTGGATTCTTGGCACATGTTCTTTGCTCACCCATGCTGCTCAGGATCTTTTGGAGAAATGCAAGTTGTGCTCCACCCTCCACATATATCCCATTGGCGCCTGGTCGGTGCTGCTGGATTTACTTGATCTATCTTCTCCTAGCACAGCAGTGCACGTCTCTGGGCCTTTTCCATTATCCCACAGGGAGGAAGCTGAATTCTACGACCCAGTAACAGAATTCTTAGCTGACTTACTCCTGTAGATTTCTTCTGTTATATAATAAGAACAGAAAAAAATGTTTATGGAATTGAGCAATCAAGATGTGAGAACTAGCTGGAGTTTTTTGAATAGCTTTCTCCATGTCACTCATCCCCAGTGTAGGACAGTAAGCATGCAGCTCCCAGACTGAGCTGAGCTGAGATGGTCCCGCTGGGCCATCTAGGCACCCACTCTTCCCAGCTCATGACAACTCATATAGTTGCCTGGGCCACAGCAAGAGAAATATGACGGAGGCAGCTGTGGGATGGCAGATGTTCTTTTGCACATAAATATGTAGATGTCTGAGGCTTCACTTTGGCCAGAGTGGCTCTCCAGCTGGTTCCCCTCATCTTCCATTAATAAGAAGACGATTTTGCTTTCACCCAACTTGTCATCTTTACCACCAAATTTCCTTCTTTTGACTCCAATAGAACTCTAGAATCAGGCTGAAAGTCAGCCCCAACATAACTATCTCGCAGAAAGCACAGATTATTTTTATAAGTCCACTAGGAACTTTGTCAGAAATAACCCAGGAACCTTTGAGTTCTCCTGCTCCAAGTTCACTGTGGAAAGAGTTAATAGTGGGAAATATTAATTGTTAATGTTCATAGCTTTCTTTGGAGAAAGGGTCATCCTGGGTAATGAGAAAGGGTGTGTGCTTGTATGGGGGTAGTCAGACTTTCACTTCTGTGCTTTAGAGGTAAATGACTTGATCGCTTACAACAAATGTTAAATGAAGTGGGGTGGGGGTCTGTGTGTAAGGGGAAAAAAGATGTATGGAGTTTAGGAATCTAGAGGGGCCCTTATGAACAGGTTTTAACCTGAGAAGGATGGGGTCTGTTGGACGGAGCGTGGCGAAGAGTACCTTACCTGTGGGAGGATGTGTTTCAGGTGTACTGGCCTTTGTGCTTGGTGTATTAGTCAGCTCAGACTGCATTTTTAAAAACGCCACATACTGGGTTGCCTAAATAACAGAAATTTTGTTTTCTCACATTTCTGGAGTCTGGAAGTCCACGATCAAGGTGCCAGCATGGTTGGTTTCTGGTGAGTTCTCTCTTCCCATGTATAGCCAACTTCTTGCTGGGTCCTCATATGGCCTTTCTCCTGTGTGCAAGTGTGAAAAGAGAGAGCGCAATCTCTGGCATTTTTTTTTCTTCTTGCAAGGGCACCAGCCCCATAAGACCTTATCCTTATGACCTCATTTAATCTTAATTATCTCCTTAAAGGACCTATCTCCAAATACAGTCACATAGGAGTTAGGGCTTCAACATATAGATTGGGGTGGAGGGGGGCACAATTTGGTCCATAACACTGGGGAACTGAAAACCTCCTCCATCAAGCATTGCTTATCACACTGGTATGAATCCTTGCTAAGCAATGAACCTGAAGTGGTCAAAGAATGGCAGGCCGCCTCCTCCACTTGACGTAGAAGGATCAGCTTGATGTCCCTCTACAGACACACAAGGGTGTAGAGGGTGGCAAAGCTGTAAATGTCTCTAATAGGGAATATTGTAGCAAGATGCTGCTGAGAGTTCCCAGGTGGTCTGAAAGATAGAACTTGGGTCCCTAAGTACAAAATACCACCAGGAAGGACCCTACCACAGTGGGAGAGCCACACAGGAAACTCAGTGAAACTAACATTGCTTATGTAGCTTTGTAGAAGTCAGGTTAGGGCTAGAGACACTCAAGTTGGGAGGTCTGTTGGTTCATGCCAACTGCATTATTATAATTCACATTTCCCTCTGCCTTTATGTTTTTATTTATAAGTCAAATAATACTATATTCTTTCTTACTTAAAAGGATTCAAGCATGATAAGTAAATAAAGCATGAATCACCCTCCATCCCATGCCCATCCCACTTTCCTACCCAAAGGTTACCATTATCAGTAGTTGGTAGACTTCCTCAGAGCCATCTTTCTATTCATACATTTAAATATACATGTACAGATATATAGTTGGGGAGGATGTTTGCATAAATGAGTACACACTGCCCGTTTTATTTGCACTTTGTTTTTCTACTAGTGATACGTCTTCAAGATTTTTCCATATCAGAACACCTACATCTGTCTCATGCCTTTTAATGGCTGCACGGTGCTCCATAGTATGACAGTACCACAGTTTATTTAGTAGTTCCCTGTGGATAGAAAATCGTTTCCAGCTTTTATATTACATAAGATGCTGCAGTGATTATCTGTGTATATGTGTTTTTGTTTAAATGTCCTCCTTCCTGATTTTATTATCTTTAAAGCTGAGATGACAGTTCCCATTTCTTAGCAAAATGGCAAGAAAAAATCAGAAATCTGTGGTCTTCTATTTGTTTTCTGTGTAACCTTGGATCAGTCATTTAAACCAAGAACCTGAATTTCCTAATGTAGAGAATGAGAATACCTGATCTACCTATTCATATGTGCCCAGTACTGTGTCTTCCAAAACCATTGTGGATTTGAATGTTAATAATTAATAATGATTGCTGGTAGTTATGGAGGGCTTTCTGTGCACCAGTACAGGCTTAGAGCCTTAAAGTATTTTTCTCATGTAATCCAGTTTACTTGTATAGGCTGATACTGTTCTTATCCCCCTTTAAATGAAAAGTTAAAGCAGAATAATATGATTACTAGTCCATAGTTACACAACAGTGAGTAGAACAGAAGTCACATCCAGGTCTATCTGATTCCAAACCCTGTATTCTTAAACTTGGCAAAAATTCATCACAATGTAGTATATGAACACCTGTTTAAAAGAACAGTTATGATGTTGATAGGGAAAAGATGATTCATTTTTCTAAAAAATATTCTTCTGAATCAATCAATACAAGGGTCCAATTTCTACCAAGGATTTGAAAATGAACTGGGGGGAAATGGAAAGGCAATGCAGTATCGTAAGCAGTTATGTGGAATGCACATCAGAAGACCTGGGTAGGATTCCAGTCCTGCTACCATAATTTGTCACTTTTATTCTCTGGGCTTCAGTTTCCTAAGCTACTATAATGAGGTTGAAGATGGGGGAGGGAAGGCATGCTCTCTACAGACTTTTCTGACTCTCAGTTTCTATGAGGCATTATTTCTGTATTTGTGATCATCTAGGTCTCTTTGATATGTTCTGATGTTCACCTCAGGGGTGAGACTGGGAAAACATGGCCATAGGCTTTAAATGACCCCAGAAATTCCAGGTCTGGCTGTACTTCCTGGGTCAAATCATCCTTCTGGCAAGAAGGTTCTGGTGCAGCCAAGAGGCAGAGCCAGAAAGGGAAACTTCTCTTTGCCAAAAGCTGCTGCAGATGGAGGAGCCAGTCTGTCTGGGCAGCCATGACTTTGAGAGGAGCCATTTGGCAAAGTTGTTGGCAGGAGCTGCCTTGCAGCATGAATGCTGGAGACAGTCCTGGGCTGGAGTGAATCAGGGACTCAGCAAAGGTGGCTGGTGGAACAAATAACCATCTGGTGAGCAGGGTGCTGCTCATCTTGCCACACTGATGGGGAAGAGCAAGTGCCAATCAATGAGGTTAAGCTCTCAATGACATGATCTGACAGGCACAATAGAATTTCTCTCCTGTTATTTTATACTCCATGGTGGGGGTTATAAACTCCAAGGGAGCATAATTTTTTCAGAAACCAGGAAGGCCCCAATTTCTTCCACTATTATAAAGTAGGAAAGAAAATTTAACAATTCAAACAAAAATTATTTATTGCCAAGTGCTATGTAGGAAGTTCTGGGGCATATGGTGAAGTATAAGCCTATAGTCTTGTTCTCAAATGTCTTTCCATCTATTTGGGCAGGTGACACTCCGTCCTTCTCAAAATATAATTAACCACAGAAGCCAGGGTGCGTGAAACTGTGTCCTGTTTATCTCTCTGTTATCATGAGGTGGCCGAAGTGGTGGAATCAGAGCCCACCTGGCTCTAGACACACCTCTGGCTATGCTAGTTCTGTGGCCTTGGGCAGGTCACTTCATCTTGCTGAGTGTTTTCTTGCCAACAAAAATATGGCAGGGGATGAGGCAACATGTTACTATTTATATGTGATAAATAAATAAATACAAAAGATTCCCTCTCTACTCCATGCATTTGGGACCAATAGTTGACAGTAAACTTGAAAAGTTAAGGCAAGGAGTCATAAAAAATAACATACCATTTAAATTTACTAATTTCAATGAAAGGCCCGATGAAGAATCAAGACCTTACCTTTGAGTATGGATCTGCTGATTAGGGGTTGTAATATTTTTCTTGCATGAACTGTCCCCCAAATGACAAAGACCATGCCCAATTTTGATTTCCTTGAGGTTGAACAAGACCATAGATATCGCAGAAGCAATCTTACTACAGAATACTTCTAGATTTTTGTAATTGTTCCCCAATTTTTATATCTCCTACTTTTAATTTGACAATGCTTTGTCAAGTCTTTTGAAATTCTTCAACTGACTTTTCATATGAAACAATCATCCTCCTTTTAACACTATTCTTCTCATTACCTTTCATGATATTTAATTAACTAACAAGTATAACTTGCATCAGGAGATTTGGAAACAAACACAAATGACTCTCAGTAAACATGCAACTCAACCTGAAGGAGCAGAAGTTTGCCTATGTACCAGAGATTAGTCTACTCAATTAGCTGTGAGTACTTATAAAGGATGTTGTAGGCCTGTTTTACAGAAAGAATGGAAGGCACTTTTTCTTCTTGGAGTGTCAGCTACTTGGAGGTCTGTTAAAAGGACTTCTGCTGTAATTATGATCATGAGGAAGAGCCACTATATACTGAGTGCTTGCAATGTAGCAGGAATCAGGTTAAGTATTCTGGATGTACTCTATGTGATATACTATGTATTATGTATCTATGGTATACTACATATGATGTATATATGATATAGATGCCTCTGTGTGCATATATATGTGTGTGTATATATATGTATGTATCTGCGTGTGTGTATATATATATAATTTAATCTTCACCACAACCCTCAAAAGTATGTATAATTAGAGCTGAATTAGGTGAGACTTTAGATCTTATTCACCATTGTTTATCCATCTCCTAGTATAGTATCTGGTGAAAAAGCACTCATTACACACTTATGGAGTGAAAGAGAAAATAGATTTCTACTTTGCTGATGATAAAACTGAGGCTTAGAGAATTTGTGTCATCTTTCCCAGTATCAATCAGCAGACCCAGGACTTGAATGCAGGTATGTCTGACATAAAAATATATGTTATTAAGAGCAAACTGACGTACAATACAATAATTTTTCTGTACAAAGTTATTGGACATATACTTTGGATCTCATATTGCCTATGAATATTCTAATAGAATGAAACTTTGGTATTATCTCCATTTTGTAAAATTATGTCGATGTTCTAGAGCAGGGATCAGTAAACTCTTCCTGTAGAGGGTCAGATGATAAGTATTTTAGCCTTTGCTGACCATACAGCCTTTGTCCCAGCTACTCAATTCTTCCATTGTAGTATGTGGACATGGCTGTATTCTAGTGAAACTCTATTTACAAAATCAAGGAGTAGCCTGTAGACCATCATTTGCTGACCCCTGTTCTAGAAGAGTACCGGGAACCTAATAGAGGTCCAAACAGTATTAATCGTCTAAGTGAGTGGCTGCAGTAAGTGCTAGAGGGAAGCTCACCTCACCAGAAGTGGTTAAGTGGGGAGGTGGGGCCTTGGTAGGATGCTGGCAGGTAGAGATGGGTGGCAATGGCTTTCCTCATTGGAGGCAGAGTCTTGTGTGATGTTAGGAGGCAAAAGTATGCGAGGAAGGTGGCATGTTGTTTTAACAAGTGAGCTGGAGATTAGAGATGTAATGGAATGAATGTTTGACAGCTCATTAGAGTCCTCACACATAGCCATATCCCTTCTAATCAGTGTCTGTCCAATAGTTCACTCAGTAGTTATTTTAAAAACATTTATTATATATTAGGCACTGTGCTAAAAAACCTAGGTATAAAATATTTAAAAATTAAATGTAGACCCTGCTCTCACAGAACTTGCCTTCTATTGGGAATATATACGTTAAAAAACACACGTGAATATGAATATGAAACCTGTTAAAGAAGGAAGATCCTTTAAGAGAATAAAGTACATGTTCATTATGAAAATTTTGACTGTACAGAAAATTCTAAAAGAGAAAATCAAATTTACTTCTAGCTGTGCCAGAGACAGTCATTATAAACATTTTTGATGTGCTATATTTCCTTCCAGGCTCAGTGTGTGTGTGTGTGTGTGTGTGTGTGTGTGTGTGTCAGAGACAAAGAGAGAGATGAATGGAGAATGCTAGGATTCTATGCAAAACAACATCATCTATAGGGTTTGTTTGTTTGCTTTTGCCCCAGACACAAACTGTTAGCATTTTTCTATGATATTCTATAGTTGAACCACAATTTTGCCTGTTGCCTAATAATGAAAGTTTAGATTATTTCCAATATTTGCTATACTAATTCTGAAATATATAAATAATGTATTTGGTTATGTTATAGACTCTAAATCATGTCTTTGGTTATGTTTTAGAACAAGTTTCTAAAAGTAGCTTACTGGGTTAAATGGTATGAACAATTATGTTTCTAGATGATAGGACTAAATTACCTTCTAAAATGGCTATCCCAAGGAATACCTTTGTAATTACTGTAGGCGTTTTCCACTTTTGTTCTATCCATATTTTGCTTCCACCTCACATTGTCACAAATTTTCAAGGTGCTTAAGTTTATCCTAGGAAACTTATGTGGGGTGAAGATCAGAGAAAAAATTCTTAAAGATACAGCCATTGAATTTTAATTTGATCCCATTGCCCTTCTACCCCGCAAAGCTCCAGGTACTTCGACCCTTTCTGAGAGGAGAGGCAGGCTCAATTCTCAGCCTCTGCCATTAAGCACATGGGTGAGTAGTTTGTACCCTGGGATTCAGTTGCCCACCTATATTAAATAAAATTACTTTCATGGTTCCAGGGCATCATTTGTAGATGAGTATATGGAACCTGGTGACCCAGAAATGTTAATTTTCTTCAAACTGGTGAGTAGGTAACTTCAAAGAATGATTGACCCAGTATGACAACCAGTATGGTTGTTTAATGAGCTAGTCTCTCATGGGGTACAAATTTGACATTTCGGAAAGCTGTGCTTTTTTTTTTTTTTTTTTTTTTTTTTGGTTAATACTATGTGTGGTTGAATGAAATTTGAACCCAGGCAAATCTGAAAAAAATTAGACTTTAACTATCAATGACTTTAGACTTCCAGACATCTCTAGTCTTCTCCCAAAACTGGCACTATTGTTTAATCTAAATAAAAAGTACAAATCTTATAAATTACCACTGTAGTTAACATTCTATAGTTGAACCATAATTTTACTAGCCACCTAATGATGGAAGTTTAGATTCTTTCCAATATTGCTGTAATAATTGTGAAATAGATAAATAATGGCATGACTCTAAACCGTGTCTTTATTTTTTAGAACAAGTTTCTAAAGGCAAGATTACTGGATTAAATGGTATGAACAATTATGTTTCTAGATGATAGGAATAAATTTCCTTCTAAAATCGCTGTTCCAAGGAATACCTTTGTAATTGCTATGGCCCTTTTCCACTTTTGTTCTGTCCATATTTTCAGTGAGCGATTTTTAGTCCACTTTCAAAGTATATTGGCTGTCTGCATTTCAGCAGTCTTTGGGGGTTACAGTTGGGAGTCGGTGTGAAATCTCAATTCATTTAGCCTGAGTATTTATTTAGAACATTCTTCCTCTTTGAAGTGTCTTGGGTTATTGAAATAAAAATATTAAGCTCTTTGAGGCATTTTTTTAATTTAAAAAAGTTTATACAATATTTTAAAAATTATACGCAGGATAAGCACATAAAATTTAAAGGATGGATGGATGGATGGATGGATGGATGGATGGATGGATGGATAGATGGATGGATGGGCAGTTGAATGGATAAATATTTGTGGTGGTTAGTAGGTGACCCAGTTGCCTTCTCAGAGGACTAAAAGTGTTAAAGCATCTTCTAGAAACTCCAAGTTTCAATGGAGATTTGGGGGTGCAATATTAAAATCTACTTTTCATCCTCTTCCTCTTCTGTCTTGGAGCCAAGGGTAGGTGGGATTAATTAGAGTAGCGCAGATCTGTAGGGACATGCAAACTGGAACTCATCAATGGTGCCAGTTTAAAAGGAGAAGATATGACAGGCAGAGAAGAGCTTCCCTAGAACCCTGAACTATCAGAAGAGATTAGGACAGTTTAGTGTTTCCAGCTGACATATCCTGCAATGACTAATTTCTAATCCCTTTTCCTATTCTGTAGGATTAGCCTGGGTGAAACTGACATACTATGTTTTAGAAGTCAAGACCTTCTGGTCACTTAATAGGATATAGAGGGAAAGTTTTGGGTGCAGTTCCATTTGTGAACAAGATGTATTTTTCTGTAGGTTCTCTGACCCCTTCTGGGGTCAGAGATCAGAAACTTGGTAAGCACCCACCAGGACCTACAAATCTCTGTGCACTGTGGAAAAAAAAAAAAGCAAAAGCAGTCTGATTATCGTATTGTACTTCAGCTGGCAACATGCTTACTCAGTCCTCAAGCTTCCTCAGCACAATTTGAGATGGAAATTTTCTGATCAGAATTTTTCCTATAAGTCTTAGAAACTTGGATTTGAGCCCATTATGTAAGCCAGGGTTTTTTTTTTTTTTTTTTCCAATTACTTGACAAGCAGGTTGCCTTTGAGTCACTCATATGAATGGCCTTGATGTAGACATTGGCACATGCTGAAAAGGCAAAAAAAAAAAAAAATTTACTTTTCTTTGACCCTTTAAGAAGATTAGTCTGTTCACAGTTTTCTCCTGTGCTTATAAACCTTCATGTTTCCTGCCTGTCCTCTCATCTTTTAAGTCTCTCCTAATTGATCTTCAAAGCATTGAGGCTGGCTTGTGCTGGGTCCTCACTACTCCAGGCCATTCCTGCTTCCCCTTCCCTGGTACCTGCAAGGCCTGCCTCCAGTCCACATTTTCCTGTGAAGTTTTTCCTGAATTCCTCAAGTTGTTTGATCACCACAGCAATCCTATGAGCTTATAGATATTTTCCCCATTTCACGAATGTGGCAACTGAGGTCCAAGTTCAGACAGCTAGATCTAAAGACACAGATCCTGCACGTCATCTCCCCAACAAGACAGACACTCCAAGAAGGCAGTGACCACATCTTTCCCTCTAGTTTACCATACAAAGGACAGTAGGGTTCTTGGCACACAGGTGCTTAGTAATGGTTTTTGAATTTGATTTCAATTTGAGAGTAGATTAACAGCATTTCTGTAGTTAGGAGAGCAGCCAGTTACATATTCTTTTCTTGGGAGTTTAGACTTGCAGGTCCCTCTGAATGAGGTAAAGCCAGGTCCTCCTACCCCAACTAAAGTTTAAAGATGCAGGGGAGATGTCAAAAGATGTGATCTGAGATTTCTGCAATCACTTGGAAACTGTACTGGCTAATTAAGATCATAATAGATTATTTATTCTTTCATTCACTCGTGTTTATGCGTGTGTTCTTTCACTCTTTAACCATTCAGCAGGTATTTACTGAGCAACTGAAACTTCATTCATATTATATGAGTTATTACATGATAATATCAATAAGAAAAATTATGTGAAAGTTTATTAATATTGGCTATGAGGGGGATGAAAGCAGCAAGCCAAAAAAAAAAAAAAACAATGCTGTATTTTAAAGAAAGTCAAAGGTAGCTTCATCCATGATAAAAAGGGTATGTAAAGTATGATTTCTCTTATATAAAATTTTATTTGTATAGACAAAGAATTCCATGGAAAAATGGCAACAAAAATATATTGATAACTCAGGCTGATGAAATTTTAGGTAACTTCTACTGTTTTTATATTGTTTATAATGTATGACAGTTTTAAATAAATATATACATTGTTTATATAATAAAAACAGTAA
Source organism: Homo sapiens (assembly GCF_000001405.40). Taxonomy (NCBI): domain Eukaryota; kingdom Metazoa; phylum Chordata; class Mammalia; order Primates; family Hominidae; genus Homo; species Homo sapiens. The sequence goes on along the minus strand of NC_000005.10, from coordinate 146,861,610 downwards.
GGCTGCCATTGTGGTGAGAAACAATTCATGGAGTGTCTGCTATGTGACTAGTCTCTGGGAATTAATGTAGCGAATATTCACCTGAGTTCTTCCTTTTACTTTGAAGACACATTAGTTTGACGACGGGCGCGGTGGCTCACGCCTGTAATCCCAGAACTTTGGGAGGCTGAGCTGGGTGGATCACGAGGTCAGGAGATTGAGACTATCCTGGTTAACACGGTGAAACCCCACCTCTACTAAAAATATAGGAAATTAGGCTGGGCGCGGTGGCTCACACCTGTAATCCCAGCACTTTGGGAGGCCGAGCTGGGCGGATCATGAGGTCAGGAGATCGACACCATCCTGGCTAACACGGTGAAACCCTGTCTCCACAAAAAATACAAAAAAATTAGCCGGGCGTGGTGGCGGGCACCTGTAGTCCCAGCTACTCAGGAGGCTGAGGCAGGAGAATGACATGAACCTGGGAGTCAGAGGTTGCAATGAGCCGAGATCGCGCCACTGCACTCCAGCCCGAGCGACAGAGGAGACTCAGTCTCAAAAAAAAAAAAAAAAAAAAGAAAAAATTCAGTTTGAATGCTGGAAGAGGAGTGATAAGTGAACACTGTGACTGTCAGCTTCTATAGCAAGAATCCTTTTTAAGGTCTGTCACCTGAAGATCTGGGTGAAAAGGCTTTAGCAATGAGCCTGGCCCTTAGATTTATAGCCCCTTTGGTCCTTATGTCTTGGCTGCGACAAGAAAGCTAAGACTATATCTCTGATCTCAGCCAATCATTTTATAAGGGGACTGAGCAACGGTCTGGATGAGTCAGTGAAAATCAATTGCAATGATGGAAAACTCATCTAAGAAAAAATGTCCTAGAGCCAGTGGGTCAGAGCCAGCCCCTCTGCACATGAAAGATTTCAGTCTGTGTTTATTGACACAGAGGGTGGTTTTAATTACCCTGAAGGAATTTCTGGCATGTTTTGCCAAAGCCAGTTTTAAAATGTTTAGTCAGTGGATTAGTGACTATCGGACCTACTGGAGAGGTCTGCATATGGGGCAGCAGGTCAAGTGTAGTGTATGGCAATGAGGCTGTTAAAGACAGAGTATGGGTACATTTTGTCAGAGAAACATAGGAGAATACTACCATCCACTCATAAGATGATCTTGCTTTAGAAAGTGTGGTGTGTTTTCTGTGTCAAAGGCTTGATTTCCTTTCTTGGTTTCATGATCTAAGCAATCTCATGACCTCTGTTTTTGATATACTGAAAAGGGAACATGGGTAAGATGGTCTAGAGCCAGAGTTTGAGTGATTAATCAAGCAATCAGTTCAAGCCACAACTAGCAACTTGAAAGAGTGAATATGCTTTTCTAAATTTGATAGGCCCAGGGAAAATGTATACTTAAAATAGCATGATGGCTTTTGTTTTACCTGTTTGTGTGGACCTGTAAAACGTTTTAAGATGAGAGCTATAAAAGGAAAAGCAGGATGGTGGTGCCACATCACAAAGCAATTTTAATCTGCTAGATACCTTGAGAGGAAACCATAGTCCAAGATAAAGGTAAAATCACTAGAAAAATTGTTTTCCTGATTTTTGTGTTTTTGCTCTTATACCTTTTGGTTGAATCTCTCCAATAAGATGGAAAAACACTTAATAGTGCTAAATACCATATTTTCTTCATCTCTCCAAGGTAAACTTCAGATAGAATTTCTTTTTTTTCCCTACACAAAACTGTCCTTCATACTACCTCCTTTCCCTGATGTTCTAATCTATACATAGGCCACGTTCTACTCTCTGATGTAGACAAGCAAGAGACTTGGCACCTTGAAATTTGAATAGAAACCCAAAGAGCCCATGTTGTTGAGCTGCTATTTATGTCCTGTTCATTTACATGGTAGTTTTGTGATATTCCTTGTTGCTTTCACAGAAAGGTTTCTCAGGCTATTTCATACCAACATGAACTTATCTGGGGGGTTTGCCACGCTTACTGGCTCTTGACTCCCTCTTTTTTTAAAACTTTTATTTTAGGTTTAGAAGTACATGTGTAGGATTGTTAGATAGATAAGCTGCATGTCACAGGGGTTTGCAACATGCACATTATTTGGTTACCCAGGTAATAAATATCTTACTCCCTCTTAACCATCAAAACAACTGATCAAACAATTCAGTTGTCTTTGGCACTGCTGATAGTTTTCAACTCTTAAGAATTGCCCCTTCCTCTTGCTTTTAAATTAGTTCTTCAATAAACCAACTTCTCCAAACAGGTTGATACATTAGCAGCTAAATATTAGGCAAGGAAGGAGTTATGTAAAATAGTAATGTCATCTTATACTTGTGGGAGGGGTTTTGTATTTCTGCAAAGCATTTTCACAGCTCTTATCTACTCTGCTCAACAAATATAAAGAGTAAATTTCCTTTATTCTCATTTTTTCAGTGAGAAAACTGAGATCCAGTGGAGTTAATCAACTTGTCTATGATCACATACCTAGTTTATGGTGGAGAAAAGACTGAGGTTTAGAGACTGATTCATAAAACCGAGCTCTTTCTATGATATTGGAATATCAGATAAATCAATAAACTCCCAACTAGATGAAATCTTATAGTCTTGGAAAAAAGTGCATCTGCTTGCTGACTCTCTGTAAGACACTGACCACTAACATTTTTAGAACAAGGTTCTTTGGGTGGAACAACTTGGTGTGCTTTACACCTTTGATTTTGGGGCTTGGGCATGGGTTGTGTCTCATTCCTAAAGTCACTCATTGTTACTCTTGCCAAGTGGAAGAGTCTCTGGAACCACATTCCTGGACAGTGGTGCAAGCCTTAAAGCACTAGGGTTTGGTGATAATAAAGACATAGAGAAGCCAGTGGATTTACTTTTATGTCATGGCTGTATATTGCGCTCAAGTATCTAACTCACAGATATCTACCATTTGGAATGAGCAAGAAAATAGGTAAGAAAAACAATGGATTGATCATCACCAACACCATTCTGATCCCCAGAAACTAGTCACTAATTTACTAGTGACTAGTAAACAACATTTACTGAGTACTGTGTGTATTTTTTTTGCCTCATTTCCATTTTATTATGTAAGCAGTGAAATCTTTGATAAGAAGATGGGCTCATTACTTAAATCCTCTAACTGCAGTTGCCCCTATGTAAAGTTAAGACAATAGTAGTAACTACTTTCCATGGTTGTTGTGAGGATTAAGTGAGATAATACTTGTACATGGCTAGTTCAGTCCCTGACACAGATTAAACATTCAGTGAGTAGTTGGTTGTTTTTAGTAGTTTTAGAAGACTTAAGTGGTCATAAGTATTATTTGCACTGGACCACATACATTTTTACCCTCCCAACCCTAGAGTTTAGAATTATATGAAAAAAGTAGTCAAGAAAACAGACTCTGGAGATGACTGGGTTTGTATCCTGGCTCCACCACTTGCTAGTCCTTGGGCAAGTTATTTAACCTCTCTAAGCCCAGGTGCCTCATCTGTAAAATAAAGATAACAATGCTTAACCTCATAAGGCTATTGTAAGTATTAAAAGTGACGGTGCCTGTAATGTGCTCATGACAGTCCCAGGAAAATAGTAGGTAGTAATTGCTAAATGTTAAGCTGTATTTTTATTAATGTTAGTACAGTTGGCTGGGCATGGTGGCTTATGCCTGTAATCCCAGCACTTTGGGAGGCCAAAGGCAGGCGGATCACCTGAGGTCGGGAGTTCGAGACCAGCCTGACCAACATGGAGAAACCCTGTCTCTACTAAAAATACAAAGTTAGCCAGGTGTGGTGGCACATGCCTGTAATCCCAGCTACTAGGGAGGCTGAGGCAGGAGAATTGCTTGAACCTGGGAGGCGGAGGTTGCAATGAGCCGAGATCGTGCCATTGCACTCCAGCCTGGGCAACAAGAGCAAAACTCCATCTCAAAAAAAAAAAAAAATTAGTACAGTTATGTATATGTCTTAAGATATTACCGTTAGAAGACAGTTGTTTTGATTACAAAACAGAGGACAAATAAGTTAATACACTAACCTTAATCTTTGATCCAGTATCAGTACTGGCTGGTGGTGATTTTATCTCTTTTAAATAATCTGTTAGGTTGGATTCTTTTTCTGAATATGAAATGAAACATTGAGGAAACTAAAACTCATTATCTACTCCATGCACCATCAGCAGGATATTTAAGGATAATAAATTTAAGATACTAAAAAATTAACAATAATGGACTAATTATGAACCTTTTGTTCTATATTAGTGGTATGTTGAAGCTTCCCATTAAGGCCTAATTTTTTTTAATCTTACACGTTTATTTTGAATATTTCTTCTTATATCACCTTTTTCATAGTTTCTCGTAGGATATAACCTCATACTTCTGAACGCTTGCAGAGAAATGGGGCCATTTCTAACGAGTGAGGTGACTTACTTCTGCTCCTGAATAGTTCCTATTGCATAGAAGTTGTTCTGCACCAGAGCATTCTCTTTCACCCACTGCTCCTAGCCCTGCACCATAAAACCCTACCCCAAACGCTGAGTATCCTGTCCACAGGACCCTACTTTGGCTATATGAAGCCAGCTCTCCTGATCACTACAGCCTCTTCAAAACTCCCTAGAGGTCATACAGCAGCTGTTTTCAAACTTTAACGTGCATTAGAATCACCTGAAGTATTTGTTAAATACAAGGTTCCAGGCTCCACCCCCTCAAGCTTAGAATAGGTCTATAGGCCTGTGAGTTTGATTTTTTCAGTTTCCCAGGTAATCCTACTGCTGCTGATGATGATCAGGAGCAACACTTTGAGACCGTGGCTCTCTGTCTGTCTTCTCAAGTGAGTAGGCAGTCCACTTCAGGTCGACGGGGCTGAGGCAAGGAAGCTTTTACAGTGTTGATTGTGTTACCTTGTTAGCCTGGATTTTGACAGGCCTGGAGCAAACTCTCCCAAAGAGATGGTAGGGGGTATGTGGAAAGTATGTAAATGCACCTGTATGTTACCAAAAGTTGAAGCATCACTACCTCCTGGAGTCTGGATCTGAACCCCATGTTTGTCACAGGAGCCAAGGGAGAACCCAAGACAGAGAATAGTGGCCCAATAATGAAGCATGAATTATCCAGATGAAAACACCTATGGAAATAAAGGTATTCGTATTATTATTTATACCTACTCTTCTTGATAAAGTAGCAGTATAGAAGTGTTAAATAGTTCCAATTGCTTAAAATTTGTTCCGTGGGACACAAGTTAATTTACATTTTTTAAATAGTTCCAGTTGCTTAAAATTTGTTCCGTAGGACACAAGTTAATTTACATTTTTTAAATAGTTATTGTACATAGGAAGCATAGTTTGATTTACTGTTTTAAGAACAAGAACATATTTTGACCAAATGTACATGGGGATGATATAACTGGTTATAAAATTACCAGGAGAGAGAGTGTTGGCTAAACAAGAATAGAGCCTGCTTTATTGATGTTAGGTTTGTTGAATAAGCTAGAGAACAAAGTAGATATATTAACTGCTCAAACAAAGAAAAAGAGCTTGGGGTCAAGACACAAAGAAAAAGAGCTTGGGGTCAAGAGGCAAAGAAAGACAATATGGGCATCTTACTTTGAATATAACGAAGAATAAAAGGTATCACTGAACAGGTAATTTCCAATGAGAAAATAGATCTAGAAATCACTGTGTAGGAAAAACAACTTCTCACCTGTATCAAATATTCTAAAGCCCTTTCATTATTAACTCCTAAGTAGTTACACTTGATTTGGATGAAGTAGCATGAAGGCTTCTGCTAGGCTTTTTTATTCATTTCTCGATACAGTGTGTGGTGAGGCTTTAGCTTTACAGCCTCCACATTTGGCTATATTTTGGGATAATGGAAAATAAAATTTAATACAAAAGAACTGTATTTTGATTTAAGAAAGAGAATCATCAGAGATTCTCTTTAGAGGTGGAGTTTGTAACAGAGTTTGTATGAACCCTGAGAGAGATCAAAGAGTACAACATTCAGAAGAGAAGAGCTCCCTTTAATAAAAGGAACGAAGAGGGAAAAAGGCTCTAGATAAATATTTTATCATAGAGCTAATAAAATTTAAAAGGTGGTCACAGTTCAAAAAGGGAAGAAAACAAAAAGCAGGTATGTGTGTATGTGTATGTATACTGTGTTTGTGTCTGTATGCATATATGTTTGTGAATATTCTCCATCAGACTATGGATAAAGATGTGTGAGGCATTTGTGTCCTAAGGGAACTATGCAATGTTAGCATTATGCATTTATAGAGACTCCATGCAGGTGATATTTTTAAATGTGTTTTTATATAAAATAATAAGAGCAGGTTTTGCTTTTAAATAGTGTTGGTGATGTGAGGTAGAGTTCAGCTCTTCCCTTGCTATTGAAAAATTACCTTTTGCTCTCTGGTCTATTTGAATAAAAGGCTTACATCTGTTGTAATTTCAATGTACGATTTTTTTTCCTTCCTACCAACTAAGTAACACTTTCAGTGCATTCTAATATAATATTGATTGGGGGTTTGAGTTTTATTTGGTTTGCCCTTGATGATGTTACTTTAATGAGATGAAACTGAATAGCTTTGAGTGGATTTCCCTGGAGCTTCCAACTTTTATGCCCCCTATTCCTCCTCCAAGATGGAGGGAGAAAAAAAATGGAAGTATTTTGTTATTTGGTCAAATTTTACGACTTGTGTCATATCAGACTCAAAATTTCTAAAAACATAAAAACTGCGAGAGACAGTTCAGAGTCCAAATTTTAAGAGCTTGTCGTGAAGAATAGCCAGGATAAATACCTGCTTTTCACTGTGCCTCATCAAGTCCAAATGTTTCTGAAAAATCCCTTCAAAGTACAAAGACAGTGCCCTTCTCCAAATTTGGAGGGTTGGTGACTATATAAGTATTGTGCACAGCTTAGCGATCAGTGTGAGGTACAAGGTGAGTGTGTGTCTATACACACGTGCTTGTGTTTTAATATAATGTAAGAATCACTTCAAGGTGTCATTTTCACAAGTTTAGTTACTTTCTTCAGAAATTGAATCTATTAGAATCTGGTTAAGACTGCCTTGATGAAAAGAGGTTGGTCAATGGGTACAAATATACGGTTAGATAAAAGGTATAAATTCTAATGTTTGATAGCAGAGTACAGTGACTGTAGTTAGCAACAATGTATTGCATATTTCAAAGAAGCCAGAAGAGAGAATTTGAAATGTCCCCAACACATAGAAATAATAAATACTCAAGGTGATAAATAACCCGAATACCATAACTTGATCATTATACATTCTATGCATGTAATAAAATATCACATGTACCCCATAAATATGTAACATATTATGTATTTTAAAAATTGCCTTGAATTTCTGACATGAGATTATGATTATTTAAGAGCAGTATAAGACATGAAGCCTTGTAGGGCTCTCTCTGATTTTCTAAAATCCATTCCAGTGTGAAATAATAATTTAATGTGTGTCAGCAGATTGGGAATGAAGAGTCTGGCATCCATCCTTTTACTTATTAAGTATTTATTGTGCACTTACTATGTGTCTGGTGCTGTACTCGGTGCTGGGGATGCAAAGGTTTAGTATATAGACCTGGTCTCTACTGTTAAGGAACCTGTGGTTTAGTAGGGGACACATACAGGACAACAGGCAATTATAATGCAGAATGAGAGGTTCTCTGATGGAGGAAGTACAAGAGAATGTGAAATGACATAAGAGGGCTCAGAGCAGGGCTCATGAGGAAGCAGATGGCTAAACTGAGACCTGAAGGATGAGGAGGAGGGAAGAAGAATGAAAAGTATTCCAAGCAGGGAGAATGGTAGTCAAGATGATGGTTAGTCCCACCTCAGTTATTTAGTAATTGGGTGACTTCAGGAAAAAGTCTATCGTAGATATTTTATTTTCCTTATTCTGTGGAAGATGGAGATGGTGGCCATAGTGGATACTGCTGCTGGTGGAAAAAAAAAATGATAGCAGTTAATATTTATTGAGCACTAATTATGTGCCATGTAGTGTACTAAGCCCTTTACATGCATTAGTTACTCAATTAGGGTTTTGAAATCACCTTTTGAGGTAGGCATCATTATTATCTGTTTCACAGATAAGCAAAAAGAAGCTCAGAAAGGTTAAGAAATTTGCTCAAAGTCACCTTATTAGCAGTAGAAAAGCCAGGATTTGAAAACAGACAAGTTTAACTTAGAACCTGTGTTTTGCACCATTACTATACTATTCATAATCTAACTTTCATAAGCTGATATAGAGATGAGCAGGATAATGGATTAAAAGGACTTTTTAAACTACATGGAACTCTATACTATCATTATGCATTTTAAACTGGGGCATGAATCACGTGGTTGGTAGCTAGTCCAGAATAAAAAGTAAAAATGATTGCAGCAATATATGGGCTGCCATTTCTTGATTTGTTAGCAATGCCTCTAATTCTATGGCCTCAACACATTAGTAGTCAAAAGTGGCATTTCCTAGGGGACATTTTTTTGAAGCAACAGAACATTAGATAAGTTGGACCATGGGTTTGCTCCTAAATGGCAACTGCTATGTTAGAAAGTTCTCAAACATTCCTGAGATCTTTAATCTCTGTTAATCACTCCATGCCCCTCTGTGACGACTGCTCAGCACAAAATGAAATGGAGGCTTGGCAATTATCCAATTCCTTTGAAGAATCTTGCCTCTTAATGCTGATAATCCAAAGCTCTAATTGCACTTTTAAAAATTCTAGATTATCAGGTTCACTCAGGTATACATACTCTCTACTCTGCCTCCGCTTTTTTGTCAAATAGACCTTTTTCCTGTCACTTCTATGTTTCTGATAATTCCCAATGTGCTCCCTGCATTTATCTGTACTCTAATCAGCCATCGTATTGTGAACTTAGGACCGTCTATACTATTGTCACATAAGCAGGTTCATGTTGCTGGCCAACACATTAGCAGTCATTGGGAATTGTTGAGAATGTTTGGAGAGAGGTGGTCACACAATCTTTTGGCACAAAGAGCATGTCTCCACTACAAAGGCAAAGACTGGTTCTACAGTAGGCGGAACCACAATGAACCAAAATAATGAATTCTTCTGCATCATAGTTCGATTCTAGAGGCTAATTGTTAATTTAAGTCCTGCTCGTGGCCTGATAACGGGGCTTTCCTTTTGGAAACTTGACTGAGCTAGTGTGAAAGGCAAGACTGTTATTCAGATATACTAGTGAAATGCAAACAGTTTCACATATTAATGGTCACTAATGACCTGTAATCAGGCTATGATTTGTTAGGTTAAAAACAAAGGCATGATTAGTTTATTTGTTCAGGAGTGTAAACAGAGGGCTTTGTCAATCTGCAGATTGTTCTTCTCCATTGGAGACAGTAGGCTGGAGCATTCCTCTTGAGCTGTGGCATTTAGGGACTGCATTTTCTTTTCTTGAGATTCTCCCAGCTTCCTGTCCCCTCATAAGCCTGCAGCCTTAATCAAAATGGAATGAAGAGGATGCTGTTATTGGTCCCCTTTCTCTGTGGCTTTGGTTTTTGATAAGTGAGCCACTTTAATTTTAATTTTTTTCTTTCAGCTCCACTCTGGTCTCATGCTTCAAATAGCTAATTTTCTCAAAGCATCACCATTTCTTCAGCAAACATTTAACACATAATTGAGGTCAAATTATGCTCCAAATGCTATCCTAGACCTCAAGGATTTTAATGATTATCAAGAGAATCCTAACCCAATCTGAAAAATTTACAACTTCTCCACAGATGTCGTAAGATTTTCTGTACCACTAACAACTGCTTGTAAACTTATCACTAAAAAAAAAATGAAGACTCTCTTGAAATGAAACAGCTGCTCTGTTGAGATATGCATCTTAAAGAGCAAGGCACTTTGATCTTTTGGGGTGCATCAAAGCTGACAATAGAGATTTTGAGGTGTTATAGTGACTCCTTAGAAAAGGTATACCTTGTGTTTTGCCTACACTTATTTAATTTGAGAAAGTGAGTATATTTAAATTCTTATAGGAAACCATGGCATTAAAACAGAAAATTCTTTACTCCTTCATCAAGTAAAAAGAAAAGACTGTGATCTACCTGGTACCACGAAGCAATAATGATGCAGGTTATCCCAGTGAGGCATTTGGATCACTTACAATCATGATGAAGCAATGGGCATGATCTCACTCACATGGAACAGGATCTCTTTCCTTGTTAGCACTAATAGCAATCAGCAATCATTTTATTTACTCATTTGTGTGTTGGTTATCCTCTCTTCTTGAAGGTGAGCACCTGTCTCTCTTGCCTAGTGTGTATCCCAGGCTCTAACACAGTGCCTGGAATCTAGTAAATATGCTCAGTAAATATTTGTTAAATGTTGAATGAAATCCAAGGCCAATGATGAGAGCTTGAGCCCAATAGTAGCATTTGAGATATTGTGAAATAAAGAAAAATTACTTAATAAACAGATCTCTGAGGGACAGGATTAGGAGATGATTGGCACCATTGTGAACCTTTACTGCATGAGATTGTTTCTTCATGTCCTCTTATGTCCACTTCTATGTAATATTGAATAATATTCATTTCGATATGATAAAAAGGACCTCATGTTTATTTGGAAACTACCAAACCTGGCAGTGATGTTTATTTACTCATCCTTGGGGTGACCAATCAAATTTATTATGTGAAGTGACATATTCTTCTGAATCCAAAGAGGACTTTAATATTCTAGAAAGTCTTTACAGCAGTATGGATAGATTGCGTGGTCATTTTTCAGACATTTACTTGATAGGTGTTTATTGGGCACTTATTGTATACCAGCTATGGGGTTAGATACCAGGAATATGGAGTGACAAGACCCTCTGGGGAAATATATTAATAAAGAATAATAAAGATAAATGTACAATTGCAACCGTGACAAGCACTCTGAAGGAGTTAGTAGTACTCTGAGAGTGTGTAATAAGAGGATTATTGGACCTAGACAGGGAAGGCTTCCCTGGTGAAAGAATAATTGCTAAATCCGAAAGTCATAATAAGAGTTAGCTCTGTTGAAGAGGAGATGGGAAGATGACCCAGGCAGGGAGAACTGCATGTACAAGGGCTTTATGGTAGTAGCAGTAGAGAGAGTGTGTGTTCAAAAAGTGAAAGGTGGCCAGTGTGGCTTAAGTTCCCACAGGATGGACATTAGACAGAAGCCACATCTTGCAGAGTCTTGCAAAAATATATGAGCCATTTTTGCTTTTTATCTTATGAGTAACAGGAAGCCATTTAAATGCTTAAATGTAGGGAAGATTGGGGAAAGTGACCAAGTTTGCTTTTCAAAAATACTATTCTGGCTGCAGTGCAAAGAATAGATTGGAAAGGGTCTAGAATAGATCTAAAGAGACACGTGATTTACTCAGATGAAACTGACACAAAATGTACATAATATATGCCCACGTGAAGCAGTCCCTGCATAAAGCATGTACCCTGGCAAAAGATTCAAGATGAGCTCCCCCATGGTATAATATAGACCTCTTCAAATTCCTCTGTGTCACCCACACACGCTTACCCAGACATAAATTAGCATCGTTAATGCAGAGTGTCACATTAGAGCCCAGTTATACTTCCAGCTGATGCATCACTTTAGCACCTTTCCCTTTGTACTTTACCCTCCACCTTCAAAGGCTGTTCTCAGGTCTTATTTTCCTTCCTAGAAGTGTGAGATTGGTTTTTCTGCTGTGCTATTGGAGTGATCCTCCACTTAGACTCTAATCTGCCATGGCTTTGTGCCTGTTTGTCAGGAACTTCGAGGATGTATTAAGATATTATACAGGGTAGAAGCTCTATTTTGACAATGATTATGCCTATTATCTATTTTAATAAATGTAAATTGCTGTGGAGAAACAAACCATTTTATGCCACTTGAATCCTTTTCAAGGAAGCCTGAATCCTTTTTGCATGGCTTAGATGTATTACTGTCATTTTCCCTTCACTGGGTTGAATAAAAGCACTTAAATCAGACCTTTGTTAGTGCACCCTCTTGTACTGTTTGCCCTAATAAATTGTTGTGATTTTAGTCTTTGAAATCCGTATTTTGTAACATTTGCAAATTTATCTGTAGTCCCTTCCAGAATTGAGATTATGGAGTAAATTCAACAGTAAGTCAACATGTACATTATATGTGCCAAGCACTATACTTGGGATACAGCAGTGATTAAAGCACTAATTCTGCCTTTAAGAAGCTTACAGTCATTTCTCACTAGTGGAGTGAGAATTTACAGATAAGCAAGAGGAGGATGTTAGAATGCTACATGTGGTAATGAATTAAAGTTAGAGACATCAACAAGAACCCCTGCTTAACTTTATATATTCACAAGTGACTACATATAGAAATATTTATGTAGATATACATAGGGTTATATGCACACATATATTTCTTTCTGTGTCAGCTGAGAGGGCCTAAAAGAAATGGCATCCCAGTAGCAACTAGCACCCAGATCTTGATTTCTAAAACCATTCTTTAATAAAAGGAACCAGGAATTCTTGAAGAAATGTCTGATGCTACTAGTAGCAAAGGAAGTATATGAGTCTGGAGCCTCTTATAGAACCAGAAAGTAAAGAAGTACTGAAAAAAAAGGAAAAAAGCCTGCACTGATGGAGGTATGTCAAAAGGACACCGAAATCAACTGGAAGAGCTCCTAATGGCCAAAGTGGAACAATCCGAGCAATAAAATATAGCATTGAATTCTATCCCAAAGTATAAAATCAATATGCATAAATTCATACTGGTATAAGTAAATAATTGAATAAATAGGAGAGGAGGAGAAAATCTCCCATGCAGAACTCCAGATAAATTGTGCAGATAACATACCCTCAAGGAAGACAGCAAGTTGGCATAGCTCCCTAAGCCTTAAGGGTGAGCTGTACATCATGACTTCTTTCTAAGGGTGCAGAGTACAGTTTGGAGGAGAGGGGAGTAACTTTACAGTGGAGAAACCTGACAAACATTTCTTCAGCCAGGTGATCAAGTCCAACATGAAAATAAGGCATGTTGATATAGGTACCTTTGATTGATGTGATAGGATGGAAATGGCACTTTATCTCTGTGGTCTTCAATCACGAGAAAAACATCAAATAAATTCCACTGGAGGAGCATCCTACAGTATACCTTACTGCTATTCCTCAAAACTGTCAAGATCATCAAAGGTAAGGTAAGTCTGAGAAACTGCCACAGCCTCAAGGAGCCTGAGGAGCCATGACAACTAACTGTAATGTACTATCCTGGGTAGGATCCTAGAGTAGAAAAAGGACATTAGAAAATTAAGCAAATCTGAATGAACTATGGACTTTGGTTAATGATTACATACCAATATTGCTTCATTACTTATAAAAACGTACCACACTAACATAAGATATTCACAATAGGAGAAATCCTGCAAGAGGTATAGAAGAGCTCTCTGTACTATCTGTTCCATTTTTCTGTCAATCTAAATCTATTTTTAAAAATAAAATCTGTTAATAAGATAAAAAAAACTAAAGAATAAGAAACATACAGTCTAGTAGGGGGAGCCAGTAAGTTGGTAGGCGACTGTAACGCAGGTAAAATGACGGAGTATGGACAGCTATTGGGAAAAACATGATGTGGCATCTAACTTGTCTTTTAAATCCTGATATGGTGACTTTGGGAAAATTCCCTAAACTTGCTGAGCTTTTGTTTCCTCATCTCTAAAATGGTGATAACACCTGCACAAGTCAACATAGGCTGCCAAGCCAAGCCGCAGGAGCTCGTATCCCCTGCTATGGGGCTGGGTGATTTACTAAATCCATCTGGGCTTTAGTTCCCCATCAATGAATTGGATAATAAGAGAATAATATAATAGGAAAACAGTAAATACCTACCTTAGGGAGTTTTCCTGAAGCCTGAGAAAATATATTTAAAGTACTTGAAACAAGTCTTGGCACACAGGACTTAAATGCTGCTGCTGCTGTCTGCTCACAGGTTTGTGGTGAGGATTCAGTGGCAGAATTGTGGAGAGTGCTTAGTGCACGCCTAGGTTTGGGCATGTGGCTTGTGTTCTACATCCACCACCAACAGAGCACAAGCCCTGTGGTGGGTTCCTGGAGGCCAGGAGATGCTTTCCCTTGCAAGGCAGGCACCTATGTACCAGACACACCTGCTGCTTCTAACCTTAAGCTGAGAATAGAGTAGAAGTTGACCAGATAAAAGGAGAGTAATGGATGTGGGTTCTGTAAAAGGAGCAAAATCCAAAAACCAAAAGAAGCATGGCACCTTTACAGAACAGTGGAGTTCAGAATGACTGGTGTGAGGAGCCTAAGAGGAGGAGGAAGTAGGCAAGAGGAGGAAGTAAGTCTATTATGTCAGGAATTAAAGGCTGAATTGAAGATTTGAACTTTATCCTGGGGTTAGTGGACAACTACAGGCAGGTCAAGCAAGAAGGCAGCATGTAAGACTTTTACACTGTCTATTGTTGGAAAACAATGAGATAGAGGTAGAAGACCAGTTAGGAAGTTACTTCAGTCATACAGATCAGTTGAGAGATTACGGTGGCCTAGATGATGGTAGTAGCTCTGGAAGTAGAATTAAAGGATTTGAACAGTAGTGTAAATAATGATTCTAAAATTATATGAAGATGTTTTCCCACCCATAGTCTGATGTATTATAGTTTATGATACTTGAACAATGTTCTAAGATCTGCATGAGATAAGAATACTGTAGAATAACATAAGAATTTAAGGCAGTGGCTTTGAGACTTCTAAATATTTTTCACTCTCAATATATACCATTATAGGCAGGTTTAAGAAAAAGTCATAAGCATTAAAATCAGATTAACTCTGAAATGATGAGAGAATAGAGGAATATTCTAGACCAGCATCATTCCAAGAGATCTAACATAAGCCACATATGTAATTTTAATTTTTTAGTAGCTACTTTTAAAAAAAATAAAGAATACAGATAAAATTAATTTTTTTTTTTGAGACAGAGTCTCTCTCTGTTGCCCAGGCTCGAGTGCAGTGGCAAGATCTAGGCTCACTGCAACCTCCACCTCCCAGGTTCAAGCGATTCTCCTGCCTCAGCCTCCTGAGTAGCTGGGGTTGCAGGCACGTGCCACCATGCCCAGCTGATTTTTGTATTTTTAGTAGAGACGGGGTTTCACCATGTTGGTCAGGCTGGTCTCAAACTCCTGACCTCATGATCCACCCGTCTCGGCCTCCCAAAGTGCTGGGATTACAGGCGTGAGCCACTGTGCCTGACTTTTACTATTATTATTTTTTGAAATGGAGTCTCACTCTGTCGCCCAGGCTGGAGTGTGGTGGCGCAATCTTGGCTCACTGCAACCTCTGCCTCCCAGGTTCAAGTGACTCTCCTGCCTCAGCCTCCTGAGTAGCTAGGATTACAGGTGCACACCACCATGCCCAGCTAATTTTTGTATTTCTTGTAGAGACGGGTTTTGCCTTGTTGCCCAGGCTGGTCACGAACTCCTGGGCTCAAGCAGTCCACTCACCTCAGCCTCCCAAAGTGCTGGGTTTACAGGCGTGAGCCACTGCACCTGGCCAGATAAAATTAATTTTAATATTTTAATCCAATGTATCAAAAATATTATTTTAATATGTAATCAAAATGACAATTATGAGATGTTACATTCTTTTTCTCATGTTGTCTTCAGAACTCAGTGTATATTTTACTCTTACAGCACATTGAATTCAGACTGGTGTCATTTCAAGTGAGCAATAGTGGCCCGTGGTTAGTGGCTACTGTGTTGCACAGTACAGGTCTGGAGCTCCCAAAGTTAGTCAAAAATAGTTTAGATTTACACTTGCTGGAGGAATTCTTTTTCAAAACAAGTTAATCAACATTCCTATTCTAGTACATGCACATGGGAAACAGAATTTAGTGTACATACTCAAATTGCCTATTTCACTCCATGTATATTTTTCACGCACTCACTGTATGGTCATGGAGCATCAACTATGTTAGCATGAGTGATGGTTCACACACTGGAGCTCTAATCATGAGCTGACCACGCACAGTGTCTGTTCTTCAGCTTACACCTTTATGGAGGAGACATGAATAAAACAGAAAATGAAATAGTCATAAATTGGCCAGGTGTGGTGGCTCACGCCTGTAATCCCAACACTTTAGGAGGCCGAGGCGGGCGGATCACGAGGTCAGGAGATCAAGACCATCCTGGCTAACACGGTGAAACCCCGTCTCTACTAAAAGTGCAAAAAAAAATTTAGCCAGGCATGAACCTGGGAGGCGGAGCTTGCAGTGAGCCAAGAGTGTGCCACTGCACTCCAGCCTGGGCAACAGAGTGAGACTCCATCTCAAAAAAAAACAAAAAAAAGAAAAGGAAAAGAAAAGAAATAGTCATAAATTATGCTATGATGAAAACAAAAGAGAGGTTGAGATACTGGATAATGATGAGATGGCTTTAGATGATTTCAGTTGAGATGACATAAGCTGGGAGATAAAGAATGACAATGAGCCAGCCATACAAGAATTGGTGGGAAAGCTAATCAAGTAGAAGAAACAGCATGTCCAAGAGCCCTGAGGCTTGTCGCATATGCAAAGAATCAAAAAGTGAACATGGCTGAAAGCTGGTGAGGGAAGGAGAAAGTGGTGTGAGATGAAGAAGTGGCCAAAAGTGGGATCTCATGGACTTTGTAAGCCGTGGAATGGAGTTGGAATGTTATTCTAAGGGCTCTGAAATCTACAGAGCTTTAGGGGAAGGGGCTTCTTGATTAGGAAGACTGCCTTGACCTCAGGTCACTGTGTAGGCTAAAGGTAAAAATGCAATAAGTGAAAGTTGGAAGAAAGTTCTGCAACCTCACAGGTTATTGAGAGAAAGATAGAATAAGGTAGTGAAAGTTCTGGAATGACAACATATTGATCTATAGATGCAAAGTGCTGGAAAGAAAGAAAGAAATGGGGTTGCTAAACCCAGCTGGCTTTGTTGAGCTGCTCTTTGTAAAGGAAGTGCATACTTTCAGTGTTCAGGGTGCTTTCTGCATGGAATCTTAAATTTGTTTTCAAAAAACTAAATTGCACAGAATGGATCCGGGCATGCAGGTCTTCTGCCCTATCTGTGGTTTCTGATTTTCCAGATAAATGGTTGGCTGTTCTTGAAATGAATGCTCACAGGTGCATGATGACATCTTGCTGAGGGTCCTGCCAACAGTTTGTGTAGGTGGAGAAAGAGCAAGAATCCAAGGAAGCTAGGAGAGAAGACAGCCTTTTATTTGTCTGGCATTTTGGATGTTTCAGTATATATTTTTTTTTAATGTTTTTTTTTTTTTATTATACTCTAAGTTTTAGGGTACATGTGCACATTGTGCAGGTTAGTTACATATGTATACATGTGCCATGCTGGTGCGCTGCACCCACTAACGTGTCATCTAGCATTAGGTATATCTCCCAATGCTATCCCGCCCCCCTCCCCCGACCCCACCACAGTCCCCAGAGTGTGATATTCCCCTTCCTGTGTCCATGTGATCTCATTGTTCAATTCCCACCTATGAGTGAGAATATGCGGTGTTTGGTTTTTTGTTCTTGCGATAGTTTACTGAGAATGATTTTACACTGTTGGTGGGACTGTAAACTAGTTCAACCATTGTGGAAGTCAGTGTGGCGATTCCTCAGGGATCTAGAACTAGAAATACCATTTGACCCAGCCATCCCATTACTGGGTATATACACAAAGGACTATAAATCATGCTGCTATAAAGACACATGCACACGTATGTTTATTGCGGCACTATTCACAATAACAAAGACTTGGAACCAACCCAAATGTCCAACAATGATAGACTGGATTAAGAAAATGTGGCACATATACACCATGGAATACTATGCAGCCATAAAAAATGATGAGTTCATGTCCTTTGTAGGGACATGGATGAAATTGGAAACCATCATTTTCAGTATATTTTTGAAATCATTATCTCAGGGTCATGATAACTCTGTAAGATAGAAGAAGCAAGTAGAACCATTCCCAAGTTATAGAAGAATAAACTGAGGGTTTGAGAAGTGAAGGGTTAGTTTGTGGCCAAAATAGACAGTGAGATGATATCATCTAATTTGTACTTTTTTCTCTGGTGTGAGAGAACACCTGTGACTATTCTAATCCTACATTAATCTGTTACAAATCCCCTATTTTAGCAATGTATAAAATAAGATCTAAGCTCATTGGGAATAAGTTCCCTTTGGGGCTATTTGAAACCTTATCTACTCTATCACTGCAGGGTAAAGAGAGGGTGGAGTTGTTTTATATTATACATTATTGGTAAAGCAATTTGATTGTAAGCTTCCAAGTCTGGATTTATGTACTTCACCTTGTATAGTGCTCAGTAGGCTACAATGATACTCACAAAGTGTCATTAGATACTGAAAAAAAGATGTAATCAAGACCCAAATTGATCATTATTCACTGATTCTGGCATCTGGATAATTTTAAAGTTTTTTTGAGGCAGAGTTTCGCCCTCATTGCCCAGGCTGGAGTGCAATGGCACGATCTGGGCTCACCGCAACCTCCGCCTCCCAGGTTCAAGAGATTCTCCTGCCTCGGCCTTCCGAGGAGCTGGGATTACAGGCATGCGCCATCACGCCAGCTAATTTTGTATTTTTAGTAGAGATGGGGTTTCTCCATGTTGGTCAGGCTAGTCTCAAAATCCTGACCTGAGGTGATCCACCCGCCTCGGCCTCCCAAAGTTCTGGGATTACAGGCGTGAGCCACCGCGCCCAGCCAATTTTAAAGTATTAGAACAGAAAAAAAACTGCATTTCAAAATTATTTTAATATAATTTACTAACTGAGACTGTCAGAGACAAACCTTCTAACAGTATTTAGTTGTTATTAGCAGATAAGGAGGCCGTTATCCCTAGCAAACTGATGCAGGAACAGAAAACCAAATATGGCATGTTCTCACTTATAAGTGGGAGCTAAATGATGAGAACACACGGATACATAGAGAGGAACAACACACACTGGGGCCTACCAGAGGAGGAGAGGTAAAATTAGATGACCAGGAAAAATAATGAATGGATACCAAGCTTAATACCTGGGTGATGAAATAATCTATGTAACAAACCCCCACGGCACATGTTTTTCTATGTAAAAAACTTGCACATCCTGCACATGTAACCCTGAACTTTAAAAAAAAAAAAAAAAAAGGGCATGGAGGTATTTTTTTGAAGTATGTCTTTTTTTTTTCCTTTTTCTTGAATTATGGTTAGAGTATGGTTATTTGGAAATGAAATAAATAGCAAGTTGACTGTGGTAGATTTAGAATATAGGCTCTTATACTTTTGGGGATGTGTGGGGGTGGGAAGGAATTTGATTAAAGCTCTGGCTCCTCTCCATAGCGGGGAGAATTTGAAGAAAGCTGTAAATGTACAGCAGGCCATATAATTTTGGACTATGAATTCCCATGAAGTCGATTCCTCAGTGGCTGATCAAGCACTTCAGATGGAAGAAGGTAAAGGTTGGAGTGAACAAATGTACACAACTTAGCTGAAGATAAATGTGCAGTACTTTAAGGGGAGGATGTTGTATTCCATGCCAAGAATGGAATGTGGTTGTTTTGGCTTCACAGTGATGTGGCTAGGGAGTATGGATGAATCCCTGTCTCAGAGTACTCACCTCTGAAGTTTGCCCAGTCTAAGTACAATTTAAAATTTTAAAAGATTTCTGATATCAAATCTCTTTTTTCTTTATATTTTCATTATACTTTAAATTCTGGGATACATGTGCAGAACGTGCAGGTTTGTTACATAGGTATACATGTGCCATGGTGGTTTGCTGCACCCATCAACCCGTCATCTATATTAGGTATTTCTCCTAATGCTATCCCTCCCCTAGCTCCCCAACCCCCAACAGGCCCTGGTGTGTATTGTTCCCCTCCTGTGTTCATGTGTTCTCATTGTTCAACTCCCACTTATAAGTGAGAACATGCGGTGTTTGGTTTTCTGTTCTTGTGTTAGTTTGCTGAGAATGATGGTTTCCAGCTTCATCTATGTCCCTGCAAAGGACATGAACTCATCCTTTTTAATGGTTGCATAGTATTCCATGGTATATATGTGCCACATTTTCTTTATCTCCCATTTCTGGGTAGTAAGAGGGGAAGCATCCACTGTCTGGGTTGTGATTACGTCTTGCCCATAGGGAAGTTTGGGAGGTAGGAATGAGGAATTTTCACAATCAGAAAATGCAAATAGTGCATTTTCTCCCTCTCTTCCTTTATTTCTCTTTGCTTTCTTTTGTGTGTATGTGAGGCAGTGGAAGCTAGTTGGACTGAACAGCGTCTTTAAAAACTCTACAAAGATATAAAAACCAATGACCTTTTACCCAAGAGTAGTTAATGCTGCCTTTTGGATGAGATGGGACCCAAGTAAAATTTGTACTAGTGAATAATGAAGCAGTTCATGCAGAACTACATGCATTCAGAAAGAGAAGGCATTATTATAGCTGGCTTCTGCTTTGAGTTTTGGTGCATTTGATCTTTATGCACAGGAATAATAGAAGGCATTGAATAATCCTCCATAAGCTTCAAGTGTCTAGGCTCAAATTCCACTTTTTTCCCAAAAAGTCTCCTTGACTTTGTTACCTCTCCTGAATCCCTACATTAGAGACTCTAGTTCAAAATTTAATGCTTGTAATACAGCATATTGGCCACTAATGTTTAATACATATTTGTCTTGTTTCATCTCTTTGTTTAGCCTCCCTAAAGGTAGATGTATATCTCCCTTCCTACAGAGTAAGCTCTATCAGATTAAGGACGTGTTTGTTTCTTTTATTAGTCTAATACCATCACAATGTCTCACACATTACAGACAATGAATAGATTGTTTTAGAATGAGCAGTTCTGATACTGCAGCATCATTTATATCTTTGATTTCTATGCTACATATACTATACTTGCTGGCTGGTAATTAAAATGAAAAGCAGTTTATTTTTGTTTTGTATAAAAACAAATTGGAGTCAAAATAGAACTATTTGAATGGGGCAGTATCTGAGTCTGATTTTTTGAAGTCTGCCTGTCACAGCTGATGGACCTCCAAACCCCTTTGGGTATTTTAGGAGTGTCTAGATGTGTGGAACTGTCTGTTGATTTTATTTTTAGTGATGTACTAGGGCTGTGCTTTTAAATCACAGTTTGACTCAAAGGAGAGATTAATTTGGTTATTCTGAAGACAAGGAAAAGAAACTAAGATTTATTAAGCAACTACTATATGCTAGGCACTGGGCTTTATAACTTTAGATATGTCATTTCATTTAATTATAAGAGCCCTGCATATAGTATTATATTTTCTTTTCGATGTAAAAAAAAAGATTCCAAGGGGTAATTAACTTACTTGGACTTTAAGCTCTGTAAGGACAACGTGCCTGGCACAGAGGAGTCACTCAATTAAATGTTTGTTATGTATATTCAAGGGAACTCAATCAGGCAGCAATTGACAAGCCTGCATTTGAACCCAAAGCTGTTGGTACTTAAAGCCCATCCTGTTTTCACTACTGCTGCTCCTTTAAATAGAAATTCTCATAGAAAAAAACAGAATCAACATAATTAACTTTTCATTTTAGCTCTCTGCTCTTTTAGCTCAGCTACACAAGTCTCAAGTTTTCAACATTTGGCCTCAAACATCATTTTCCTCTGTTTGTACTATTTGCCCAGAGGTGATGCTAAAGATACACTTGACTTCCTGGCAACAACTCAGAACAATTGTGTTAGAACATGCTCTTCCTCATACCCTAAGGAAGTAAAAATAAATGTTTGGAAAGAAGGATGAATAAAATTGTAGAAATGGTGACATTTCGCATTCTATTCTCTGCCCCTTTAGAAAGGCAGGGAAGTTGTGGCTGTCCAAACACAGCCAAGAAGTCAGCAAGTTAGAACTTCATCATGGTTTTTATCATTCCAGTTTTCAGACTTGTTTGTAATGTAAAGCTGACTCTCCAAGTTGCTGATGATTTTTTGGGATGGTCAGCAGATTTAGCAAGTCCATTTCTTAAGTAAAAATGAGATAATATTAAATTTTATAGGGCCAAGCCCTGGTTCTTATACTTACCTCCCAGATGACACAAAAACATGATTTTTAATTTTTTGGAAATTGCATATACATTTTACTATATTTTTGAGATGGGATTTCGCTCATCACCCAGGCTGGAGTACAATGGCGCAATCTCAGCTCACTGCAACCTCCATCTCCCAGGCTCAAGCGATTCTCCTGCCCCAGCCTCCCGAGTAGCTGGGATTACAGGCACATGCCACCATGCCCGGCTAATTTTGTATTTTTAGTAAAGACAAGGTTTCACCACGTTGCCCAGGCTGGTCTCAAACTCCTGACCTCAGGTGATCTGCCTACTTCAGCCTCCGTAAGTGCTGGGGTTACAGGTAGGAGCCACTGCACCCGGCCACATATACATTTTAGGACTCAGTTTGAATCCATATGTATTTGACTTGAGTATTGCATAAGTAATGTTTGCCTTCCTGCCTCCCCCACAAGATCGAATAGACTAGGTAGGCACATGATATCTGAATGAAGAAGAGTATTTAGGAAGGCACAATTAGAACAAGCTTCTAATTGGAAGTTATAAGAAGGGAAGGTTGGAAATCAGTATGTGGACGAATTTTCTAGTGTTCAGCCTATCAAAGAGTGGCAGGGACTGTCTTGGGAGATGGTTTTCTCACAGGGAGGATGGACATTCACTTTTCAGAAATGTTGAAGAGGCTGTAGTGAGGAAGACTGGGCTAAACCTCTAACGCTGCTTCAGATTTCCCAAAATACCCTTTGCCTTGGGAAGGCAGTCATTTGTTTTTGTTTCTTATTTCAAGAAAACCTTGTCAGAAGAAACAGAAGAGAGGTCCAAGGTATAATATATGAGGAACTATTTAAGATTTGATGGACAAATTCGTACCTATTAATCATTAATGTGTTAGCATATCACTTTCTTAACTCACTTGTGTAGCTCACTCTTCTGTCTAGTCTATCCTCATTCCTCTTTTTGTATGCTTTCCTTCCCATTATGTAACTCTGTCCCATTCTTCTCTCCCTTCCTTCTTTTTTTTCTTTTTTTTTTTTTTGAGATGGAGGCTCACTTTGTCCTCTGGGCAGGAGTGCAGTGGCACAATCTTAGCTCAGTGCAATCTCCGCCTCCCAGGTTCAAGTGATTCTCCTGCCTCAGCCTCCGAAGTAACTGGGATTACAGGCACCCACCATCATGCCCAGCTAATTTTGTATTTTTAGTAGAGACAGGGATCCACCATGTTGGCCAGGCTGGTCTTGAACTCCTGACCTCAAGAGATCTACCCACCTTGGCCTCCCAAAGTGCTGGCATTACAGGTGTGAGCCCGGCCTCCCTTCCTTCCTTCTAAGTCTGTAACCTTGGGAAATCCCCTAACCACCCTGTATTTCACATTTCTCTCTTATAAAATGGTGATGTTAGTAGCTCCTTGAAAGTTTGTCACAATATAAGTATTAGAGACTATATGCAAATACCAACACAGGGTCTACCAAGCTGTAGATAACTATTTTTTAAATTCTTCTTTCATTTATTCATTCAACATATAAAGATTTCTTTAACGCCATAGGACAGGGGCATAGGGGGCTCACTGTTAGGAATATGAACACAGAACCTACTTACCAGGGACTCTTAAAATAGTATGAGAAGAGACACTGCCATGTAGGTCATGGTGCTAGGGAACAAACATGCCCCGGAACTCAACTCAGATTCCCAGGTCCCTGCTTAATCAGTTTCTCTGATACCATTCTTCTCTACCTTCATCAATTTGAGAAGCAATTGTTCCCCCTTTTGAACTTCCTAGAATTGTGCTATTCGACAAGATAGCCATCAGAAGATATGTGAGTCTTGTGCATGTGAAATGTTGCTATTTCATTTGAGATATGCTGAAAGTGTAAAATACACACCAGATTTAGAAGACTTAGTACAAAAAAATATATAAAATATCTCAACAATAATGTTTTGATATTGATTACATGTGGAAATGGTATTTTCGATATCTTGAGTTTGAGAAAATGTATTATTAAAATTAATTTTACCTTTTTTTACTTTTTAATGTGGCTGCTAGAAAATTTTAAACCACATATGTGTCTCACATTTTATTTCTATTGAACAGTGCTGTCCCAGCACTTCACTGTGCCACCTTATAGCCACATCACTTTCTTCTCCCACCCCCATACAACTAACATACTATACAGATGCTCTTCAACTTACCACAGGTTTGTATCCTGATAAACCCATCATTAAGTTGAAAATATCTTAAGTCAAAAAATGCATTTAATACACGTAATCTTCTGAAAATCATAACTAAGCCTAGCCTACTTTAAATGGGCTCAGAACAACTTACATTAAACTACAACTCATCTACTACAAAATCATCTCATGCAAAGCCTATTTTTAAAGTTCGAATAGCTCATGTAACTTATTGAATACTGTACTGAAAGTGAAAAAACAATGATCGTGTGGATACTCGAAGTACATTTTCTACTGAATGTGTATCACTTTTGCATCATCGTAAAGTTGAAAAATCCTAAATCAAATCACCCTAAGTCATAACTGTCTGTACTTGTGGATTATTTTTCCTTCTAAATTTTAAACTCTTCCAGGATACTATTTATCACTATTATTGGTGCTGCTAGTTGTTGGCGTAGCACCTAAAACCAAGTGTTCAATACATATTTGTTGAATGAAGAAATGAATGGATGGACAGGAGCTGTTTTCTGAGGTATTAGGAACTTCAGAGGAACATAATCTTCCAATGATTTTGATGCAGAAGGCAAGTTCCATGGCTGCAAATTGTCAAAAAGTCAACTTCTTTCACCAAGATAGTATGCCCATTACATTAAAAAAGATCTAGCCAGAAAGCTAATCAATATGTCCTAAGACTACATCTGTGTCTGTAGCTATCTCTCTGAACTTTGGCAATGACTTGTTTCTACAAAGAACAGTTCTCAGAGTCCCACAAATGTTTGCATTTTGAAAATGACAGAGACCAGGTTATTCATTAGGCAAAGCCACAGAACCTCAAAGTCTCTGTCTCTCTGAAAGGTGAGTCCAGACACAGAGAGCAGCAGTTGCTAAAGTATTCATCCCGGAAAAGCAGGCAAACAGCACTCTTTTAGGAGCTGAGCCGGGTCAGCTCAACTTTACAAAATACAAGTGGAGTCCAGTTCGTTGCAATTTGGGACAGTGCCATCTCTTAATCTGACTCAGCACCTTAAACAAAAGAAGTGAGAAAATAAATGCAATTCTTGCCATCCATCCCAATACTGAAGAGCCTTGAGAAGAGTGTGGTGAGCCACAGCCAAACTGTACATTGTAAGTGGTTTCCCAGGAGTTTATACTCCAAGTAGGTGGGGGATATATGTGTGGTAAGGATGGGGAGTGAGGTAGAATTTTTTTCAAACATTGGAAAACGTAACCAGTGACATACCAACTATAATAAATTTGTTGGCAGCTGCATGGGGAGGGCATAGTAGGCAGAATTACTCTGAAGACCTTATAGGGAATTTTCTGTTACAATTTAGCAAAATGATAAGATAAAGTAATATTTATTGAATATTTATTATGTGTCAGATATATGAATTATTACATATATATATCACCAACAACCCAATGCGGTTGGTGGTGTTATCATCACCTTCTTACAAATAATGGAACTCAGGCTTTGGAAAGTTTCATAATTGGTCCCATAGCTTAAATCGGTGGAACTGGGATGCCAACCCACTTCATTAGGCTCTAATTAGCATAATGTCCAAGATGTCTTTGATGCAGAATTAGTAGCATCTGTTTTCTTTACAATAAAGTAGTTTCTGGTTAACAACATTAGGAGGAGGGAACATTGCCAGCCTTATTTACAAATGATGACTCCTTTACCGATATCTGTACAGTACAGTGTAAGCTGGAGAGGAAGCGTGGGATAGTGGGAGATGGTTGGGCTGGCTCTGGAACCTGGGTCTGTCTGGCCCAGGCACTGTGGCTACCTTTCTTGGCTTCAGTTTCTTCATCAGTAGACTGTGAGAGCTGGAATACACTGAGTTCTAAGGTTTTATGCAGTGTTCTAATTCTCTGAGACTGGCAAACCTGAGGAAAAGGAGGGGTGTGAAGCAGTGATCTTTCCGCCCCAAGTTCAGTATGGACAGGTGACAAACCAAAGATGTACATGTTTGCTAGAACTCAACATGCTTCATGAGGGTGGGGCCCAGGTCAACTGACCTGCTGAAGTGGGCTCTATGCTTCCTCATAAAGTGGTGGATTGGGAAATCAAAACACTCCCTGAAATTTCTGATTTAACTTGGCCATATTTCATAATTTCAGTATGTTTCTTGATGTATTTTTGAGGAAATATTTTAATATTTTCCCTCAAAATATAAGTGAAAAAACAATATAATACATTGTTTATTATTAAATTGAATTATTATTAAGTCATCAAAATTTTTCTGCTACAGTATAACTACAAGTGAAAAAATAGATCCTCATAAATCTTCGAGATTATTTTTCATTATGATTTCTGAAATCCACCTTTAACACACAATCCATGCACCTGTTTGTTCATCACAGGACTATTCATAATAGCAAAGACCCAGAATCAATCTAGGTGCCCATCAGTGGTGGACTGGACTAACAAAATGTGGTACATTTATACTCTGGAATATAATACAGCCATAAAAAAAGAATGAAATCATGTCCTTTGTGGCAATGTGGATGCAGCTAGAGGCCATTATCCTAAGCCAACTAATGCAGGAACAGAAAACCAAATACTGCATGTTCTTACTTATAAGTGGAGCTAAACATTGAATACTCATGGAAACAAAAGAGGGGAAAAATAGACACTGAGGACTGCTTGAAGGGGAAGGATGGAAAGAGGGCATGGATTGGAAGGCTACATAGTGGGTACTATCCTCACTACTTGGGTGACAAGTCTCAACACACACAATTTACTCATGTAACAAACCTGCATGTGTACTCCCAGAACCTAAACTTAAAGAAAAAAACAACAAAACACAATCCAAGGACTCTGAACTTTCATAAAAATAATAAAGATGTATGACTTTTCATATGGGAAATGTAGTCATTATCACTCAGAGCACCAATCAGAGTTGTGATCCTTGATAACTGAACCTGAATGACAAAGGTGCTAGATGAGTTGAGACAAGTGAAATATTTATAGCTAAACCAAAACAAAAGTCATTTGATATAATTCAACTTGCCAAGAAAGGCAGTGTAAAGGAGTGTTTAAGACTTTTGATTCTTGGTTCAGACAGAACAATTCTAAATTCCAGTTCTGCCACTAACTAGTTGTAACTTTAGTCAAGTCACCCATTCTATCAGAATGTCATTGTTCTCCTCTACATAAAACATGAGAAATAATAATGGTACTTACCTCCATGGACTTACTATGAGAATGAAATGGATTATGTATATAAAGCACCTAGGACCTTGTCTAGTATGGTGTATGCCCTCAATACATGTTACTATTTCTATTGTTAAAAGATAAGTAATTTATCATAAATAACAAGAATCCTTTTTAGCATTCAAGGTATCATAAAAGTATATTTTTCCAAAGAATCATTAGACAATCCATAGTTTAATGTAATTGGAGAAGCAGTAAGAACATTTGCCAAGGACATTTTAGAGCCACGTTAGGTAACCCCTAGGATGTGCATGGAAGTGGCAGTCACTTCTTAATCATAAAGAGAGAACCTGATTCACATGATGAGTTATCTTTAATTTCCCTGCAGTGTTATGTGAAAACAAATACAGCTCTGCACATTGAATATTATTTGATTTTGGGGGATGCCAACTATTGATTGTTAGGGGATGAGGGGATCAGTAATTAAATGTTTGAAGTTGTCAGCTGTGCAGCTGGGGGTGGGGGAGGAGGATGGGATGGGGAAGGGCAGGGGGAGAGAGACAGAAAAAGAAGAGACACGGCCCGCCTGACACTCCAATGACCATCTCATTAATACCCATTCACCAGAGCTTAATATGAAAATGCCTCAGAGAATGGAGAAACTGTTTCAACATGTCATTCCCACAGTAGGTGAGGTGTCAAGATTTCATAACCACGGAATGCCCTGAAGTTAGACACTGCCTTGTCACATTGAAAGTAAAGTCAAGGTGAAAAATGCCATGTTTTCATTGCCAGTGTTGAAATAGGCTGGGGGAATTTAGTATGATGGTACAGACAGGTTTTGTTTCAAGGCAGCCTAAGAGCTTTGTTTGCTTAGATCCTTGCATGTACTCTTGCTGTGACTAGTGAAAGGCTTAAAGATGACAATGAAATTATTAGTAAACCTTCCATGAGAAGGAAAGGAGCACAGCACAATCTCTCTTCTACTTGGGGATGTAGATAAAAATTCCCTTTGTAGAAAGTGTTCACTTAGAGCCTCACACACTGCACAAATATGTAAGATGATCTGTTTGATGATGGGCTTGATATATTGGCATTAAAGGCATTTTGAAGTGATGAGCTAATGTGGAAATTTCAGAAATCATAATGTTAGAAACTAAGTAAAAAATGAAAGCAGCCTGTGAAGTTTCAGCTGGAAGTATGTGGAAATATTTTAAGTTGGTGGCTCTCTGATATTAACTAAAGCATGAAAATGAGAATGAAATACCTTCCCTATCTAGTTTGCAAAGGGCTTGTGATATTAATATACACACAGTCATGCGTCAGTTAATGATAGGGATATGTTCTGAGAAGTGTGCCATTAGGCAATTTCATCCTTGTGTGAACACCAGAGTGTACTTACACAAACCTGGGGTGGTATAGCCTACTGCACACCTAGGCTATATGGTATAGGCTATTGCTCCTGGACTATAAACCTGTACAGCATGTTACTCTTCTGAATAGTGTAGGCAATCATAACACAATGGTAAGCATTTGTGTATCTCAACATAGAAAAAGCATAGTAAAAATATGATATAAATGATTAAAAATGGCCGGGCACAGTGGCTCATGCCTGTAATCCCAGCATTTTGGGAGGCCGAGGCAGGTGGATCTCCTAAGGTCAGGAGTTCAAGACCAGCCTGGCCAATATGAAACTCTGTCTCTACTAAAAATACAAAAAAACTAGCTGGGTGTGGTGGCAGGCACCTGTAATCTCAGCTACTTGGGAGGCTGAGGCAGGAGAATCACTTGAACCCAGGAGGCGGAGGTTGCGGTGAGCCAACATCGCTTCACTGCACTCCAGCCCAGGCAATAAGAGTGAAACTCTGTCTCAAAAAAAAAAAAAAAAAAAAAAAAAAAAAGATTAAAAATGGCACACTTACTTGTGTAGGGCACTTACCATGAATGGAGCTTTCAGGACTGAAAGTTGTTCTGGGTGAGTCACTGACTAGTGAGTGAATGTGAAGGCCAAGGACATTATTGTACACTGCTATAAACACTGTAAACCTAGGCTATGCTAAATTTATTTTTTAAAAGTCTTTCTTCAATAATAAGTTAAGCTTAGCTGACTATAACTTTTACTTTATAAACTTTTTAATTTTTTTAACTTTTTGACTGTTTTGTAATAACATTTAGCTTAAAACACAAACACACAACTATGCAAAATTTTTATCTTTCTGTATATCCTTGTTCTATAAGCTCTTTCCCATTAATGTTTTACTTTTTAAACTTGTTTGTTAAACCTTAAGAAACAAAAGAACACATGTTACCTTAGGCCTACACAGGGTCAGGATTATCAATGTCACTGTCTTCCACCTCCACATGTTGTCCCACTGGAAGGCCTTCAAAGGCAATAAGATGCATGGAGCTGTCATCACCTAAAATAACAATGCCTTCCTCTGGAATACCTCCTGAAGGACTTGCCTGAGGCTTATTCTTTTGTCAAAGACGAAGTCTCACTCTGTCACCCAAGCTGGAGTGTCACCCAAGCTGGCACAATCTCGGCTCACTGCAGCCTCCGCCTCCCAGGTTCAAGGATTCTCCTGCCTCAGCCTCCTGAGTAGCTGGGATTACAGGCATGTGCCACCACGCCTGGCTAACCTGATGCTTTTTTAAATTTTTTATTTTAAGTTCCGAGGTACATGTGCAGGATGTGCAGGTTTGTTACATAGGTAAATGTGTGCCATAGTGGTTTGCTGTACCTATCAACCCAGAGGCTTTTTTTTTTTTTTTTTTTTTTTTTGAGAGATGGAGTCTCATTCTATCCCCCAGGCTGGAGTGCAGTGCCGCAATCTCGGCTCACTGCAACCTCAGTCTTCCGGGTTCAAGTGATTCTCCTGCCTCAGCCTCCCGAGTAGCTGGGCTTACAGGCACCTGCCACCACACTCGGCTAATTTTTGTATTTTTAGTAGAGATGGGGTTTCGCCATGTTGCCCAGGCTGGTCTCAAACTTCTTACCTTAGGTAATCCACCTGTCTCAGCCTCCCAAAGTGCTGAGATTACAGGCATGAGCCACTGTGCTCAGCAACCCAGAGACTTTTTAATAAAGGTTAACTTTTTTTTTATAAGCAGAAGGAGTACACTCTGAAATAATGATAAAAAGTATAGTATACATAACGAGTAACATAGTCATTTATTATCATGATTGAGTATCACATACTGTACATAACGGTATGTGCTCTACTTTTATACAACTGACAGCAGAGTAGGTTTGTTTATACCACCATCACCACAAACACCTGAGTAATGCATTGCACTCTGGCATTATGATGGCTGCAACATCACTAGGCAATAGGAATATTTTTAGCCCTGTTAAAATCTCATGGGACCACCATCACACATTGGTTCATCATAAACTGAAACATTGTTATGCAGTACATAATTGTACCACAATCGCTTTGTGAAATGATAGTATGGTAGCAAGTCACCTAATGAACTTGGAGACTGGTAAATATTAAAGCTGATATAGAGGTTGGATGCAATGGCTCACACCTGCAATCCTAGCACTTTGGGAGGCCAAGGTGGGTGGATCACTTGAGGTCAGGAGCTCAAGACCAGCCTAGCCAACATGGTGAATCCCATCTGTACTAAAAATACAAAAATTAGCCAAGAATGTTTGAACCCGGGAGTCGGGGATTGCAGTGAGCCAAGATCATGCCACTATACTCCAGCCTGGGCGACAGAGTGAGACTCCATCTCAAAAAAAAAAAAAGCCAATATACAGAAGATACTATTGGTTAAAAATACTATGTGATACATGCAGGTGGCTAACCAAGATGCAGGAAGAGTGAGGTAACATTTAAGGTTCGGGTACTGTTGGTTGGGCTTTATATACATTATCACATTTAAGTGTCACATTAACCTTATTGAGTGGATATGACTACGATTGAAATCCTAACAGCTAGTTTTTTATAGGCATTAGCTTGTGTCAGATACTGTGTTAAACGTGTGGCTTAAATTATTTAGTTTACTTATCACATTCCTATGGCATATCTATGATTAGCCTTATTTGACAGATGAGTAAACTGAAGAAGATTCATCATGGTTTCTCAGCCAGAAGTCAAACCCAGATGTCTCTAATATTAGAAGCACTTTACATATAGCAGTAATGAAGTAAAATGTAAATAAATAACAAAAATAAGAATAAAAAAGAAACATCTATTGAGCATTGACTGTATACTAGCCATTGTACTATATGTTTTGCATAGAATATCTTACATAATCCTCACAATCCTATGATGTAGGTATTCTCACAATATCTATTTTACCTCTGAGAAAATACAGGCTTACCAACTTCAAAAGCTTGCCCAGGTTTACACAACTAGTAAGAGGCAAACATGAAACACAATGAGTGTGACTCTAGAACCTAAACTACTAGCCAATTTGCCTGCAATGAAAATAGATTATCAAAATTTTAGGCCTGTTTTTTACTTAAAAAAAAGTCCTTCCTACAAAGTAGGGGTAGTTACGTGAAAAAATGGAGGTCTGTAGGGATAGACTTTAGATTCTTTGGATAGTTTGAGACATCCTGGTTTTCTTACCCACCTGTATGAAACCTTAACCTGCGCCTCTTTTACATAAGTCAGTTTTGCTTTGCAGGACTCTTTATATGGTGTCTCTATGAAATAGGCCACTGCAGGTACTTAACATACATTCTCTGTTTGCCAGAAACTTCCTTAAAGCATGACAGCAGAGTGCTCCCCATCACAGCCCCACCTTATCTGTGCCTCTTGCCTTTAGCTGTGCTTGGCTTCAGAAGAACAATGTGATTTTACTCATGTTGCAAATGAAACAAAATATGCTGAACACTTACCCATTTTTTAATATCATTTTTCATTGCACACAAGCATGCCCATTAATATTTCTATGCTTAAGCATATAACCCACATTTCTTTGGCAACCTACAATTGTACTCCCACCAAAATATAATTTAGCCATTCAATTTACCAATGAGTCACAGATTAAAAAATAGGTTTTTTTCTTATTTACTTAGCAGGATATTATAATTTTTTAAAAAACAAGAGTTGGTGTTCTTTGGCCCATAAGAATCATTCATTAATGTAATGACATTAAATATGGTGGTCATGTCACCCTTGTCTTGCAGTATAATTTTCTTACTCTTATTAGAATAAAGATGAACTAAAGCCATAATCACTCTAAATCACATTAAGCAGGTTTTTTTAAAAAATTTTTTCTTTCCATAAAAAGGTCTGTATTATTCAGCTCACTTACCCGTTCTTCTCTATGTTAAGGAAAATATTCCTGATTCGGAAGGCTGTCCTGTATCAAAGTTTATTTTTCCTTGAATAATAGCCAAATTGTATTATTCCTGATTTTCTGTGTGGTTACTTGGTATCATTTTACTAAATAATGGTTGTTAACTCATCTGGATGTTTTTGGTTTTATAACCTGTGTAAGGAGTTATTTGAACATCAGAAACAGTGATAAATCAAATGTGATTTAGAACCAGACCTAAGAATTCCAAAGAGGGGGAAAAAAATTCTTCAGAGAGTTTGGCTTGCAATAAAACAGGATTGTCATGTTTTTAGTGTTGTCTGTTTTGTGTTGGGGGGAAAAAGATCATCCTTTTTGTCCATACAGTCACTCTCTGGTATTATCTCCATCTGGCTGTCTCTACAGCCTTGGGCCTCTTAGCTCTGAGTAAGTGTGTACCAGCAGCTATTAATAGCTGAATTCTACAACATTCTGCTGTCACAGATGGAATCTGAGCTTCTGAACACTAAGACCATAAAAACTCATTACAAAGAAAGCAGTACATTCTTTGGCACTTAATGCAATTAAGCTGTCTATAAATAAGGAACATTCTGAAAGCAATGCACCAGCCCTGATTCTAGTTTGTAGATCTCACCCACTGATTTGGTCATTGATACAGAAGTTTCTCTTTTATGATGTTAAATGGATCTGAGTATTAATCTAAGAACTATATGTGAAACAGCAAGAGAATGTCTTTTTTTTTTTTAAAAAAAGTAAAAGTAATATTTTAGGGTATAATAGAAAATTCCATTACAACAAAGAAAAGGGAAAATAAAACCTTCAACTAGAGAATGTGCATTATGGATGGTAGAATTCATGGGATAATGCATGATCATGCAGGAGGGGGCTGCTCCTAACCTCCTTGAGTTGCAACTATTGCAGCAGCCAGGACGCCACCATGAAAGAAAGCGTACATGATTGTCTGTCTCTGTCTCTGTCTCTGTCTCTCTCTCTCTCTCTCTCTCTCTTCAACTAGGCCATGGAGACTCCCAATTCTTTTTCCCCTGAGCAAGGCAGAGATTGCTCTCTTTCTCAAGGAACTGTCTTAATATTACTAAAGTGTAGGAAGACGACAGAAAAAGGGCTTAATGTCTATTTCTGGGCCCTCTTTCTCCATGATCCCCTTTCCTTCCCAGTATTTACCGACAGAATTAAAGGATTTATTAAATCAGATTAACTGCTTGTGTCATCTCTTCTACCCTCAGTAATATCAGAGCAGCAAAGCCAGGAAAGTGAAACCCAATGCTGTGCATGGAGTCGATACTTTATCAATACTTATTATATAAATGAATGGGAGAAATTTCCTTTATTTTCTCATTTTGTTAGAATGTGGATTCTATGAGGGCAAGACTATATTGGTTTTGTTCACTTCTCTATCCCTAACATCTACCACAATAAACATTCCTGAAAAATACATAAATAAATGGAGTTAAGGCAGCTTGCAAGCTCTTGAAAGGGTTCATGCAAATTTCTTCTCAGCTCTGTGCTGAAGCATAATGCCTCAGTCTTTACATAAGACATTTTGAAAATAACCGATGTGTTCTGGGTGCTCTTTCCCTTTTATTCGTATTGTATTTTACCTTACTCTATGCCTTGATCTATGGTCTGTGCTACATTTTTTGTTGTAGCTGAGAACAGAATTTACAAACACAAATCTCCCAATGGTACTTTGAAAGTGATTCTCATCTGAAATAAAATAAATTCACTTAGGAGCATAGCTTATCTCCTTGAACTAGAGATTTGAAAATTTCTCCTAATTCCCTGGCAATTCAGCTAGGTCATATTTTTATTACTGTAGTTATTCCAAGCATGCACATAAGCCCCTATGATATCCTTGGTCCCAAGGATACGGTATTGATTATGACAGAAAAAGTAGCCATACCTTTGTGGACTTAAAATGGGGGAAAAGAATGGGGAAGAAGCAGAAACTTAAGCAGTTTCAATAAAATGTAAGTGCTAACTTTAGTTCAAATATTTATTGAGCACCTGTGATGAGCTAGTGTTCCAGTAAGGTTGAAAACATAAGGTATAGATTCGAAAAGCCAATTAATATAAGTTAGATAGCAAGGTAAAAAACAGATATTCCAGGGCAATAGATGATTTGTTGACAGATGTATGGTGTAGGCAGAAGTGATATGTATGCAGAGAAAGATTAAATTACTGTAAGTTGGAGCCATCTGTGAATGTTCTTGGAGGGAGGGGAATATCAACTGGATCTTTAAGAATGGGGAGGATTTAAATGGATGAGAAGTAATGGCACTAAATGCAATTTTTAAATGGTGTAATTATTAAAGTTGCTGAGTTTTGAAAACGCCACCAGAATGCATTTTAATTGAATTTCTTTATGCTGCACAAAAAGTAAGTTCTAGTTGGTTCATGGATACTGACTTGGTAAATTGGTAGGTGGTAAGTTAGTGTTCTTGTGATTCCAGCAGCTTGTGCAACCTCTGGTTTGTTACATCATGGAAACTGAAGATTATCTTGGGTTAGATTCACAAAGCAAATTTTCCCTTATCCCCCTCCTCCTAAAAAAGCTTATTTTCAGGGTGGTCTCTAAAATGCTAGACTTAGGCTCTCTAAGGTTCTACTTCAGAATAAGGGATCCAAGAAGTTTTGGCCAGCTCCTAATTTAACCTATACCTAGAAGACTCATTTAGATTTAGAAGGCTGTAGGCATGATGGTTGAGAATTTGAATTCAGAATAATCCGATGTCAAGTTTTGTCTCTGCCACCCTTTATTATGTTGGGCAGGATATTTAATTATTCCTAGATCATTTAAAGAGAATGTGTTCAGATTAAATCATGACTGGGGCATTTTTAAAAAAGAAATGCCAAGTACCGAGGAAGTGGCAATGATGATGAGCCTAGAGATGACTGAGACTTTGGGTATTAATCTTTGAATTATTTACCGGATATAAATTTTACAGCTTCTACACTTCTCTACTTTCTTTCAAGTGAAATTCTTCTTATATCTATAACTCATAAGATTCCCCTGGCATGAGATGGATCCTTCATTCCCATAGGCCTGTTCTGAATTGGAGGAGACAACAAAAACTTCAATTATTAATGCTATTAATGCTCTGTCAAGAATATCTTACTACATGTGATACCAACAACAAAAAAAGTGGCATGATAAATGCTTGCTTTCATAGCATGTCATAGCACACTGTCATAGCATGTCACAGTTTGCAAAATACTTTAAAATATAGCACTGCATACTTTAAACTACAGCACTTCCAAAAAGTTAGTGGCTTTCAATCACCTCTTTTTACAGTTAAAGAAACTGAGGCAGAAAAAGTAACTTGACTCAACCAGGTTATCAGCTAATAGGTGGAGGAGCCTAAATTTGAATTCAGTTATTTCAATCCATCCATAAGTATTTCTTTAACCCTTACACTTATAGTCTGTTTGGAAAGAAAAAACACTTATGATACAAATAGAAATGCAAGCAAGTGCAATGATAGAAATGCAAGCAAGTGCAAATTCATGTACCTCAATGTGGTTGTTAATATCTGAAGGGTAAAAGAGTAAAAAGAGATACTTTATTGAGGTAGCCTAAACAAATCAAAGCTTGTTAGGAAAGCAGAATACTAGGAGATACTATGTGTTTTCTTTTTCCAAATAAACATGGAAGTGTGGGCCACTGCACTGTGAGATAACACATCATTTCTGAATGTGTGTCTCCTGCTGAACCAAAGAGGAGAAACAGCTGCTTTCCCAGCACCATGGACAGCTCAGCAACCCTCTGAAGGGTTGTTCCATACACAGCATGAACAAAGTCGTGTCTATGTGATAACGTCGGCTCTGTGAAACCCAGGGGAACTGACCTGACCTTGTAATGTGAGGAACGTAAATTTAAAATATCAGCGGAGTTGCATTAAATGCTTTTTCAGGAGGTTTCATTAATGTCAATAAGTATGAAACATTTAAAATTATTGATTTTTGGCTGGGTGCGGTGGCTCACGCCTGTAATCCCAGAACTTTGGGGAGGCTAAGGCGGGTGGATCACTTGAGGCCAGGAGTTCAAGACAAGCCTGGCCAACATGGTGAAGCCCTGTCTCTACTAAAAACACACACAAAAAATTAGCCAGGTGTGGTGGTGGGCACCTGTAATCCCAGCTACTCAGGAGGCTGAGGTGGAAGAATCATTTGAACCCAGGAGGCAGAGGTTACAGTGAGCCGAGATTGCACCACTGCACTTCAGCCCCATCTCAAAAAAAAAAAAAAAAGTATTGATTCTTGCATTTTTCTCAATTTAGGACTAAGAGAGGCTTAATTAATTATTATGAAGAGTTTTCATACAGTTTTCTTTCTATCTCTGTTAAAGCCCGTTTCAAAAATTACCACTCTACCACAGTGTGTGTCATGAGTCTACTTTTTCTAGTGCATACTCCCTTCCTCTTACCCAATGCTTTCCCCCAAAACTCAACTATTCTATGTATGGCCAACCCTCTTCTGTGATGATAAGAACCAAATGAAAAGCAATAGATGCTAATTCTATAGCTATTGAAGGTACCCTAGGGAGCCAAAGAGCTAACTCACAAATTGGAAATCATATAACATGGCTGCTCTACCAGCAGTATCTGCCCTTATTGGCCTGAAAACTAGAGATGGTCATGAGGAACACAAATTGAGGCAAACTCACTACCAATGTGAACATCTTCCCTGTGATTCTTTCCATGTCATGAATCTCCATCTGATTTTTAAGGCTGGGTTGGGAGGATGAGACTGACTCTATGTTCTAGGCTTTTGGAATAGAAATAGCCTCATGTTCAATAAGCTTTCTGCTCTTCAGTAAATTATGTTGCCATCAGATTTGACATAATTACATATATACATTTCAAATCCTACTTTGTGTAGCTTCCTGTGACATCTGATAGAGGGGAATTTGTGGCTTAGCTGCTTATAAGTGAAGAAGATGACAGTGGAAACCTGTTGGGAGAGCACTTGGTGTTTGTACCTGCATTCACTTTGCATGCACATCTACTACCAGGGATCCAGGAGGGAAATGGAGTGCTACCCCTAAGCTTTCAGATGGTACTTGCTGACTTGTAAGCAAGGACCATTACAGCATAAGTTTGGTTGAGCCAACTTTTCTTTTTCAAATTAACTTGAAATGAGGCAAACAGGGACTTCTGTTTGGCTATGTTTTGCAAAAATCACTGTTAACACACAGGTGGGCTACTAAGGGCTGTTATTTTTTCAAGTTATTAAAAGGAAAATTCAGAAAGTTAGGGAGAAGAATTATTTTATACTTCTGCTTGAGAAGAACAACATATGTTTGTCATGGATGATTGAATCCATTTCCAAGATTTTAAACTTTAAAGTGGACGTGGCACTATGACATTAGGAATGAGGTTACCAGATAATTTTTAAGTTAATTCTCGAAATTAAACTACTTGGAAAATCTGTTCTTCCCATCTCAGTGCACGTTCTGCTCGTTATGTGGTGTGCCGTCTAAGTAAACTCTGGGCCAGGTGCAGTGGCTCACGCCTGTAATCCCAGCAATTTGAGAGGCCGAGGAGGGCAGATCACGAGGTCAGGAGATCAAGACCATCCTGGCTAACATGGTGAAACCCCGTCTCTATCAAAAATAAAAAAAATTAGGCGGGCCTTGTGGTGGGCGCCTGTAGTCCCAGCTACTCAGGAGGCTGAGGCAGGAGAATGGAGTGAACCTGGGAGGTGGAGGTTGCAGTGAGTCGAGATCATGCCACTGCACTCCAGCCTGGGCGACAGAGCAAGACTCCATCTCAAAAAAAAGAAGAAGAAGAAGAAGTAAACTCTGGCCACAGAGCAAGTCCACCATAGGTAGTGATATGCAGGCTGTCAGATGAAATCTCCAGATTGAAACCAGAACAGGGGGCTGAGCTCCAAACTGGAGAAGAAGCATGTGTAACCTTTTGGTTCACATGGAGGGAGTGTCTCCAAACAGTCCCTTTTGCCAAAAGACTCAGCTTTCCTTAAATATAAAGAAAAACAAAAGTCTTTTTTTCTCAAGGATGTAAGAATGATGTTTGCAATTTGCTCACTTCTTCCTACAAGTTCTAAATTTGGGGACTGCATTGCTTTTAGTTTTAAGGAGGTTATATAAATCTAGATGACAAAGGCACGGAAAGACTTATCTTGGTGCTTTAGTGGTGATAAAAGAAGCTTATTTCTTCATTTAGCAAATGTTTACTGAATATCTACTATGTATCAATCACTGTTTCATGTGTTGGTCATAAAGAAGTGAGCAAGATCAAGATTTCTCTCTTTTCTAATAATAATCTGTGGGAGGAAGAACCCACAAAGCAAATGAGAATTTTATATGTTGATAAATGGTATGGAGAGATTAGGACAAGTTAAGGATATAGAGAGTGGGTGGTAAACAAATATATTAGATGGAGAAGTATTCTTGACAGGACAACCTAAAAAGCAAAAAAAAAAAAAAAACCAAAAATGAAGAAAATTTAGGGAATGAGGACTTCCTGGAGAGAAAATAGTAAATGCAAAGGCCCTGGAGCAGTAATGAATGTGGAGAGTATGAGAAACAGAAGACCAGTGCAACCTGAGTATGATGACTGAAACAGACAACAGTGGTATGAGAGTTAGGCAGGATCCAGACCATATGGAGGCTTGGAGGCCATGAAAAGATGGGTGATTTTATTTGGAGAGCAAGGAGAAGTCACTGGAGGGCTTAGAAGCAAGAAAATGATGTAATCTGAGTTATGCTTTCCAGAAGATCGCTCTTTCAAATGTTCATCCTCATTTGCAAGGCTCTGCTCTAAATTGAGGAGCCAGTCCTTCTTCTGGCATCTTACCAATTTGTTATTTTACGAACTTTCTTTTCTTGTAAAATAAGCATATTTAGGAAAACTACACAGCATAGTACAAAGGATTGGACAGCTATATCATTTTTAGATGGACTCATTTTTGAAATGTGAGACAATGTTTTACACGGAAATAACACTCAAAGGCTGAGTTCTAGTCTTACTTGGGCCACGGATTCACTGTGTGTTCTGAACACAGTTACTTACGTTGTCAGTGTGTATTTTGCCATTGGTAAAATGTGAATATGAATATTAGTAGTTCCTTTGCTTACTTTGCATAAATGGGAATTTACAATGTGGCATCATACTTGAATATGCTTTTTATGACACTGAACCAGCTGAAAGTTAAATCCATTCATGTAATTAAGCTTTTTTTTTTTTGGCAGAGTACTAGGCACATGAGGTCTAAATAGTTTTAATAATAGTTGCCATTTTATTGAGTCTTAACTGAGTGTTAGTTAGAATTTTTTCACTTATTTCTAATTTCAACTCTATTATCTTTTTTTGAAGTGAGAAAAAAGGGGGCTTAGGGAATTTACTTTCCCAAGCTAGTAAGAGATGACTGAGGTTTCACCCCAACTCTGTTTGCCCCCAAAGCCTGTGCTGTTAAGTTCTGCTGCTTTTTAGGACTCCAGGGCTAAGCCTAGAGGCAGGGCTAGCAAACCTTAGTACATTGTGATATACATCCACAAAGTGCTGTGACAACCAGAGAAGGGAGAGCCATGCTTAGCTGTTTCATGGGAGGGTGGGCTCATGCTTTGAGCTTGATCTACAAGGATAAATCAGAGCTTCAAGGGGGCATTAATGGGTGGTATGACAGTGAAGAAAGGAGGTCTCAGAAGATAAAAATAGCCTTAAGAGACATCTAGAAATGGGAGAGAAGAGTATGGTATTAAGGGATGGCAGGTGGGTTGATGTATTTGAGGATTTGTGCAATTGTACATGTGTGTAAGCACATGCATGTGCACGTGTTGTCTGTGGATATATATATAGGTGTTGGAGATTGTGTATTGTGTGTGTTTCTCTGTGGATATTTTTTAGTATGTGAGAAGGTTGTGTTGTGTGTGATGTGTGGTGAGTGACCTGGTGAGAAGCCAGGGTGTGGCTGAATGTACCACTGTCAAGGAGGCGGAATGATGGAAGGAGGGAGGCCTATTAGAAGGCGATGCACTAATCTTGGTGAGAGATGGTATGGCCCAGGACTAGCGCAGTGCAGAGGGCATGGCGTGGAAAAGGAGATTTATGAGAGGGATATTTTGAGATAGAATTAGTAGGGCTTCTATCTAGGTCAATGGTGCAGCTGAGAAGTGCTCAGAATGAATCCTGTGTCTCTAGGTTGGCAATTTGACGGATGGAGTCCTAGGAACTTAAATGAAGAAAGTAGCAGCAGAGGAAGATTTGGAGAGGGGAGGAGACGGAGGTCAATTTAGGACTCAGTGAGTTTGAGCAGCCTGACGTTCCACATGGAGATATCAGTGTTGCAAGTGGATTTGGAAATATGGTCTAGAGCTCAGTAGAGGTATAGCCTAGAGGAATAGTAATGGGAAGAAAATATCCCCAAACAGCATGGCGTTTTTTATATATAATATTGCAGTAGTGTGCTTTTGTGATCACATTGCTCTTTTATATTGCATTTTAAAATTCCACTGAACACAGGAGGTTTTCTGAAGGAGTGTTTTCTGCCCCTGGGAAACTATTGGCCAATTCTCAATTATCCACAAATGAGAATCCATGCCAATTGCTTTTATTCTTTAACTGGCTGCTCCATTTTACCTAGCATGGTTTTTGTTTTGTTTTGTGTGTTTAAAATTTTTTAATGTTTAATTGACACAAAATTATTGTACCTATATGGGTACAATGTGATGTTTTGATACATGTATACAATGTATAATAATCAAATGAGGGTAATTAACATATCACCTCAGACATGTATCATTTCTTTGTGGTGAGAACACTCAAAATTCCTGCTTCTAGATGTTTTGAAATTACAATATCTTATTGTTAACTATAGTCACCCTTCTGTGCAACAGAACACCAGAACTTATTCCTCCCATCTAACTGGCTTTGTACCCATTGACCAACCTCTCCCAATCCCCTATTTCTGGTAACCACAATTCTACTCTCTACTTCTCTGAGATCAACATTTTTAGATTCCACATATGAGTGAGATTGTGTGCCTATTTGTCTTTCTGTACCTGGCTTTGACTTATCATAATGTTTTCTGGGCTCATCCATGTTGCTGCAAATGACACAATTTCATTTTTTATGGCTGAATAGTACTCCATTGTATTATACATTCAATTCTTATCTTGGCTATTGTGAATGGAGTTGCAGTAAACATGGGAGTGCAGATATCTCTTTGACATACTGATTTCTTTTCCTTGGGATATATACCAAGTAGTGGGATTGCTGGACCATGTGGTAGTTCTATTTTTAATTTTTGACAAATCTGCCTAGCATGTTTTTAAGGGTATCTCTGTAATTTCTTTAAAAAAAGCAAATTCATTTTAATATACATTCATACAAAAAAACATAGAAAGCTAAATCTTATGGAGGAAACGATAACTATTCCAAAGCTAGATGGAGCTAGTTTTTAAATAGTACATTTTCTGGAATTACCTTTTTCACTTCCTTATTCTTTTGTTAGGAAGGTCAGGAGTTGACACTTTGCCATCTCCACATTCAAAGAGAGGTGCCATGTTGTATTCCATTTCAGCTCTTCTGTTCTGTGGTTGTGTCTCTCTCTGCATACTCCCATCCCACCCCAGTGTTCTATTTACTCCAGATGATTTCTTGAGAATGTGCTCATCCTTAGGTTTTGTAGTATTTTGCAGAGAATCTTTTCATGACAAAAGGAGAACTCTCCATGTAGCCCACTGAGAAACTGTTAGTGAAGAAAAAACATCTTTATCTCACAACACAGAAGATGCAGGAGAGCAGCAGCCTGGTGGTGAAAGTGATGAATCAGCTCAGATTTACAGATTCTTGGCCCCAAAATAGTTCATTTTCAAAATATATTATTCAGAGCAAGGCCTGAGCAAGAGAAAGAATTAGAGCTGATTTTCAGCTGGAGATTTTGTGCCCGAGAAGAAAGCCTGCACTGATTTGTAGGCATAACTGACCTTGGTAGGAATGTTTGATTTTCAAATGCAGAGAAGGCCATCTGTTGGTTCTTGAGGGTAGGGGAAAGAGGCATAATGATCATCTTTACAGCATGCTGTACTTTATCCTTGGTCAGAAACTTTTGCAGGCCTTGTGCCAATTCTTCAGACACTATCTTTACATCGGGGAGTCAAAACTTGGAGGTTAAAGTAATGGCTCAAGGTTACCCAAGGAATTCATGGAAGAAGATAGACTAAAACTCACATCTCCTCATGTCCAGGCCAGCATCCTTTCTATTAACCTGTTAATGTCAAATCCCTACCATTACTTCCTCTATCATCTTAGCCAAGCTACTTAGTCTCTCTGGGTCTCAGATTTCTCATCTGTAAAGTAGAAAAAATGAAACTATATCATGGGTCACTGAGAAAATTACATAACTTAAGATGCAAGGGGATAGAACCCGCACATGGTAAGGTGCTCAAAATATGTGAGTTCCCTCGGAACAATGGGGTGAATGTTGGTGATGTTTCTTCAATATGTTTTCAAGAAGAGCTCAGTGGCTTATAAATCTTGGGGCAGGGATGGGGACATCTTATCATATGGAATAAGAGTGAGGAGAAAATGCCCATCAACCACCAAGTTAGAGGGAGCAGAGATTGTGTTGAAGGGATTATAAAAATCCTCGTGATTTTTTTTTTTTTGCAGTGAATTTTTTTTAGCATAGATGAATGTCTTTGCAATTTATTTCATTAATTATTCAACAAATATCGTTTGGCTGTCTTATGTGCCAGACACAGTACTAAGTGCTATGGCCACAGCAGCTATCAAGACAGCTTTCCATGCCCTCGTAGAGTTTAAAATTTGGCGGGAAAGACGTACTTTGATCAAATAGTCACAAAAGGAGTATATAAACTCCTAGCAGGATGGCTCCTCTGTAATGGAGTCATCATAGGCTGTGCTGAGA
The DNA here is from genome assembly GCF_000001405.40 of Homo sapiens. Lineage (NCBI taxonomy): Eukaryota > Metazoa > Chordata > Mammalia > Primates > Hominidae > Homo > Homo sapiens. Next base: position 146,818,092 of record NC_000005.10, on the reverse strand, counting down.
TAACCTGACCCAGTCTTACAAGATCAGGGAAGGCTGCCCTGAAGAAGTGATCTTAAAGTTAAGGTTTGGGCATAGGGCAGCCCTGCCAGGCAGACAAAACAGCATAGGCAAGGCCATGAGGTGGAAAGGGATCCATGACTTTGGAGAAAAGGAATTGGTGCAGAGCAGTGTGAGCAAATGGGAGGATGGTGTTTTATGGGAGCCAGAGTCATGAACTGATTTGATAATTTTAAATTGGCATCAGAATAAATTGTTATGAAATGGGTGGCAGAAATATTTGACCGTTGGTCAAAGAAATGAAACTGAGCCTAGATGAGAGATGTAAAGTGGCGCATACCACTAAGTTGTGAATAGTGATTGCCTTGGGAAAATGAGCTTGGAAATGGGGGAGACTTTTATTTTACGAGTTTCCATAAATTTTTGAAAAATATTTTACAACAAGCCTATGTTACTTTAGTCATTAAAAACCCTAGTTAGAGACTTTTATGCAACAAATTGGAGCCTTTTCAAATCCTGTTCCAGGATCTACATTAAAAGGGAAAAGGCTCACAATAAAAAAAAATTGTGTGAGATGACGGAAATATCAATTTGCCTGATTTACCATTTCACAATGCACACATATATTAAAAGATCACACTGTACACTATAAATATATGCAAATTTATTTGCATATAAATACATTTATCATCAAAGTTTTAAAAATGGTGGTGGTGGGATGGAGGTAGCATCTCTGTCCTAAGTGGTGAGCATCTAGGCCAGGTGTCCAAGTCAGTGGGGAAGAGAAAAATGTCTTAGGCTTTCTGGTTGATGACATTGGGAATGTTTACCTTGGGAAAGAGGAGATTTGCATAAGTACCTTAAATGTCATTCTGATTGAGTTTTAGGATGAGTCACAGCTGGAAGGAGGAGGCAGAAAAGAAAGATCTTGACACTCTAGATGATGGGCCAAATGTAGCAACATGAATTGTGTGGGGATCAATGCCAGTATCTTTCCTGAGGTTTTACAAAGCCACCTGCCTGCATACAGGGAGGGGAGTAGCCCTCAAGAGCAACGCTCATCACAACAAGCCTCCAGGGTCTTGGTTAACTCCAAGAGGAAGTCAAAAAGTCATGCAGCTGCCAAGAAAAGGTATATGTTGTTTGACAGCATTGATAGAAATCTGTCTAGTTTAATTCTTAACCACTGGTATTCATCAAAATCACCTGACAGTCTTTTTAAAAATATGCTCAGGCCCCACCCAAACTGACTGTATTCAAATCTTGGGGAGAAGGGATAAGGAATTAGAACATGGATTTTGGAATCAGCTCCTCCATATGGGTCTCTGACTTTAAAAACTGACAAAAGACTCTTCAATGTTAAAGGAGCTACAATCTTAAATTTTTAATTTCTGAAATCATGTTTAATAAAAAACCTGTGTTTTTATTTGATTATTGAAGTAATTTTTGGACAATGCAGTCTTCATGCTAAGTTTTCTACTTACTCAAATCAGTTTTAAATAAAATTGAAATCATGTTGAATGCATCATTTTGTAATGTGATTTCATTTAATATTCTGATATGGATATTTTTCTATGCTCTTTAGCATAATGTTTAATAGGCGCATAAACTCTATTATAGAAGATGACCAAAATTTACTAAATTTCTATTGTCATATATTTGGATCTTTTCCAAAATGTTTCAGTATTGTTGTTTTTGGAGATAGTCTCACTCTGTTGTTCAGAGTGGAGTGCAGTAGTGCAATCATGGCTCACTGCCGCCTCAGCCTCCTGGGCTCAAGTCATCCTCCTAGCCTCCCTAGTAGCTAAAATTACAGGCTTGTGCTGCCATGCCCAGCCAATTTTTTAATTTTTTTGTAGAGATGGAGTCTCGCTTTGTTGCCCAGGCTGGTCTCAAACTCCTGGGCTCAAGCGAGCCTCCTGCCTCAGCATCCAAAAGTGCTAGGATTACAGGCATGAGCCCACTATTATTAATAATACTGTAAGTGTGTGCCACTACACTTTGGAGGGGAATATTGATATAGTGGAGTGGTCAAGATAGTGGAGGTTTCATAATCTTGATATTAGGAACGGCTGAAAGAACTTTAATCTGGAGCAGACTTAGGTTGGAGGAGTGGTGAATATCTTCAAATATTTGCAGGGAAATCAAACAGAAAAGAAGTCAATTTGTTTTGCCACCCTCAAAGGGCACGACTAGGAGCAATTGGGAAAAATTTCAACAAAGCAGCTTTCAGCTCAAAGTAATAGATTTTTAAATAATGAACAGTTTTGATGATCTTGCTTTCCCTATCCTTAGGGATGTTCTGAGCATGAGTTAGCATTTGTAAAGAATATAATTGAGACTATTCAGATTCCTAAAGTGTGTGTGTGTGGAAAAGTGGGGATAGGTTAAAATGGAGTCACAAACCAGGAGCCCGCAGGCTGCAACCCAACAGTAAAAGGGTCTGTCCAGCTAATCAACCCTTCTAAACAATTTGAATTCAAATGCCTTTAGGCAGAACATTCACTCCTCAATTAGCCACAAGCCACGCCCTTCCTCTTAAGTATTTCACTTGCGTGCACTCCTGAAGGCATTTAGTTTACCACCCCTAGTAGGTACTCTAAATCCTTTGATTCTGTGAATATCATTTATTCATTCAGATGCTTAGTGAGCACCTACTGTGTGTCAAGTATTGTGCAACCTGCTAAGATAAAAATTAACCTGACAGATGGCCTCTCTGCTCTCAATAAGCATACAATGAAAGTGTGTGCAGGAGTGTTGAATGAATATACATTGGAAGAGGAAATCCGGGTTTTGTAATTAACTCCAGAAGGTCTTAAGACCAGTGATGATGTTAACAGCAGAGAGTGCTTTGGCTTGTTAAGAGGAGGAACTTTCATAATCCAGTTCACAAGGAAGAGAATGGACCTTGCTGGAAGCATTGGATTTCCCCCAGCAGACTAGTGTAGGCAGTGCCAGCATGCACATCCTTCAGGGATGATATGAAGGAGATTCCAGCTCTGCAGAAGTAGGATAGATGGCTTCCATGTCTCCTTCTACTGTAAGTGTTAGCAGCGGAACGTATCTGAGTCACGTGGCACCAAAGTATGTTACCAGAGGCAAATCTGTACAGGTCTACAGCAACCTCAATTCTTGCCTCCTCAGAAGAAAGAATTCAACTGAGGGGCATAAGACAGAAGGAGAGACCAAGGCAGGGGTGAAAGGAAGGAAAGTGCACTTGGAAGAGGGCCAAGCAGACAACTTGAGAGATCAAGTGCGCAGTTTGACTTTTGACTTGGGGTTTTTCCATGTTGTCATACCTCTGGGGTCTTATGTTCTTTCCTGATTCTTCCCTTGGGGTGGGCTGTCTGCATGAGCAGTGGCCTGCCAGCACTTGGGGGGGACCACATGTGCAATGTGTTTACTAAAGTTGTATACATGCTCACTTGAGGTGCTTTTCCCCTTACCAATCCAGTGTTCCAGAGGGAGGTAATCTGCCATTTTGCCTTAGTGCGCATGCTTGAGCCCATTCACCCAACTCCTGAGATCTTATCAGGAAGCTGCTGATCACCAGTTTCAGATGTTTCTGTCTGTTGGGAGACTTTCCCATCTATTGGGTGCCTTTCCCTGGCACTGGCCATGACCAATTATTATTTTAGAGAGACAGTTAACACTGCCTGACCATCACCTGATGGTCTCCTGACATTCCTGGTGTGTGTTGCAGGGGAGGCCTCTCCTACTCTGCTCATTTCTGAATAGCTACCTACTGTAACATAAGGACCTGTCATCTTTGGATTTCATGTAGAAGAGCTACAAGGGAAGAAAGCAGCGTTTGAAGAAGATGGCAAATTAGAAAACTAACATTGTCTCCCCAAAAAAGAGAAAAAAAAAGACCATAGGATATGGAGGGTTTTTTTTTTTTTTTAGCTGTTTTCTCTACCTTCAGTATTTATTTGGGGAGGGAGTGTTTTACCCCCATTCTGATGCTCATAATCTATTATAAAGCATTTACTGAGTGCATACTTTGTATGCACAGTTTTCAGTCCCTGTTCTATGTGTCCGAAGTCATGGCTTTAACTGCCACAATCCACTGCCTTACTGATATTCTTCAAGTGAGAGGGTTTAGCAATTTTACTTCCCTTTTCTCCTGCCTTCTCCTGAGTGTGGTGTTGTCTCTTCTCTGTTCTTGCCACTTCCTGTCCTGGTCTAAACTGTTGCCATCTTGCCAGGACTCCTCCTGCTTGCTCTCTCCGTTTCTGTCCCATTTATTCCTGGATTCTCCTCCTCTTGCTGCCTGTCAACCCTTTCTTTCTTTCACCAGTTTTCCTTCCTGCTGCTTAAGCAAGTCTCCTCATCTTTTGATTATTCGGCTATTTGGGAGGCAAACTCGTTCAGACAGCAGGTGTTCTAATAACTGAAATAGCAGCGGAGCAGAGCAGTGGAAAATAGAAGGTTTCGACTTTGAATTAAGAGATGGAGCTCTTAAAAAGGAGGTGTTTTATTGATGCTAAGAAACTTTAAAAATTATCTTGCCATGTGGCCTGCTTCAGCTCACTGAGGACCCGGACAGCTGCCAGTGCCTACTTGGATTTGTCTCCATGGAACCGAGCGACACACTGATTCATACCTCTAAGCGTTGCTTCCACTTGACTTCTACAAAGAAGGGTCTGTTGGTTTTGGAGGGGCATACTATTTGGTACAAAGTTTATAGGTAACTGTGCTTGAAGAAGCTGCTCCTGAGGTTGGGCATGAGGTAATATTTATTCTTAGTGACATTTTCAAAAATATGCATCCAAATAATGTAACTCCAAAATTGTTGGTGTAGAAGTTGAATTGGTATGTGAGGTATGTGTGTTTGTGTGTAAAGAGAGGGGTTTTTTTTAATGATTATTAAAAGGCTAAGATTTATTAGGTGCTTCCTATGCACTAGGCACTGCTTCATACTCTACATATAGCATATATACATATATATACACACACACACTATATATATAGCTTCATTCATAGTATATGTATATGTAGATATATATATGTCCTGGCTGGATGATTCACCAGATGTGTGACTTTGGGCAAATTACTTGCTCTATCTGAGTTTCCCCATCTGGTATGGTTTGGCTGTGTCCCCACCCAAATCTCATCTTGAATTGTAGCTCCCATAATTCCCTCCTGTTGTGAGAGGGACCCAGCGGGATATAACTGAATCATGGGGGTGGTTTTCCCCATACTGTTCTCATGGTAGTGAGTAAGTCTCACACAATCTGATGGTTTTATAATGGAAATGTGTGTGTATATATATATATATATATATATATATATATATATACACACATATACACACACACACACATTAAGTAACTCTAGTGATAGCAGTATATATATATATATATATATAAAGTAACTCTAGTGATAGCAGTGTATATATATATATATATATATATATATATATATACTCTTCTGAGGACTAAGTAACTCTAGTGATAGCAGTATATATATATATATATAAAGTAACTCTAGTGATAGCAGTGTATATATATATATATATATATATATATATATACTCTTCTGAGGACTAAGTAACTCTAGTGATAGCAGTATATATATATATACTGTATATATATACAGTATATATATATATACTGCTATCACTAGAGTTACTTAGTCCTCAGAAGAGGCCTGGGAAAGTAGTAGTGCTATTATCCTCATTAGTTCAGTTCAGAGAAGACAACTTGCCCAAACATAAACAAACAGATAAGTACTACAACGAAGCCTCCTTAGATCTACTAGGCTCCAGAATCTTCATGCTGAAGAGAAACTTTGTTATTTTGAGGCAAATGAGATACCATCCATGTGTATAGTTCTTATACCTTTGCAAGCTGTTTCACATATATTTGGATTTTATTCTCACCCCATGAGGTCAGAGTGCCAGGTTTCACTTTCCTCTGTTTTGAGCTAAGAGGGAAACTAAGGTTCAGAGAGGTAATGGAAACTTCCACACGTCACAGAACTAGTTAGTGACAAAAGTCCAAAGTTAACTCAGAGCTCTTGGGCCCAGTTCCCTGTAGCATGCCAATAAGACCACTAATCCAGGCTCCTGATCTCTTAGATTAAACTGGGCAAGTCTGTATCTCAACTTCCCCAGTGAGTAGGAGTTCATTTAGCAAATATGCATCGAGATGTGATGAATGAACAGTGTGTCAGGCATAGTGCCAGGCTTTAGTGTGATAGTGACAGATAATACATAGTTGATTCTGGCTGGGCACGGTGGCTCACACCTGTAATCCCAGCACTTTGGGTGGCCGAGGCGGGCAGATCACGAGGTCAGGAGATCGAGACCATCCTGGCTAACAAGGTGAAACCCCGTCTCTACTGAAAAAAAAAAAAAAAAAAAATTAGCCGGGCGTGGTGGTGGGCGCCTGTAGTCACAGCTACTTGAGAGGCTGAGGCAGGAGAACTGCTTGAACCCGGGAGGTGGAGGTTGCAGTGAGCCGAGATCGCGCCACTGCACTCCAGCCTGGGCAACAGAGTGAGATTCCTTCTCAAAAAAAAAAAAAAAAAAAAATACATAGTTGATCCTATGTTCACAGAGCTTACAGTCTATTGGGAAAAATCAAATGATTAATAAAGAAATTGCTATAAAGTTTAATGTGCATTAGGATAGCAAATGGCAGGAGAATAGAAACCAAATCTAAGATTCTAAGGAACAAGAAGGAGTAGCCAGATGGAGATGTGGGACAAGGTTTTCCAAAAAAGAAACACTTTCAGCGGAGTGATGAGCCAAGGAAAACACTTACTATAGACTAATAGAGATAGGAGCCATATGGCTGGACGCCGTGGCTCACGCCTGTAATCCCAGCACTTTCAGAGGCCGAGGTGGACAGATCACAAGGTCAAGAGATCAAGACAATCCTGGCCAACATGGTGAAACCCTGTCTCTGCTAAAAATGCAAAAATTAGGCATGGTGGCACATGCCTGTAATCCCAGCTACTCGGGAGGCTGAGGCAGGAGAATTACTTGAACCCGGGAGGCGGAGGTTGCAGTGAGCTGAGATCGCACCATTGCACTCCAGCCTGGGTGGCGACAGGGCAAGACTCCATCTAAAAACCATCATTCTCGGCAAACTATCACAAGGACAAAAAACCAAACACCGCATGTTCTCACTCATAGGTGGGAATTGAACAATGAGAACACTTGGACACAGGAAGGGGAACATCACACACTGGGGCCTGTTGTGGGGTGGGGGGAGGGGGGACGGATAGCATTAGGAGATATACCTAATGTAAATGACTAGTTAATGGGTGCAGCACACCAACATGGCACATGTATACATATGTAACAAACCCACACATTGTGCACATGTACCCTAGAACTTAAAGTATAATAAAAAATATATATATTAAAAAGAAAAAAAAAGACAGGAGCCATAGAGACTGGAAGTCAGTGAATGAGAAAACACAGTCATGAGGCAGTGAAGGTGAAGGAAAGAGCATACATGAACTTTGCTCATAGACAAGCGTTCAAATCCTGGCTGGACGATTCACCAGCTGTGTGACTTTGGGCAAATTACTTGCTCTATCTGAGTTTCCGCATCTGGTATGGTTTGGCTGTGTCCCTACCCAAATCTCATCTTGAATTGTAGCTCCCATAATTGCCTCCTGTTGTGAGATGGACCCAGCGGAATATAACTGAATCATGGGGGTGGTTTTCTCCATACTGTTTTCATGGTAGTGAGTAAGTCTCACGCAATCTGATGGTTTTATAACGGGAAACTCCTTTCACTCGGCTCTCATTGTCTTCTCTTGCCCGCCACCATATGAGACGTGACTTTCACCTTCCACCATGATTGTGAGGCCTCCCCAGCCACATGGAACTGTGAGTCCATTAAGCCTCTTTGTTTTGTAAATTGCCCAGTCTCAGGTATATCTTTATCAGCAGTGTGAAAACGAACTAATACACAATCTGTAAAGGGAGATGTTAGTAACAATACCTGACTTTCACAAGGCTAATTGTCAGGCTTGCAAATTATGAATGCAAAACCAGTTCTGGCACACAGCACCACTACCCACCAGCTTCTCAAGCCTGAAACTTGAGAGTCATCTTTGATTTCTGATTTTCCTTACTCTACCCCCACACAACAGATTGGCTAGCAAGTCCTTTTTTGTACTCCCCCAAGATATCTCACAGATTTCTTCACTTATCTCTATCCCCAGTACTACCATGTGAGTCTAAGCCACTGCCATTTCCCACCTGCACTACAGACAGAGCCCCTACCGGGTCTCCCTGCTTCCACTCTCTGCTCCATGTAACCTCCAATCCATTCTTCACACTTTAGCTAGAGTGATCTTCTAAAAACATGAAGCACTTGTCAGCCTGCTGCCTCAAACCCTCCAATCATTTCCCGTTGTTCTTAGTAGCAAACGCCTTACCAAGACTCACCTCGCAAGATCTGGTCTCTGTGTGCCCACAGCCTCGTGGCCCACTCCTTGCTTACTAAGCTCTGGCTGCAGGCTAGCTGCTTCGTCCTTCCAGTTTTAGCTGATACGTCATTTCCTCAGAGAGGGTCTTCTCTGACCACTCCCTCTAAATAAGGCCTCCTTTCTTCATTGCTACCATAGTGCCTTATTTTTTTCATTCCCAGCCATTATTATAATTAGTCAATATACATTTATTTGGGTGCTTACTAGATTAAATACCTACCTTCCTCATTGGGTTGGCTGCTCTTTGAGACCCAGAACTATTCTAGTAGAGACTTGATGAATTTCTAAATTAGCAGAGAAATTAAAGTTGGGCTTCAATAAATGATAACTATTATTTATTAATACCTGTCAGAGAGACAGTTGTGAAGTGTCTGCTTGTGAGCATTTGCCAAGAATTTCTGTCTCCATTATTTGCCTTAATTTCCAAAGCAGAAAGCCTGACGGCCACATAGAAGGCTTTACCCTGGCGGAGAAAGGGAAGGTCATTCTGTCTCAGCAGGTCTACTAGAGAAAGCTGCCCCCAAAGCCCCTGACATTGGATCCATACAATACATAATTTCTAGGCAAGTCCTTGGTATGTCTTTTTGTTGCTGTTGGAAACTCCAGGACCCAAGGACATTCATCACTGGAGAAGTGGGTGCGCGCGCACACACACACACACACACACACACACACACACACACCAGTGTTAGCAGCTGGCATTTCTGCCTCGAGGATTTTACATTTACAAGGTAATAATAAAAATGGTATTAGAAACCTGCAGACGGTCTGTCCTATAGAGATAAATGTTGATTGCAAACTCCAACATGAAAGTAGAATTGACTAGAAGAGTTACCAGGTAATTTAAGGCCCAACAGTTGATGTCCCTGCAGATACCTTGGCAAGTCAATTCTGTTTTATTTCAGAGAGGAAATAAAACTTGCCTGATTGGACTTTCTTTCCCCTGATAGAAATGAGGAGTTGTCACAGTGAACCATGAGAGCCAAGGCTGGCAAGGCTGGCAACACACGCCAGAGCCCCGGCTTCTAGGATGCTGTCTTTGAACTTGAAGTCAGGGTCAAGTTTTAGGACTCCCAGTTTGTTGGCTATTCAGGATTGGTCAGTTCTTCCTTTCCAGACAGCCTCTTACCTCTTAGTGAATGGGGCTCTGAGGTATCTTTTCTAAATGTGTGCATTTAACAGTAGAGCTTTCAATACTGAGAAGCAGTGAAACACAGAACAAGGCCAGTGATAGAGTGATGATTTTCAGCAATTGGATTCTCTAAAACAACACTATGCAATAGAACTTGCTCTGACGATGGAAATATTCTATATCTGTGCTATTCAACATGGTAGCCGCTAGGCACATGTGACTGTTGAGCCCTTGAAATGTCATCTAGTGCAAATAAGAAACTGAGTTTTTAATTTAAATTTGAATCACTGTATGTGGCTACTGATTAACCCATTGGACGGCACAAACCTAAAATATTGTATGACTGGGTTTGAAATAGCAAGAATGATGTGAGGACACAAAGGTGGAGTGAGAATATTTAAGAGAAGATAGCTGGGTGCGGTGGCTCACGTCTGTAATCCTAGCACTTTGGGAGGCTGAGGCAGGCAGATCACCTGAGATCAGGAGTTCAAGAACAGCCTGGCCAACATGGTGAAACCCTGTCTCTACTAAAAATACAAAAAATTAGCTGGGCGTGGTGGTAGGCACATGTAATCTCACCTACTTGGGAGGCTGAGGCAGGAGAATTGCTTGAACCCACCAGGCGGAGGTTGCAGTGAGCTGAGATCGTGCCATTGCACTCCAGCCTGGGCAACAAGAGCAAAACTGTCTTCTCAAAAAAAAAAAAAAAAAAAAAAAAAAAAAAAAAAAAAAAGAAGGCACCCCAGGAGGTTTAACCAAGGAGTTGGAGAGGGCATATCCCTGGTGGTTAAGCACATACTCTGGTGTGAGTCAGATCTGTATTCAAATCCCAGCTCTGTCACGTTCTGGCTTGGAATTTGGGCAAGTTACATCTCCAAGATCCACATTTCTCATCTGTGAAATGAACATAACAATAGAACCTACTCCCAGGGCTGTTTTAAGTATGAAATGAGGTCTATATGAAAGTACTTAATACTGTGCCTGGCATAAGTTATTATCTTAGCAACTTTGACATTATCTTTTAATATGAAATATGATCATCTTGTATATCTAAACCCACAACTGGATAGCAGTGTTGGTGAGCTTTGTGATCAGAGAGAAAAAGATAGGGAAGAACCAAGACAAACTTTTCCTCTGCCAGAACTGACTGGTCTCATGTGACTGTGCTGAAGTACACCTATAAGCAAAAACATACTGCCATGCCTCCTTAGCCATGAATAGCAAGTTATGCCACTGTCTCATGAAATAGATGTTCTGTGACAGTGCACTACACTGGACCACTTATAGTATAATTATAGAATGAAAAATCTGGAAGAGATCTTGAAGACCAGTGATTCTTAAGCTTTCATGTACAAACAAATCATCTGAGGAGCTTGTTAAAATGCAAGTTCAGATTCAGTTGGTCTGGGTGGAGGCCAAGATTCTGCATTTCTGCCAGGCCCCCAGGTCTCCCAAAGGCTCCTAGTCTAGGATCCATACTTAGGGTAACAAGGTTTCAGAGCACCTAGGTCATAAGACCAATACCCTCTTTTTCAGATAGGGAAATGGAGACCCACAGGGGTAGACCTAAGGTCATGGGACAATGAGAAGTAGAGCCAAGGCTAAAACTAAGGTCCCCTATTGCCTGCTCCCCTGTCGGGGGCACTTTTATACTTCCTCAGGTGGCGGCAGTGTCTTGCATTACATGACACTCAGCAGTTTGCAAAACGACATTCTGTCATGTCCTTTTTCCATTTGTCAGCCAAGGATAAAAAAGGGCAGAGATTACTCCACTCATTCATACTATCCTGGTTGGTGACTGCTAGTTAAGCTGCAGCAAAAATTCCAGTATGCTGACTCTTCTCCCAGAGTACCTTCCATTATATCACAGCACCTCTGTTGCTTCATTTTTAATGTTGGGAAAGCTCCAGGCTGGATATGATGATGGCCAACAACATAAGACTTTATAAGGACTTTGGGGTCAGTCTGCATAGCAGACCATGCAGCAAAAGCATGAAGGAATGGAAAGAGTCAGGTACCTCTTTTTTTTCTTTTTTTTATATTACAAGCAAGATTCTAGAGGCATTTTACAAGCTGAGCAATACCTTAAAGGTTATACACAAGCTATTTCCTGGAGGTATGTTTTAGTCCTAGGCAACCTAAAATTAATGACAGCTCTTATTAGGAAAGGTGGAAATGAAGCATCAAACTATCAGGGAGAAGAATACATTTCCTTGGTAGGCCTGAGATGCACAGTTTCTTAAAACAACTTGGTGGGAGAGATTGAAACTTAGCACAATTCATAGCCCTATCACTGACTCTAGGTGACCTTGCATAAAGGCGTGTTTCTGCTTGTGCACATGTGTGTATGTGCGCATCACACACACTGTCTCCCTAGCTTCTTCATATGTTCAGTGGCACACTCAGTTCATTTTGTCATCCACCAAATTCACAAATGTATTTTCAGGATGAGTAAAATGTTATCTGCAAGCCTCCCAGAAAATTCTGAAAGAGTTGGCCTTTTTCTTGATGTTACTTCTTTATTGGCTTTATTCGCCAAGGTAGGGATTTGACACTTTTCTAGGTCTTTTCCATCATGTGATTTGGATTCTAGGAAATAAATAAGAACTAGGAAGTCAGACTCATCGAGCTGCCGATAATTAAGGGAATTTGGGGCCTCTGCTTGTCAGGTGTAGATCACAGGTGAAGCAACATATTTAGAGCTCCCAGTTGGCAAACACAGCCTTCCCCTTAAGCCACATCCCCTCTGCATAGTCTCAACTTGTTGGGATGCCTGGTTAGCCAGTAAGGTATCATTTACGTAAAATACCACTTTTAAACCACTCCATTTTTTTCCTAGGGTGCAATTTGTACTACAGGCTCATCTGCTTTACCATATTCCATTGCTATCAATGAATTTCTTCATAAGAACAGTGCAAACACAGACTCATTGAATAAAGAGGGCTTTGGTGAGAGCAAAAATTAAAGCATGTTAGACAATGTCACTCCATCTTCTGCTCAAATATCTTGGATAAATGAGGAATGATCTATCTGCTTTCCATTTTCAAAACCATTGATTTTTGTTGCAATTAGACAACAAAGAGCTAGACCAGGCAGGATCCTTTCTCTACTTTTGAAAACAGCATTCAAGGATCCCAGCTGTTTTATTGACTTTCTCTAATGCCAAGAGTTGGGGGGAGGGGTGAATGTTCCTTGAGTCAGCATGCCATCATTGCTGGGTAAAGAGAAGGATGCTTCTGCGGTCTAGGGAAAGGTTTGCAGATGACTTCATGCACAAATGGCTCAGGGTCCCCAAATGGTTTCTGTGTCCTCAACTTTCTATGTAATAAGAGCCATGGATATTTCTGAGCACAGTTTGACCTGCATTCTATTGATCTAAGCATTTGGCTAATCACTCTCTGCAATTAAATCCTTCTCCTTGCAATAAAGTTAATCTCTTCCCAGCACATAAAATCTGACCTCACAGCTTGAGGAGGAGAATTGCCGTTGTTTATGGTGCCATCTTGGGACCCAACAGCTTTTTTCTGAAGGCTGAAGCAACTCTTGGAGTTTGAGAAATTATATTCCCCTCAAATTAAATTATTAGAATGCTTTTCTTCATTTCTGGATGTGAACCCCACATAGGCTGCCTTGTTTCTGCCCAGCCTCATTTCTTCTCCAGGACTCATCATGGAGTGTGAAGCATTAAACATATGCTTCTCCTCAGGCGACCTGCTCCTCTTTGATTTCAAGGCCATTGGCACATATTTTGCAATTATTCTGTTTACCAGTTTTTGTTCCAGTTTGAAGAGATTCATGTCTAATATATAATAATATCAGAAAATCCACAGTCTCCATCCTCACTTCAGTTTAAGCTTTCTAAGGGACTCCTCATTGCTTCTAAACAGATTCTGATTTTGTCTTTCTAAACAACATCAGAAGAGTCAGTAATCCATCCGGCGAATATTTATTGAGTGACAAGTCACAACCCTGGCTCTCAAGGTGTTTATGTTGTTATTGAAAATATAGTCAATTTAAAAGGCAATGGATCAGAGCAGGGTTAGAGGGGATGGAGGGGAGAGGGCAGGCAACAGAACTACAAACTTTGTACACAGATGGCCTTGGGTTCCAGTCCCGGGTCTGCCAGATGCTAGTAGTGACACCTGGAGCAAGTCACTGGTCTTCTCTAAGCATCGGATTCCTCTCATCTTTAAAAACAGAGATGAAAGTACCTACTTCATTGGGTTATTGTGAGGATTAAATAATGTATCTTAAAATGCCTATAACAATGCCTAGTGCATAGGAAGTAGTGCTCAATAAATGTTAGCAATAATTATAATTATATAATATAATTTTTTTTTTTTGAGACAGAGTCTCCCTCTGTCACCCAGGCTGGAGTGCAGTGGCATGATCTCTGCTCGCTGCAACCTCCACCTCCCGGGTTCAAGCGATTCTTCTCCCTCAGCCTCCCAAGTAGCTGGGACTACAGGCACTGGCCACCACGCCCGTCTAATTTTTTTTATTTCTAGTAGAGACGGGGTTTCACCGTATTAGCCAGGATGGTCTTTATCTCCTGACCTTGTGATCTGCCTGCCTCGGCCTCCCAAAGTGCTGGGATTACAGGCATGAGCCACCGTGCCCAACCAGCTTAACTATATAATTATTACCTGATTTCCTCACAACAACTACATGAAGCAAGCACTGTTATTTCTCCCTACTTTGCAGATAGAAAAACCAAGGTCTAGAGATGCAAAATAATTTGCCAAAAACCACATAGTTTATAAATGGCAGGCTTTAACCCAGGGATGCCTAACTTGGTCTTGTATTCCTTACCATTACCCCAGGGTGACTGGGCTAAGCTTTCCTTATATTTTTAGGAGCTGCACATGTCATAGGGCTTTGAAAAATTTAACTTGCTAGGCCTGCTAATGATGACTTAAATAAAGCTGCATGACTTAGCTAGAATATAATATTTTCAAATATTCATTCTATTGTGTTTTTTTCTCCTGATACCCAGTATTTCTTTTAACATAAATAAATTTTATTAAATGCCGAATTAAAACTGGTTAGATTCTCATAACAGTTCTCAGTTCTGAATTTAAACTTAATGTTATGTTAAAATATTAATGACCTTTATCTTTAAAAGTGTCTAAATTGTACTAAAGTTAACAAATGTGGCTGATAATCCCCAGCACTCTCTTAGAACATTCCCTGACATGAGGCATTTGCTGGGGCTTACATAGTTCTAATGTCGGGTTTCAGGCAGCACTGAGAAATACAAAATGTGGGGAAATTTTGCATTACAAATTGCCTGGGGATTTGATCTCCTAATACTTAAAAAGTGTTCTAATTTCAGCTAAATAATAGTAGCTGTAAAGCATTTAGGTGTGGATGGCATTAGGCATGCGCTCTATGGAATAAACATGTTTTGGAGAGAGAAGTAGCATTTGGAGCATATGAAGGGAACAATTCATAAGCTGAATTTCACTCCTCTTGTCCCTGTGTATCCTGCTTTCTCTGACATGAACATTCTTTATGGCTCTGGTTCCAGCTCCTTGAACATTTTATTAATGTTGATAGTGAGGACAGGAGTAAAATTTATCCGAAGCTTAGTTCTAATAGCCAGGTTGGACTCCTTCCAATTCCCCAGAAGTCCTGTGGGTTCAAAATACTTGCATAACTAACTAGTGCTGGCTTCTGAGCCTTGGGGCACAAGTTAAAGGCTTGATCTCCTTTTTTGTAAACATGTCCTTTATGGAAAGACCTCACTATATACTTATCCCATCCCCACCATGATATGGAGTGTCCAAGCTGAGGAAAAACTGTTTACCAACCTGCTGACAAAACCCTACTTGTAGGAAATCCCATGTCTTATCTGGCTAAATAACTTAGACCATATGTTCAGGTCCCAGAGCCTGGGATTCTTCAGAACAAGCTGAAATGTGCCTATTTGCATCACCTGGGGATACTGAAATTCCAAGCACAAGTTCATTTTCACATAACTCATTATGCTCCCTTGGATTTGGTGCTTAATGTGAACTTTGACAACAGATGGAATGAGATGATGCTTCAGGAGCACTTACTAATTCTTTTGTGCTCACAAATACACACAAATAGTGATAATATGCACTCAAATTTCCAAAGCCAGGCAGTGCCCTCAGGTATTCATTTGCCACCCCCCTGTTGAGTTCTTGGGTAGAATTTAATTATCCAACAAATTTGGAGATAGCTATGCCAGATGTTAGGTACTGACCTAGACATTTCCAATGGAAGTATCCAATGCATTCTAGAGAGAGCAGGGAAAGCAAATTTGGGAAATAAGACTCTGGATGCGAGAAAAGGGGGCGTGAAACTGGGACTAGAGCATGAAATTTGTGGTGACTTCCTCAGTCAGATTGTTACTCCTTAAGCTCCAAGAACCATTGGGTGTTTGTGTGGGTCATTCAGGAAGGTCTGAGAATATCACCTCTGCCTCAGTTAGTCATAAAGAATCTCATCATTTGGACCCAGCCGAGGACACAGCTTTTGTCTGTTCACAATAAAAACAGAATTACCCCATTGATTTGAATGACAGACACATGCAGCTGCTCCTCCCTTTCATTCCAGCATGGTTAAGTGGGGCCACTTGGAGCACTAACTCATCTTCGAATTTGGGCTTAGCTCTGGAGAAGTTGTTATTGCAATTATAATTTGTTATTAATAAAATGTATTAACGGGATTATGATAATAGCCAGCATTTATTAAGTGGGGATTCTGCACCAGGCACTGTGCTAAGCATTTGTACATCCCTTTCACTCTCATAGCACCCTTATTAAGTAGGTAATTGTAATATTTCCATTTTATGGGTGAGTGAATAAAGCTCAGTCTTTTAACATAAGTGCCTAAGGTCCTACAGCCAATAAGAGGCAGAGGCAGGCGGCCTGACCCCACAGCCTGTATCTTCCCATCACCCTCAGCATGAACTGTATTTACTGATGGTGATTTCCCCATCCAAGGGCATCTTCTGTGCTCCAGTCTCCACTTAAAAGGTTATAAAGGGGCCCTATTCTTTTTCTAGTTTTATTGTATATTTGACAGTTAAAATTGTGTATATTTAAGGTATACAACTTGATTTGATGTATGTGTCATAAAATATTAGCCACAGTCAAATTAACATATATATCACCTCACATAGTTGCCTCTTTTTCTGTGTATATATGGCAAGAACACTTAATATCTGCCCTTTTAGCAAATTTCAAGTCTACAATACAATAATGTTAACTATAGTCACATTGCTGTACATCAGATCTTCAGAAATTATTCATTTTGTATAACTGAAGCTTTGTACCCCTTAACCAACATGTTCTCCTTCCCCACCCCCTCAGGCCCTGGTAACTGCTATCCTACTCTGTTTTTATGTTTAGCTATTTTAGATTCCACATATAAGTGAGATCATGCAATATTTGTCATTCTGCATCTGACTTATTTCACTTTGCATAATGTCCTCCAGGTTCATCCATGTTGTTGTAAATGCCAGGATTTCCTTCCTTTTAAAGGCTGAATGATATCCCAGTGTATACACACATATATATACATGTGTGTATATGTGTGTGTGTGTGTGTGTGTGTGTGTGTATGTACACATACCCCACATTTTCTTCATCCATTCATCTGTTGACAGACATTTAGGTTGCTTCCATATCTGGCTATTGGGAATGGTGTTGCAATGAGCATGAGAATGTGGATCTCTCTTGGAGATCCTGATTTCACTTCCTTGGAGAGCCCCCCTATTTTGAACCCCTAGTCATTCCTACCCCATCCAAGCACAGCTGATTAGACCGAAGGGCAGGAGTACAGAAAGGTAACCAATCGATAGATGGGCTTATGACTTTTTATGTGACCTAGTCCACCCCCCCACCCCCCAAAAAAAATTAGCTGAGTCTATCAGATTTCTTCTCTTGGGAGTTGAGACCAGAAAAAAATACCATCAGGGTATTTAGCTCTGAGAACTTAAGGTGAAATGAGACTATGAGAGCAAGTCTGAGCTGTGAAGTAATGAGGCAGCAGTGGCTATGAGGAAGCAGAGAAAATTAATTTGGTAGAGACAGCATTAGAGAGTGCCCTCCAAGAAGAAGGGTCTTGAGGAGGAAAAGAAATAGCCAGCAGCCTGGGATGCCCCTAACCTTGATGCCATTCTGGTACCAGTACCCGGGGATCCTTACAATACACAGTTGTGAGGATGAAGTGAGATAATTTATATAAATTACCCACCAGAATGCTTGATCCATAGATAGGTAATCAGTACAAGTCAGTAATATTATGTTTATTATTATTATCTTTTATTTATATTTATCTTTTATTTGGAAATTACAGAAAATCCTCTCATTTCCAATTATCAAGATGCATGGACCTAGAGCTATAAAAATCCATATTATTTCTTTCATGATTGAATTGACTTCCTTAATTGTTATAATAATTCAAATTTCAGCTTATGATTATCGTCTTAGGTTTTTTTTCAGATCGATTCCACACCCACTAATGAACTATCGTGTTGAGCAATGGGAGAGCAATTCCCATAATCTGTTTCCCTGCAATCCCTCTTCTGATGCTAATGAGAAGTACCATGGAGACATCAGCCGTTAGTATACATGGGCTGGTATAAATCATGGACTATGGATCATTGTGCATCTTTGTTGTAAAACAAATGGCCTGTGGTCAGTTAATCATACAAAGAAACATCTCCAGGGCCTCCTGGCTTTACTCATAACCCCTAAATTCGTTTGCAGTTTTATAAACAGAACATCTGTTAAAATATGCAGAAATTACAATCATAGTCATTAGCAGAGAGCTATATAGCTTTGGCAGATTTTTTCCTAAGCTTTTGATGGTGATCTCCTCTATCTGTGATTCATGCTTCATTCCCAGTCTTGCTGAATCTCTTTTGTTCACCTCTGTTCTTTTGGGTTGCAGCACTTTTAACCCAAAACTCATGAGTGGACATGTGTTGTCTCAGGCTAGATTGGCACCATGCCATTGTGCAGCATGGCAGAGTGACTGTAGCCTGTCGATACCTCCTTACAAAACTGTATATTTTGGGTGTGCAATATGCATATCTTCCAGCAGCCAGAAGCTGAGAAACCCTAATTGGTTTCACACCTCTTTTACTGACCTTGGACTCTTACAGCACTGGCATTTAACCAAAAGTAAATAGAGCTCCCCACTATCACCAGCAGCAGCCCAAATCTTTCATATTCATTCTCTTTCTGTCTTTCTGTTAAAATTTGTACTGTGTTAACAATTTAAATTAGGCTAGTGCAAATAACATCTAAGTCAAAGACAAGGAGAAATATGTTCATCGCTAGAAAACAAGATTTGCTCTAAGAACCTAGGTTGGCCTCCTCATTGTTTAGTGAAGAAATCATAACTCCATCTAAGAACTGGGGAGTAAGTAAACTTTCTTTGGCCATTGCTTTGTTCTGGCTGCCCCGGAATGGGAATCAGAGGATATTTTCTACAGAAATTAAAAAGTCACCTCGGAGTATTCAGTGTATCTGTCACCTATTTTTATATATATGGTTTTATAAATTCTCAAAGTCACTCTGGTTGAGCCTGACTAGATCCCTTTAAACAGGCTCACAAGGAAAAAGAAGACAGAAGTGAAGTGGCTAAGATAGCAAATTCTGAGGTCAGACAGACATGGACCTGATTCCCAGATCTACTATTTGTTAGCTGTATACCCTGGAGAAAGTTAATTCCTGAAGCTACAATTCCCTTCTATAATATTAGTGCCTACCTCATCAAGTTATTGATAGGATTCAAAGAGATAATCCAAGCAAAGCATCTCGCTATGTGCCTAGAGCATTCTTAAGTGCTGAGTCAATATTAGTTGCTACTGTTGATAATTTTGTTTGTTCTCAGTGTTAATGCACTGTTAGATTATGTTAGGTGTTGATTTTATCATTGGTAAAACATTCTTTTTGTAAAGTACTTATAATATTTAAATGATAGCATTCATTTGTCTAAGAATAATTTAAGCTCCTGCTCTAGGCTCAGTATGCTGGTGAGTGCTGTATGGTGTGTGAAGATTTATCTTCTGCATATGCCTATCAATGGGTATAAATCATCTTAGAATGTATTACAGAGAAAATCCAAACCAAGTACTGTGGAAGCTGTGGATTAGAGAAATAAATTACCAGCTGGGGAAGCCTTCATCAGGGGAAGGTTAAGGAAGTCAGGGTTAAGGCAGGCTTGACAGATCTCCAGTGATACGTGAGAGGAGAGAAGAGGGTAAGTCTCCTTGGAAGATGAAAAACAAAATGAGGCAACCGAGTGAAAGAAATTGGGATAAAGTAGACAAGGAAAGGGCCAATTTGCCTTCTGGGTGAATGAAAAAGAATTAGAGGGTAAAAGCCAATTAGAGGCTCAAAACCAGACTCACCAAGTCCCCAAAGATACTAGGGATAAAAATGGAAAGCTCCTGAGGAGGAGACTAAAAATAAGACAAATGCCTGTCTCGGATGGAGTAGTTATGGGAAGGGAGACTCTGAAAGGAGATTGACGGTTTGTTTGTCTATTTCTCAGCCTGTACCTGAGACAAGCTCCAGTTTTCTGCCGTATTCATGGCACTTACTGGCACTTGTGGCTGCACAGCTCCCTGCCAACCTCTGAACTCCAGGAGCTAAGCCAGCTGTCTTTAGGCAGCCGCTTTCTTGCTTTCAAAAGGAAAATTGCAGTTGTGCGTTGGAGTCCTGAGCCCCAATTAACATGTCAGGCTCTGAAACAAACAAATACAGATAACAAAGAGGGAGATAATGTTTTAAAATTAGGTTCTCAGGAGTCCCCCATTAATTTGGAGCTCACCAGACAGTTACTGCATGTTCAATAAATACCATTTGATGACAATAATGTGCTTAGCTGCTGGTAGTCGGAGATGCCCAGTAGATAGGTCTCTTTAAGCACGAGGTTACAAATATACCTTGTTATATCATATTCAGCACAGATGCAGAGTCTTTCAGCTTTACAGCTTTTGTGAGTATTAATCCCTCCAGAGGCCAGAAAGATGGGTGTTATCATCCTCCTGCTAAAAATAAAAGAAAGCAGGCAAGTTGGTTTGAAAAATCCAGATGGTGAGTTCAGGATACATGGACTCACTGTATAATGTTCAGTACACACAAAACCACTGCATAATCAAATATGCTATGTAAATACCCAGAGGTTGTTTAGCAGGGTAGCTTGTGGAAATGAAAAAATTAGCAATAGTGGCATGGATTTTTTAAAAAGCAATTATTTGCTTTATGTGATGACAAGAATCCACAGATGGTGCATCCTTAAGTTCTTGAGTGTCTTGAAAGCTAAAGCATGATTGTAGTCACACTACAAATAATAGCTGAAAAGGGGTATGTAAGAGCCCTTTATTCTGTTGATTTCAGTGGAACAGTGCCTGTTATTGTATGGATCATGGTGGAGCACTTTCATGCTGTGAGAACACAGTGGGAACGTTGAGAGCTAACAAAGGGTCAACTCCCAAAACTTTTGGAAGAGTTTAGCTGATTTACTACTTCCACCTTAAAAGGTGGAGAACTTATGGGATGGAGTTACAGGCTGGTGAAATCAAGCTGATTCTTCTCATTGCCAATGGTGGTATATTAAGTCACTCTCACTACTATAAAAGTTCAGAGTGGACCTTAATTAGTAGCAATAATCACAAGGTGATGGTACTCACTAAGAATCAATGGCCTAACTAAGAAAAAACATGTGCTTCCTGGCCAGACTTAGAAGCTACAAAACAAATAATGGTTTTTGGCAGTGGTAACTGGGAACAGAGACTTCCTAAATTTGGCTTGATTAGTTTCCTTTTCTACCCTAGGTTTGTAAATAGGACTTCCCAAATTGTACATTTGTTCATTCAGCAAATCCTTATTAATCATCAATTATGAGCCAGGTCCTCTGCTAGGTATTTGTTGGAGAAATAGTATATTCTGTGGCTTATCTTTAGCTCAGAGATTTTGCCTTATTTGCCTTACCTTTCCCCAGGGCCCTTGGCACAGTATATGGCACATTGTGGGCACTCTGAGTGTAAATTAAAAGAAGAAGAATGTTTGCCATTTGTAGCTACTAGAGCAGTCAGATGCCACGGAAGTGGTGTTCTATCTCATAATAACTTAAACTTATCACTTGGTAAAAAGTGCATTGCACATAGGCCAGGTGGGTGGTTTTAAGTTCTGCTCACTCTGTCCTTTGTGATGACTTCTGTTTGTGATGACTCGAGGAACAGATATGTATACACTTGGACGTATGGGAGCATACGTGGACCTATCATGAAGATTCTCATTGGTTTTTTTCATTGCCCAATTGGATAAGAACAAGATGCTTCTGCATTTTAAAATCCTCCTCAGATGTCATATCATTGCAATGACATTTTTATATGGGTGTTTTCTGTTGGTGTACCATTGTTTGAGTCAGCAGCAAAACACACTGAATGCCTACAGTGGAAGAGGTGAAACAGAGATGCTTATTAGGCAGTAACTAGGCAGCTGAGTTCAATAGTGACAAAACGTAGGGATAGTCTATATGCAGGCATGTTTATACCCAGTTGAGCATAGATAAAAATGTGCATAGATAAAAATGATAGTCACTAATGATGACAAAGAATTTTTATCATGTGCCAGATACTACGCTGGTCATTTTATGTGCGTTATTCCATCGAATCTTCTGTTTTTTAGTCATGCAAATTGACTTTTTCAGCTTTGAGATGTAATTGACAAAACAGTTTGTATTTAAGTTGCACAACCTGACGTTTTGATATACTATACCTAGTGAAATGAGTCCACAATCAAGCTAATTATCTATCACCTCACATGCTTATGTTTTGTGGTTTTTTCTGTTTTGTTTTATGCATATGTGATGAGAATAACATCTACTCTTAGCAAATTTCAAGTATATAACACATTACTAACTGTAGTCACCATGTTGTATATTAGGTCTCTGGAATTTATTAGGCCAACAGCTCCCCAATACCTCACTCCTCAACCCCTGGTAATCACCCTTCTACTCTGTTTCTATGAGTTCAACTTTTTTAGATTTCCCATATAAGTGAGATCATGCAGTATTGTCTTTCTGTGTGTGGTTCATTTCATTTGGCGTAATGTATTAGGTTCTTCCATGTGGTCACAAATGGGAGGGTTTCCTTTTTTAAGGCTGAATAATATTTGTTTTGCATGTATACCACATTTTCTTTATTAATTAATCTGTTGATAGACACTTAAGTTGTTTCTATATCTTATCTATTGTGAATAATGCTGCAATTAATATGGAAGTTTACATGTCTCTTCAAGATAGTGATTTTATTTCCTTTGGATATATAGTCAGAAGTGGGAGCCTATCTAATCTCCTTAACAGTCCTTATGAGGTGGGTACTTTCACCAGCCCCATTTTATAGATAAAGAAACTGATAACCTGCTTATGACCATTGCAACTAAGAACCCATTTTCTTAATCACTACACTAAATTACTATGTAAGTATTTAATATAATGTGATTAAGAAATTATTTCTCCTTTGCCCCCATATTTTCATTTTGCACAAAAAAAATAGGGGGCAGGAGGAAGACACCACTATTCATTGTCTTGATTTTCCTGTTTTAGAAATTAGTCCAGTCCCATTTGATTGCCTCCCAGTGGAACCAATAAATTGGATGAGTCAGTGGTTCTGGAAAAATTCTTAAAATAAAACTGCACCATATTAATATGATTAGTCATATCACTAAAATAGAGACAATTCATAAGGGCTGTTTTCAAAACCCTAAGTAAAAACATAAAGCAATAGGATGTGCAAACAGTTGGTAATGGCATTTGGTATTGAAGGAAATCATTTGTGCAGTTACCTTTGATTCAAGCAAATATCAGCTCTTTTTTCCATGTTTTTCTGGGCTTACTCAACTGTAGAATTATTGGAGTTATATGCGCATTTCTGAGAAGCTCTGTACTTGTCTATTTAGTCAGAACTAAAAAGGAAGTGGGCATTCATAGCAACCCATTTTATTTATAGCTCTGCTGTGGCAGTTTATTGTAAGTACAGTCACTTGTTAGCATAAGTTAAAAGCTATTACACTTTGATTGCAACTATCATTAGGTAAAGTTATCTGAATAAGCTTGGGTCTCCACTGACAAATGAAAGATGTAAATTTCTCACACACTTTTAATGAGTAATTAGTGCAAACCTACCATTTGCTCTGCAAAGTTCAAGGTTATTTTATTTACTAACATGACTAAATAAAAGATCAATTTCAGTTCAAGTAGGAAATTGATTATGATTGACAAAAGAAGACTGAAGACCTTCATAAAGAGTATCAAACTATTTTTTCAAGCTAAGCTGTAGTCATTAGCCATGTACAGATATCTTTCTTCAGTCACAATCCTACTTGTGAAGTTAAGATAAAGGCCAGTTTTATTGGTCTTTGGGAATGGAGAGTTATTGGACAGAGTCAAACTAAGTCTATTTTCTATAATAGCATTTCTCAAAAAGTGTTCAGAATTTCCTGAGATATGTGTCAAAATGAAATTTCTGAGCTCTACTCAATATCTACTGAATCAATGTCTAGGCATGGTCACCTAGAAAGCTGCATCTAGTGAATTTGACTAAGTGTGGGGACCACTGAGCAAACTGGTCTCCCTGTGTTTAGATACCTCAGCCCTTACCTTTGTCTCAGCATTGTAGTTGCAGCTCAGTATAACCCTAGAGACAGGGAACTGAATTCTTTTGGCTCTGTTGCCCACACTTAGGTCCTTTATATTCTCGTTATTTCTAACCCTAAACATGTATCAGCTGATTTAAAAATTCCACTTGGGAATAGGCAGCAATATTGGGTGACAGGAACACAGACTCTAGAGTCAGACTGCCTGGGTTTCAGTCCCAGCTCAGCTATTTATGTCTTTATACACAGGTGAGCATATATGCTCTTGGCCAAGCTGTTGTGTGATCTTAATATCCATGAGCCTCGATTTCCTTAATTATAAAATTAGGATAAAAATAACTGACTTAACAAGGTTATAGGGATTAAATAAGTGACTTAAATGAATTAGTACTTGGATCCACTGTTATGTACAATTCTCCCTTTATTATTTCATCTACTCTTGTGACTTGAAATAGTATCTATATGTCAGCAACTCCCAAATTCATGTTTTTAGTCCAGTCCTGAATTCCATATTTTCTTATGCAACTGCTGCTTCAAAATTTCTATTTGGATGTCTAATAAAATATCGCAGACTTAATATTTCCGACTGAACTTCTGATCATCTCCTGAACAAACCTTTTTCACCTACAACTGTCCCTTCCTCAGTTGATAACAACTTCATCCTTCTAGTTCTTCAGGCCAAAAACCTTGCAGTCATTCTTTATTCACACTCCACATGCAATGCATCAGAAAATCATATTGGCTCTATTTTTAAAATCTACCCAGAATCTAATCTTTTTTCATCACTTCCACTGCTACCGTGCTGATGCAAGCAAGTATCTAACATACTTTGTTGTAGCAGTTCCCTGCTTCCACTTTTACCACTGACCCCCAAATCTCTTCTCCACACAGTAGCCATATTGATTCCTATAAAAAATTAGGTCAGATCATGTCACTCTTCTGTTCAAAATCTTTCAATGACTCCCCACCTCACCCAGTGTAAAAAAGGGCCCTTATGATGGCCTGCAAGACCCTACATCATCTGTCCTTCGGTTTATTCTCTAACCTCACTTCCTACTGCTTTCTGCCTGTCCCGTAGCCTTCTTGCTGCTGCTTGAACTCCCCAGTCTGGAAGGCCTTAACATTGGCAGTTTCTTCTACCTGGGCTGCTCTTCTTCCAGACATCTGCATAGCCAATTTCCTTACTTCTTCAAGGCTTTAAGTGTTGCCTTTTCAATGAAGCCTTTCTTGAGTACCTATTTGAAATTGAAGTCCCCTTGCACCTTTAGTCTTTCTGATCTGCATTAACCTATTCTGCTTTCCCATAGTCACCTTCTAACATACTACATACCTTACTTATTTATTGTTTGTTACATATCTCCCTCCACCAGAATCTGTGTTCCAAAAGGACACTTGTTTGTTTTGTTCATTGTTATACCCCCAACATCCTAGGACAGTACTTGGCATATAGTAAGTGGTGGTCAACTACATGTTGAATGGATGAATGCATGAACAATGTGGCATTGACTCAGAAGATAGTTTATAATTTCCCACAGGTTTTTGGCTGGGCTCTTGAACTATTTAACATTTTGTCACTGTATTGGCCAGTAATTTTTTGGTTAAACAGGCTAAAAAATCCTACTAAAAGTTTGCTTAATCAAAAATTAGGCACACACACCTTAAAAGATCTAAAGAACACTAGTTTTGAGTAAGGCTTGATCTAGAGCCTAGCTATGTTACCCGGGTTCAATAGTCTCTGTCCTCTGCTTTCTATGTAGACCCAGCAGCTGTTCCAGCCTCTTTGTGGTAGAAAATTGTCTGCCATAGTGCAGGGTTCCACATCTCCTTAAATCCTTAGGAAACATCTCCTAACATCTCATTAGCTCTGTTTGGATTCTGTGCTTATCCCTAAATCTATTCCCTATATTCAGTAAGATGGAATACCTGATGAATTAGGCCAATTAGGGCCTCACTCTCATGTGGCGGGAGGAATCAGCACCTCTCAAATTTTACTTGAGGATAAGAAAAGGGAAAGTCAGGGGATTATTGGCAGAAGAAGAAAAGAATGGGTTGCTGGGAGACAGCCAGTGGTCTGGTATAATAAATAGTAGTGAGTGTGTGCTTATTAAATTAAATATGGTAGCATAAGGTTTGGGGATTCAAGCCAAAATAACATATGGAAGAACTGATGGATTTCTTCATTCATTCAAGAAGTGGAATAGCATCTGCAAAAGCACAGAGGTATGAAAATGTTTGACATGTTTGGAGAGCTTTGAGGAGTGAGTGTGAAGAGAGTAAAAGTAATATGTTGGAATCTTCTCAATGTAGCAGTGAAAATCTGGACCTAACTCTCATTGGTCCAAGTTGGATTTTTTTTTAATGCCTGAACCAATCACTGTTGCCAGGGGCAGGGAATATGCCGATTAGCTCAGACCTGTAAGCTGTACAGACGCACACGCACACGTGCACACACCACACACACATACACACAGCAGATTGGGCTGAAAAATGAAAAATAATATTTTCTTAATAGAAAAAGGGGGGATCGACACTGAAGAGTTATAAGAAGCAGAAAAAGATTGGCAAAATATCTCAGAATAGACCAATGGACTAAGATATAGCAGTATGATAGTTACATGACATTGAACGTGGTGCTAATGTAAGATATGGTGTGACAGTTGTAAAATTCCCTGCCACTTTTCAAAAAGACCCGCACCATTCTACTCCTTACTTTTTGTGTTATATATATGTCCTTCCAAAGGACACAAGAAGAGAAACAGGTCCTAAAAGATAGGTGACTGGGCATAGTTGAGTCCTTCCTTTGCAGGTAGTCTCTCTTTGCCTTTTCTTCTTTTTCATCTTCCTTTGGGGTGTTTTGAATGGAGAAAAAGAAAGCCTAAACATTGACCGATTTGCAGCATTCGTTGTGACTTTTGTCCTTTCTGCTCCACTTGTGTATCTACTCTAGTATAGTTCAGAATCAAAATGTGAAGGTCTGACTGTTCCTCAAGAGTTCATTTTATTCTGTCCCCAAAACACTGTCCCACTTTCTTCCTCCTCTCTTCAATGCTAAATGGAATGTGGACAATCATAATATAATGCTTCACTCTTCCTGCCATTGTAGGATTTTCAGAGAAGAAAATCTAGGTGTCTGAGGCAAGAGAAGGAGAGTGTGAGGTTTATCACAGGTGGATTTATCCTTGGGAGGGATATTAGGCAATGCTGCCTTATGGCTCAGTGCAGGTGTGCTCAGAGGTGAAGACAGACATTGGGGTATCTTTCTGTACTTGTTCCAAGTCCCCATCATATGCTCATCCCCCTTTGTGCACTGATCTCTGTTGCCTTGCTGGCGTAATTAAGCGCTCCCAATGCTACTGCCCCAGTTTCTAGTCTGTGGGTAGAAAGAGCTGCCCTCACCCGTGCCAACCCCCCAGCATGTTCCCTCATTAAATCATGCATATGCTAATGAAGTGTGAAAATCAGCCAAATAACAACTCTTTCTAATCACTTAAGGTCCCAAGAGCAAAGGGCTTTTTTCCTGTTCTCTTAATTTTGGGGTGGTTGTTATGATTTTCAAGCCAATCGGAAGCACAATTCTCTGGTGTTTCTCCTCTCCCAGTTCCCTTCCACAGAAATGAGGGTAATTGGCATTTTCACTTCTATCTCAAGTGAGAAGAGTCTTCAGGAAAACCAGTGACCCACTGTGCCCTTTTCATTTGCATCTGGGGCTGGATAATCCCTAGTTTTACATTCATACACAGAGCAGTCCCGAAGGGCAATTAACTAGACTACATTATTTCCTGCCCCCTGGAGGGCTAGTGTTTGAGAACATTTCCCCCAGAGATGGGGCATGTCAAGGCCCTTGTGTTGTGATTACATTTTACCTCTGCATTTCAGTCAACTTCCCTGAGACTTTGCCCCTCTACCCATTATCCTTGCAGACCTAGTTATGTTCTCTGTCTCCCTGATCTGGCCCCTGCCTGCCTGACCATCTGCTACATCCGGCCATTTGCACATCTCTCTTTTTTCTTCTTGGAAAGGTTTATCCACAGACATTCTTATGTCTGGCCTCTTTTTATCCTTCACATTTAGGCTCAGTTGTCACTCCTCAGAGAGGTCAGCCCTGACCACCTATTTAATATTAAATCCAATCCATTATCATTATCTTATACCACCTCCTCTTTATTCCCTTCAGAGCCCCCATCACTGATACAGTCCTATTTCTTAGATGTATTGCCTCTCTCTCCTTGAGGGCAGGGACCATGCCCGTGACTGTCTCGTTTGCCATAACATCACCAGGCCCATAGTAAATGCTCAGTAAATGTCTTTGCGTAAATCAACAGTGTTTTCCAAGTACCTTTGAGTGATTTTCATGTTGAAGTATAAGGTTTTATTTCTTTGGCTGTTTCACCTGAGACTGCTCCAGAGATTTTGTTGTATTTTTGTATTTATATTTGCTTCTCTATGTTAAGCATGTGTGATAGCTATATTATTAATACTGACCATGTTACTCGATTCTAAAATCATTGATGATAGTGAACATGTTACTGAAAGTTTTATGGAGAGACTGAAAGGGTTATGTCACATACCCAACATCTTTTTTCTTTTCCAAGTCTTACCCATTTGCCCCCCAAGTTTTTGGCTATTTTCTCTTGCCTTTCCACCCACATATTCACTCAGAAATCCTCCTTCCTACTCTTTTGTCAAGACACAATCAGCTGTTGCCCTCGGATTCCACCCTACAGAGCAAAACAAAAGCCTCACAGTGATCTCAACAGTGGCCACCTTTTGTTCCTGGAGCACGCTCCTTAGGGACCTGAGTTCATTCCAACATATTTGAATGAATAAATCACTGCATAGATGTTATCTTGGTCCCAACTGATCTGAGCCCTTTTTTCATTTTATTCATTTATTCAACAAATATTTACCAATGTTTGTGCCAGGTGCTGGGGTACAACAGTGAGCAAGATTGATTTGCTGATGCTAAGGTCTCTGGAAGAAACTGAGAGGGATGAATGAATTTAGAGGTCTGTGTGAGTCAAAACCCCAAGGCAGAGAGTTTTGTTTCTGTTGTTGCAGAGTGTTTAAGTGTAACCCAAAGGATTATATTTAAAGAGTACCCTTCACCATAATTTTTGTTGTTGTGTTGTTGAGATAGAGCCTTTCTCTGTCACCCAGGCTGAAATGCAATGATGCACGATCTCGGACCACTGCAACATCTGCCTCCTGGGTTCAAGGGATTCTCTTGCCTCAGCCTCCCAAGTAGCTGGGATTACAGGCATGTGCCACCACGCCTGGCTAATATTTGTATTTTCAGTAGCGACGGGGTTTCGTCTTGTTGGCTGGGCTGGTCTTGAACTCCTGGCCTCAGGTGGTCTGCCCACCTCGGCCTCCCAAACGTGCTGGGAGGCGTGAGCCACTGTGCCCAGCCCCACCGTAGATTTTTAAAGTAATTTTCCAAATTACTTAATGTTAAGATTGTAGGTTGCTCTGTCCAACCTAAACCTCCCTACTTTGGAGGTTACTGTTCCCTTTTTTTTTTTCTTTAAACCAGGGTGTGCTAAAGAAAAAAAAAATGTGGCTGGTGAGTGTGGAATTTACCATTATCCCCAAAATTTGGGCAGAGGAGATTGAAGCCAAGCTATATTTTTTGGAGTCTAATATGGATTTATTTTTCTTCCTCCTCCAAGACAAAATATAGCTAGACTCAGTAGAAGACACTATATATCCGAACCACATGAGAAAACTGGAGGCAACTTGCGCAAATGCTCACACAACGGCATGGAGGAGGCAGAGGGAGGGATTCTCATTTCCAGCTGGAAAATCAGGCTTCCACCAAGCCTGCTCAGTTTTGACTTTGCCTCCGAAAGCAGACATGAGAAAGACAGTTTGTCACTCAACTCCTTAACTATAGTAGAGAGACAGAGAAATTTAAAAGCCAAAGATGCAGTGTTTCATTGAAGCAGCATGTTATTATCACACCTGTTAAGATTTGAGCCTAAAGAAAGAAAGAATAGGCTGGACATGGTGGCTCACGCCTGTAATCCCAGCACTTTGGGAGTCCGAGGTGGGTGGATCACCTGAGGTCAGGAGTTCGAGACTAGCCTGACCAACATGGTGAAACCCCATCTTTACTAAAAATACAAAACTTAGCCAGGCATAGTGGTGTGCGCCTGTAGTCCCAGGTACTCAGGAGGCTGAGGCAAGATAATCACTT
The DNA here is from genome assembly GCF_000001405.40 of Homo sapiens. Lineage (NCBI taxonomy): Eukaryota > Metazoa > Chordata > Mammalia > Primates > Hominidae > Homo > Homo sapiens. Next base: position 146,787,666 of record NC_000005.10, on the reverse strand, counting down.
CAATCTGGGAGGTGAAGGTTGCAGTGAGCTGAGATCACCCCATTGCACTCCAGCCTGGGTGACACAGTGAGACTCCATCTCAAGAAGAAAGAGAAGACAAGAGAGAAGGGAGAGGGGAGAGGCGAGAGGGGAGGAGAAAAGAGAGGAGAGGAGAGAAGAGAAAAGAGAGGAAAGGAAGGAAGAGCTCTGGTGGCCCAAGATCTGAACTCTCCCTACAGAAGGCTTTTGTTCAGCCAGTTAAAATATTTTAAATGAGCTGCCAACATTTGAAAAACATACAATTTTTAAATGTTAAAAAAATCTATGCGTCTATCTTCCCTTGACAAATCTGATCCTGTGGCCACAGTGTGTACATACAACCTTCATGACCACAGTTAGCTGGAGTTGGCCAATAGTGATCACCCTGTAGATCATGTAGGAGTATTCCAGGTTGCCATATTTCCCTTCCAGCCTGCTCCCCTCATGGAGATTATCTGCCTGGCATCTGAGTTTGCAACCCTCAACAAAGGCCATGGCAAGGAAAATAATAGGGCAGTTGTAAGCACTATTTTTGTGTGTGTGTTTGATTTTTGACAAATCTAAAGTTAAAATCCCACATCTGCTACTAAAGATCCACATGGCCATAGGAAAATCCTTAACCTCTCTATGCTTCAGTTTTTTATCTGTAAAATAGGGATTTATTATGAAAAATGAACAAGATAAACCCTAAAGCCTTATGCATTTGACTGGAATTATTATAAGCATAGATAACAAGAGTTGTTGTTAGCTTCGTTATAAAGAAAAGCTTCCTGAGATGATTGAATTAAAGAAAATTTTACAGGCCTCACCTTTTTATTGCTTTCAGGCAACTTCATCTTTCTCTAAAGATTGATCTGTAATAAAAAGGAACTTGCTAGATTACATCATACCCAAATGTGTCTTCATTTTTTTCCCTACCAGTTTGGGAGGTGGGGAGAGCCAGAGAGAATCAAACCAATATCATCTCTTTCCAAATGATACCAAGAAGGATTAATATGGGCAAAGGACTAAAAGGGTTTATACACAAACAGAAAGGAGTTATAAATTAAGAGCTCGGAGAAAGCAGAGGGCAATGTAAATATCTTAAATTGTCTGGAAGTAACCTGGCCCCCATGAACAGCACTTCAGTGATAGTTGGTGGTTGTCAGGAGGCCCAGGTGGGTACAGCCAGGGGTTTCAGGAAGTGGCAGCATCTGTCTTCCTTATCAGGATGTGGGATAATCAGGAAGGTGCCAACTTCATAATTGGCACCTGGCTGACTGTCTCCAGGAGCGCTTCACTTGGCAACCTGGGTGAACCATGATAATGCATTTAAAGTAGTGTTTCCTGATGTGTGTATCACAGAAAAGTGGGGTGGGGGACAGTGTCTAGAGTTATCCTAAAGCTCAGAAATGACCTTTGAAATGAGTCCTTCTCAATAGTATTCTACATATCTTGAGTGATTCTTTTTTTCCTTCCATTTATTATAGTTTTATTGATATATAGTAATTGTTCATATTTATGGGGTACATGTGATATTTTGATACATGCATACAATGTGTAATCGTCATATCAGGGTAACTTGGGATATCCATCACCTCAAAGATTTTATTATTCCTTCATGTTGAGAAGATACCAAATCTTCTCTCTTAGCTATTTTTAAATATATAACAAATTATTGATAACTGTAGTCACCCTACTGTGCTATCGAACACTAGAACTTATTTCTTCTATCTGACTATATTTTTGTACTCATTAATCTACTTCTCTTTATTCTCCCCTCCCCTATGCCCTTCCCAACCACTGGCAACTGCCACTCTACTATCTACCTCCATGAGATCAACTTTTTTAGCTCCCATGTATCAGTGAGAACATGCATATATCACTATTTCTTGATATATACATTTAATATATTTCTATTAACTCCTCAACTGTGAAAAATAAGGATTTACTTCCAAAACTTATCTGACTTTTTAAAAATTACTCCATTCTGATTTTTGCTAGTTATTATTTTAGTTCCGTTGCTTGCCTTTGTAAGTTTAAATGTCACCATGAAACTTCTATTTCTTGTTTCACCAACTTAAGCTATTAAGTTGTTTTTGTTTTTTGTTTGTTTGTTTTTGAGACAGGGTCTCACTCTGTTGCCCAGGCTGGAGTGCAGTGGTACAATCAAAGCTCACTGTAGCCTCCACCTCCTGGTCTCAAGTGATCCTCCTACCTCAGCCTCCCAAGTACCAGGGATTACAGGTGTGCACTACCATGCCCAGCTAATTTTTGTATTTTTTTGTAGAGACAGCGTTTCACTATGTTGCCCAAGCTGGTCTTGAGCTCCTGGGCTCAAGCAATCTGCCTGCCTCGGCCTCCTAGAGTGCTTGGGTTACAGGCATGAGACACGGTGCCTGGCCAGCTATTTTATCTTGACTTCCCACTGTGTCAGATGAGAAAGTTAGCTCCCACTTCCTTCCTCCTTTTCTATACTCTTCTCCTTTTATATCATCAGGGTTGATTGTGTTTATATTCTCTTTTGTAACCACTATTAAGGTTGAGGGTTTATTCAATGAGTTATCTCATAAAGTTGAAAAGCAATAAATAATATTTAAACAATTTACTTTTTATTTATTGCTAAGTAAAATGGAGTGCTACGATTGTACTTTATTCTCCATGGGTGTGATGCACTCTTGGGTGACTCTTATTTTCTGTTTGCTTTTTTCTTCGCAATCATATATTCCAAAAGTTGATACTCCATCTATTTTATTCCTTTGTAAATTGGTATCTAACTTACGTATGTCTAATCCTACAATTTCATGATTCTGACAAGTCAAGTATGTCTGATTCTGAACTCACCAGGAAACTGATATTCTGTAAAGTTAACATAATAGAACCTTCTTTTCTGATGTGGAAATATTTATTTAACTAGAAAAATGGACAATGTTTTAAAATCAACACGGCAGTCATCCTTCTGAAGAGCTGAGAGCCACACAAAAAGAAATTGTATTGATATGTTTACCAACTTGAACTAGCACTTTTAATAGTATATTTAAGAGCAACCTACAGACTGTATATATTATATACATTACAGATTGTATATATTTAGAATTCCAGTTCTAATTGATATTCATTCTGATTTACTATTACGAGAAGGTATGATATTTACTGAAGGTGTGAATAGGATAAATAAGATTGTAGTGGGGTAAAAATATCTAATAATCCCAAGGAATGTTGTGTTGAATCAATTTTCCCATCAGTGTTATAAGTGCCAATATATTTCTTCATCACATCTATTTTGTAGGTAATATGGAAACATCCTTGACTTTAAAATAATGGCTACATTTATTTTTTAAATATGTAAGAATCCAATCCAGTCATTTAGAGGACTGAGGCTGTCCTCTTCTCACACTTTTAGTTGTGACTAAATTTTTGTTTTGTTTTGTTTCTATAGCTGTTTATTGAGAAAACTTCTGCATATCATGCATGCTATTTACAGAAAAAACTAGAAGTTGGAGACCATTTTGGGGAAAAATAGGCTGAAACATTCAATGTTATTATTCACAATTAAAGAGAGAAAGGGTAAAATGTTAACCAGCTGAGGTTCTTTTTATTGCATAAGATTTTGGGGTACTCCAGTCAATCCTTCACTATTTCGGTGCTTCTGCTTCCTTTGTGTGCCAAGTTTTGTAGGTCTGGGAATTACGTGCTAAGCTCATATAGACAGGTACACACACAAAGATATATACATACTCTGATCTTCCTTGATATTCTAATGTGATAAGTTAATAACATCATTCTCCGAGGCAGAAGCACAGCCTTCTTGCTCTTCCTATCCCCCGATCAGACAGTAGCAAAATTTCTGCAGTGCTCTGGGATGGAATTGATATTTAGTGATTCAGGTCCTTGTTCCTCAGAGGCTTCATTTCTGGTTCATGGGAAATTCTCATAACATCTGCCAGAGACTTACAAATGCGTTGTCTGCAATCTTGTATCTGTTGACCATTGCAAAGACAAGCATCCACCTCCAAGAAGTTCCTTTTGGGTGCTTTGTGTTAGAGGAGTGTCTTAAAAAAATTTACAGCCTCTGACATTAATTATTTTTTAAAATAGCATGATGTTTAACTGATTATAAAAGTTGTATGGACTTTGGAAAATGGAAAAAGCATAAGTAGAAAAATTTTAAATTGCTTATGCTATTTAATCAACTAAAGAGAAAATGACGGGTCCAGACAGATGCTTAAAGCACCCAAAGGTAGGTTTTATGAGCATTTTTGTGGAAATTATTATCTCTTTATTCAATGCATATATCTTTTAAATGAAATCAGGGCTTATGCTATACCACACTGTAACTTATGCAGAATTTGTAATGTTCACAGCATCTGAAAATCTTCATTTTAGTCCAGCTGATTATGCAGTGTAACCTGGGCCATAAATTAAACCTGGGGATGAGACTATGACCATGCATGCTTCTGTATTAGGAATAGATCACAAATATGTCATCAAATACTCTTATATCATGTGATTTTCAGTAGTTTATAAAGCCCATGACATTAATCTTAATTTGTTTAACCTATCCTTTATTCTCAGACATTTTATGGTTTTTAGTTTTTCAATATTCTTAAAAACTCTTCCTATACCTACTTACTTTTTCATATTTGGGGGAAATTCACTAAAAGCAGAATTTGAGCCAGTATATGTGATAGCAGGTTAAAGGATTTTTTTTCCATATCGATTCTATGACACTTTTGTATCCACATTTCTAGCCACATTCCCCTTTCTTTCTCTCTCTCCTTTTCTGCCTCCCTTCCTTCCCCCTCTGTTTCTCTCTGTCTCTCCTCTCTTCTTTCTTTTTCCTTCTTTCTTCTGTTTCCTCTCCCTTCTCTCTCTCACCCTTCAATTAAGTTCAAGCATTTTACATATTGAAATAACCAAGAAAAGTACAGAAACCAAGGTGGTCACCATACATGAAGCATAGCTTGAAAAACTATGGATCAACTCTTTAAAAAAAAATGGGCAAGGAAAAAAACAACTATTGAGTACTGAGGTATTAGGTTTGAAGAATATTATATCTTTTGCAATGTATGATGTGACTTGTGCAAGAATTAAAAATCAAGAGAGAGCAAACAGAAAAATTTGCTAATAACTGGAGGAATCAGGTAGTCATCACTCAGGCTGAAGTGAATTCATGTGGGCCATCTCTTTGGGCTTTATAACTTTATAAATTTGTGGGTACACCCCAGGAACAGATGCTTTAGGGGAAACTTAGATGCTGAGTTTCCTGGATTAATATAGAAACTGGCATATTCTAAATGTAAAGTTGGTTCAGAATGGTGTCTTTATTTTTATTTGAAACAACATGTTAAGATCCTCAATAGCTATAGGAGAGTTCTGGTTCAATTATGACAATGGATAATGTAATAGATCGTTCCTGCATTGCTATAAATAAATACCTGAGACTGGGTAATTTATAAACAAATGAGGTTTAACTGGCTCACAGTTCTGCAGCCTGTACAGGAAGCGTGATGCTAGCATCTCCTCAGCTCCTGGGGAGGCCTCAGGAAACTTGCAGTCATGGTGGAGGGCAAAGGGGGAGCCAGTATTCAAATCGCTGGAGCATGGGTGGGGGAGGTGCTACACACTTTCAAACAACCAGATCTCAAAAGAGCTTATTATCGTGACAACAGTACCAAGGGAAATGGTGTTAAACCATTCAACAGAAACTGCCCCCATGATCCTATCACCTCTCACCAGGCCCCACCTCCAACTTTACGGATTGCAATTCAACATGAGATTTGGTGGTGACACAGATCCCAATCATATCAGTTGGTGATGAATCTGGATTGATCCAAAATTTATTTCATTCCTAGCGTCTTTCTTCCTTTATTTGACTTTCAGTTGGATTTAGTCTGGTTGTAATATCCTGAAATATACTGTTTTCATAAAGTATCACATTGGGACAACTATGATTCTGTGAAATGTGGTGGTGGGCTACAGGAAAATTCATTTTTTTAACTGGTATTGATTAAGCAATACATACTTTTTGTCTAAAATTTTGTCTCTTTTTTTTTTTTCTTGGCTCAGATCTCTTATGTTCTGTTTTCATGAAAAATGCCTTGCCTGAGTATTATATGAAGCTAGGAATTTAGATGAGATTTGAAATGCTTGCTTGAGCACCACAGTTTTTCAAATATCCAGATTTTTGTGTTAACGTAAACTAAATATCCAGGTGGTCGAGTGACTACACAAATTTGGGTAGTTGGCATCAGACAGGCAAATGGAATATTCAAGTTGCCTTCTTCAAGGATACAGTTCAATATACACACTTTCACATCTGTTTGTCATTAGCTGAGAATTATGAGAGAGGCAGGATAATGTAGTGGCTAAGAGCAAAGATTTAGACTTAGACCTGGGTTGATATACTCACACTACTGTTATGATGTGATTTGGGGCAGGTTTACTTAGTGTGTCTGTTTTAGTTTCTTCACTTATATCATGAGAATAATTTTATATATATATATATATATATATATATATATATATATATATATATCATGGTGGCATTATGTATGTAAGTGAAATAATTATATAGGAAGAAGTTAACATAGTCCAGAGCAAATAATAAATGCTCTGTCAATAGTGTTAACTGTATTAACTAATATCATCATCATCATCTGAAATGTGGATGAGAATTGGAATAAAGTGGCTTGCTTTGGCACTGAAAACTGTATCTTTACAAAGCATAGATATTCTTCTACTTCTATGCAGTTCTATCATGTGATGCCTTAGCCATTTTAGAAAGAGGTGTGAGATATATACAAATGAGTGACTGAGTGATCAAATGACACAAATACCAACAATGCACTTCTATATTCTAGATGGTGTTTGAAGTAGATCTTGAAGAACAGGCAGAGAGAATTGTCATGGACTCATGGACTAGCAACTGAGGAAGAATATCTAACTAGAGGGGTCACCAACAGCAAACAGCACAGGGATTCCTAGTGATTAGTTTTCTTTTTATGTTATATATTCAACAGGTATTTCAGACTCTATTCTAGCCAGGCACTAGAACAAAGGCCATCTAATTTGGATATAGCATAGGCTGGAAAGGGGAATATGCCAAAGATAATTGTAGAAAATGTAATACTTAGAGTTTGGGCTTGACTCTGGCAAGTTGAGGGAGTCATTTTTGCTATCGGACAGTCAGCCTTTAAAGTCTGAATCAGTATTCACTGCTGTATTCTCTGTATTCCTCGTACCGCAGGGCCTGGATGGAGGCATTCAGCAAACATTGGTTCTCAATTTTAGGAAGATAGCAACTATCATTTTTAATCTACTTTATTATTACTTTTCTGACCATATAAACATTGCCCATTTTAAAAAATAATTTAATGTATAAAATATCCCACAATCAATTCATTGACTCATGCAGTCAACAGATATTTATTAAACATGTACTACTTCTCTGATTTTGAGGCACTAATCCCAGAGATAATTGAGGCTTTTTGTTTGTTTGTTTCTACCACAGCTCTACAAAGTGTTGGCCACATAATAGGTCCAAAATAAATTGTAGTCACATACAAAGAGACAAGTGTTTTACTGTAGTGGAGAAAAATTTAACCCCACGTTACATCATTGTTTTGCAATTTTGTGTTTCTAAAAACACTTAGTTTGAGCTACTCTATGGAATACAGAAAAAGCTACCTAATTTAGTGTCCAGAATCTCCAAATCTAACATAAACCAAAATTCGTCCCCTATATGTAACTCAAAAGCAGACTTCACCTTCATCCCCAGCTTCATCATATGTGTATTATTAATCCAGGAAATTATACTATGTATTACAGGCATTAAACTGAACAGAAGGGAGGGAGGCACACCCTACCTTATGCAGAGTCTATTTTAAATGTTTTCAGCATCTGAAAACCTTCATTTCAGACTAGCTAATTATACAGTGCAACCTGAGCCATAAATTAAACCCGGGGATGAGACTATGACCAAGCATGCATCTATAATGTTTATGAGCTATAAGGTCATTGCAGAGAACAGCAAGGAACATAGTTGTAATAGACTGTTGGCCTCTAAGGAAATTATTAATTAAATTTTATCTTCTCCCCAGCATGCTTCAGTGGTACCACTATGAGTCTTTAGACCTGGGGAAACTACACCTCGGTAATAACCGGCCTTATCACCGGGCCGGCAGTCATTTAATATGCTTCTTTGTCTGACACCAATCATGAACTGCAGTGTGGGATGTCAAGGCTTCTGCAAATGCCAATCGCACGCCTCACTGTACATCAGGCCCAGGGTTCAGATCTTATGATAGGAAATCCAAGAATCAACCGCCAGCAGAGTAATCCGTTTTCTGGAAACAAGATGTGGACAGTCTCGTTTCCAGCATCCAGCCCCTTCAGTCTCCCATGTTATCTCTGAAAGAGTTAAAATCACTCTTAAAAGACCAAAGTGAAGAGACTCAAGTGTCACTGTATTTACACCATCTAGATGGAGTGCTATTTTTGAGTCTTTGGCTTAAGGTGCAGACTTGACTAGGAAAATCAGAGCTGAAATGTCATTTCCAGCTACTTTCTTTGAGAGATTTCCCAGATGGATTGGCTCAGCCCACGAATCAAATGGCATTTTTGTTGTTGTTGTTTCTAACTGCTTGCTGTGTCAACCAGCTGTGTTCGTCCTGCCCCACACTGGATCCCCCACATTAAATGTTTTCTGATCAGCTGGCAGCTGTTCTGAAGACACACAAAGCAGATTGGAGTCCGGCTCTGTTTTTCCATAGATGGGCAGCCCTGCCCCACTAATGGGGATTTAAGCATCTTCATTTTAGGCAAGACAGCAGGTAGAGAATATAAAGCACAGATGTGTTGATTAGATTCTGAGTTTTCCAAATTGTTACTTAAATGTGCCTTCTGTGGCCCAGTTATGTATTCTGATGACTGTGTCATTTACCCCTGCTTTATAAATTTGAGTCACTGACCCATCTCCTCTCTTCACAATCCCCTTTGTTATCAAAAACTCATGATAACAAAGGAAATCTAGGAAGAGTGAAAATTCAACTCAGGAGACTTTGACTGAATGCCTGAAAGATGGTACTGTGGCACCATCAGTGAGACCAAGAATGAATAAGACACAGTCCCTAGGATGAAAAAATCAAGAAGTGACAACACTGGCAATAGCTATGACAATTTTTACCCAAATTGCCTCTGAGTAGGCTGCATATTTGAGGTTGACAGCATGTGTGGAAATTACACTCACATCTTTATTATGGCCTTGCTACTTATGTCATATCCCTGGGTGTTCTCCTTGGAAACACTTTTGTGAAGACAATTAGGGTTAGGAGAACTTTATTTTCCATATTACAATTTCATAGAGGAATCTGTTCCACTCTGAATTTTTAAAAGCCATTTTAAGGTGATCTGCTTTATGAAACCTGATAAGCTCTATGGAAATTTCAGGCAAGAGATTTATAGCAAAGAATATTTTCAGTAGAGACATCACCAGACAAAAACAGTAAATTTTTATCAGGAATGCCGGAACCCAAATTGCCATTTTCCATTGCCTCTGGAAAAAGGAAAATTATTTAACCTTGGGAAAGTTTCTAGTTGTACACAATTCTCATAGAACTTTAAACTCTTAAAAAGTGGAAGGCCTTTGAGACCCTCATCTTGTCTAACATCCTGCCATGTGTATAAATTCCTTCTACAATTTCCCTGCTGGGCTACCATACAATTTTTTATTAGTATCTTCAGTGCTGGGAATTTTACTCCCTCGTAACAGTGCATTCATCTTTTTAAACATTTATAGACATGGATTAATATGTTTAGGTAGAACTGATACAAACAATTTAACCAATTACATTTTGCCTGTTCCAGCTATCTGGCCAAAAATATGTTTAAGTTCCAGTTTATAAGGGCCACTTTTCCTTTTCTCAATTGTGCATAGAAAAACTGAATGGTTTTGTATATGTCATAGTATGGTGCCATTACAAATACCAACAATGATGTTTATAATAGACTTCTTAATTTACCTTTTTACTGTGGTAAAATATATATAACATAAAATTTACCATTTTAACCACTTTTAAGTGCATATTTAGTGGCGTTAATTACATTCACAGTGTTGTGCAATTATCACTATTATTTCCAAAAATACTCATTACCCCAAACAGAAACTGCACCCATTAAGTGATAACTTCTCATTTCTCCCTTTCCGTAGTCTCTGGTAACCTCTACTATATATTCTATCTCTATGAGTTTGCCTATTCTAGATATTTCATTCAAGTAGAATCATACAATAATTGTCTTTTTGTGTGTAACTTCATTCACTTAGAATGTTTTTGAGGTTCATCCATGTTTACCATGTATTAGAACTTCATTCCTTTTTATGGCTGGATAATATTTCATTTACATATGCGCCACATTTTATTTATTCGTTCTTCTGTTGATGAGCACTTAGGTGTTTCTACCTTTTGGTTATTGTGAATAATGCTGCATGAACATTGGTATATAAGTATCTATTTGAGTCACTGTTTTCAATTATTTGGGGTGCATGCCTAGGAGTGGAATTGCTGGGCCATATCCTAACTCTGTGTATAACTTTTTGAGGATGGAAGCTGCATTATTTTACATTCCTCCAGCAATGTGTGGGGATTCCAATTTTTCCACATCCTTGACAATACTTATTTTCCTTTTTAAAAATTATAGCCATCTTAGTAGATGTGAAGTAGTATCTTAGTGTGGTATTTTTTGCATTTTCCTAATAATTAATAATGTTGAGCATCTTTTCATGTACATATTGGCCATTTGTATATCTTTTATAAGAAAACATGTATTCAATTCCTTTGCCCATTTTTTATTTGGGTTGTTTGTCTTTTTGTTGCTGAGTTATAAGAGTTATTTTTTTACTCTGGATATTAAAACCTTACCAAATGTATGATTTGCAAATTTTTTTCCTATTCTGTGGGTTGTATTTTCACTCTCTTGATAGTGTCTTTTGATATACAGAAATTTTTATTTCGGTGAAGTCCAATTTTATATATTTTTGTTATTGTTACCTGTGCTTTTGGTGTCATATTAAAACTATTGCCAAGTCTGACATAATACACATTTGCCATTATATTTTCTTGCAACAGTTTTATAGTTTCAGCTCTTAAATTGAAGTTTGTAGTTTATTTTGAGTTAATTTCTTGTTCATATTTGGGTAGGGCCCAACTTCATTCTTTTGAATGTGGATGTCTGGTTTTTTCCTAGCACCATTTGTTGAGGAGAGTATTCTTTCCTCAATGAATGGTCTTGACACCCTTGTAGAAAATCATTTGACCATAGAGATGATGGTTTATTTCTGGGCTCTCAATTCTATATTGTTATATAAAACCGTTGTTATCCCTGTACCACATCATTTTGATTAATATAGCTTTGCAGTAAGTAAGTTTTGAAATTAGGAAATGTGAGTTCTCCAACTTTATTCTTTTTCAAGATGAATTGACTATTCTTGTATTCTTGGTCCTCTGAAATTCCATATGAATTTTAGAATCAGTTTTCACATTTCTTCAAGAAACACCATTAGGATTTTGATAGGGATCGCATTGAATCTGTGTGTCACTTTGAACAGATATACCACATTGGGGCAGCATTATCATCTTAACAGTATTAAGTCTTCCCATCCATGAACACTGAATGTGTTTCCATTTATTTTTGTCTTGCATTTCTTTAAGCAATGTTTTGTAGTTTTCAGTGTACAAGTCTTGTACCTCCTTAGTTAAATTTATTCCTAAGCATTTTATTATTTTTTATGCTATTGTAAACAGCGTTTTTATAAACTTCCTTCTCAGAGTGTTCATTGCCAGTTCATAAAAATACAACTTCTTTTGTTGTTGATTTGTATTCTGCAACTTTGCTGAATTCATTTTATTAGCTATGACAGATTTGCGTGTGTGTGTTTGTGTTCTTAAGGTTTTTAAATGTAAGATCATATCATCTGCAGGCGAAGATAGTTTTACTTCTTCCTTTCTAATTTAGGTGCCTTTTATTTATTTTTCCTGCCTAATTGCTCTGGCTAGGTCTTTCAGTATTATGTTGAATATAAGTGATAAAAGCAGGCATCTTTGTTGAATATAAGTGATAAAAGCAGACATCTTTGTCTTGTTCCTAATCTTAGGGGCTACATGGCTTTTATCAAATTGAGGATGTTCCCTTCTATTTCTAATGTATTGAGGGTTTTATCATGAAAGGATATTTGTTAGATTTTGTCAAATGCTTTTTCTTTGTCAATTGAGACAATCACATAGTTTTTTCCTTTATTCTATTAATGTGGTATATTACACTCATTGATTTTCATACATTTTACCACTTTTGCAATCCTGGGATAAATTTCACTTGCTCAGGGTGTATAATCCTTTCAATATGCTGTTGAGCTTGGTTTCCTAGTATTTTGTTGAGAATTTTTACATCGGTATTCATAAAATGTGTTAGTTTATAGTTTTCTTTGCTTGTGTTGTCTGTCTGACTTTAGTATCAAAGTAATGCTGGTCTCATAAAGTAATTAAGAAAGTGTTTTTGTTTCTGTGTTTTTGTTTTCGTTTTTTTGAAAGAGTTTGAGAAGGATTGGTGTTAATTCTTCTTTAAATGTTTAGAATTCACCTGTGAAGACATCTAGTCTTGGGCTTTTCTCTGGAAGATTTCTAATTACTGATTTCATTTCCTTGCTTGATACAGGTCTACTTGGATTTTCTATTTCTCCTTAAGTCAGTTTTGGTAATGTCTGTGTTTCTAGGAATTTGTCCAGTTAATCTAGGTTACCCAATTTGTTGGCATACAGTTATTCATAATATTCTCTCTCTTTTCTTTTTTTTTTTTTTTTGAGACAGAGTCTTGCTCTATCTCCCAGGCTGGAGTGCAGTGGCATGATCTCAGCTCACTGCAGCCTCTATCTCCCAGGCTCAAGCGATTATCCTGCCTCAGCCTCCCAAGTAGCTGGGGCTACTGGCATGCACCACCACGCCCAGCTAATTTTTGTACTTTTAGTAGAGACGGGGTTTTGCCGTGTTGGCCAGGCTGGTCTCGAACTCCAGACCTCAGGTGATCCGCCCACCTTGGCCTCCCAAAGTGCTGGGATTATAGGCATGAGTCACCACACCCAGCCTTATAATATTCTCTTACATCCATTTTTTTTTTCTGTAAACTCAGTAATAATGTTAGTATACAACCCCCCACTTTATTTTTGTCTCTCTCATCATTAGAGAGGTTTTCCTTGATTTTTACTAAAATCTGGATCCAAGAACCTTTCTGACATTTGGTCCTGGTTCTCAGACTTTATTATTTTTTGGTCAGTTTAAGACAAAAACACATTGCTGATAGTGATGATAATAATGACAGCAATAACAGCTCCCATTTACTAAATGCTTTCCACATGCCAGGCATTATATGTGAAATAGCTTCCTATATCATCTCACTCAACTCTTAACCCCATGAGTTAGGTATTATCATCTTATCCTATCAATTTTCAGAAAACTAAAACACAAAGCAGTTAAGTCATTCATCAAGTTAGAGTATCCAGGAAAATCAAAGAAAGATTTAATTTTGATTAGGATTAGTCCAAGGCTTATAAGTCCACAGAATTCACCAAGCCTACAAAATATACAGTTTTCTCTCTTGTTTTGCTTATGGATACTAAGATATTTTATTTCCTTCTGTGGCTGACATTACCTATTACGACGGGTTGCAGTGGGAATGTTTACAGATAGGAGAAACAAGGATGAGGTATTTGGGAGAAGAGATGGTCTGTGAAGGTAGGCTGTCAATAAGTGCTAAGAAAAACAGATTAATTATATAAATAATTCACATTAAACAAAAAACTCATGGCAATTAAAATTGGCCTCTACGGTAAAAATATTTCAGGAAAAGATGGATAAATTGGGAGACTATTTTATCTGAAATAGCTGTTGAGTTGTGCCTTAATTTAAACATGCAGAAAAAAAGAGAATTCTCAAACCCTGCTGCTCAGGAAAGCAAGCTGAAAGGGAAGGTGGCAAAAGAAGGAATGAACTTTGATTACCTTCAGGCTCTGTATCATCCAATCCACTCACCCTATAATCTGTCAGACAATGTTTATTTTTGTAGATAGGCCATAATTCATTATTTTGTGCATGTGCTAATACAATGGAGAATGCATTCTGTTTCAACCAAATACTAAAAGTGGAGTTGTAGAATTGTGAGGCCATTTCCACTGCTTTAATTCAAATCTAGATCATAATAAACCACAGTCTGAAAGAAGAGCATGAAGCCTGGCTCTGCTTTGTGCAAGCCTTTTGAAAAGATGAAATGAAAAAGTCAAAGGAGAAAAGACACCAGCTCCCCAGAATTATATCAGACATATTAATCATGGAAGGTCCAAACGGAATTCCTGGAATGCAAACGGCTGTGCAGTATGGCCATTTCCCATAATTTCCAAGTTGCTCTCCATCAGCTGGATAATACTGTTTAATCCCTTACGCTGATTTAAAATTCCATCAGAGGGAAGTAATGTGTTTCTGTTCTGGAGGTTTACTATGGTAAATGCATTACTGGATTAACTTTATCTTCACTATTACAGGGGTCTTTTAGGTGCTAACACAATTTTAAAATAAAACAAAAACTCTTCTATTTGAGAATGCATTTTCCACATCAGAACTCATTTGTGATGTTTATTGAGTGCTATTTGACATCTGAAAAGCTTAAGTCTTGTCCTTTACAGGCAGAGGAGCCTTAGTAACAAAAGAGCTAGACAATCAAAACCCTTAAATGATATGGGATTAGTCTAGTGTTATGCCCAAGTGAGATTTCTATCCATATTCCTTTGTGTATTTTAATTTTCTGATTATGAGCAATGTTGGCTGTTCTTAAACGTTTGTGGCCACAGAAACCTTTGATCAAAAGAAACCTCACTTATGGGCATAAATAAATAAAGCAGATGAAGACACCAGTTGAGGAAAATGGACACATTGTTCATCCTTCTATGGTGGTGGCCCTTGAGGAGTTCCATGGCTAGGCCCCTGAAGAGCAGTTTTTTTGGTTGCATTAGTGGAATGCATTCCACTAAAAAGAATTCAAATTCACAAATGCATTCCTATAAACATGGAAACACAGAAGAATATAGACAAAGAAGTTGTTATCCCCTCTTTGACCCCACTCCCCTCTCTAGAGATTACCACCATGAACAATTTGGTGGGTCTCATTCTGGATCTTCTCTCTGTATTTAGAAATAAGTATATATATATATATATATATATATATATATATATATATATATATATATGCACAAGTTATTAACTAATATATAATTTTAGGATGTTAAAATATACATTCTACGTGCTCATAAGTTTTATATAGGCAAGGATTTTTGTCTGTGGTTCACTACTTTATCCCCACTCCCTAAACAGTACCTGACATATAAATCATCTATAAATGTTTGCTGTTTTAGGGGATAAATTATCCTGCAGCTTGCTTTTATGATCAGCAATAGGTCTTGGAGATCTTTCCATGATAGCCCATATAGAACCTTTTTAAAGGTTGCATTATGTTTTTTAGTATGGATATTCCAGAATTTGCTTTACCATTTTCCTGTAGATGTAATTCAGGTTGTTTCCAATTTTCTGCTAGTATAAGCAATGCTGCAACGAACACCCATGAAAATGATTCTCTGTGTACATGTGCAAGTGTTTCAGTAAGGTGGCTTTTTTGAAATAGAATTTGTATCTCTGAAGGTACACACATTCTGATCTCCTCTAGGTTTGTGGATTCCTTTCTCTTCTCCTGCAAGTGAAAAGAGCATGGAATACTTTTTATGGGCCAGGATATTGGGTATCTCATCCCCACCCACATTGCATTGGCTAGAAATTAGTCACATGCCCTCTTTTAACTGCAGTAGGGGATTGGGAAACACAGATTAGCTATATACCGAAGAAAAATAGAAAAATTGTTTGGAGAGTTTCTCACATGTCTGTCATAGCAAGAGAAGCTAGCAAATGTTCTACCTAATCATGTGCCCAGCTAAAACTTTCTTATTGTTCAAGAAGGGCAGGACTGATATTGGTAGACAGCTCATCATCTGCCACTGCTCTATTGACACTTGAGTTTGTAACTCTTATGGAAGGCATCTCTGGGGCAATCCCATCTATTTAAATCACATGTACCCTTCTCAAAACTCATATTTTACTGAATTTTAGCCCAATCTGAGTATACCTCAGGTCAACAGGCTCACTTGTAGTTGATCTGAAAATGACTGACAGCACAAGATGGATCTTTTTAAAAAAAATTAGTAGCACCTGTTCGCAAGGGATTTATTGTGTTTAGTGATCAGAAGCTGAGACTTTATCATCTGTCTCCAGATTGTCAAGTCACTTAACATGGCCTTTGAAATTTCTGTGCTGGTGCTGAGTGATGAACAAGCATCAAAGAGGTATTTCACTGCTCATTCAGTCTTCTTGGCCACTGATGAGAGCCAGACCATGGGATTAGGCCTGCTTCTAGAATTCTGGCACTGGGAGCTTTGGGTCTAAGATATAAAGATATATCCTCCTCCTTCTCCCATCTGATGTTATCTCATAATCAGCCAAAGTGAAACGTTATAATTTCTATTTATTTGTATTATTCTTTATGCAGCAGGAAAGCTGTCTGTGGCTTTTCAAAATGCGCCTGGTAGAGCATGGATGGCCCATCATGCATAGGTAAATTCTGATTTTTATTAAAAAAGAATGTCACTGTCCATATGAAACTTTGTTTTCTTTTGAGAAAGTAAATAGGTTGTTCTCTGTAAACTAAATTTGGTGGAGAGCTGCAAATCCCCTCTGCAACTGCTTGAGCCTCATTGAGCTATTTCTTGGCCCCCAAAGGCACTCAGCACTTCCCTGAATCCTGCTTTACTGACAACTCTTCCTGATAACAGCTCCCATGCATTCTCAAGTCCCAACTCAGACGACACCTCCTGTGTGATGATACCTCCCAACCCACATAGCAGATTTACTTGCTCCCTCAACTCTGACTTGTTGCCCTTAACATTTTTCTCTTAGTATCATAGTGCATTGCAAAACATTTGGAAATAAAGAGAAGCATAAAAGTAGAAACGTTAAATTACCTGTTATCATAACACCTAGTAATTTCTGTTAACATTTTTAATACATTTTCCCAATACATTTATTTTTATATAGAATTAAAAACTATATTATATAGTTTCTTACTTAGTAGTATATTGTGAACAATTTCACATCATTAAGGATTCTTTTTAATTGCAATAATTTTTTAGTGTTCTGGCCTATGTCTAGGATAATTTTTGAATTCTTCATTCTTTTTTTTTTTTTTTTTTTTTTTTTGAGACGGAATCTCACTCTGTCACCCACTCTGGAGTGCAGTGGTGTGATCTTGGCTTACTGCAACCTCCGCCTGCCTGGTTCAAATGATTCTCCTGCCTCAGCCTCTCCCGAGTATCTAGGATTACAGGTGTGCACTACCAAGTCTGGCTAATTTTTGTATTTTTAGTAGAGACGGGGTTTCACAGTGTTGGCCAGGCTGGTCTCGAACTGCTGACCTCAAGTGATCTGCCTGCCTCGGCCTCCCAAAATGCTAGGATTACAGGCATGAGCCACTACACCCAGCCAAATTCTCCATTCTTTTACATTTAGGTTATTTCTGATTTTTTTTGCTAGTATAAATAATGCTGACAAACATCGTTTTGATAAATCTGTGTATGCATCCCTGGGTTTTTTTTAGAATTAATTTTTAGAACTAGAATAACTAGGTCAAAGACAAGTACATGTGTATTTTTAATGCTTTTGGTAGGTTTTTCTAGGCCTTATAATAACACTTATCAGAATAAAATAATTGTGTATTTACCTGTTTTTATCTCACTTGTCTATAAGTTCTTTCAGAACAAGGACTTGCTCGTGTTTGTATTTATAGCATTTGGGATAGTGCCTAGCATATTACAAATGTCAATAAATGTTGAATAAATGAATGGAAAGAAATATTGGTAAGGTGGTTCACGGCAATTGAAGTTTAGCCATAAGCTAATATAGATCCTATGTAAAGCAGTATTTTCCAAGATATGTTCCGTGTCATTCATTCATTCAGCAAATATTAATCAGCCTCAGATATTGTCTTGTACCTCAACAATGATTGCTGATCCTTACAGTGCTTGCAAATCTAGTGAGAAAAGCTAAATGCATTAAATAATAAGAAGAAACGATTATAGTTTACGATAAACATGTAGGAAATAAACAGGATACTGCCATAGAACTGCGCAAACTTTAGCCTGTATCAGAATCACCTGAAGGGCTCGCTAATACACATGGATTTGCCACACCCCAGAGTTTCTGATTCAGCAGGTCTAGGGTGGGGCCTGAGAACTTGCATTCCTAACAAGTTCCCAGATGTTCCTGATGCTGTTGGTTTCAGGACCACATTTTGAAAACTACTGTGATAGGGAGTAACATCGAGAAGGGCAAGGGAGAAGGCTGTGCTTTAGGTGGTTACAAAAGCTTTGCCTGGCCTGTAATCCCAGCACTTTGGGAGGCTGTGGCAGGCAGATTGCTTGAGGCCAGGAGTTCAAGACCAGCCTGGCCAACATGGCAAAACCCTGCCTCTACTAAAAATACAAAAATTAGCCAGGCATGGTGGCACATACCTGCTTTCCCACCTACTTGGGAGGCTGAGGCAGGAGAATCACTTGAACCTGAGAAGCAGAGGTTAAAGTGAGCAATTCAGCCTCAGCCTCAGTGAGAGGCAGAGTGAGAGACTGTCTCAAAAAAAAAAAAAAGTAACAACAAATCTTTGCCTGACGATAAGATAGTTAAGCTGACACCTGAAGGATTAAGAGCTGTAAAAAGTCTCAGAAACACTAGGCAGATGCGACAGCAAATCTCCAGGAACAGGAAAGAGCTGGGAGGAGGCCAGTGAGACTTGCAGTTAATGAGGAAGAAAATAATAGTCAAAGTTGGAGATGTGGGCCCAATGTCAGATGGTGTGGGCCCAGCGTCAGATGGTATGGGACCTTATAGATCATGGGAAGAAGTTTGGATTTTACCTTAATGCAGTGGAAAGCCAGTTTATATTCTAAAGAGATCACTCTGTGTTAAGAGGAAAAAGGATGCAAAATAAGCAGGAGGTGAATGGAGAGACCAGATTTGGAGGCCATGACAGTGGACAGTGAGAGATGAGGTTGGTCTGAGCTGGGGAGTGACAGTGGAGATAGTGAGAAGAGGAGGGAATAAAACTGTTAACCATTTCACCCCCAGGAATTTCTTGGGAAGCATTGGCTACAACAAAATTACAACCAGTTCTTAGGACTTGCATGGTGGCTCTTTGGGACTTTGGGAGTCCAGGGCAGATGGATTGTTTGAGTTCAGGAGTTCAAGACCAGCCTGGGCAACATAGCGAAACACTGTCTCTACAAAAAATAAAAAAATTAGCTGGGTATGGTGGCATGCACCTGTAGTCCCAGCTACTCGGGAGGCTGGGGTGGGAGGATTGCTTGAGCCTGGGAGGTGGAGACTGTAGTGAGCTGTGAGTGTGCCACTGCACTCCAACCTGGGTGACGGAGTAAGACCCTGTTTCAAAAAAAAAAAAGAAAACCAATTGTTAACTGCTAGAGTTTTCAGATCCTTTCAAATGACAATGCTTATTGTGAATCTCTAATAAGATATTTTTCCCCAGAGGACCTCAGGTAATTGTTTTAAAAAATATATGGCTCTGGAAAAAGCTATAGAGACAGTCAAAAGATCAGCAGTTGCCAGGGTTTGGGGAGAGGGAGGAGTGAATAGGTTAGGCACAGATCATTTTTAGGGTGGTGGAACTACTGTATATGATTCTATAGTGGTAGATACGTGTCATGCTACATTTGTCCAAACCCTGGAATGTGCAATGCGAAGAGTGAACCCTAATGTAAACTATGGACTTTGGGTGATAATGATGTGTCAACAGAGGTTCATCGATTGCAACAAATGAACCACTGTGGTGGAGGTTGTTGATAATGGGGAGGCTGTGCATGTGTGGAAGCAGGGAGTGTATGGGAAATCTCTATAGCTTGTACTCAATTTTTCTGTGAACTTAAAACTGCTCTAAAAAAGTCTACTAAATATATATATATAGGTGTGTGTGTGTGTGTGTATGTATGTGTGTATTGGAGTCATAATTTAAACATCAGCCATTTCAAAGCTTCTTGCCTTGTGTTGGCTTCAGCAGCATGGGAACTTGTTAGAAACACTTCCTACTGAAAGATTCACTCTATACCACGGAAGAACCAGCTGCAGAGTCAGTGACAGTCTTAGGAATATGGTACCAGGAGCATTTCTGACCATGGACTGCTAACCCCAGGCAAAGTATGAATTAAATGAAATTTGCTTACAGACTAAATGACTGATGTGTCTGTGAATTCTTTGGACTCCCCAAACAGGAGACAAGGGGTGGGCCTCGGGGTTCAAATTTTGAAGGATATGAGCCACTTTTATATATTCTCAAGTATTCCTGTTTTGTGATTTTCTTCTTGGCCTAAACATTTAGTGAAGTCTGGATATATGCAAGGAGAAACTAATGCTACCTAAGATATTCTGTGCTGTTACTGTCTCTGCTGAGCCTTTTTTTTTTTTTTTTTTTTTTTTTTTGAGACACTTCTATGCCCAGGCTGGAGTGCAATGGTGTGGTCTCGGCTCACTGCAACCTCTGCCTCCCAGGTTCAAGTGATTCTCCTGCCTCAGCCTCCCAAGTAGCTGGGACAACAGGCATGCGCCACCTCACCTGGCCAATTTTTGTATTTTTAGTAGAGACGGGGTTTCACCATATTGGCCAGGCTGGTCTTGAACTCCTGACCTCAAGTGATTCTCCCGCCTTGGCCTCCCAAAGTGCTAGGATTACAGACATGAGCCACCGTGCCCCACCTTCTGCCAAGCTTTTTTATGGTGCCGTAGGGCCCACGGTGTTGTGGTAGCATTCACTGTTCCAGAAGCTAAGACAAGAACTTGCTGTCTGTGAGACTTTGAGAACTTAACCTCTCTGAGCCTGTTTTCTCATTTGAAAGTATAAATAATAGAAATCACCTCATGAAGTACTTACAAGGATTAGTGAAATTACTCAGGGAAAGTACTGAGCACAACACTAGCTATAATAATGGCTGCTGTGTTATCAGAAGGAATTATGTGTTTTTTACCTCAGTCTTGGTCAGACTTTAACTTGGTTCTTTTCACCTGCCTGGAGCCTTTTCCCACTCCCCACTCACTCCTGGCTTAGGCATTTAGCCACAGTTCTTCCTCCGGTTTATTTGGGGTGGAATATTGTAGGGAGTGATATCTCTGGAAAATGGTAATTCATCTCAAATGCTAATTTAGAGACATTTTCTCTTTTTTTTCCCAGACATCTTTTTTAAACCTAAAAATACTGGAATAAATTTTTGTGGGAAGAATGGAATTTGATTCTTTATCATCAGCAAAATACATCAAAGACTACTAAGTATGTGGTACAGTAACTTTTCATGAGCTGTTAAAGTTAGCAAAGACATCTTTCTGCATTTAAGCTAGGAGCACATTACAGAAAGTATAATGAGGGCTTTTCAAGAGATGCCATTGGCTCCTTTTTCCTCAAATAATTATTAATGATTTAATGATACTTATTTTCCTTTAAAAGAACATGTTTAGGTATCACCATCTTAATTCTTTAATCACCAGATGATAATAAATGGAGAGTCTAAAAAGTTCTGTCCAAAACAACCAGTCTAAACACTTTCCCAAAGTGACTATTTTCCGGGCTTGAAAGTTACCAGCATGAGAAATCGTGATCCAGTGAAGGCATACGTGTGTCAGGGTGACTTAATTAAAGTCTCTCTGATGGCTGTTTGAGAAAACTAATGGGTTTCTTTGTCTAAATCCAAAAGCTCCTATGATATTAAGTTTACCCCAATCACTTCCTGTGGTGTGAAATATGCATTAACTATCTTCTCTACAAATCTGATGAGAAAACCAAGTTCTAAATGTAATGTGTGTCATGTTGGAAGAATCTGGATAAAAGTATTTGAGCCAGTGTAGTAGATGTTAAGAAACAAAGCATGGTCTTGATTATTTCACATTGCGCACAGTTTAACTATTTATAATTTAGAGTGGCAATTTAGATGTTACCAATAATAAGTCAGATGCTAACACAAAGGGTTTTGGCCACTTCTCATAATATGTGGTTTATGTTGCTCCTTCCATGTTCTGGGCACTGTTCTTCAAATGCAGGCTTAACTTTGAGGCTCAGAGGAATAAGGAAAAAGAGATAGATTTTCCTTATTTCTCATATGTTGTTAAAGCCCTTATGAAACTTTCTTACCAGAATGGTAATGACTCTGAAAATTACCCTAGTACAAGGTGTGAAAACACACACTGCCTAGACGTGGATTTCCTGTGCTCAGTCTAGCTAAGGGATGTGAAAGCATTCAGATATCATATGAAAACTACATCTTATAATGTATGAATGTGAAATATAGTTATTATTTACATCTGTGTTTCCAAGCAACCTTTTAAAATTTGATATCACATTTTCTATAGCATATAAGAAATCTTCACTGATTTGGAACTTAAAAAAGAAGATACATTTGTCATAAAATAGTATGTATGACACACTTTTAACAAAATCTACTTATTCTTCTGAAACCTCTATGTGTTTTCTACCAAGAGTTTAATTATTGGCCTTATTAACTCTTTTTATACCTGAGGATAATTAAATTCTTAATTGTACTGCAATGACATATGATTCAAGTAGCTTAATATTTTGGCAATAACTAGGAAGATCCACTAGGATGGTTTAGATGGGGCAGAGTACGTGTGCGTGTGCGTGTGTGTGTGCGTGTATCTCTCTCTCTCTCTCTCTCTCTCTCTCGGGATAGAGATGTTCCATAAAGAGACATCTCTTGGCTAGCAAGATCACCTCTTGAGATTAGAAGGACTTAAATTATCTTAACTGTAGCAGCCACCAAAAGGCCTGGGACCTGTGACATTCCCACTGAGGTTGCCTATGACTGAATGGAGATGTATAATGGAGAGTAATGAACTCACTCTTGCAGGTGCAGCAGAAGTAGACAAGTATGTGATCAAGGGATAAGGACTCTGGGGAAATGGAGCATGAGAGCTGAGAGATGCCTGCTTAAAACATTTTATCCATTAGGGGAATGATTCTGGGTCCAAAAGTTATGTTTGGTTGTATAATTACTGACTTGAGCCATCCAGAAGAGGCAATAGACTTGTGTATTTGCTTGAGTTGGAAAGGAATGAAGAAATAGCGCCCTAAATACTCCTGCGAAATAATAACTTTCATTCCACCCTAAAGCCAAAGTGATATATCCAAATGTAAATCTGTTCCTACTTAAAAATCTTCAGTGGCTCCTGGCTTCTCAGGGTAAATTCCTTCAAAAGTGGGCCCACAAGGCTTTTGTCATCTGGTGCCTGCCCACCCCCCTCCAGACTCAGGTCCCTACAGCCCACAGCTGGAGTGCCCCTTCCACTTTCCGTCATGGGGCTGGCTCCATGAAGTCCTTCAGACTCAAACCAGCTTCCATCTTCTCTGTGTTGAGCTGGTTGCCCCTCTCTGTGTGTTCTGCCACCTGTACGTTTCTCTTTTCTGTGAAATTCCTTTTAATAATTATATTAAAATTGTTGCCAGGATCAGTGGCTCACACCTGTAATCCCAGCACTTTGGGAGGCCAAGGCAAGAAGATAGTTTGAGGGCAGAAGTTCAAGACTAGCCTGTGCAATATAGTGAGACCCCCCTCTACAAAAAATAAAATATAAAAATTAGCCAGGCATGGTAGCACATGCCTGTAGTCCCACCTACTTGGGAGGCTGAGACAGTAGGATCACTTGAGTCCATAAAGTCAAAGTTGCAGTGAGCCATGATAGCACCAGTGCATTCCAGCCTGAGAGACAGAGCAAGACCTTTGGAAAGAAGGGTCCTTGTCTTAACTCATTTTTGGGTCCCAGTCCTTAACATAGCAGGTGGCACATGACAGGTGCTTGGTAAGCATTCTTTTAACAGAACTGTGGGAAACCTAAATTGCTGTAGCTTTTATTTCTGTGGCTAATAAATTATTTTCACTGCATTTGGTCTTGCTTACCTCCTTATGAGCAGCAGAAAAGCAGTTGTAATAAGCTACCATTTATTGAGCACCAGCCAAGAGTCAGTTCGTGTGTTGGGTATGTCACATGCATTAATGCTTACTGAATTGCCAAAAGAGTCATACCACTCTTGGGTAAGATTATCATCATCATCATCCTTTCCAAACAAGAAACCAGAGGCTCAGAGAGGTTGAGAAACATACCGGAAGATCCTCAACCAGCATTTGAACCAGCTGCGTTATTTCTATCCTATACGCTAGGAAGCTGTCCCTTGGTGGGTTCCCGTTTATCAAATAGCACATTTCCCTGTCTGTGCCCTGGAGCTATTTCCATTTCCTCCTTCATGTTTGCTTACTAGACCCTGAGCAGGTCGTGGAGCAAAAGCACTTTGGATGCCAGTGACAAGGGTGTGATTCCAGAGTTGAAGGCTGATGTTTTAACTGTGCGTTCAGTTCAGGTTGTTATTGATTTCTCTCCTCTCCACTTTGTTATGGCCAAGTGCTCCAGGCAGAAATCTAGCAAAACAGGCTCACAGAGCTGCTCTTGGAGCCAGGCGGGTCACAGGTCACTCCACTGATGTGCGGGGCACATTAGCCAAATGACAGAGGCTCAACTAGAGAACTCAAAGTGACCGTAGTCAGATGTTGGTGATATTCCACACATGTTCCTTATTACCTACCAGCCTGAAGCAGGGCAGACCTGGACTTGGTCTGGTTTGCTTCCAGGACAATGATGCTAGTCGCCCAGGCCTTCTATGAATCCACAGCCTCTTGACCACAACAATTACACTGCATTATAATTACTTGTCTAGGTGCCTGTCTTCATTCCTATGAGTTTCTTAAGCATGATGGTTGGGTGCCGTGCATCCCTATTTATTTATTCAAGTCACAACTGTTAAGCACAGACTGTACTTCAAGTTCTGTGCCTGACTCTGGATATATGGAGATGAATAGAATGGATTAGACCAGAAATCTGTTCCCAAAGAGTATGTAGATATGTAAGAAATAACTACTAAAAACTGTTGTGAGAATGCTTAGATATTTTTCATCTCTATTACCCAAAATCTTAGCACAGCACCTTGAATAGAAAGAGTAGTGAACAGAACTGAGTGCTGACTGTATGCCTGGAACTGTGTTATGTGTTTTATATTCACTATCTCATTTAATCCTCATAACTGCCTTCTGTGCAGCTTTCGGTACTATTTTCTTCTCCATTTAATAGATGGGGAAACTGATGCCTTCAGAGAATGCTGAAGTGAGTGAATTCAAGTGTAGTCTTCCCATTGAGTCCACGTTGTTCATAACTGCTTATTGTTGCTTCCTAAAATCTATGAAAGATTATTCTATATTCTGCAGTAAACTGTTCTTTTGTTTTAGCCAATATCAGTAACTTTTTTCTTTAACATTTTGTCCATTAAAGGAATTCTACCAGTCCCAAGAGCATGTTGTATGAAATCATATCATTCCATTATGTTTGAGTGGCCATTTGGAGTCAGAGCTGTTTAAGAAATACTGTCAGGCTAAGATGCTAAGATGTCTTCAGGCTGGAAGGTTTAGGTCCCAAGACAGATTGGAAATGTAGTGCTTGTCAGCTCCTCCTACAGCCCTTCTCTGCCATCATTCCCACATACACTCTGCAGAGAGCTCAATGCGGTTTGCTATCTGACAAACATCCTAGATTAGTGAGTCCCATCTTTTTTTATCCCTCATCAAGCCAGGGAAACATTACTAAATTATCACACATTAAACATGTTACACACCAGGCACCATGCTAGGTGTTTTACAAACATCTCCTCATACTGTAATTATTATTTTCCATCTTATTGATCAGAAAACTGAGGTTAAAAAAGAAATGAGACATGGCCAAAATTTCAGCTCAGGCAATCTGACTACAAAATCCAGACAGTTACAACCCTCAAATATTTTCTTTTTTTTTTTTAAATTTTATTATTACTATACTTTAAGTTTTAGGGTACATGTGCACAACGTGCAGGTTTGTTACATATGTATACATGTGCCATGTTGGTGTGCTGCACCCCCCACTTCCCACACCCCACAACAGTCCCCAGTGTGTGATGTTCCCCTTCCTGTGTCCATGTGTTCTCATTGTTCAATTCCCACCTATGAGTGAAAACTTGTGGTGTTTGGATTTTTGTCCTTGTGATAGTTTGCTGAGAATGATGGTTTCCAGCTTCATCCATGTCCCTACAAAGGACATGAACTCATCATTTTTTATGGCTGCATAGTATTCCATGGTGTATATGTGCCACATTTTCTTAATCCAGTCTATCGTTGTTGGACATTTGGGTTGGTTCCAAGTCTTTGCTGTTGTGAGCAGTGCCGCAATAAACATACATGTGCATGTGTCTTTATAGCAGCATGATTTATAATCCTTTGGGTATATATCCAGTAATGGGATGGCTGGGTCAAATGGTATTTCTAGTTCTAGATCCCTGAGGAATCGCCACACTGACTTCCACAATGGTTGACCTAGTTTACAGTCCCACCAACAGTGCAAAAGTGTTCCTATTTCTCCACAACCTCTCCAGCACCTGTTGTTTCCTGACTTTTTAATGATCGCTATTCTAACTGGTGTGAGATGGTATCTCATTGTGGTTTTGATTTGCATTTCTCTGATGGCCAGTGATGATGAGCATTTTTTCATGTGTTTTTTGGCTGCATAAATGTCTTCTTTGAGAACTGTCTGTTCATATCCTTTGCCCACTTTTTGATGGGACAACCCTCAAATATTTTCTTCAATACCCCTGGTAAACTTCAACAGCAATTTTTCAACTATGCGAGTCAAGGGTGGGTGAGAGTGAAGTTTGAAAAAGCACCCCTCCCCTCAGCCAGGTATTTCCAATGCATCCCTCACCCACAAAATCACAGCAGAGCATGCAGACCATACTAATAATTCCAGGTGCACCTTAACTTCTGAGGTCTCTTCTGACTTGCAGCTCCTCAGTCTCTTCCTCCTTTAAATCTAGAGCATATTTGCTTTAAATTGTTTAGTTTGATAATTCATCACATACAGTCTTATCACCTCACATCTTCCACTTGGGTATCTTGCCTGTCTTTTCCAGCAAGAGTATGAGTTGCTGGAGAGCAGAGAGTTCATTTCATCCCATAATAGCACATGGTGGCCACAAAGACACTTAATAAATGCTGCTTGTTTGCTTAAATAGAGGCAGTATAGTTTGCTGAACTCTGGAGGCAGACAAGCTTAATTTTCTACTTACTAGCTATGCAGTGAAAATTATAAAAATTCCATATACTTCAGTTCCTTCATCTGCAAAATAGAGATTAAAGCAATACCTTATAGGGTTGCCAGGAATATTAAGAGGGTACATATAAAGCACTTGGCATAGTTCCTAACACATAATATGCACTCAATAAATAGTAATTATTGATGTTATTACACAACAGCTGAATTTATTCGTGTTTACTGTGTGTTACATGCTGTGCTAAATGCTTTGTATGCAATTATCATTTAATTTTTACATAATATAGGAAGCAGATTTAGCTTCTAAACAAACACACCTTTCTTGTTACCCAAAAGTTATTTAAGATTATCAGATGCTCTCACTGTCTTCAGAGTTGTGTCATAGGATGGGAAGGCACAAATATGATATTGTAATACACTATTGGCACATCATATAACTGTAAGACATCACAATAACTACTAACAACAACTAAAGCACTGGAGTTGACAAATGTTTTGCTCTTTTATATAAATTAATATAGATTCAAAATAATTATGATACCAGCACTTCCTGTTCTTATACCCTCCGTCACAAATGAAAAAAAAAAAAAGGGAAGAAATGGATTTGCCAGTCAGACCCACCCATATGGACACTTCATTAATATATGTTATTATGAAGAATAGGGTGTGTATAGATGAAGATACCTGCAGAGGATGTTGAGAGTGCAACAGGAAGGGATGCACCTAATTCAACTTGGAAGGTGGAGGCAAGGAGAGCTTTCTAGAGGTGATGCCTGAGCAGAGTCTTGGAGGATAAGTAAGAGTTTCTTAAGCCCACAGGGGAGGTGGGGGTGAAGGTGGGGACAGAACAATCAGAATTCTGTTGCTGATTGGCTGACTCTAAACATGTCAGTAATGTGCCTTTAAACTCAGTTTTAGTTTTCTGCGATGGATAATTCCTTTTTCCCTGAGTGTTATGAGGTTGGCTTAATTAATGTTTGCAAAGCTTTCAGTAATCTTCAGATAAAAGGTGAGGTAGAGGGGAAGTATATTACTTATTATCATAGCTTTACCAGCATCTGATCACATAAGGAAAATTCCCTGAAAGGTCATTTCTAAGAAGCAATATTATTAGTCTGGTGGTTCTTAAGCCTTATGTAACTTCCTGGAACAATGCAATAGCAAGGGAGAAAAATGACATCAACATGGAGATAATAATGAATTTAAATCATAAGCCTTATTTCCTTACTGCAGCTGCTGAGTATGAGACAAGCTTGAAGCTTCTAAACTTAACTCAGCCACTGCCTGGAAGCATCTAATTAAAAGTTTTCAAATAAAATAAGTAAGTTTTTGTAGATAAAAGAGCAGATGGCTTAAGAAGAGAACTGAAAGACTGCATTAGGAAAGTATTAGGTTTTAATTCCATTTGGGAAAAAAAAAATTCCATGTAAGAGAGGGC
This sequence comes from Homo sapiens, assembly GCF_000001405.40. Classification (NCBI taxonomy): domain Eukaryota; kingdom Metazoa; phylum Chordata; class Mammalia; order Primates; family Hominidae; genus Homo; species Homo sapiens. The sequence goes on along the minus strand of NC_000005.10, from coordinate 146,758,908 downwards.
AGGGATTGGAAGTAAAAAAACCTAGGGGTCTGTAGAGACAGGATTAGGGCCTGTGCTATCATAAATGTAGCTGTGAAATTTTAGTTTGTAGGATAACTAAATTTTTCTGTTGCTCAGGATTATTCCTATGACCTACAGAAGATATTCTCTGTCTTCTGCAAACCAGTGTCCTTCCATTCCCCAGAGTGGTTTCTGTTCATTCTTCCTTTCTTTCATTTGACCCGTAGGTATTAAGCTCCTACTAGGTACTGGTACTTCTTTAGATGCTAAGGATTCAGGATGGGGAAAAATCAGACAAAGTTTGTGGCGTCTCATGGAGCCAACTTAATGGGGAACTCATTCATTAGTGAATTGGCTAATGAAATATAGCTCGTGAAAATATTTAAATATTTTTAAATGTCATGTAAACATTTGCTGTTATTTCATCATGATAGTGCCGTATTTGTATTTTATTAATTTAATAAAATACTTGGACAGATGTCATAATGAATCCTCATAACAAGCCTTTGAGGTAATGTTGGTAACTTTTAGCCAAGAGGAAAGAGAAATTCAAAGAATGAGGGTTCTTGCCCCAGATCACAAAGCTGTTTCATGGTAGAGCTGAGACTGAAACCTAGCTCCTCTGGTGCTAGTTCACCTGTTGCTTTTGCTGCTACAGATTGAGCCTTTGGGGCAATCATTGAAATTTTGGTTATCTATCATTTGTAAATCTCTAAGCCAAGGAGAATGCTTGTATGAGTAACTCCAGAGAAAGCAGACATCACTGATGTTAATGTTGAGAGGAAGGGGTGGCCTGTCACAAAGAATATCACATAAACAGAACCATAATGTGAGCAAAATCAACTGAGGAATAGCATCACAATGCCAAGCTCCATATCTGGACAGGTCTGAGTAGCTGAGAGGTTTCATGTCCTTCCTTGGTTGTTTTCCTTTGGACATCTCCTTATGTCTACTCAGCTTCATTTCAGGCGACCAAGCCTTCAAGGTGCATGGAAGAGTTCCGCTTGGCCTCAAAGCTTTGTGGAAAATGGAAGTTTAAACCCTGTAGGTTTTCTTGGCCTTCAAAAGCCAAGGTGATGTCAGGGCAAAGGGTTCCACTTGGATGCAGATCAAGTCACTGGTTATTTCTGGAACTTTCTTGCAGTTTGGTTCCACAGGATAGTCTAAGTACCAGTGTGATTTGGGATACAAGCAATATTCTTGTATTCTTTCCTTCCCCCATATCGCATGTTTGTACAGATTTCAGAGATCCATATATTAAATTTGGGACACTCCAGGGAAGACCCCTATGTCCTCTGTGCAAGACACATAGCAACTAGTGAGGCCATCTATGTTTTCCAGACACCCCTGCATGTCCAAAACAATGTCCTCTTCAAAGTCACCTCAAATGGGGCTTCCATCTCTCGCCTTCCACCCATTTTCCTTTAAACTCCAAAGCAGTTGTAGTTCTCTGCTGGTATGTGTCTCTTTCTTCTATTTTTGTGTTCCTACTGTGGTCCCTCCGTTCCACAATCCTCACCCTACATGGCAGCCAGTACTATCTTTAAATATGTGTATGCAATAGATATTTATATGTGATACCATTATATAAAGTTTTCACTAAATGTCATAAATTTATATAAAACCATGTTCCCGCTCTACTTCTAAACCTTCTGTGGCTTCCCTTTGTACACAGCACAAAACTGTCACATTCCACCATGGCCTGGGCAACCTGCCTACCTCCCTCCCTCTCCACTCAGCCCCCAATTCCATTGCCTGTCAGTTCCTCACACTTGCCATGCTCTCTCCTCCTTCAAGCCCTCACTCCTGATCTTCCCTCCACCAGGACTGTTCTTCCCCATGTGTTTTGAAAGGCTGGCCTTTCACATCCTAAAAACAAGAAAACCCCACTCTCACTCAGAGCTTCATTCTCTAGCTCCACTCTCCATTGTCTACCCTCCTTAATCTTAATTTGTCTGCCTCCTCCACCAGAATGTAAGTGTTGCAAGGAGAGGAACCACATTTGACATATCCTTGGAGCTTCAGCCTGCCTGGCAGAGAGCTGTGCAGTAATTGAATGAATGGTGGATGTGCCTTGTTACCCATCCAGCCTAAAATGCAGCTCACTGCACATACAAACAACAGTCACTGAATGTTGACTATGCATCAGGCATTCTTTTAAGTACACGACATGAATTCACTCATTTAATTCTCATGGAAACCATGTGATGCTGGTACTATTATTATCAGCCCCATTTTTCAGATAAGAAAACTGATAAGTTAAAGGGTTTTAAATATCTAACAGAAAAATAATTTGCTTAAGACTTTGCAGCCAGAAAATGACAGAGCTAGGATTCAAACCCAGGCATCCCAGAGGCTACCTTTTAACTTTCCTGTCTTCCTGCAGAAAAGATTCACATATACTTTTCAGTTAATCGAAAGAAACTTGGAATACACACTGCAGCATGGGGAAAATGAAGAAACCTCACATCTGCCGTAGTGTATTCTTTCCCAGGCTGAGGAAGCTAGCATGCAGTATCATTATTTCTTTAGTGTGTCCATATGAAAGGAAAACCAGAGTAATCTCTGCAGATGCTGGGATTGAAAGAATCATTGTCCCCTCATCAGAAAGGATAATTAAGAGCCCCTCTGCCCATTAAATGAGGCAATGAATGGTAACCCACTTTGTAGGGTATAAAATGCCCTATAAATGTTAGTTATTCTTATTCCCAAGCTCTATGGAACAGCGGCTTATGTTACAAAACTACTGATTCAGAATCTTTCAGAAGTACTAAATCTACTCAGTAGTCAAGAGAAGGAAATGCCTCTGGTTTGTTCCTTCCCATCATCCTGAAAATTAAACAGCAATCCATTCTTCTCCTGCATTTCCAAAATCCAGGGTCAGAGATATGCAAATGTAAGTATGCAGGCTGCTTTTAAATGATACATGAAAGGGATTTTTGAAATGAATGTGCTGTGATTGAATTTCTGGTCAGTCACCCAGAAGGCATTTTGCAGCTAAGCTCTGGACCCAATTCCACTGAAAATGCATAAGCTTTGGTGCCTGCAGCCAGTCTAGCCACAGACGAGGATCAGGGTCCTTGCCTTGGAACTGCTATTAAATGATGCAGACCCCCAGGCTCGAAGTTGAAAAACAAATTAGCACAAGCCTAAAAGAAATCCAATACAAAGTTTACTTTTAAAATACCTTTTCCATAACCTTACCTGACAACAAAACCTCTTTGATTTTAAACCATTTGATGAAACCACAGTGCATTAATATATAACTTGGCTTTTTCAGTAGAGCTTATCTTTGTCATTTTCAAAATAATTTGGATGCTCTTTGGGAATACAAATATTGCCAATTGGTGTTGTCCAAAGAAAGGTCTCTTTGACCTGCTTTAATAATAGATAAGAAACATGAGTAAAAATGATCATTTATTATATATGACTTATGCTAAGGTGATTTTTAAGAGTAACTGACAGGAGTTGGCTTTCTTAAGTAGGTTGGAGAGCTCCGCTGATAACCTTGTTTATTATTAAATGAGTTTGCTAAGCAACCCTTTTACTTGAAGGTGATCAAAGGTAAACCTCAGCTTTATCTGACTTGCCATGAAATTCCAAAGTAGTAGAATTTTACATTGTATTTCTTCCCTTTTAGTGCTTTCTAAAATTATGTCAGTAATGCATGTATGAATGCATGTATAACAAAAATAGAGACACAACAGGTGAAGCTAATCTTATCCCCACCCTCCATCCCTCTCCTCTCCACTTCTCAGAGGTAACCCCTTCATCACTATGGCACATCTCCTGCCAAACCTTTCTCTAAACATTTGTCTCCATGTGTGTATTGTTAAGTTATTTAAAAATTTATGTTTATATAAACGGTGTATTGTTGTCAATTGCTGCCATGAACAGTGACTTGAAATAACAAATATTTACTATCTCTCACACTTTCTGAGAGTGAGCAATCCAAGGGCACTAAGCTCTGGGGGGTTCTAGTTCATGATCTCTCCTGAAGTTGTAGTCAGGGTCTAAGCCAGGACTACAGTCATTTGGAAGCTTGACTGGGACTGGAGGAAGTGCTTCCATCATGGCTCACCAACACAGCTGTTGCCTGGAGTCTTCTGTCCATCACTGGCTATTGACAGGAGGCTGCCACATGGGCTTCTCCACAGGGTTCCTGGAGTGTCCTTAAAACACAGTAGTTGGCATCCTCTAGAGTGAGTGATGGGAGAGTAAAAGAATGAAAGAGAGAGATCAAGAAGGAAGCCACAATACCTTTTTATTACCTAGTCTTGGAAGTGGCACCTTGTCATTTATGCCATATTCTGTCCACTAGAAATGAATTACTAAGTCTGGCCCAAACTCAAGTGGAGGCGAATTAAGCTGCATCTCATAAGGGAAAGAGTATCGAAGAACTTCTGTATGTATTTTAAAACCACTACATATGGCATAGTGCACATATGCTTCTGCAAATTTGCTTTTTTCGCTTAACAATCTTAGTTTTCCATGACAATACATGGGGGTCAACTTCATTCTCTTTAGTTGCTGCATGCTATTCCACTACCTATTTAATCATTCTCCTCCTGATGAGTACACCTCGAGATCGCTCCCAGACTTTCACTTCTGCAGATGACACAGCAATGGGGGTACTTGCTTACTCCTCAGCACATGTGCCAGGATTTCTCTAGTAAAAATGCATTGATGCAGAATTGCTGAGTTGAAGGGTCTGCTTATTATAACAGTTATGGCTAAATTGCCCTCCAGAACGGCTGTTGTAATTTCCAATCATCCTTCATCTGACACGTGGCGGGGGCTTGTGGCAGAACTTTGGTGGGCAAAATATCTTGGGGACTTTCAGATTATTTTTGGCCCTTTTCAAGCCTGGATTTATGATGAGAAATTATCCTGTCTGACACCCACTTTGCTCATAATTGCAACCTCTTTCCTACAATTCTGCTTGATTTAAGCAAAAATCCAGAAGCTCATCCCTCAGGAGACAGGGAAGCTTAACTGCTGTTTACAAAGGACTTGGAGGTTTTCAGGTACAAGTTGCCCCTGGAGATTCAGGTTGATTAGTGTTAATTCAAAACCACTTCCTCTATTATGGTAGCAGCTGAGAAGTCACATGCACAAATCAAGCATGTGGATTTCAATGAAAAGGAAAATGCCATTTCAGTAGCAGCTATTCCCGGACTCTGGCTGAGCCTTCCTATGGCAAGTATTATTGATGCATAAAATCATCGAATCCTCTGGGTCCTCCCACTTCTCACTTATCTTTAGTTTAAAACCGAGCATCAGACCGAATTCCTTACATTCAAGCTGCCAAGTGTCCTTGGCTGGCAAGAATCTCCCTCCCTGTAATATCAATAATTAATGTCAGCTACCAGTCCTGAGACAGCTGACAAAAGGAACTGGCCTAGTTCATTTCTACTTATTTACTGTGTCCATCTTTGGTGAAAATGTTTGGTCAGATTCAAAATGGTGTGTCACCAAGGCAACCAGCACTTATTTATTCAATACAAACTTATTGAGGTCCTGCTCTGTGTAAGGTTCTATACTGTCTATTCTCTGTGTGTGGGAGAGTATTCACATTATACCCTCACAAATTTGAAGTCTGATGATAATTATTACCAAGTATTTTGCACTTCTTGTGTACCAGACACTGTGCTAAGCATTTCATGGACAATAACTTTTCCTTCTCATAGCAGCCCTGTTAAGTAGGTAGCATTCCCTTTTTACCCACATGTGTCATGATAAATACAAAACCCTAGTTCTGTCATGGAGCAGCTGCTCATCTTATCCAGGTTCTGAACCCAGCTAAGCCCCAGTGCTTGAGAAGGTTGTACTAGTTCTGCTTTTGCCAAAATGTGTTTCTTTCCACAAGAAGCTCCATGAAAAATTTGAAGTCATAGCCACAGCATCTATGCTTCTCAGAGATCCCTGAGGCCCACAGTGGCTTCTCCTGTGGATCTCAGCTCAGAGAAGTTTCACCTGTGTTCCCCGAAGTGATCAGATCCCCAGATAATACACTTTCATACCTCCATGTGTCTTTCCTTCAGAGTTTTTAGCACAGTGAAAGTCTGTTGGTGAGATTATTTACTATGGCTCTGCCAGGCTGCTGGAAGCTCCATGAGGCTGCAGGCAATGCTTTTTTTCTGCTCATTTTTGTTTTCCCAGAGCCTGGCACAGTGCCTGCCACAGATAATCAATACTATTTAATCCATTAACTGATTGCTCTGAAAAGAACTACACACACACACCCCAAAAACCTGGGGACTTAACTTATCTCACACATTGCAAACCTCATTCAGCAAACTTTTACTGATCTTATTTCAAGATCCAGGCACTGAATTAGGTACTAAAGATATTGCAATAAACTAAGCAGACATGGCACTTATTCTCTTAGGTCTTGCATTTCAGTGGGGAATCCGGATGATAAATGAGTCAAATAAAATGAATAAGATAATTTCAGATATGTGTTAAGTTCTGAGAAATAAAATGAGCAGCACTGATAGGATGAGGGGTGGTCAGGGAAGATGTCTCCAAAGAGAAGACATTCGATGGAGACCTGAATCATGATAAGGAGCCAACATTGTGATGTTACAGGCACTGCTTTTTTTCATCTCAATAAATGTATCACTCAGAACAAAACCCCTGGAGTCATCCTTGACTCCTTCCTCTCATACTCCAAGGCAAGTGCAAGGCAACCCTACAGTATCTCTACCTTGACAGCGTCTCAAGCTGATCAGCCTCTCCCCACCCTCACTGCTACCACACTAGTCCAAGCTGCCACCATCTCTCACTTGGACTTTTCTAATAAACTTGTAACAGATTTCTATCCACCATCTGTTCTCTGTAAGTCAAATCATGTCTCTGTGGCTCCTCCTTACACTGAGGGTAAAAGCCACAGTGCTAACCAAGGCCTGCAGTTTCACATGATCTGGCCTCCTCCCTACCCCCATTTCCTGCCACTCTTCTGCCCTAGCACACTCCCCTTCTTGCTACCCACAAATAGGCCAAATGTGCTCCTGCGTCAGGCTCTTTGCACTTGTAGTTTTCTCTTTCTGGAAAAGCCCATGTGCTTTTGTGTTGTGCTCCATCACTTCATTCAAGTTCTTCTCATATGTTCACCAGAAGACCTGCCCCCACCCTCTGGGGGCAATCACCATTATTCCCTATGACTTAACTCTGTTTAATATTTCTTCATAGAACTCATCACACAAGGCAGGATATTATCTATGTGTGTCTTCCTCCTCCATTAGAATGTAAACTCCATGAGGGTAAGAACTGAGTTGACTTTGTTCACTGTTGTATTCCCAATACCTAGAATATTTATTTCTATTCAATCAACAGTTCTTGAATAAACAGAAGAATAAATGAAAGAATGACAAAATGCAAAGGCCTTGAGTCATGATATGCTGCAAAGACAGAAAGAAGACAGGAATAAGGAGAGAAGAGGAGGCTAAAGAGGCAGGCAGGGGCCAGACCACATAGGTCCTTGTGAGTAATTAGAAGGGGCTCTGATTTTCTTCCAAGAGCATCAGAAAACTGTTCACCTCTGGAAAGCTTTAGCTTTGCAATTCCCAACAGGTGACATAACACTTGGAGAAACACTGAACTCTATGACCTCTTCCCCGCTATGTTCTGTGATGCCCGGAAGTAGAGCTCTGCACTGTTATTTAATCCTATCAATGTTTGCTCTGGAGGCAATGGATTAAATAGCACATGTTGAATCATCAACTGAATTAACCTTCTCAAGAGTACCTCATGCCACGATTTGGATTCTCTGGAAAGTATCCCTTACTCTTTCCTAATGTGCTTACAGCTTGGTTCCAAATGTCTCTCCTTGGAGTTGCTGTGTAAATCCACTTCTTTGGGGAGCCATCCCTGACCTCCCAGGGCAGAGTTCAGGATCCCCCTGCATGCTCTTCAGCTCCTACTGTTGAGAGCAGAACAGTGCTGCTTTGTGGTGTCTCTCTGCTGCTCCAGCTGGAGTGTATGTTCCCTGAGGGTGGGGACCTTCTTTGTTGTCTCTAATTCTGAGACCACAGAGAGGCTGCTGGATCCAGCGTACCAACGTGTGTATTTGAACTGTTTTATTTTATGTTAATTCAAAGTAGGTGCCAACATTTTAGGTTTTTTAAAAAATAGATTTCTGGCTTATGTTGAAAATATATAAGCCATAGCAATGCTGTGCCCATGTTCTTAACCATGAGAAGACTTGGGTAGCAACTGCTCCATTCATAGGGGACATGGCTTTCCTCCAGCAAGCCACAATCCCCACCATTCCTTATTATGTTTCTAATGCTGAGCTCAAGTGTTCCTGGTCATTTAACATCTGATTGAGTTATTGTTTTCTTACAGTACAGAAATATTCTGTATCCAATCTACTATCACAAGAAGCCTGCATGTTCTTAAACCTGATACATGCGGCCTCTTTTGAGCAACTGAATTTGTTACCCTAGTTCGTCCTAAAATAAAAAAGTGTTTATAAAGGCATAGGACTTGTCTACCCAACGAGGCAAAGATGTTAATTCTTCCCAAATTGATATATAGGTTTAATGTGATTGCTATCAAAATCCCACCAAGATTTTTATAAATACAGATCTGATTATTCTAAAATGTATATGGAAAACCAAAGGAACCAAAATAGCTAAAAATCATTTTTAAAAGAATAATAAACTGGGAAGAATCAGTCTCCTTGATTTTAAGATTTATTATATGGCTATAGTATGAAAGACTGTGTAACATTAACAGACAGATAGAGGCATAGATCAATGAACAGAATAAAGAATCCAAAAACAAACCCACACAAATATGTTCAACTCAGTTTGTTTGTTTGTTTTTTACAAAATTGCAAAAGCAATTCAACGGAGGAAAGACAGCCTTTCAATAAATGGCACTGGTGCAATTGAACTCCCATAGGCACAAAATTAATCTCAACCTAATCTTAATGAACTCAAAATGGATCACAGACTTAGATATAAAATGTGAAGCTATAAAATTCTTAGAAAAAAAAGGAAATTGGCCAGGCGCAGTGGCTCACGCCTGTAATCCCAACACTTTGGGAGGCCAAGGCAGGCAGATCACGAGGTCAGGAGATCGAGACCATCCTGGCTAACACGGTGAAACCCCGTCTCTACTAAAAATACAAAAAATTAGCCGGGCATGGTGGCAGGCGCCTGTAGTCCCAGCTACTCGGGAGGCTGAGGCAGGACAATGGCGTGAACCTGGGAGGCGGAGCTTGCAGTAAGCCACTGCACTCCAGCCTGGGCGACAGACTGAGACTCCATCTCGAAAAAAAAAAAAAAAAAAAAGAAAAGAAAAGAAAAAAAGGAAATCTTCAGGATCTAGGCTAAGCAAAGAGTTCTTATGCTATATGCACTGTGATCAAGGCTAAGCAAAGAGTTCTTATGCTACATGCACTGTGATCTAGGCTAAGCAAAGAGTTCTTATGCTACATGCACTGTGATCTAGGCTAGGCAAAGAGTTCTTATGCTAAATGCACTGTCCATAAATTGAACCTCATCACAATTAAAACATTTGCTCAGCCAAAGATTCTGTTTAGAGGATTAAATGACAAACTACAGGCCGGAAGAAAATATTTGAAAACCACATGTCGGACAAAGACTAGTTACCAAAATATATAAAGAACTCTCAAAACAGCATTAAAAAAATGCAATTAGAAAATGGGCAAAAGACCTGAGATATTTCACCAAAGACGATAGACAGATGACCAATAAGCACAGCAAATGATGTTTAACACTATCAGCCATTAAGGAAATGCAAATTAAAGCACAATGAGATACATATCTATCACAGTGGCTAAAATGAAATGGTAGCAATACAAGTGCTGGAATGCAGAGAAAGTCCATCATTCATATATTTTTGATAGGAATGTAAAATGTACCTTCTGAATATTCTAGGGAAAAAATTCTGGAAAACAACTTGGCAATTTCTTAAAAACCTAAACATGAAACTATAATACCATATGACCCAAGAATTGCACCTCTGGGTATTTGTCTTTGAAAAATAAAAAAAATGTATGTGCACACAAAAACCTATATACAAACCTGTACACAATGTTTATAGCAGCATTATTCATAATTACCAAAAAACTGGAAACAACCCAGATGTTCTTAGATGTGTGAACAGCACATCAAACTGTGGTACGTCCATACCATGGAATACTATTCAGCAATTAAAAAGGAATGAGCTATTGATACAATCAACAATCTGAATGCATCTCCAGAAAATATTGAGGGAAAAAAAAGCCAATTCCAAAAGCTTATGTACTACTGGATGTACCTCTTCTTAACCCCAGGTGACCACTAATCTGTTCTCCATTTTTATGATTTCATCATTTCAAGAATGTTGTAGAAATGGAGAACAGATTAATGGTTGCCAGGGGATAAGGAAAGGATGGGGACTGGAGGGAAACTGGTGTGGCTATGAAAGGGCAACAGGAGAGATTTTTATAGTGATGGAAATTGTCTGTATCTCCACTGTATCAATGTCAGATCCTGGCTGTGATATAGTCCTATAGTTTTGCAAAATGTTACCATTGTGATGGGGGGAACTGGGTGAATGTTCCATAGTAACTCTCTATTATTTCTTACAATTGCATGTGAATCTCAAAATTAAAAGCTTAATTTTTCTAAAAAAAAAAGTACAAGCTTTGGAAATCAACCAGCCATGGGTTTAAATTCCTGCTACGCCACTTACTAGCTAAATGACCATGGGCAGCCTCTTGGGGCCTCAGGTTACTCATCGGTTAAATGGGGATCATAAAAGACCCATGCTCACAGTGCTCTGGAGATTAAATGAGGTCATGCAGTTACAATGCTTAAGAGCTTGCCTATGTTTGGCCAAGAGCTCAGTAGATGGGAGCTGCTTTTGTGGCTGTCACTGTACCACATAGAGAATCCAGAGGCAGGTTCAGCCCTGGAACATCTCGGGTTAAACCATGCTTTGTGTAGAACAGAGGTTCCCCAAGTACCTCAGTTCATATCACCCTTCGTATCGTCCTAATTTTTTTCATGCTGTTCTTGGGCCAAAAAAAAATTCACAACTGTTCTGTTTACTAAGTAGTTAGGTTCAAACTACTTAATAAGTGTGTTTGCACTAACAATGTAGTAACTGTTTGAAACATAGTAACATAAATTGAAGAAATAATTTTATTTCATTCTTAACTACAATTGCTTACAATGGAATTATGTGTCCCTAATAGTCTGTACCACTTCCCAAACCTTGGAATCAGATTGAATACTGTCACCTTCATTATCTGCTCCACATTGATTTTGATGCAGTGCTTGTTTTTAATTATATTAACTACCAAAACTCCAGCTTTGCAAAAATACTTTGTAATTAAGGGGAATATACTATGTACTAATGTTGAAGTGGTAAGTTCCCTCATGCTATTCATTCTCACATTATCTGACAGAGGTTTAATATCACTATTGTTCACTCAAAATTTAAAATATCCTGCAGCATCCCTGTGAGTATGCCATGATGCCCTGGAGTGCTTTGGTGCATAAATTGGGAATTATAGGTTGAACAGTTCATTTTGGCCTCTTCCAGAGCAAAGCAAAGTAGACTAAGGCCCAAAGCTGCTCTACTGGGATCTTTCCAGTTGTCATGATCCATCTGCTTCTATCTACACCCATGTCCCCAGGATGGTCTCACAGCTAAACTGCCTACCATTGGGAGACAAGAGCCATTTTTTCTGACTCAGCGATAGCAGAGGATGATTAGGAATGGGGTACTGGACCTTTTTTTTCCTGGTATTCTAAAGATATTAAGCAATTTGGGAAGCTCCTCTTAAAATTTAATTCCACATTAAGCACCTAGAAGGTGACAAGCACTGTTGTAGGTACTGGAGCCACAGAAATAAATTGAGCCTAGTCCTTAGCCCTTGAATAATGCTTCCTCCACAGATGATATGCAGCACGATGTTATAGAAAAGCCTTGGAGCCAAGAGACCCGAATGAAAATTCGGACTCGCCATATGAACTTGTTAGGTTGGCCTTCCTGAGCCTCAGTTTTGGTATCTGCATAATGGGAGTTTAAATATCCCTACAGCACTTTTATCTCACAGCATTTAATAAGATAAATGCATGTAAACTCAGAATGTTATGATTAATGAATAGCCACCATTTAGATGTGCTGCTTTTTAAAATCACTAATTATCAGTTCAAGCAGCTTTGCCCAAGAGTGAAAGAAATCCAAACAACAAAATATACTTCTCATGCTTCTTAGAAGAAATGGGGATAGCAGGGGTAGCGCAAGGAAGAAAATTCCAAAAGATTTTATAATTGTAGTGAGAAATTGAGGAGCAGACAGAGTCGTCCTGGAAGCCCTGTTCTCCTTTTGCAGGCTAGAGAATAAATACTTTGAGAGCTAAATTGATCTGCTCATCCTCCTGTTCCTTTCTCCTCTGGAATATGTCACTTGAAAGAGATCAACTTTCTGGCCTCTGATTCTGGCTGTCACCCAGTGGCTGCTTTGTCTAATGATTGCTACATATGACTTTTTTTTTTTAAACTCCCAGTCCAAAAGCTGTTTCAAAGTCAAAGTTAATACAGATGTTGTGTCATCCCATGCGCCAGTGATAGGTGTTGTTTAGTCAAGGTGGATCTGATTGGGATCTCTCTCCAAGAAAGTGAGATAATATGAGAGACCATAAAGCAGCAGTTAATTTCCCTTTCAAAGTGAGGAGGATTATGCACAGTGGTGGAAAGCCGTTCTCTGGGTCCCCAGCCTAATTGTCTTGATTAACACGCTGCATGGCCATCACAGGTGTAGCACATAATAGCGCTATAAGGTTTTCATAGCCAAGCCAATTAAAGTCTGTCATTGAGCCAAGAACTAACTGTGTGTGCATCATAATGCCAAAAGTCAAAATGAGTTCTCTAGATAACAATTGCTTGCATTTCTAGGACAATTTATCTTTTTTTTTTTTTCTTTGAGACCAAGTCTCTCTCTGTCGCCCAGGCTGGAGTGCAGTGGCACAATCTTGGCTCACTGCAGCCTCCGCCTCCTGGGTTCAAGCAATTCTCCTGCCTCAGCCTCCCAAGTAGCTGGGACTATAGGCATGCACCACCATGCCTGGCTGATTTTTGTATTTTTAGTAGAAATGGGATTTCACCATGTTGTCCAGGCTGCTCTTGATCTCCTGACCTTGTGATCCACCCACCTTGGCCTCCCAAAGTGCTGAGATTACAGGCGTGAGCCACCACCACACCTGGCCGACAATTTATCATTTTAAAGCATACTTTCTTTACCTCATTTTCTCTTCATGCCAGAAGGCAAGCAGTTTATGTGGGGAAACTGAAGTTCAAAGAGATTCAGTGACTTACCAATCTAGAGGACTCTAATAATTGTGCCAGGCTGCTCATAGTAAGTTCTTAAAGATTTTTCTCTTATCCCTATGACAATAACTAACATTCGTCTTTCACTTAACAGCTGACAAAATGCTGATATATTTATTTTCTTTCTAGATCTTCCATAACAACCCTGCAAATCAGATCTTCTTTAGATCCCATTTTTATGGCCAAAAATCTCAAAATCTTGGAATATTGATTGAAATCCTGCCACATTTTAGAGTTGAGAGCTTGTTCAAGGGCACAGGGTTACCAAGTGGTAGAACTAGGGTAAGAACTCAGGCCCACTGGCTGACCCAGTGTTCTTCACATCATTCCATGCTTATAGTCTCTTTCTCTCTCTCTCTCTCTCTCTCTCTCTCTCTCTCTCTCTCTCTCTCTGTCTTTCTCTGCACGTTTTAGAGTTGGGGGAAAATGAGTCAAGACAACTGACACTGAGCTGCAAAGACACAGGTTTCTTCTATTGCCACAGTGCCCAGCTTTGAGCAACTAAAGGGTTTTGGTCAATTATCTATTTTCCCATTGAACTGGGAATGGACAATTTATATTCTAAACTGAATATAAATTTGACTCTTGGTCTCTTAACTGCCTGATCTCTATGGTGTGTTTGATAAAAGTATTTTTGTTGGTTTACAGGCCACCCCCAGAGGCCCTGAGCAATGCATTTGAAAGTTCTGGGTGGCTGTGAATGACCATGAAAGTAGGAGATAAATATCTTAGCTGGCTAGGCAGAATAAGAAGTAGATAGCCTGCTTAAAGGAAAAGCAAGCTCTAAGCTATTCTCAATAAGATCCACAAACAATTTCTTGCAGTAAAATGTGTTGTTCTTTGTTTCTCAGATATGAGGAATGAGGAGGAACCCTTCTTAGGCTCTTCTGATGATTTTTTAGGTTAAGGCTGAGTCCCTGAGTACAAATGATTGCCTGGCTCATATCCCAGTGCTGATGGAGCACACAGGATGGTTCCCTGGTGACACATGTGAGGGTAGGAGTGGAATTTCACATTTCTCACTGCTGGAAGGGCAGTGTTTTCCACCCATTGTTCATTCTGAAAGCTCTCTTCAGTCCCAGCCTGTGTGTTGTCACTGGAGGAGGAAAGAGAATGAATTCTGTGTTCCCCATGGTGCACTGAAGCCTAAGGGCCAAGTTCCTTTCATCTAAAAAGCCAAAAATGATGATTTCCTCAAGAGCAAATAGCTTTCATTGCTTCTTTGGCTGCGGAGACATATCTGTATCTGCTCTGCCACTCCATCCTGAAATCTGGGGTGTGGCTGAAGTAGCCATGTTAAGAGCATTCACAAATAACCTCTTTTATTTAAAAGGGTGGGGGCAGGGGATGGTGTGGGAGGAAATGCAGGAACAGCCTTATGTTCTATATTTTATTTCAGATTTTTAAATATTATGAAAAGGAGGAAGGAGCAAGCATCTATGTACTTTAAAGATATATTTGTAAGTTAGTATGTATACTACGTATAGTTAAATATTTTTTGCCACTTTATAATTTCCAGGCATGGTATGAATAAATCTACACTTGGCTTAACTTAATGCAGTTGAATTGATTTCTGCCTGCTAACCTGTGATTCTCTCTCAGTGGGAAATAATCAATAAGGTCAGTTGGGCCCACTTTTGCACATCATTGGTCCTAGTTTTAATCTTGGTAACCCTGGCTGTAAACCACCCACTATGGAGGCAGATTGATTGGCAGCAATATTTGCTCAATAATTTTGTGGCCATATTTGAGGCACATTTTAGCTTACGACTTGGTGTAACAGTTTCTCCTTTAGAGTTTAGTGCCTGTTTTCTTTCTTATACTGCAAAGGGCCTATTCCAAAGGAAGCTTGGGGAAAATAAACTTGACAGGAAGGGAAATGAAATAAGTTTTAAACTGAATCTGAAAGGGAAATAATAATAATAAAATTAAAGCATATAGAGCCTTAGTGCTCAAGGAATTTGAACTGGATTAGACGTGGGGATGGAGAAGGTCATAACATTTAGTCCAGAAGTAAAAATTGCCATCAGAGTCACTAAGCTAAATTTAATCCCAATTCCTTCTCATTAGGTGAGTAGCAGCCACCTCACCTTTTCCTTCTTTTGTAAAGAATATCTTTTATGTACCACAAGTGAAGGGAGTGCTGAATATGATGCCTTCCTTTAGCCTCGCATGATAGTTTTATAAATTTCTGGTGAAGTCACACATGAAGGGAATATATAAATCCAGCATCACTGCCCAAGTCCTTTCAGTCCAGCATATGTTGAAAAATCCTATTTGAATGGTGAAAAGGGAAGAAAAAGAATTCTTCCTCCACCCACCCAGCCATTCCACCCATCAATCGTTTATGACAATCTTCAGACCAAAAGGCTGTTGTTAAGAGAGTAAAATGATATAAGCAAAGTGCTTACCATAGGACCTGGTTTGTGTATTACTATATTAGTTTGCTAGGGCTGCCATAGCAAAGTACCACAAAGTGGGTGGTGTAAATAACAGAACTGTACTGTCTCACAGTTCTGGAGGCTAAAAGTCCAAGATCAAGGTGTTGGCAAAGTTACTTCCTTCTAAGGCTATGACAGAGAAACAGTTCCAGGCCCCTCTCCTAGCCTCCTGTGGTCTTTAGGCAATTTTTGGCAGTCCTTGGCTTGCAGATGCATCACCCCATCTCTGCCTTCGCCTTCATCGCCTTCATGTGCTATTCTCCCTGTGTGCATACCCATCTCTGTGTTTCAGTTTCCCCTTTTTATAAGGACACTAGTCATATTGAATTAGGACCCACCCTAATGACCTCATCGCAACTACTTCTGCAATGACTCTTATTTCCAAATAAAGTCACATTCCGAGATATTGGGGGTTAAAACTTCATATAAATTTTGGGAGGGCACAATTCAACCCATAATAATTATTATCATTTATTATTATATCTTCATTATTTCTTAGCTTTTCATAGTTTCCTTTATACTATAAATCTATTCTCTACCCTGCAGAGAATTAAAAATTCGCAAAAACAGAAAAAAGTAGGGAGGTGAAGAAATCAGAATATCAATGCATAGTGTGAATATCTTCAAGTAATAATGAACTGTTGGACATAGCCACCATATTCAGACATTAATGTTTCAGGTAAAAGGATCCAGAACAACTGGCCAGCCCAATTCAGTGAAGCAGCATAGCTAGTCATTAGTTAAACCCTAGCCATCCAGAGTGTTGGCAGTCTCTCCAACGGTAAGATTTTGGTATCCTTTCATACAGTAAGGAGGCAGTTGGTGTGGAGTCCCCTGCATCAGAGGCTTCATGCGCATTTTAGATTTATTAAAAAGCCCACAAAAAAAGAAATACCCTTTGGAGCAATATAGTCTCAAATCCAACAATTTCCTGCAGTATCACAGCAAAGTTCCCCCCGGCGGCTGTTGAGATGGTTAGCCAGTAATTCTTCAAAACATTTTTTTCTGACACATACATAACATTTTCCTTTGTAAGAACGTGAAGGTTTGATTCCTCCAGAGCCCATTACACAGACAGATTGGCCCCTGAGATAATTACAAGAAGATAGTCTAATGGGCTCGATTAAGAAAATCCCAAGACCCAGACGAGTCTTCCTACACAAACACAAATATAATTTCTTACCTAAAGGCATAGAAACAGCATTCAGTTCACCTGTTTATATTTGGATACTAGGCTAATATCGATCTGTCAAAACAGACTTGTTGAACCAGAATATTTTTACTGTACTCTGCTTCAAAAATAATTTAGGATGACATTCAAGGATGTATCAAATATGACATGATAGACTACATTAAAAGTTATGTGGCCTAAAATTGTGTACTGTCAGTATCAGAATCTGGCCTCCCAGCACAGGCAGGAGTGGCAGCTCTCACAAACCTGACAGGTGGTGACGCAGTCCTTCTTGAGATGGCATGATTCTCGGAGCTCTGAGTTCTGTCCCCACGTCCCGAGAGGCGGTCGCCCTTCGTATTATACCCCTAGCTATGGATTCCCATTTGCCCTGTAGAGGGGTGAGAGAGTAGAAAAATCCTTAGGTGTCCAAGAAGCATGCCATCTACAAGGACACCGGGAGTGTTTCACCCTCCACTCCTAGAAAGGCGGGATTTTTATGAATATGCAGCACTGTCAGTTCATAATTTATACCTTCCCCTGACACCAACATGTCCAACTTCAGATTATAAGTACATTTTTAATGTATAAGAAAATGTTTTAGAAGGTGAAAAAAATCAGTTTCATTAGGTTAAGACACTGTATTAAGCTCATCTCTGTCCTGTACTCTCTTAGTGTCCAAGGCACATATGTACATGGAGAAAGGGGGGTTGCCTGCTAGACAAGAACCTTCCTTACTGCATGTGCTCCATCCTTATCAACTAGGTTTTTTCAAAATCTCTGTGATAAGCATAGGAATTACCTGGGGAATTTTTCAAATTGCGGATGCCTAGATCCCCATTCCTAAAGAATCTGATTCAGTAGAACTGGGGTGGGACCCAAAAATCTGCATTTTTTTTTTTTTTTGAGACGGAGTCTTGCTCTGTCGCTTGGCTAGAGTGCGGTGGCACGATCTCAGCTCACTGCCACCTCCGCCTCCCGGGTTCAAGTGATTCTCCTGCCTCAGTCTCCTGAGTAGCTGGGATGGAATCTGCATTTTTAATGTGTTCCTTTGGTGATTGTGAGCTTCATGGCCTATGAGACACACTTTGAGCAGCACTCTGCCCTCCTATGATCTTCTTTCTTTTAGAACACTAATTTTTGCATTATTATCCTACCATCATTTTTTCAAAATGGAATTTTTTTTCATGTTCATCTGTGAAAAAATATGCTCATTGTGAAAAAATAATCAGACAGTGTGAGTAAAAATCATCAGGTTTTCAGCACTGAGATGGAATTACCCTATATATTTTAATGGCATCCATCAAGAACTTTTATCTGTGTGTGTGTGTGTGTGTGTGTGTGTGTGTGTGTGTGTGTGTGTGTGTGATCTCATTTTAAAATATTAATTTGGCAGATCCAAATTTGTGGAAAAGAAAGAGGGAGGTAGCTTCCATAAGACCTTTTTCTTCCAGAGGTAACAACTTTTTCTTTGAGTTCTCTGACTCCAAGAGCCCTTCATTTACAACAGCCTCTTCCCATGGTGGTTTCAAAGCTCCTTATTTACACCTCTACCTGGAGCACTCTTCTTTAAAGACTGGGTTAACTATCAGGTGCTCTTAGTAACTTAGGAGACATAAGGGAAATTGCCCATCATCTCCAAGATTCTTTTCTCTTTTCTTGCAAACATTATCTTGTCACCACAGAGCTGTTCTCTTTTATCACTTGTACACCTCTTTCACTTGGAAAAAGTTAGGTCACATCAACATTTCACCTATTCATTTTTCTACCTTTGGTGAGAACCACCATTTAGCATTTCACCTCTGAGAAGTCTTTTCTAGCTAGAGAGGGCTCCCAAACTACATTTCCCAAGGATCCCCATTTATTGTGCTTTGCAATCATTGTGAGGTCTTAGGTTCCTTTGAGAATCTGATGAAAATGATAATATCTCACTCCTAAAACCAATGCACATATTCGCACCCACATTTTTCCAAGTATTTTCAAGAGGTCCAAGGAATCTAGGTTAAGGATACTCCCTGGTAGTATGTCCTCAGCAGACTGAGTTCCCTCAAATCTACAAAGGATTCCCACAGACATTATTCATTAAAATAAGTATTAAGCATCAAGTATGTAGCAGACACTGCATTGGGGTACTGGTGATACAAAGAGAAACATAGGAGCCCTTGTTTTAAGGATCTCAGGATAGAAATGGAAGCAGATGGATAAATAGTGATCATGGAATGTGAGAAGTACATGAAACACAGCAGGGCTAGAGTAAAATGTGCTTAAATTATAATCGTAGCTTCTTTCCTTAAAATCTTTGATGCATCCTCTTCCTATCATGCACAAAGACCTTCCTCATGAACCTCAAGTTTACTTCTCTAATATATTCTGAACATGTGTCCTTCCTTTGCCCAGCCCTGGCACTCCATGCTTCCGTCTCATTGAAATCTCTGTTGGTCCCCAAATGTACCATGTTCTATGAGTCTTCATATGAGTTGTCCCCCACCCCTGGCATTCTTTCCTCCCCATCCTTTGCCCTTTGGCCAGGCTGACTCTCATTTGTCTTTTAACACTGGGTTTGGAATGCTTTCTCCACGATGCTTC
The DNA here is from genome assembly GCF_000001405.40 of Homo sapiens. Classification (NCBI taxonomy): domain Eukaryota; kingdom Metazoa; phylum Chordata; class Mammalia; order Primates; family Hominidae; genus Homo; species Homo sapiens. The sequence continues at coordinate 146,739,355 of NC_000005.10, read as the reverse complement.
CCCTAATTTCTCTAAATTCCATTTAGATGCACTTCTTCCCAAGTACAGTGGCTCACACTTGTAATCCCAGCACTTTGGGAGGCCAAGGCAAGAGGATTGTTTGAACCCCAGTGTTCCAGACCAGCTTGGGCAACATAGTTGAGACCCTGTCTTTACATAAATAAAAACTATTTGGGTGCAGTGGTGTATACCTGTAGTCCTAGCTACTCAAGAGGTTCGGGGGATGGGGGATCACTTGAGCTCAGGAGGTCAAGGCTGCTGTGAGCCGTGATCACACCACTACACTCCAGCCTGGGCAACACAGTGAGATCCTGTCTCTTAAAAAAAAAATAGGTGCACTTCTTAGATGTTATCCTTATCTTAATTCCTATTGCATTATATTACAATGTATGTGTCTTCATTAGTCTGTGTCCCTCACCAGACAGTAATATCCTCAATGGCAGGGACTATCATATTCACAGTTCTAGTCACACCAACTAATGACTAATAGTTAATAAATATTTGAATTAATTTATGAATTAATCTGATTAAAAAACCCTCAGTATAATTAGTTTTATTGTTCTCTAGTATAAGCTAGAATAAAGAACTCTACCTATATCCTCCCTGAGAAGTATGGTCTATAATTAGAACTTTAACGACATCTGACCAAGGTGCTCTCTGCCCATGAGGAATCTGACTCTTGGTTCCTTGGTACACACAGAAGGAGACAGAGAGCTGAGGGCAGTTAACTAGGAGTTGTTCAACCGTCATTTGCTTAACACTGTGCAAAATACTTTGGGGAGTAAAGATGTATTTCTCCCTCCTTTCAAGAACCTACTGTTGGGAATACAAGAGTTCCCCAGGTGAAATCTTGCTAGTATGTAATTTAGTACCAAATTATGAATAAAATAAGATGACGTTTAAAGTCACTTCCAACTAGTTTTTCTGTGAAGCTAAGATTTTTTTTTTTTTTTTTTTTTTGAGACTGAGTCTCACTTTGTCGCCCAGGCTGGAGTGCAGTGGCATGATCTCGGCTCACTGCAAGCTCCGCCTCCCAAGTTCATGCCGTTCTCCTGCCTCAGCCTCCCGAGTAGCTGGGACTACAGGCACCCGCCATCACGCCCGGCTAATTTTTTGTATATTTAGTAGAGACGGGGTTTCACTGTGTTAGCCACGATGGTCTCGATCTCCTGACCTCGTGATCCGCCCGCCTCAGCCTCCCAAAGTGCTGGGATTACAGTTGTGAGCCACCGCGCCCAGCCCGAAGCTAAGATTTTTTATATCACCTAACTGTACTAAACACTCTATGGCATATCTTCCAAACCACACTGAGAGTGACAATCATGTGTTGATGGTCTTTGTACCTTCAAGGTCGAACATAGTCCCCAGGTCTGAGTAGGTTTCTAACAACGTTTTTTTTGTTTTGTTTTGTTTTTTGAGACAGGGTCTCACTCTGTCACCCAGGCTGGAGTGCAGTGGCGTGATCTCAGCTCACTGCAATGTCCACCTCCTGGGCTCAAGTGATCCTCCCACCTCAGCATCCCAAGTAGCTGGGACTACAGGTGTGAGCCACCACACCTGGCCTCCAACAACATTTGTTAAACCAAATACACTCAAAGAAGACCGTGACACCCACCATAAATATAACACCTGACTGGAGTTTCCCATTTATAAATTTTTTCACTGGGATGAAAGGCTTATATACTAAATAAGCATTGTTTATTCTTCACTGTATATTACTTAGGGGCAAATTAGTATATTACTAATGTGGCAAAAAAAAGCGGAATGGATCAAAAAGTACAAGCTTTAAAATCAGGCATACCTGATTCAAATCCCAGCTCTTCTGCAGGTTTGACAAGTAACCTTCCATTGATTCCATAGATATTTGTTGAATCATGCTCTGTGCAAGGCAATGTGCTAAGTGTTAAAGAGGTAAAAGTAAATACTCTCTACAGTCTTGGAGCTTCCAGTAACTTTCTTCAGGCTCTTTATCTGTAATGTGGAGCCAACGATGTTTTCTTGGAAAGCTACTGGCAAGATGAAGCATAATATGTATCAAAATGCCCACTCTAGGTCTTTGCATGAAGTAGACACCCAAAAAATACTACTAGAAGGCACAGCTCCTATATGCCTAGAAGGCACTTGTCCTAATCAGGACAAGTCAATGAACATTCACAGTGCAGCTAAAGCTCTCTGCCAGTATGAAGTCCCCAGTAGCTACTGAACCCTTGAAATGTGGCTAGTCAAAATTGAGATGTGCTGTAAGTATGAAATACACACCAGGATTTGAAGACTTAGCATGAAAATAAGACAGTAAAATAACTTAGTAATATTTTGTATTCATTACATGTTAAAAGGATATTTCAATAAATTGAGTTAAATAAAATGCTATATATGATTAATTTTACCTGTTTTTATTTTTTAAATGTTACCATTAGAAAATTAAAAATTATATATGGCTCACATTATTTCTATTGAACAGTCCTGGGTTAGAGAGTAAATGTATGTTATAGGTTCTAAAAAGAACCAACTAGAGATGCCAAAGGTGATCCAGAAATGTATACCACTAGGTAATGACTGAGCAGGGATGAAAACACAAAGCTGCAATCCTGCTTTTGTGCCCTCATGGTGGTATTAATAGTAATTAACAGATTACACCGGAGTCAGAACATTCTCATTCACTTTAGTTCAAATACCAATTGTGGGATGTACCCATGTACACACCTAGGAAAGGGGGTGGTGCTGGGGGCTGGGAAGAAGATGGCAGAGATGTCCTCAAGACTTACGATGGCTGCTATGATTCACTTCTTCATTTGGAGGCATGTTAAAGCAGATGGGCTTTAGACATATGAGGTTTGGATGTCAGCATCATTTCTTCCTGCACGATCTGGAGCAAGTTAGTTATCTCTCCGGGCCTCAGTTTACTCATTTTTAAAATGATGGTAATAATAACAACTAGATCATAAGATTTCTGTGATGACTGAAGGAGCAAATGCATGTAAAATATGTGGCAGGGCATAACGCTCAGTTGTTAGTTATTGTCACTGTATTAGTCTGTTCTCACGCTGCTAATAAAGACATACCCAAGAATGGGTAACTTATAAAGGAAAGAGGTTTAATTGACTCACAGTTCAGTATGGCTGGGGAGGCCTCAGGAAACTTAAAATCGTGTCAAAAGGGGAAGCAAACACATCCTTCTTCACATGGAGGCAGGAAGGAGAATAATGTGTGCCCAGTGAAGGGAAAAGCTGCTTATGAAACCATCAGATCTCATGAGAACTAACTCACTCTCATAAGAACAGGATGGGGGAAACTGCTCCCATGATTCAATTATCTCCACCTGGTCCCTCCCATAACACGTGGGGATTATGGGAACTACAATTCAAGATGAGATTTGGGTGGGGACACAGCCAAACTAAATCAGTCACCATCACAGTCTATTTTATGCAATCATAAATAATAATGCCCACCACATATTTGGTATTCAATAAATACTTGTTGAATGAATGAAATAGGTTATCATCATCAAATCAAGCAATAGATGACTCTTTATTCCTGAAATTCCAGTGTCATCAGGTAGGATCCTGCTGCTATATCTCTGAATGTGGGTGTGAGTCTTGTAAGAACAGTCACAGCTACTGAGAACTGCTGGCTAAGTTGTCTCTTGTTTTGACAAGTGTCCCTCAGCGTTGACTCTACCCTCAGGCCACTCCATAGCCATTCCAGCAACGTCCATGGTTTTATATTTCCCTTATCCTTTCCACTTTTCCATTATACCTGAGTGTGAGACTCTTTTTTTCCCCCATCCAATTTAATCATATAAAACCTGCTCTGATTTAGAATCTCCTTTGCAGCTAATCGAACCTTGCAGCATTCTATTAGCTCTTCCTATTTGCTCTCAGCCCAAGCTGAGGCTCTGGGATTATTATGTAATAACTTGGACTCATATCTGGTCAGTATATACCATGCCTTTTCATTCTGCAAATCCCCTCAGGGTTCTCTGTCTGTTTGCAAGGGGTGGGAGAAGAGAGTAGAAGGATTGTGGGGGGGGTTTTGGTGGGAGGGGACTGTTTGCTAAAAGTTATTATCCCACACTTATCAGTATTAAACTGGATTTGACAACTCATAGCCTGGGATTTAAATGATCTAAATCCTGCTTCATTTGGCAGCCTGATTTTACCTGTTATTTATTGTGCTACCCAATTTATTATCATCGGCACACTCGGAGGCTTGGCCTGTGGTGTCTTCACAGCCAAGTGATTTATACAAATAATAAAAAAGATCGCGGTTCCTAGCAATGAAATTCAAAGCAATTCCACCTCTCCTTTCCCTCTCATCTAGCTCAGTTCATCTCTTACACATTAACCCTTGGCCTTCTTACTTCTTCTAGAGAAATTCATCCTCAGCTTCCTTCTGATCCCTGGAAGGAAATGCTATTGGCAGAGAAAGGGGCGGGTAATAAAAGTGATGATTTAGGTTGGTGCAACAGTAATTGTAGCTTTTGCCATCAAAATCTGCAATTACTTTTGCACCAGTCTAATAGAATTCCAAAACATAAGTATCATCAGGTCTTTATATGGAAGGTACCAGGCAAATCCTCTCTATACGTTATAGGATTTGGTTGTCACACCAGCACTTTGAGGTAGACATTGATTTTATCCAATTTGACAGCAGAGGGTCTCAGTTTGAAAGATGCTGCATCTCAGTCTCACGAGGACAGACAGAGTGGGAGAGAGAAGCATGGCCAGGGGGTGGGGTGTCTGGAATATGGCCAGGATGAGGGGTAATACTGGTACCAAAACTGTAATGTAGCAGTTCAGAACATGAGCTTTGAAATCAAACAATCCTGGAAGTGAATTCTAGTTCTTGAACCTATTGAGTTGTAGGACCATAAGTAACCAGTCTGTGCCTCAGTTTCCTCACCTGCAAAGTGGGAATAATAAAGTAGATAGGTAGTTATGAGAACTGAATGAGATATTGTATACAGGGCATTTAACACAGTTTCTCCATCTGTTAAAAATGGCTAATGGCCAGGCTCATACCTGTAATCCCAGCAGATTGGGAGGCCAAGGCAGGAGGAATTCTTGAGCCCGGGAGTTCAAGACCAGCCTGGGCAATGTAGGGAGGCCCCATCTCTACAAAAAAATAAAAACATTAGCCAGGTATGGTGGTGTGCATCTGTAGTCCCAGCTACTTGGGAGGCGAAGGTGGGAGGATCTGCTTGAGCCAGGGAAGTTAAGGCTGCAGTGAGCTGTGATCATGCCACTGCCCTCCAGCCTCAGCAACAGAGTAAAACCCTGTCTCAAAAAAAAAAAAAAAACCTAACTCATTTTATCTTCACAACAACCCTATGAGGTAATATATGTAAAGCACTTAAAACAATTCCTGGAAATGCTCAATAAATGTTAGCTGTTATTACTACCACTACTATTACTACCACCACCACTGCTACTACTGCCGTTATTATTGTCTACTATTACTACCACCACCACTACTACTGCTGCTGCTGCTATTGTCATGACTCAAATTCAATACAAAATCAGTACTTTCCAGCACATATATTGCAAAGACCTTGAGTAGGGTCCTGGTAAGCTGAATTCACCCATGATAGTAATTATAGCCTATGCTACCATATAAATGACGTGTGTGTGTTTGTGTGTGTGTGTGTCTGTGTGTGGTTTTGTTTTCCTTGCCCCAGATCTACTTATGACCTTCTCAAACTGGTTGCCAATTCTAGACTTGGAGGGAGGTTAGTCTAAAGCTCTAGCCCAAGCTTAGAACAACTTTAATATGGGAATTCAGTATCCTGTCATCTTCTCTCTCTAGTCTCAAGCTTTAGCAAGTCTACTTGTATTAGTTCACATACTTCTTACTGAAAGCCAAATGTTAATGGGTAGTCTTCTATTTACTCATTTAGAATATTTATAATTAGAGAGCTTATTCATTTATTTAAAATATGGGCCAAGGGTAGTTCTGTTGGGGTATCTGCTGTGTTGAAACTGGAAGAAGCCCCTCACCCCCAATTAATTTTATATCTTGCAAAACTATTTATGTTGGCATTGCACCAAATAACATTTAGCAGTCCCATACTGCCACTGTTTTTTGACCACCCAGCCCTGTACTTTGGAAATACTGGAAGTTTTATCCCATGTTCCCACATAACTTGCACTGAGTGGGTTACTTGCATATTTAGGGAAGAATATGAGTAACCAGATTGCGGGAACAGCACCTCCCACTGATTTACATTTGTAAAGGAAGTGATGCTGAGAGTTCATGGTGACCTAGAAGTCCAAATTCGGCCCATATTCTCCCCTATATCCTGTATCTAGAGCCAAGAATAATGTTAAATATGTAAAAATAATTTTTGCCGTGAGTGTGTATCAGTAATTTATGGCCAATAGATAGCATTGTTTTCAACACAACTTTGCTGAAGCAGCAATAGCAGAAGATGGGCTTTAGAATCAGCCTCCTTCATTAACTGTGTGGTCTTGAACAAGTTGTATAACATCTATAAGCCTGGAGTGCCCCAGCTACAGTCTATATGGAGGTGGAGTCAATCTCATAGTGCTATTTGAGGAGTAAATGAAAAAATCATTTAGAGTTTGTAGCTGAGCACTTGACACAAAGTACTCAAATACTTGTTACTTAGTAGTATTCCTCTTCTATTGATTTGCATATTCCTAAGCTTTTTACATACAATAAATTTTATTGATGTTGTATTTGTTGCCTATTATAGTCTGATGGTGACAGTGCTATTAATGCTGTTATTGTTTGTGGTAAAAATATGTTTTACCATGAGCATGGTTTCAACTGGAATTCACTTCCAGGTTTGTTCTACAAAACCTTTTATATTTCCTCTTATACCTCTGCAAGATTGCCCTTTGTTCCTGATTTCAAGGCCATAGTCACTGTGGAAATTCCAAATCATGCCTCCTTTCTATTTTTGTCCATCCTCCCATTGGTTTTCACTTGCTCTGTGGAAAAACCGTAGTTTCTGTGTATTGGTAGCTGGAAGCCTGAGGCTTCAGACTAAATATTATCATTTATCAGTGCTATAGCACTTGTATTAAAGAGGTCCTTGCAAAAATTTTTATCAATGTATGTGCATTAGAAATGCTGTTTTCTCTTGTGGTCAAAAGAAGTTATTGAAATTCTTATTCTCATACTCAGCCCTATGTGGAGTGACTTACCTTTGACCTTTCACCGTAAGTTAGAAGCAGAATAAATGAGTGGTGATTTCAGCTGCCTCCTCCTTTCTTGTGATAATGAATGAGTCAGCATCAAGGACTTTTCCAGGAGGCCTGAGTCATAAATATCCCTACATTCCATCAAAAATCTCCACAGAAGGTTGTTTTTAAACCGTAAACGGGAAAAAGTTCCTGGACCTTATCTTAATCATCAAGTTAGTGGGAGATATTTACGCTCTAACTTTGGGGTCAAAAAGAAAGGCTATAGCTAACAATATAGTTAGAGAAATTAATATGACCCCATGATGAGATGGCAAACTTCTCATAGAGGAAAGACAAAAAAAAAGTTCAATGGACATACCCACTCTGTCCAAATTCTTGTCAGTTGTGTTACATTGTTGTTTTCCTAAAACTTATTGAGGATTTATCAGATGTCAGGCAGTGTGCTAGCTCCTTTATTTGCATTATGTCATTTCATCTGCACACCTCCTTCATGAAAAGTGGAAAGATTTTCTTCACTGTTTTACAGAGAAGGAAATTGAGAATGAGGGTGACTGACTCTCCCAAGGTTTTGCAGCTAATAGATGGCAGAAATGTGCTTTGACCCTCAGATCCATCTGACTTCAAAGCCCAAGCTCTTAATTAGTCAGTTAAACTCTACGGGAAGCCACGGAAAATGAAGAGGGAAAGGAGAAGAATATACAGAAATGCAAGTTGGCCTTCTCTCTGCCACATAAAGTACTCATAGTACAGTATAGTTAAGGTCTCTTGCAAAATAATTTTAATTTTCCATTAGCACTATAAACAGAAAGCCAATGGATACTATAAGACCCTGAAAAAGTCCAGGCATCAGAGTCCTGAGGCTGCAGCAAACATCAGGTACCCAGCAGTACCACAGATTTTGCAGCCATTTTAAGTGCCAGTAACTGGCAATTATTCTGTATACCTGAAAACATCCCATTTTTGTCACCATTCATTCTAACTTACTTGGAGTGCAGTCTCCTGTCAGGGATGTCTTTGTCACACATACAACATTTTATTTATGAGAAGAATAACAAAATATGATTGTTGGATTAGCTGATAGAGCATGGATTGGAAAAGGAGCCAGCTGGTGTGTTGTGTATGGCTTCAGCAGGAAGATACATCTAATCTGTGTTTTTCTCTCCAAACTCACACCTCGTACATGGCTGAATCTTCCTCTCTAACCCTTTCCACTGTGAGCCTCGAAGGCCTCATCGGTTTCTTCTTGGAATGCAGAGAATATCTTTTGGCTACATTTCCTGGTCAGACTCCTCATGCCAATTCAGGCTTCCCTGATCACCTCTCTTTTTAATGATATAAGTTTAATTTCCCTGTATTAGTCCATTTTTATGCTGATGATGAAGACATACCCAAGACTAGGAATAAAAAGAGGTTTAATTGGACTTACAGTTCCACATGTCTGGGGAGGCCTCAGAAGCATGTCAGGAGGTGAAAGGCACTTCTTACATGGTGGCGGCAAGAGAAAATGAGGAAGAAGCAAAAGTGAAAACCCCTGATAAACCCATTAGCTCTCATGAGACTTATTCACTATTATGAGACTAGCACGGGAAAGACTGGCCCTCATGATGCAATTACCTCTGCCTGGGTCCCTCCCACAACATGTGGGAATTCTGGGAGATACAATTCAGGTTGAGATTTGGTGGGGACACAGCCAAACCATATCATTCTGCCCTTGGCCCCTCCAAATTTCACGTCTCCACATTTCAAAACTAATCATGCCTCCCCAGTAGTCCCCCAAAGTCTTAACTCATTTCAGCATTAACCCAAAAGTCCACAGTCCAAAGTCTCATCTGAGACAAGGTAAGTCCCTTCTACCTATGAGCCTTTAAAATCAAAAGCAAGCTAGTTACTTCCTAGATACAATGGGGGTACAGGTATTGGATAAATCCAGCTATTCAAAATGTGAGATACTGGCCAAAACAAAGGGGTTACTGAGCCTATGCAAGTGTCTGAAATCCAGAGAGGCAGTCAAATTTTAAAGCTCCAAAATGATCTCCTTTGACTCCAGGTCTCATATCCAGGTCACACTGATGTAAGAGTCTTAGGCAGCTCTGCCCCTGTGGCTTTGCAGGGTATAGCCTCCCTCCTGGCTGCTTTCATGGGTTGGCATTGAGTGTCTGCAGCTTTTCCAGGCACATAGTGCAAACTGTCAGTGGATCTACCATTATGGGGTCTAGAGGATGGTGGCCCTCTTTTCACAGCTTCACTAGGCAGTACCCCAGTAGGGACTCTGTGTGGGGGCTCCAACCCCACATTTCCCTTCCACACTGCCCTAGCAGAGGTTCTCCATGAGGGCCCTGCCCCTGCAGCAAACTTTTGCCTGGGCATCCAGGTGTTTCCATACATCTTCTGAAATCTAGGTGGAGGTTCCCAAACCTCAGTTCTTCACTTCTGTGCACCCACAGGCTCAATACCACATGGAAGCTGCCAAGGCTTGAGGCTTCCACCTTCTGAAACCGCAGGCCCAAGCTGTATGTTGGCCCTTTTCAGCCACAGCTGGAGCAGCTGGGATACAGGGCACCAAGTCCCTAAACTGCACATAGCATGAGGACCTGGGCCCAGTCCTGGAAACCACTTTTTCCCCCTGGGCCTCTGGGCCTGTGATGGGAGGGGCTGTCATGAAGGTCTCTCACATGGCCTGGAGACATTTTCCCCATGGTCTTGGGGATTAACATTAGGCTCCTGCTACTTATGCAAATTACTGCAGCCAGCTTGAATTTCTCCCCAGAAAATGGGTTTTTGCATATTCAGGCTGCAAATTTTCTGAACTTTTATGCTCTGTTTCCCTTTTAAAACTAAATGCCTTTAACAGTACTGACATCACCTCTTGAATGCTTTGCTGCTTAGAAATTTCTTCTGCCAGATACCCTAAATCATCTCTCTCAAGTTCAAAGTTTCACAAATCTCTAGGGCAGGGGCAAAATGCCACCAGTCTCTTTGCTAAAACATAACAAGAGTCACCTTTGCTCCAGTTCCCAACAAGTTCCTCATTTCCATCTGAGACCACCTCAACTTGGATTTTATTGTCCATATCGCTATCAGCATTTTGGACACAGCCATTCAACAAGTCTCTAGGAAGTTCCAAACTTTCCCACATTTTCCTTTCTTCTTCTGAGCCCTTCAAACTTTTCCAATCTCTGCCTGTTACCCAGTTCCAAAGTTGCTTCCACATTTTGGGGTATCTCTTCAGCAACACCCCACTCCTGGTACCAATTTGCTGTATTAGTCTGTTTTCATGCTGCTGATAAAGACATACCTGAGACTGGAAATAAAAAGAGGTTTAATTGGACTTATATGGTTCCACATGGCTGGGGAGGCCTCAGAATCATGGCAATAGGCAAAAAGCACTTCTTACTTGGTAGCGGCAAGAGAAAATGACGAAGAAGCAAAAGTGGAAACCCCTGATAAACCCATCAGATCTCATGAGACTTATTCACTATCATGAGAATAGCACGGGAAAGACCAGTCCCCGTGATTCAATTAACTCCCCCTGGGTCCCTCCCACAACACATGGGAATTCTAGGACATACAATTCAAGTTGAGATTTCAGTGGGGACACAGCCAAACCATATCACTTCCCAACTGTTGGAGGATTATTTTGCTCCACACGAAGACAGGAGAGCAAAGTATTAACCAACAGGATGTGGAGTGCAGCAGTCCCACGGAGATCTGTTAACTCTGTGACTCTGAGCATGTACAGAACATAATCTCTGAGCCCATTCTCTCTTCTGAGAGAAAAAATAAACACACCTATTCAATGTTTTTGCTGCTTAATAAGTGATAATCTCTCTTATTACTAAACATGGGGAAAAGGTCTTATTTAAAAATATTCTGTTTATAGGAGTCACACAGTGGAATGGATAATACTGAGAAGAAAACATTTTTCCCCTTCCTGATTCTGAGATCTCATAGGTAACATTTGCTACATTGGTATCTCTCCATTCCCTGTCCTTGCTTTCCTTTTGCTGGGAAATCATTGCATCTGAAAAAAAAAAAAAAAAAAAAAAAAGTAAGTGTTTCCCTAGCCATCATATTCAGAGAAACTAAAAGTTTTTTAAAGTGAGTGAGTTACTTTGTGGTATTTAAAATTATACATGCTTATTACAGAAAACTGAGAAATAGAATTATCTCAAAAGAGCAAAAGTAAAATTTTAAACTCCATCCAAGCACACAAATACTGCATGATCTCACTTATATGTGGAATCTAAAAAAAGTCAAACTCATAGAAGTATAAAGTAAAATGGTGGTTACCCGGGGCTGGTTTTCGGAGTTGGGGGTTGAGATAGGGGAAGGGGGAGCAATTGGGTATGGGAAGATGTCATTCAAAGCATATAACATTTCAATTACACAAGAAGAAGAAGTTTTAGAGATCTGCACAACTTGGTGATTATAGTTAATAATGTATTATATATCTCAACATTGCTAAAAGAATAGATTTTGGGTATTTTGTTTATTTTTTATAATTTTTTTAAAATTTCTTTTTGACTTACGGGTACAAGTGCAGTTGTGTTCCATGGATCTATTGCATAGTGGTGAAGTCCGGGCTGTTACTGCACCTATCTAAATAGAGTACATTCTACCTGATAGGTAATAGTTCATCCCTCACCCCCATTCTACCTTCCCACCTTCTAGAAGTCTCCAATGTTTATTATTTCACTTAAAAGAGTAGATTTGAAAATATTCTCACCACAAAAAGTGATAAATATGAGGTGATAGTTATGTTAATTAGCTTTATTTAATCCATCCACAATGTAAATGTATATTGAAATATCACATTGTACCCCATAAATATGTACAATTATTCATCAATTAAAAATAAAATTTTTAAATAAGTAAAAAAAAAACACCTCTCATAATCCTACCCTTTAAGACTTCATCCACATCCTTCCTGTCCTTTTTTTTTTTTAAATAAATGTTTAACATAGCTGTAGGAATCCACACTCTGAAATGAAGGGAAATATCTGTGAGCTAATACAATGAGACCTTGTTCTTGTCACTGTTTTTTGTGGAATCAAATTCAGCATACAGCTGAGCAATTTTGAATTCCCTGAAGGGTAGTTTAGAAAATGAAGTTCCAAAAGAACCCCTTTGTAGAGTGTGTCAAAACACTAGAGTGTCTCTCTTCTATAGGATGAAACCTAGCATTCAGTAATCCTCCAGTTGTCCCTTCTTATGGAAACGCCTCCTTGAGCCAGGAGAAATCTTACCATAATGTGTATCCTAGTTACAAAGCCATGCAAATCTAACATTTACATAGCCACAGAACTGGGTTTCCTCTTGAAATCCAGAACTGTATATGGCCCTCTATGCATCCTGATGATTCCCCAGGAGCATTTATGAACATAAGCGACTTTGGATAATTTATACAGCAAAAGAGACTGTGGGAAATCCTTTGTAAAGTAGATTTCTCAGATCAGATCCCATGAGCCTGAGATTCAGAATGGTTTTGTTGTTAAGATATTGACTCAAGGACTAGACTGTGTGGGTTTGAATCTTAGCTCCACTACTAACTGGTTTTAGGATGTTAGGCAAGTTACCTAGCCTTTCAAAGTCTCAATTTCTTTATATGTCAAATGAAAATAATAGGAATAAACAGATTTGCTATGAGGATCAAGTGAGTTCATGCATATGTGGTGCTTAGAAGTGTGCCTAATGGGTTGTTCAATAAATATGGTCACTATTGTTAATAATCAGGGTATGTGTGTGTGTTTATACTTGGCCATACTCCCCTTCTGCACAATCCCAAAAGAATCCCTTTGAGACTATAAACTCGCTAGAGCCAAAAAGTCCTGTGTTCCACTCTTTGTCCTCAGCAGCACCTAGGACAGTCATATCTAGTTTGGCATAGATGCTGAATACTCCCTAGTTGGCTTAAATTGGCCAAAATCCTAGTTTTCTTCCTGCTTGTTTGACGCCCAGTAAGTGCTTGGCTCCAGGCTCTGAGAGGTGGGGATGCAGTGGTGGAGAAGGAGGCTTTAGAGGATGGTGCCTGCTTTTTGTTCCTCCTCCTCTGGCATGATGGATTCTTCCCTTTAACTCCTTAGTGCCTCAAAGACAAGTAATGATCAAGGCTCCAGGTAGGACTGACTATCAAAACCAATAGCTGCTGCTAAGATTTGAGTATTTATAATGTACATGAGATTCCATCTCTATCCAGCACACCAGCCCACTGATGCTTTACAAGAAAATCCTCAGTGCCTCAGAGTTAGCTTTCATAGTTTTCTTGTTATAATTTTCAGCTTCCCATGTGCCATGCTAGGCACAAGGTACAACAGTGAACAGGACAGACATGGGCCCTGCCCTTTTAGAGTCTAGTGAGGAAGATGGACATAGTGGATAGTAAGTACATGTGATAAATTCTATGTCAGGAAATGCAGGGTGCTATGGGAATCTTAGGAAGGTCACATAACTATTTTAACAAGTGAAAGAAGGCCAGTTATTTAGCTTTAGTAGGAAACAAAGCTCTCCTTAATAAAATATAAAGTAAGTGCCATATTGTGGGTTTGAAGATTTCTTTGTTCTATATGATATATATTTTCTGTGCTGAGAAGAGGATAGTACACTAAAAATCGATATGTCTTGTAACTCAGTGTTTTATGGTCAACTTATAACACCTTCAACTTATAGAAGAATTAAGATTATCTTCTAAGGCAGGCTTTCCAACATTTAGATGCATGCATGCATATCCTAGCTTCCAGATACCTGCATCCATTTCCCTATGGCTGGTTATTTTTTTCTGAAACGGATTTTTTTTCCAGCCTTCTGACAGTGTAGTGGCAGAAATACATAGGTTCTTCATGCTGTGTTTTTACTTTCCATTTTCGCAATAAAACTATATCACTGCAAAGGAAATCAAATCTAATCTGCAATATATTTAGCATGAAAGCAATAAGAAGCATTAATTCACTCCAGAAAGAGCAAAATACAGTCGGGTACTCAAAAGAAGAATCACCATGGAAACTGTTTTCTTGAAATTGTGTGCTCTCCAGGCTCCAGGCATGACTAAGTGAGGAAAGGAAGGCAAAGGGAAGAGAAGAAATATTTTACCCTTTCTGTTGTCACTAAAAATGCTGCTGAGGAATTTCTATGAATTATTGATCGCATTAATAGAAGTATATATGAATTAGAATTATTAAACTGTTGCCTTTTAAATGAGTGTGTAAAAACACACTGAGAACTTGTTCCTCAGTGTTCTCCCTTCCTAACTGTCAAAACCCTATTGAGCGGTGTTCTCCCTTTCCTAACTGTCAATCATCCTCTTAAGGTCAAAAGTTTTAAGAGAAGCACTAGGAATTATGATGATTAAAGAATTATGTAAGCTAGAACTAAGGTAAAATGTGTTTGCATGTAACTCCCAGATAGACTTGCTTTTGTATACCATTTTGAGATGATTATGGTTTCAGAATTTTTTCAAAGATATTAAATATGTCAAGATCAGCCCAGCTCCTGCCTTTGGGACCGTGTTAATGGGATGTGATGGAATTTCCCTAAGGAATTTGTTACAGATTAGATTCACTCTGTGTTTGTGTGCACATGTATATATCTCACAACGAGTCCACTCTCCTTGCTTTCTACATTTTTACCTCCTAATTTATAGATTTTTCTCACTGCAACTATATATTTGGATTATAATAGCTCTGATAAGAATAGCTACCATGTGTTCAGTGTTCCCTGTGAGTCGATCACTATGCTGAATTCTTTGCATTATAACATCAAGGGCATAAGCTTTTATTTGGGTGGAATTGTGTATTATTTAGCAAAACAACAAATTCAATAAAAGCTCACTAATAAAATAAATGTTTATATTCTCATGTAACCCTCAAAAAAAAAAACCTATGACAGTCCCCATTTTACAGCTGAGGAAACTGAGTTTTTGGGATGGCCATCGAATACACTGGATCACAGAGCCAGTGAGTTGCAAAACCTGGATTTGAAATCATGTGGGAATCCTAAGTCCATGGGCTTAACACCACTATGTTTTCATTCTAAAGGACATAGACAACCTGCCTTTTTAATCTCTGTATAGACTCATAGCTGCCCAGGGTCTGGACATGTAAGTAGGACTTTGGTATATTCACAACAAATATATATTGAGAATCTACCATTGTACCAGGCACTGTCCTAAATATAAAAATTGAAAATAAGATAACATCCCTGCCTTCAAGGAACTTACAGTCCTCAGGAAATGTTGGCACGAATGAATGAAACAGACAAAATAGTCAAAGGTTCAGAGAAAAAAGGGATTAATGAGATTTGTGGATTTGTTGAGTTTGTATGGATGAATTTGTCCTGGCCCTCCAAGAGGGGGAGGAGCTTTTGTAAGGTGGGAGGAAGAGAAATAAACATTTAGGGTAAGAAAACATGATTTTAAGCACAGAGATGGGAATGAGTGAGAAGGGTTTCAGGACCTGTTAGAAGATCAGGGCGTGTGTTTTAGAAAAGTGAGTTTGAACAAGTACATCGACCATTGGGCCAATCAGTAAAGAACAATGAAAACTGGGGCAAGGAGGTCTGGATTTTATCCTATCAACACAAGTGATCTTTCAAAGGATTCATGTGTTTATTCTGAGGTGTTAATTACTCACAATAACGAGCATTATTCTTTTGTATTCAGCTTAATGACTTTTATACATGTATACAACCATGTCACCATTACCCACATAAAGGTACAGGACAGTTTTAGGACTCCGTAAGATTTTCTCTTGCCCACTCTTACTTAATTCTCCCTCGCCCAGAGATTATCAGTATTCCGACTTTTATGTGAGTGTTCAAAGGGAAGTGATTTCTTAAAATGACACTATGAAAGTTTAAAGGAAAGCTGAATGACTGACGGGATGTAGCACAAAGTGTGGAGGTGAGAGGTTTCAAACAGGGAGACCAACAAAGAGGATGTTATGAGGTTCACTCCAATTCATCCAATCAATTAAATATTTATTGGACACTTATTATGTACCATACCCATACACTGGGAATATAGTGGTAACCAACATATGCTCTCTCAATGAGGAGGCCAACAAATAAACAGTTACCTTACGGTGTAATAAATGCTATAATAGGAGGAAATATACATTGTGCTTAAAATGGGCATCTAACCCAGAATAGGAAAGTCAAGGAAGACTTCCTGGAGGAAGAGACGACAATCTGAGGATCGAGGATGAATAGAGATTAGCCAGGTTCCAGGCAGAGAAAGGCACATACAAAGGCCCAAAGAGGAGCAAGGACCTGTTCATGTTTAGGTAGTGGCAGTAGACAAGAGAGAAGTCAAAGAAAGTAAGTTTTTTAATCAAAAGAAATGGCCAGACTTAGTAATTATATTCTATCACAAGAACCATGTCAAACTGGGTTTCTTCAACACTGGTACTGTATATAATTGTGTTTTATACTATGTATTAGGCACTAACCTGATTGTGCAACATTGCAAAAAATTTCAGATGTTCAGCATTGCAGGCTTTTTCATTATTGTTTATACTGTGGGCAACCCACTTGCTTGTCAGTCATTTCTCTGAATTTGAGCCAGAAAAACCAGTCAGGCAATAAGATTTCACCTACTTCTGTTAGATGAAGCTGTTTTTCTTATTCTTTGTAGCATATTTTGTAGCTTCCCCTTTTCTGGACTGGGCTGGGCTGTGCAAAGCAGCCAGGCTATGCCTTCTGACTTTTAGTTTGTTTCCTGGGGCAGCTTTGAGAAAGCTATTGAGTTCTCAACACTCATTTTTTCTCTGATTCATCAGCAGATAACTCAGTAAGCAGAAAGTGGCCTTTGTAGCTCCGCAGACCTGAGTTAAGCCATAGCCTAAGTCTTACTAACTCTCTTTGTGACTTCAACAAGTTACTTAATGTTTCTAGGCTTTTGTTTTCTTGTCTGGGAATAATAGCATCCACTGCATATGGCGTAAATGTCATTAAAATCTAATGTTGTAAAAGCTGTAAGATAGTACCTAACATATAGCAGGTCTTCAGTAAATAGTATCTGGAGGTAGTAAAGTTGAGTGGTTTATAGCAAAAAGCTCTCAAGTTAGACTGCCTATGTTAGAAGGCTGGTTCTGCCAAAGGCTAGCTGGGTTAACATAAGCTTACAGTGACTCAGTTTCCTCATCTGTAAAATGGGGGTAGTAATAATGACATCTACCTTATGGTTTTATTGTGAGGGTTAAATGAGTTAATGCATGTAAAGTTCTTCACACAGAGCCTGCTGTGTGGGTATGCATATCTCTACATCTATATTAGTAGTGTTCCTGTTAACCTTAATGATTATTGTTATTTTTACTTATTACTTGGTCCCATCTATGAGAATGGGAGAGCAGTACCTACCTATCCTGCAAGGTTGTTGCAAGAGCTACTTAAGAGGTATGCGTGGCTCAGTGCCAGGCACACAGTGGGCTCCTGATAAATGTTTGTTGAGTGAATGAGAGCAAAGTGCTTCTCTCTGAATGTTTTCTGTAAATGTTTCGCCTTAATGATCACTGGGAGCTTCCACATAGAAGGAAGTGCCAAAGAAGCGCACAGGGCGGCAGCCTGGCTTGGGCCTGGTGGAATCCAATGATGTTGAACAAAATAGATTCAGATCAGTCTATTTGGTGCCATTGAAACTGTGCCAACGAGCAGCAAAATGTGATTTCATGTTGGGAGAGTGCCAGGATCCTGGTTTGCAAATCAAAGAGAATCCTACCTATTTCTAGCACCTTCTCTCTTTCTCCCCTCAAGATTCTTCTGTGTGGGTTTTCTTACCTTTGAAAGAGCCTCTGGATGTTTCACAAAATCAGGCCCCAGATGTTTGAAAGACTTTTGCAGACAAGGTAATCAATCCATTTGGTGGCCAGATGCTGTCTGAAAATTTTCCTGCTATAGCACTGCAAGTTTCTAAATTCATTAGAAACATAAATTAATTAAATCTAATCAACAGTGGGTGATGCAGAAGATTAAATAGTGAAAAACAAATACATTTCCAACAGGGTCATATTAGAGGCAGAGAAAAACAGCTCCAGTTTGGAGGTAAATGTCAAGTTAACCCTTCATGTGATATTCTCAGAAAACTTAGCCAGGCCTGAGTCCCCAGGTGAGGCTGTGGTTCTTTCCAAATTAAGGCTGCTCTGGTGGGTTAATTGACTTTTCAAGAAATAAAAAATAAATTATCTGTTTCTCTAAAACATTTTGGAGTGGTCTGATTCTCTTATGTATTCACAGAAGTGAAAATCTCCATCATTCCTTTATCATGAAAAGTCTCAAGAGATAGGATTTGCAAGTGGCTATGCACTATGTATAAAGCAGTATTTTTCAGTAGCATTCTATAGTCAGATAAATTTGGAAAGAGAGTGAAGTCTTCTTTACTCCACACTAGAATAAGTTACCTGAGTTCAGGATTGTCTGAACTGAATCTGTCAATATTCAGATTTAATATTGACTGTCAATACTGAATCTCCAACACCAAAAAGAACAGTGCCTGGCAAGTCCTTAATAAAACCTTAATAAATATCTGTAAGTCCTTAGTAAATATCTGTTAATGTATGAACTGTGGGTGAACTTCTTTCTGATGGGACAACTCAATATTTACCCAGATAAATCCCCAAGATGAGGGACAGTGTATGAGCTATTTCCCAACAGTGTTCGACATCTTCCCCCCAAGAAACAGCATCTTAAGGAACTAATGGTCCATATGATATATTTTAGATTAACCAAGTTTTGAAGTATTGTTGTATAGCACCCCTATCCTTTGTCCCATATCCTCTACCCTCAGTCTAAATGAAACTGGAGAAGATTCAGGGTGAGTGAATAGTGAATTCATGCAGTCAACTTCTGGGTAAGAGGCTGTCCTCCAAGGATGTGCTCAGCTTACTGGTTAGGCCAGCCCTTAGTTGTGATTTGACTGTTTTTTCATTCCACACTTGCATTTGCAGTTTTGACTGTTTTTTCATTCCATACTTGCACTTGCAGTGCTGACAAATGACCTAACGTTGTGTGGATAAAGGTGTTGCTACCTTGCATGCAGCCCTGTAGAGAGGTACCAGTTTGCAGAGGATACCACTCAACAGTAAAGACCAGCAGCTGCTAACTCAGATGCCTACAGAGGCAAAGTAGCGTAAAAGATGAAAGCAGAGAGGTAGAGGAAAACCTCAGGAGGGTAAATGGGAGCTGGCACTTGACACTAAGGCTGGGGGTACACTAGGAAATGTTAGGAGGTGCAGTAAATTCAAGACCTATGCCCTTCTAAAGGGAGCAGCTGCTTCCCCACTCAAGTCAGGAATGGCCATATGGGAATGCCAGCTTGATGTTGCCAATCTTCATTTTTCTAAAGAAACTGAAAAATCTCAATTGTTTAAAATGAAACTTTATACTTTTTAGATGATAGAAACTCATTCAAAATGTTGGAAACCTTTGTGTGGGCTAATACTGCAATGTTAATAAACTAGTCCAAATAAAATAAATCTGCTTGTCAGATATGACCTATCCACTCCAACTGGTATCCTCTGGGCTATTTGGTCCCATGATGTGGAGCTGTGGAGCCTTGCTCTGCCTTATCTGGGATCCAGATGAGTGATCCACTGGGAACAACAACAACAAATTATATATATTGAGGAGCTACAATGTGCAAGGCATCATGCTAAGCTCCTCCCCATCCTTATCTCATTTAATCCTCATAATTCCCCTCCAAAATGGTACCAATATTATTCTTATTTTACAGATAAAGAAACTGAGATTCAGAGAACTCAAGTAACTTGCCCAAAGGCACATCACTTGTAAATGACAGAGATGAATGGTATCTTTCTGACACCTAAAGTCATTCTGTTAACCATTCATTATGTTACTTCTAGGTAAAATACTATACTAACATTTAGTGCTTATGTGTGTCAGGTACCATTCTAAGTGCTTTGCATAAATTTATGTACATAATTCTCAACATAATATCATCATCTCCATTTTGCAGATTAAATAAGTAGGGGGCAGAGAGAGAGGTTAAATAATAAACCCAAGATTTGCCAGCTAGTAAATGTGGAAGCTATAATTTAACCTGGGATTACAAGACTGCTATTGATCAACTCTTAGAATTATTTCTCAAGACAAAGTCCTAGGTCAGGCACATAGAAGGTGCTCAGTAAATAGTTTTCAATGGACAGCAAATCTCATTTTCGTCTTGGGATTCTGTGCTGCAGGTGTGGTTGTTGCCTCTAAGTAGCTGCTATTTCAGCCATTATTTCATGTGACTCACTGGCAGCTGTCACTCAGGCAGCCTTCACTGCATCACTTTGCTAATTCCAGGCATGCAGAGCAAAGACTGACAAGCCCTAGAAGCTGGCTCAGCCTCTAATGAACTGTCTAATCCAGAAATCCCTTCTCAGGGATCGGGCAATCCAATTCAAACTGCGTATGTGACTGAAATAGTTCACTGGGTCAGACTTCTTGGCATATAAAGATCTTCCCACCCAGTCTCTGGTGTTCGATTGCCTTTCTTCCTGCAAATTGAAAGGGTGGAGACTGGTTTAGACAAGGGCTGGAATTTAAGTAGCAGAAGGGTGTGTGTGCATTTTATAATGCATGTGTTTTCGTGTATATGATTAGCTCAGCATAGACCTTATTAACTAGAATGAAGCAAATGTGGATTTTATTGGTTTTCAAATTTTCATGATCCCATAGTTCTGCTACACTCAATTCAACTGAAAACCAAATGTACGTGTGTGTGTAAGAACAACATTAGAGGATATAATCCAAATGATCAGGCTACAAATATTAATAAATATTCTAGGAAACCGTACTTTTTTTTTTTTAAGATGGGGTCTCACTCTGTCACCCAGGCTGTAGTACAGTGGTGCGATCACAGCTCACTGCAGCCTCAACCTCCTGGGCTCAATCTGTCTTCCCACCTCAGCCTCCTGAGTAGCTGAGACTATAGGCGTGTGCCACCATGCCAGGCTAATCTTTGTATTTTTTGTAGAGATAGGATTAGAAAACCATACTTTCCTTGAACAATGCTTGCATGTCTACTATGTGTCAAACATTGGGCTAGGGGCCAGGAATACCGTTGGTTAAAAAAAAAATCAGCTGTGCTTCCTGTGAATTATGAATTCTTGTGAATTATGTAGTCTTACAAGGGAGACAGACATTAACAATAAACACTCAAAAACATACATAATATACATAATGATGAATTATGGTAGATGCATTAAAGAAAAAGGATAGAGTACTATAAAGAACAATGTGAAGACTTTAAAATAGGTTGTCAGAAAAGTCCACTCTCAGGAAGTGCTGTTGTTCAAGCTGAAATTTTTTAAAATGAAGAGATGTTGGCTAAGGAAAAGGGAGGACGGGGGACTAGTTTAGGCAAAGCATGTTTCCCCAAATTAAGGGGGAAAGCAGGAAATTTATGAGATCCTGAAAGCAAAAGTAGGGCTAGAAAATGGTAAGGAGGGAGGTCAGGGGATAGTTTGCGAGGGAGGAAAGGGCCCGTTCACAAAGTGTTCTTAATGATGACCTACCAAAAGGTTGTATTACCCCAAAGCTTCCCCAAAATGGTGTCTAGTACATTTTACTGTTGATACAAGTTCAGGTGAAGAAGCAGGAGGTATATTTGAGATTGTGGCCAGTGTTGAGTCTATATCTTCAGTGCTTAATGGTTTGGTTCCTTCTGTTACCTGATAAAATACTGACATATCATTTTTTATTCCCCAAGAACTTTGCAGAAAGCAATGCATCACAGTCAGTGCTAGAAACCTGCTATGGTGTGTGTTGGAAAGAAAGGAATTTTGCCAACGCATTTAATAGTTATGGACTTTTTCAAGTTTGAAGCTTTTTCATATCCTCCAGAGGCAATAACTTAGGTTGTTGGAATCAGTATTTGAAATGTTCCCCAAAAATAGAGTCCTTGGAGGTATGGAAATGTGATCTGATTTTCACTCCTCTCCTATCTGCTATTCCTGGAGAAAGCATTTCTGAAAATGGCCTTGGTACTAGATTTCTCAAATACTAGTTTTATTTCAGAGGTGTCCCAGGCTATAAGCCTATAGCAATGAACAATTAAAAATAACAATAAGTTGTAGGTAAAAATGGAACATGTGTGACTTTAAGCTAAGCAGAGAGCTGTCATGTGCATTACATAAACCCAAAGTCAGTTGTCCCCATGAGAATCCTAAATCTCCAGTTGTGAACCATTTATGTCATGTTTGCTATGCACAGAATAAGATCCTAGGTACTGAAAAAGATGCTTTCTACTAAAGAAATAAATATTATTCTGTTTTCAGGGAACTTATAATCTAGTTAAACAGATAACACATACACAAAGTATATTTGAGCCATCTATCAACATTCAGACCATAATCCAATAGAAATGAGTCATGCCTGATAAGAAGATGCCAGCTAAGTTAGTGAAGTTTTAAATGTAAACTGTCCTTACTTGGTTTCTAGAAGAGAATAATTTTCAACTGGGTGTTAGAAGGGAAGGGAAACAGGATAAGTTCTAAGAGGATAATTTCCAGATTGAAGAATTGTTTAAGCAAAGGTCTGAATGCAGGGTAGTATTGAGTGATGGTCTCAGATCCCACTAGGGATCCAGAGATTCAGAAGTACCATGAAAATAAGATGCAGAATTTCACAAATATAAGTACATGCATATTTATGGGGAAAGGATTTATAGCTTTTATTGGATCCTCAAAGATGTCCGAGATCTCCTAATAAAGGTTAAGAGCTAAATTGTATTATTAGAGAAAGGTTCAGATTTTACATTCTTTTATTCATCAAACATTAATTGTGCTTAGTAGAGTCAAAATTGAGTAAAATAGGAATTCTGCCTTTAATGAAATACATTTCAGTTAGGAAAATAGAACAAGTACACATGTAAGTGACAATGTCATGGATCTCATGTAAAAGTACAAAGAGTTACAGTTTTTGTGAGGAAGAAGGAATTTTTTCCAATCAATGAAGCTTAGAAAAGCTTCATGGAATAGGTGACATTTGAGCTGGCCTTGAAGGATTTGTGTATTTACTTTTTTATTTAGTCAGTAAACAAGTGTTTTTTGCAAACCTACTAGATGCCAGTCCCTATGCTAGGTCCTCAGATTATAATAATGCAGAAGATCCTGCCCACAAGGGACATGCTGTCTCAAAGAATGAGATGTCAACAGGCACAATTAATGACAAGAATATATTAGATAAATGAAATGGCATGAACAGTTGGTCAGCAAAGATTGTATTTGCTTTGAGAGTCTGAGGAGTTAAACTTTGATGGAGTGTGTGACAATGATGGAAAAGTGAAGACTGAGCCCAGAAGATACACTCTGCTGTGTTAAGAAGTAAAACCTACAACTGTGAGTGAAAGATGAAAAAAGAATTTATATAGAAAAAAGAAGAGATAGTATACAGAAGAGAATAGGAACAAGAAATAATAGAAGGTGGAGGGAAAAGAAGCAGCCCACAAAAAGGCAGGTTCTGAACACAAGCTTTGGAACTACAATTGGGTTTAAATCCCAGCTCCACGACTAGTCTTACAAACATGAGCAAGTTATTTATCCTGTCTGAGCCACCATTTTCCCAACTGAAAAATGGAGAAAGATACTAAAACTCATGGAGTTTGAGTGACAATTAAGTGATATAACATAAAACACAAAGCACAGATCATGACCAAAGTCAGTATCCAATATATGACGATGGATCTATAGATTTAGGAAGAGAGTGTATGTATATAGAGGGTCGAACGCCGTGCCTGGCTTGCAGTAGGCCAACTCAATAAATGGTAGTTTCAAAGAAAAACTATGCTTTTCTAAACTGTGCAGTGCTGGTGTTTCTCTTAGACTGTAATGTCTTGAGACCAAGTCAATAGCTAGTTAATTTCAGTGAGTCTTCTTTATGACAGTTGCAATTCTCTACCTGTAGTCATACTGCAGGAAAGGAATGTGCAGCTAAAAGAGTTTTCCATTAAAGACTGATGTCCTGGAAGGGAGATCTACAAATCACTTGGAAAGTTCCTGGCACCATCACCTGGGTCTGGCCATTTACAATGTGTCTGTAAATCTTGCACAGGGAAAGGATGAGAGTGTAGGGTTTTTTTCCCCACTCTGACAGACTTGTTTCTATAAGATATTAAGGATACTGGTGAAAGTTAAGGAAGGCCAAAAGGAGGTCAGCCTACCCATGTGGAAGTGATCTTGTAGTAGATTTCTCATCACTTTAAAGTGTATATGAGTTAGCAGCCTTCTGCCTGGTAGGCAGATAGTAGGTAGCTAAAAGAACAGAGTCCTTTCTGCTCTCAGCTTCAAAAGGAGAAGGGAAGGGAGGAAGAGATGAGTGGAAAGCAGAAAAGAAAGAAGAGGTGTGAGGTCAGGGGAGAGGGAGAGAATAAGGAGGAAGAAACAAAAAAAAAATCAAGAGGTCTTTTATTCATAGCAATCACATGGATCTCTGAAATGCTGATATATGAGAGAAATTCTTGTAATACTAAATGTTTTAAGAATCCTGTTAAACCTTATATGAAGAGAAGATTTCAATAGCATTTTTCTTACTATCCAGATTTTGGCTGTGGGTAGGGTTTGAACCTGTACAGATTTTATTTCAAATGTTAGTGGCGACCAGTCCTCATTCCTGGCCTGTTCATCTATACATTTATTTTTTTATTCATTCAGCAATTCCACCTTCTTTCTTCTTCATCGTTATTTTTTTCCTGGCAGTTGGAACTTTCCCACCAGCATATAAACATGCTGTTATTTCTATGACACTGTGAAAGTACTCTCTTGATCCCACTTTCCTTACCATCTTTCACCTCATTTCTTTGCTACTCTTCAAGGAGTTGTACATAGTCACCATCTCCAATTCCTCTCCTCCCATTCTCTCTGAAACCTACTCCGATCAAGTTTTATGGCCACCATCCCATAGAAACTATACATTACTCAAAGTTAAAAATGAGCTCCACAGTACTAAGCTTAAAGTTTTACTCTAAACTTTTAGCTTGCCTATGAGCAGTATTTGACATGGTTGGTCACTTGTCTGAACTTCACTTGGTTTCCAGGACATTACGTTTCTTTGATTTTCTTATTATCTCACTGGTCATTCTCTTTGTTTTTTTCCCTGGATTTTCTTCTTCTGTCCCCAACTTTTTCAATGTTGGAGTGCCCTACTGTTCAGCTCTTGGTCCTCTTCATTTATTTTAATGCACTCACTCCCCAAGACCTCATCTGGTCTTGTTGCTTTAAACACTATCTGAATGCTAATAACTCCCAAATTTATATCACCAGCTCAATCCCCTCTCCTGAACTCCAAATTCTTATTTCCAGTTATCTCCTCAACATCTGTACTTATAAACCTCTCACATTTCACATGCATAAAACTGAACATCTGGTCCTCAAAAAGCCTGCTTTACTCACAATATTCTCAGTGATGGCAACTCTAACATGCCAGTTGCTGAGACCAAAAACTTTGGGATCATCCTTGATTCTTGTATTTTTTCAAACCCTATAATCAATCCATCAGCAAATCCTCACAGGTCAACTTTCAATATCATCCAGAAAATAGCCAGTTCTCTTCACCTCCACAGCCTACACCATGGTTTATCTCCCCTTGATTATCTCAATACACTTCCCAATTCTACCTCAGCCCTCTACAGTCTGTTATCAACACTGTAGCCAAATTGAGTCTTGTAAAAGCAGTCACTTGTCTACTTAGTATCCTTCCAACAGCTATCCCTTTCACTTTTTTGTTGTAAAATGTACGTAACATAAGCTTTACCATTTTAACTATTTTTCAGTATACAGTTTGGTGGCATCAAATACATTCACATTGTTGTGCCCATTTCACTTTTAGTAAGAGAGTCCTTGCTGTGTTATACAAGACTCTATATCATGTGAACCTCCCATTTCTCCTACCTATTTACCCCTTGTTTGTTCTGCTCTAGGCACACTGATCCCTTAACACATGTTCATTTCCCTCTTAGGGTCTTTCCATTGTCAGTTTCATCTCTTTGGAACACTCTTCCTACAGATACCTGCATCGTGAACGCCTCCACTCCTTCAAGTCTCCCCCATGAAGTCTGTCACAACCACCCTATTGAAATTGCAGCCTCCCTGAAAATGCCAGTCCTGTTCATCTTACTCAGCTCTATTTGTTTTCCTTAGTACATAACATACAATGTAATTTAATATGTTCATTGATGATTTTCTTTTCTCCACAACTAGAATGTAAGATGCATGAGGACAGATATCTTATCTATTTTTAATTGATCTTTCTTTAATATCTGGAATAGTACTTTACACGTAGTTGGTGTGTTCAATGTACATTTGTTGAGTGAATAAATGGGTCAATGAATGAATTAATTAACCCTAAATCTTGAGACGTTGTTTGGAGATTCTAGCAGGGGAACACAGCTACTCATATACCCTTGACCGAAGACCAGTCCTCCTCTATTGGGGATGATCATGCTCTTCAACCCATTGTGCAGCTCTGGGAGGGATGCACAGAGTGGTGAGGGAGGAAGGAGACACCTGCCTAGCCATCCGGATCAGCCAAATCAACCCTGGTGATCAGTGGGGTGACAGATGTTGCAACCAGATCACCCTTATGTCCTATTAACATTAAATCTTTCCTGACTTTTCTAGTTTTAATATTATTCATTGTTATCTAAACTGCTACATGACCATGAAGTCAAATATAATAGATTTTCTAAATATCCGATTTTCAGTGGATAGATAAAAGCAGTAAGTATTTACTATACTGCCTTTATCCTGATGAATATTTATTAAAGATTGGGTCCTGCTGCTGATGAAAATCAACACTAGTTTATTCATTCTGTATTTTACTCTTACCTACTGTGTGTACAGTATTGCATTCAGTGCTTTAAAATATGCATATTATCCAAAAGAGAGCATACTTTATAATATTCTTCAAAATACCACAACTCCTAGCCAGAAACTAGAAGGAGGGAGGGAGAAAGAGAAAAAATACTAAGTGATTCATGGTATTATAACTGGCACGCTTGTTTCTAATACTTTCCATTTTATTTGCTAAGACCCTTGAAAAACCATCGTAACATAATAATACCTTGTGAACTATTAGCAACATATTTATTTTGTTTGACATCGGGACCTCATGTTTTAGGAGGAAAAAATCAAATCCTTGCCTATCATATTCTTCATTCATTTCTTTAGGCCCACCTACAGTTTAACAAAAATATGCATTGTATTTAGTGTTCAATTTGTCCTTTAGAGAAATAAAAGAGATTTATTGCATGCAAGGATATGGCTGAGATGTGTTTCCTTGAGTTCTGATAAGGACTTCTGCTTCCCTCTAGGAAAAAAAAAATTCTTTGACTTAAAAATCTCTATGATCAGAATCTTTGAACAACCTTTCCCCAACATTGTACTTGTATCCCAACCTCCCATTACCTCCCAGTCCTCTAACTGAGAGTTTCACAAGGGCAAGTACCAGTAGTGTTTGTTTATTACTATATCTCTGGTACCCAGCCCAGTGACATGCACATAATAGGCATTCATTAAATCGAGTCCTTTCATCTCAGATGTATTTGCTCATCCACTTTGGCTTTCTTATTACCACCTCCATGCCCTCTCCCAAGTAGGACCCTACCTGGACATCCTCTCTCCCCCAACCCATCTGCTTTCTCTTCCTGTTATTCATAGGACCCTGAATCCCTGACAGTGCTGCAAAGGCTTTTTAGGACAAGATCTATTATTTATTGAGCAATGTATCTCATTCTAAAATCATCAAACACTCACTATTCCAAATGAGAACTTTTTCTTGCTTCACATCTTAAGTAAATGTTTACATCTACCCAGCATACATATTTTGATTATTGATACTTTGTTTAGGGTTATCCATTCTCTATATGTTGGTCCACTTTGGTATTGGCTCTCTTCAGTGCCCATTCAGTGATCCATTAAAGAAAAAAGATTGATTGCTTGATGACTTGTGAGCATAGAAAAAAAAAGATTGAGAAGCATCTGTTATATACTAAGAGACTCAGCTAGGCACTGAGGGTTTAGTGGTGAACAAGTTCCTTGTGAAGTTTACAATGAAGAGACTGAAACAGGCATATAAATGATTCTAATATCATTGTGATAAATGCTAATGATTAGTGGTGATAACTTATAAAGGCAAAGTATGGGGAGCAATGAGGCTGCATAATAAAGGGAGCTGTGTTGGGCTTAAAAGAAGTCACACAGGGCTTCTTAAGGAAGTGATACCTGAGCCAGTCCCAAAATATGGGGAATTTTAGCTTCCACAAAGTGGATACCATGTCTTACTGACTTCAGAACATCTGGCAAAGCAAAATTTCTGACCAAACATGTGCCAGATGCCATAATATGTGTGTTTGGGTAGCAGGTAGCACAGGGCCTGCCCAAGAACTCCCATTCCCCCACAGATGTGAGAACTTTCTCATTTTGGACCTGGAGTCCTGCTGACTTTGGGGTCAGCCATAGATGTCCCATGTTGTGCGGATAATAGATCTGAATGATTGACAGAGTTTGTATTGCCTGAGCAGTTAATTACTCCTCTGCTTTTTGAAAAATTGGGTGACAGATGGTAAACACCTTGACAGCAGATTCCACTGTAAACCACACAGGCATGTAGGCAAGTCTGGACTGCTATCAATTTCCCACTGGATTTTTCTGTACTCAGAGACTTATAATTTTTAAGACTCCTTTGCCCTTTAGGCAAGTTTTGTTCCAACTATGGGAAAATTTTATCTTCTAGGCTTCTATGTTGCAGGAACTTGTTTTGAATAAAAGGCAATCTTTATCAACCCACATGTCCTTGGGTTGATTCAAACCTGTTTAGTGTTGGAGATTTGGTCAGCCTGGGGAAGCTGTGTGCATTTTAAGGGGAACAGCATGGCATTCATTACTCACCTGCTTCCCACCATCTGGATTTTCACAGCTCAGCAAGCATGGTGGGCTTCCTGCATATTAGCAGGGAAAGCTTGGCTCCTAAAGAGGGTGTGGCTAGGTCCCTCTGAAGTCATAATTTTACAATGAACACCATGAATAAATTGGGGTTGGCATTCTATCCCAGTAAGCTGCTTTCATATCTGAATGGTTGAAAAATAATACACCATCTCCACAGCAGGGGAAGGAGGAAAAACACAAATCATCTTAATACTAGGAATCAAGCAAGTGGGAAGGAAAATTGGTTGTGTGGTAGAGTAAAGTGGAAATGTGCATGTGAGAGTTTGTGCAAATATGTTGTAAGGCAAGGGAGTTTCCAACTCAACATGCATTAATAACCTGGCCCTGTGCAAAGTGCTATAAGGAAAACAAAGATGGAAAGACATGTATAGTAGCATGAATTTAGATGAATATAACAGAAAACTTACTAACAGTAGCTTAAACCACAGGGTTTAACAATTTCAGACATAGGCTGTCTTAAGGTAGGTTTTAGTTGTTCAACAGTGTCATCAAAGATATTGTCCCATTCTCCCATCTGTCATACTCAGCTTCTTAGCCTTTTAAAGTCCATAGGCTTATTACCTCATGGTCACATGATGGCTGCCACAGCCCCACGTATTATGAACACATTTAATTACAAACAAAGGCAGGAAGCAATGAAGAGTCCGGTCAGAAGGCCTTCCCTCACTTACTTCCTTTTATTCAGGGAAGAAAACTCTTTCCCAGAATCTCTGTCCCGCTCCTGCTTCCCCAGTAGACTTTCCTGTATGCCTCATTGGCCAGATCTGGGTCACACAATTACCCCTAGCCACAAGGGAGGCTAAAAAGCAAGTATGTGGGTTTTCCAGCCTCTACAGTGGGACAGTAGGAGGCAGGCAAGGAAGAAAGATTCTGAGTAGGAGTAGCCAACCAAGAGTATCTGCCATGACATAACACATGCCATTAATGGGCTTGATCTACAGGGTCAGACTGACATTTAAGCAGTGCCCATTTTTTAATACTGCACTTATGGTTAAGTAGGAAACAGCCATTGTGATAAGAGCTTGGGACTTGGAGCTATTGGACCCTTCTATCTGTATTCTTTCATCTAAGAGGTAAACCAGCACCAGGTTGAAGATAAAACCAGTATGCACAGAATTAATTAAATGAAAGGAAGAATATTCAGTATCCAAATACTAGACACTGATTGGATGACAGAGGAAACAATTCTGGATCAAACAGAACGTATTACACACAGTAGGTCAAGGATAGCAAGCATGTGGCATGTGTAATCAGAACTGTGTATTTACTACTTCTGTCTTTAGTACCAAACTAAATGAGTGTGAGAAGCAGTGTCAAGTTAAGAAGGTAACGCTACTGAATCAGGAACTCAAACATAGTTCCATTTAGACAAGGGCATAGGTGAAAAGGTAGAATACTTCATGGATAACGTAGCTTGGATGCAGGTTGGCAAAAGTGTATTGATGAATTTTTTTTAGCTCCATACCATCCAAACAGAATCCCAAATAGTAATAACATCTAGACAGAAAGATTAAAAAAAATCTTTGACTCTGTGTACTAAGAAAATAATTATTGGTGCCAAATCAAGTTGAGTCATATCAATAGAGACACTGTATCTACACAGCATTTTTAACTCTTACAAGCTCTTATATCTATCAGTTCATTTTATTCCCATAATTTTACTTCTTTTGGAAGAATTGTCCACTAAAAAGAGCAGTATGAAGGAACTTTCTGGGGTCAATGGAATTGTTCTATATCATGATAGTGGTTATGGATACATATCTCTATGCATTTGTCAAAACCTTTAGAACTGGATGCCACAAAAAGTGAATTTTACACACACACACACACACACACACACACACACATACACACACACATACATAGATATACAGATATACAGTGTTTTTTTTTTTTTTGAGACCAAGTCTGGCTCTGTCGCCCAGGTGTGAGTGCAGTGGCATGATCTCGGCTCACTGCAACCTCTGCCTCCCAGGCTCAAGTGATCCTCCCACCTCAGCCTCCCAAGTAGCTGGGACCACAGACATACACCACCATGCCGAGCTAATTTTTTTTATTTTTGGTAGAAATGGTGTTTCACCATGCTGCCCAGCCTGGTCTCGAACTCCTGAGCTCAAGGGATCCACCTGCCTCAGCCTCCCAAAGTGCTGAGATTATAGGCGTGAGCCACCGTGCCCAGCCTATATATAAATTTTAAATTTTTAAAAAGTTTTAAAGCTGCTGAGATGAGTGCTAAAATCTTTCATTCAGTTTGAAAACAAATTAAAATTGTTTACAAGTTAAAAATTGTTCAAGTATTTATGGTTATGGCAAAATATAGAAAATACCGAAGATTTAGAAAAAGACCATAAGAAAATAAATTATGTACGTTCTACACCAAAAAGTACAATTTTGGATTCTCTCTGATAAACTTTTGTCTATAGAGAGAGAGTGTGTGGGTATGTGTAGTCATTAACAATTACTTGTAGGAGAGTCAGATTGTAAAGGAAACTTAGTTTTATATTTTAAGTGCCACCTTGTCATTAACAGAAGTTTCTGTAAGTGTACATATTGCTTTACCTGTTAGAAAAGATATATTCTACCAAGAAGCAGCTTCTCCACTCCTTCTGGAATCTCCGCCTGGTTCAGCCCGCCTGCCTCCACTCCTGCCTCCACCATGTCCATCAGGGTGCAGAAGTCCTACAAGGTGTCCACCTCTGGCACCCGGGCCTTCTGCAGCTGCTCCTACACGAGTGGGCCTGGTGTCTGCATCAGCTCCTTGAGCTTCTCCTGAGTGGGCAGCAGCAGCTTCCGGGGTGGCCTATGGTGGGGCCAGTGGCATGGGAGGCATCACTGCCGTCCCAGTCAACCAGAGCCTGCTGAACCCCCTTAACCTGAAGGTGAACCCCAACATCCATGCTGTGTGCACCCAGGAGAAGGAGCAGATCAAGACCTTCAACAACAAGTTTGCCTCCTTCGTCGACAAGGTACGGTTCCTGGAGCAGCAGAACAAGATGCTGGAGACCAAGTGGAGCCTCCTGCAGCAGCAGAAGACGGCTGGGAGCAACATGGACAACATATTCGAGAGCTACATCAACAGCCTTAGGCGGCAGCTGGAGACTCTGGGCCAGGAGAAGCTGAAGCTGGAGGCGGAGCTTGGCAACACGCAGGGGCTGGTGGAGGACTTCAAGAACAACTATGAGGATGAGATCAATAAGAGTACAGAGACGGAGAATGAATTTGTCCTCATCAAGAAGGATGTGGATGAAGCTTACATTAACGAGGTAGAGCTGGAGTCTTGCCTGGAAGGGCTGACGATATCAACTTCCTCAGGCAGCTGTATGAAGAGGAGATCCGGGAGCTGCAGTCCCAGATCTCGGACACGTCTGTGGTGCTGTCCATTGACAACAGCCGCTCCCTGGACACGGACAGCATCATCGCTGAGGTCAAGGTACAGTACGAGGAGATCGCCAACCGCAGTCGGGCTGAGGCCGAGAGCATGTATCAGATCAAGTATGAGGAGCTGCAGACGCTGGCTGGGAAGACCTGCGTCTTACAAAGACTGAGATCTCTGAGATGAACCGGAACATCAGCTGGCTCCAGGCTGAGACTGAGGGCCTCAAAGGCGGGAGGATTTCCCTGGAGGCCGGCATCGCAGATGCGGAGCAGCGCAGGGAGCTGGTCATTAAGGATGCCAACGCTAAGCTGTCCGAGCTGGAGGCCGCCCTTCAGCAGACCAAGTAGGACATGGCGCGGCAGCTGCGTGCCTACCAGAAGCTGATGAACATCAAGCTGACCCTGGACATCGAGATCGCCACCTACAGGAAGCTGCTGGAAGATGGAGAACATGAGTATCCATACGAAGACCACCAGCGGCTATGCAGGTGGTGTGAGCTTGGCCTATGGGGGCCTCACAGGCTCTGGCCTCAGCTACGGCCTGAGCTCCAGCTCTCGCTCTGGCGCAGGTTCCAGCTCCTTCAGCCGCACCAGCTCCACCAGGGCCATGGTTGTGAAGAAGATCAAGACCCGAGATGGGAAGCTGGTGTCCTCTGATTTCCTGCTCAAGTGAACAGCTGCGGCAGCCCCTCCCAGCCTGCCCCTCCTACGGCTGCCCCAAAGCCTAGGAGGGAGGCTGCTGTGCAAGGAAGCACAGGGAACAGGAGACTTACCTGAGGCTCAGCCCTAGCCCTCAGCCCACCCGCGGGGGAGTTCACTGCCTGGGGACCCCCGCCCCTTGCCCATGCCTCCAGCCACAAAACAATTCAATTGTTTTTTGTTTTGTTTTGTTTTGTTTTTCTGTCCAAAATAAAACCTCAGCTAGCTCTGCCAAAAAAAAAAAAAAGAGAAAAGATATATTCTGAAATGAAAACACTTTGACAAAATTGCAATCATTTGACATAAACTGTTTTATTGACTGATTATTTTCTAAATTTTATGACATATTAACATCTTTCAACAAGGTCATCTTGGCATAATCCCAGTAGGAGTATTTGGGTTTGGCCATAACCAGACTTTTTTCCTATCCCCTCCCCAACCCCCTATTTGTGGAAAATATGCTCAAATGCACTATTTCAGTTACCAAAACTTGGTAAGTTACTTTGGTAAAGTAAACCTTATCAGAGAAAATGGATGCTGACTTTGGACCGTGATCCAGGACCCAAGAAGGAGACCACAGTTTTATATGGATGGGAGGAACAACTGTAATTCCCATCAGGACACCTAAGAATCCCGTTTGTTTAATGATCCACAAAGTAGTCATTGCCAGTCTAGCTAGAAGCCTCTGTGCTGGGATGACAAATGATACACATCCTACCTCCCCCACCACCCACCCAGATTCATTACCCATTAATCATGGCACCCCAGCCTAGAAGTGACCCCGCAAAACCTTCTCAACACAAACCTGGTAACTATGATCATTTCACCATTATCATTCACTATGAAATATATTTTCTGTTCTTATCTTAGCTGAAGGCGAAAACTACCAAAACCCAATCCAGTCATCAGAAATAAAGCCAGGTATTGAGTAGGCAGAACTAGTCAGCTGATGCAAGTAGGGTAAATGACTTTATGATATTATCTACCAAATGTTTCTTAGATGAAAGATAAAACATTTAATGGGCTCTGAAAACTAAATTGCATTACCCTTGCATTTCCATCTCTATGATTGATGTTGAGAGGTCAGTGCTAGTGACCTGGTCAGTAAGATATTCCATCTGTAGACTTTGAGTTTAGATCCTAAGTCTAAACTGAGTCTCCATTTTATCAAAACAGTCACCCTCCTATGTGAGTTGTATATCACCTAATAATCCAGGTGCCTGCCTCAACTCAATTCTCTGGCATTGCATAGACTCCAGCCTAGCATGATACTGCAAGAGACTAGGGATGAACTAGGAGATTCCTCTGTTTCCGTAAGCCTCACAATCATTAGCCTCACATGCGTATCATTGTTAAGTCAATATCTATTATTCAGGTAAATAATACTTTATGTATGAAATTACCAGTCTAGAACTTTTGTAGGATGCTGAGATTGATTTAAAAAAAAAATAATAAACTCAGCCTTAATAGTGCCTATTGAGCTAGAAATGGGGTTACCAGGCCACCATCTTGTGGAAATTAAATCAGCACAAATAGATTTGGAGCAAGGCAAACTTCACACTACCCAGGGTTTCCTTTAAAAATCACTTTAACTACATCTGACCTTTCTAGCTGTTTCTGGCTTTTGTTTTTAGTCATTGTGTACTTTATCCACATCTATATACAACAGAGGAAAAATGCTCAAGTTTGTAGTTTCTTGATCAACAGCATGATTAGGCTGAGCAGTTAATGAAATGTGGAATTGTCATATAAACTTACAATTTAAAGGTGAAAGCCATGTTGAACTTGATGAATTGATTTCTGTGGATCATGATTTCAAATGACGTTATTATCTCTAAACTTGCTACCTTATTACTACATCCTCTTACCATATCACAAAATTATTTTGTCTTGAGCAGTATATTTTCCAGTTTAAACTGCCTTACCAAAGAGCATGCTGCAAACACAAGAGTATTTGTATCAGAAGTTTCAGTATCTTGAAATTGGAATGTATAATGATTCATGAGTTTTGCATCAATTATTAAACAGTCATAGATGAAGATATGCAGAGATGGATGGGGCAGTAAAGTATTCCAGTTACACCTACTGGCTTAGCAATGATAAATGAGTCAGGAAACATGAAAGTTCAAAACAAGTATTAACTTGAGCTGCCACGGCTTATTCTCTGAAGGGAAGTAGACAATAGCATGATATAAACAGGTTCATGTACAGAGCAGCTGGCTAGTAGAATTAAAATAAAGGTAAGGACTCTGCAAGAGGGCTAAGGAATTTCAGAATCCTGCCATGCAAATCACCCTTTCTCTTACAAGGTTCTTGAGGGAGACATAGCATTGCAAAATAATAACACTTGGAAAACAAAGGAAATATTTGTATTACCTGGGACCATGCCTAATACTCCATAATGCAGAATTCTAATAATACTGGCTTAAATCATGTGACTTTGACTTCCACTTGAATCCTGCCTTGTTTTGACTTGCATGGGTCTTAAAGTGAGAGTAAAGACATTTTCAGAGTCTAGGAAGAAGGAAAATGTATGTGTCATCCCCTGGGAAAGCAAGTGTTGCCCTTGGAGTAATATCTTCTTGGCAACTGAGCCAAGAGCTCACACTGGGAAAAGCTACTTAACTCTCTTCTGATACCCAACTTCACCAAAAGGAAAGGCCCATCTTTAGTTCTCATTGTAAGGCCCTTGCAGCCCACCCAGAACTCTAGTGTTCTGCATTAATCACTGTCCAGTGAAAGGGCATAGACTGCATGTAAGCAGAACTTTAGAACGTAGCTCTGAGACAAGAGCCAGGCATTGTAAACCTCAGGCCTGGCTCCCACCACCCTCTCATTATTTCCTGCTACTCTTTCTTTCTGAGAAATGTTTGTATTTGAGCAGTTCAAGAGCCTTGAACTGGACCAGCCTTTGTACCTGACCAAAGACAAAAAGTGAAAAGCAATAGACATGCCCGCTTTAGGCTGTACCCAAATTTGGAAGCCCCATGAATAACCCTTTGCTAACCATTCATTGAAAAGCCAGAAGCAGTGGTTAATGTTAGAAGTGTAACTTAGCACTGGTACTTTCAAGCAGGGCAATCTGAAGCAACTGCAAATGTTAAGTAGATGCCTTCTCTCGTCTAAACATGGGAGTAGTTTGCTAAGATGGGCAAACTGTAACAAAGGAAAGTGGTCAAATAACTCACTTGAGGTGTCTGGCTTTCTCACTGGCTGGACTTTCTTCTCAATTCATGGGCATTGGTTACATAAATGGACCTTCTAAACTTACATCTGGAACTTAGTAACCATATTGCTTATTTTGTGTTTCCTTAAGGTAGTATTCACTGGAGTCTTCTCGAGAAAATGAACTAGATTTCTAGTTAAGAGCATCAGTATTGGAATGAGATAGCCTATTCCAAATGAAGACTCTGTACATTAGAAGTCATAAACTGATAACCCACAAACCACATTCAGCCCACAGATATGATTAACTTTTTCATTCTCATGGCATTGGAAAAAATACTTGCCAATGTATAAACTTTAAGAGATTTTTGCATAAAAGTCCTGATTTCCAGCTTCCTATATATATTTAAACAATGAGAACATCAGGCAATACATGGCAATACAGGCAATCATGGCCCCAATCAGCTTAAGCTGAATAGCCTCTTGCCCCTTTAAAGGAGACATACATAGTCCTTCTAGTTCACCTATGTTACTTTGTGGCCCTGCAGGCCTTTGTATTTGCTATCTAGGAGGTCAATTATCTAAGAAGTCAAAACAAGAAATCAAGAATTGTTCTTTTAAATGTGTCTAGCTTGAAAGTGACCAAGGTTTATGCCTTATTTTTGTTAACTTCTGCACAATGAATGACCATAAGGAGCCTTTTCATACATGGAAAAGAACAGTTATATGTGAAGTGGAGAATTTTACACTACTTACCTGAATAAATCAGGCATACAAAGAAAATCCTGAAATAATGATATAAAAGTAAGATTTGAGATCAGAATTACTCAGGGGTAATTGCCTTAGTTTTCCACCTCACTGTTTCCCCTTTGCTTTCCTTACCTAGACATTATCTTCAGAATGTTCCTGTCAAAGGCCATAGTCATAATTCCCCTGCCTCTTTTTTTTTTTTTTTTTTTAACTCATTTGCACTCTTGGTAGCAATTGTTGGAGCCCTGCAGGGGAATAATTGTGGGGGAATTAACCTCTGACATTTTTCTAAAAATAGCCCTAATAAATCCAATCATAGGTAATTTACCTGTCCATGTTCCTCCAGGGGTAACCAGCATAGAAGAAAGACTTGGCAGGCTGGCATTCCTTCAGCAATTATCTGTGATCTGAGTTCCTGGTGCCTGTGCATTTTCTCTGATTAGAAATACAGAGTACAAATTGCCCTCACTTCTCTGCCCTTATGACCTTGTTTTCTCAGCACCCTTCTCCTGGGGTTGAAATAAGTCATGCTCTTCCAGAAGGATGTGTTGGGCTCACAAAAAAAGAAGGGGCACGGGCCAAGCTGGAGCATTCGTCAGTTCCTTCCTTGAATTATCGACTGGCAGAGTTTTCCCAATGATTTCTTTGTGCTCTGTTCCTCCATTTTCCATGTCTAAGCTTCAAGCATCCTAACCCTGCTTCATCACAGCCCCCAGCCCTGATTTGAATAGCCAGAACTGAAGCCTGTGTGGGGAAGATTCTTGGTGTAAAGGCCGTGGATGCACGAAGGGTCTGTGGTTGGTAGAAATCATCAAAGAAAATAGCCATTTCCTTCAGCCATCATGAAGTTAATTTTCTCTTCCTTAAAAGGGTATAAATGTGTTTTTCCCTTTTATTCTCTCCAGATGTTCCAGGAGACCACTGTGCAGTGTGGGCATCTAGGAAATTTACTTCCCAAGTGCCACTTCTGGTGGCATTTAAAACCCAGAACATAACATCCTTGTAAATTCCACTGCAGAGACAAAGCCCTAAGCCCTTAAATGCACAGAAAAGTATATCTATTATCTATCCTTTCAAAGTAAGTGTGCAGTTACTTAAATTGCCTTTGTCTTCTTCTTTGCAGCTGACATTATCTCTACGGTAGAATTCAACCACACGGGAGAATTACTAGCGACAGGGGACAAGGGGGGTCGGGTTGTAATATTTCAACGAGAGCAGGAGGTAAGTGGTGGTGAATGCAAAATGCCCATTTTCTTCACTTTTTAAAGGAGGCCTCCTACTGTTCCTTAATCCTTATGTGTCGCCCTTAACCTTGCTGCTTTGCTCGAAAACTAAAAACTGCCAAAAAAGTCATTAACATCAACTGTTATACATTCAGACTCATAAAAGCCCTGTAAAAGAGAGCCTTTTCTGGGCATGGCCTTATCTTTCTACGCCTGGATGTTACACCTGCAAAACAACTTCACTTCTCGCCTGACCTGCAAAATTCCATGGGTGCTTGTTGAGCGTAACTCCTCCTTTTTCAATGGGATCTGTCATAGAGCCATTGAAATTCAGTCTCCCTTGATTTCAGGTGTGCCAGAATATGCAGGAGGAAAAAAACATAGTTTATTTGCCAACAGATGTGAAGAGGACAACTTGGGACAGCAGAGAAGAAAATGATAGCTTACCTCACCTAAGGGGGTAAAAGGCCACAAACTAGCGTCTGAGTAAAGCTTATGACACACATCACAGTATCACTGTAGGTGACACAGAGGGCCCTGGAGCTGAGTGCTACATATAGGACCATTTCTGAGCAGGAGTTCTAACTTCCAGTAACTCTCATAAACCCATTTCTTCCTGAGACATGGGTTTCACTAGGAATTGTTTCTCTTTTTCATATAAATTGAGGTTTTTGGTGTCTGCTTCTGTTTGTCAAAATGGAATTATGGCCCAATTTGATTTCCTTGGCCTCCCCTGGCATGGTCTTCGAGCTTCCAGCAGGCCAGTCTGTGTTCTAGTAGCTCTCCCATCTGCCACTGCCTGCCTCTGAGATTCACCGGGCACTCGGGAAGCATGAGAGAGGCCCAGTGTGAGAGGAAGGTTTCACAAGAGACTTCCCTAGCAATTTAAAGCCTGCTTTGTGCCTCAAAGCCACTTGCAGTACACCTCCCCTCAAAAAAGGAAAGCCTCATTTAGAGGTGATATATTTAGTAATTGCACATTATTTGCAATTAATTTCTATAAGGGCATCGTAATCCCTCGGGGTTCCATATAAATTCAAGTGTTCAGCATTAAATCAGGCATCCAGCCTATTCCATTGGCCCTGGAAACACGAAAATGTGGTTGGCAAGTAGAAACTAATAGCTCTTCATGACCTGGAATTTTTCCTGCTTTTCCAGAGCTGCCTAGTGCTAATTGGTCTGGCACATACTACACACACTTGACAGTCTGATTTGGATGGTAGCAAATCAACACTCTTATAAATGTATTGTTAAGGTGGACTGGCTCTCTCTGCAAATGAGCAGGATAGTACCAAGTATGTCAGCATTTAAAGTCTTTTGAACACTCATTTTCAAACCTCCTTTTCCAGCTTTTTCTTAAAAAAAAAAAAAAAAAAAAAAACCAATTAAGTTCGCAGTGATGATAAAGAGGAACCGGAGGAGCTATTTAGCATAAATTACCCAAGGCAGCATGTTGCCAGTAATATTCTGCTCTACATTTTCCATTAGCTATTTATAGGTTTCACCTATTTTAATTTAGTGAAATATTTGGGAAGCCTGATTCATTCGTAGAATGATGGGG
Source organism: Homo sapiens (assembly GCF_000001405.40). Lineage (NCBI taxonomy): Eukaryota > Metazoa > Chordata > Mammalia > Primates > Hominidae > Homo > Homo sapiens. Next base: position 146,699,481 of record NC_000005.10, on the reverse strand, counting down.
GACACATTTTCTAAAGCAGGGTAGTTTTGTTCAATAAAAAATAAATGTCAGTGAGGATAAAGAACCTGCAGTTAAGCGTTAAGCTTTGTGGCCAGTCTTGGGATTAAAATGAGCACTAAATCCGAGAAACAAACCCATGTGACATCATCTAGGGCAGACCTGCTTTTGACTTCAGTGAGTGAGCTCCAGGAGTGAATTCTCAGGAGGCACACACCCAGAGAGTCTGCACAAATACATTACACACCCAGGGTTCAGCACTCTCACTGGTCAGTAAGTTGAGATTTGGGTTTGGATATTTTATATCCACCTAGAAATATACATTTGGAAATTAACCCTTTTATTAAGAGTCAAGCTTTTATAACAAATGTTTAATAAGACTCATATTTGAATTTTTGAGTTTTTCAAAGCCTGCTTCTTGAAGCTCTTGGTAATAAGGACCTAAAATATCTGAAATAAAACTTCCCTTTCCACTTTCCTCCTCTTCTTCTTCTTTCTTTCACATCCTGTTTTTTTTCTCCTCTCTTCCTTTCTTCTTTTTCTTCCTGTTTCTGCAGACCCTTGCCCTTGTGTTTAATTCTCTCATCATGTATGTAGTCCCTGCTGTTTGCTCATTGCATAATCAGCGCTAGAGGAAAGCCAAGAGGTAAAGTCTCATCATTCCTTAATGATGCAGGTAGCATCCCTGAGCTCCTGTCTGCTTTGTCACTCATGTTGGAAAGAAAAAAAAAAAAAAGGAGCAGGGGCATATCTGATGCCCAAATCTGCTCCTTATGAGCTGTGAGACCTAGGGAAAGTCATTTAATATCTGAGCCTCTTTTGTCCATTTCCTTGCCCCACCCTACCTCAGAGATTTCATGAGAATCAGGTGAGATCTTAAAAGGCCAATGAAAGTCATAGATGCTACAATTTTGTACTCTCTTTAAGGGGTCGATGTAAGTATTTACGAATGCCACTGTGGGATGACTCACTCCAAAGGGTGACTGCAGCATCTGTTAGGATGCAAAAAGAAAATATTAGAACTTCTATTTATATTGATTTTAAAATTTTGTTCTATTTTAATATTTCTATGTATGTATTATGTATACTATATGATAGTACAGAAGTTCATGTGTATAATTATATGTGTGTGTATATATATATATATATATATATATATATATATATTTTTTTTTTTTTTTTTTTTCAGAGGTGCTAGTGACTATCATGGCCCTGCCCTCATCCTCATGGCCCTGCCCTCATCCCACCCCCAATGACTGCTGGAAAAAAAAGGGAGTTGGCGAGTTTTACAGTTGGCTACTGTGATTTAATCTGTTGTGTATTTTTTTCCTTTCCTACAGAGTAAAAATCAGGTTCATCGTAGGGGTGAATACAATGTTTACAGCACATTCCAGAGCCATGAACCCGAGTTCGATTACCTGAAGAGTTTAGAAATAGAAGAAAAAATCAATAAAATAAGATGGCTCCCCCAGCAGAATGCAGCTTACTTTCTTCTGTCTACTAATGGTAGGTGGAATTCCTGTTTGGTATTTTCAGAGATACAGTCGGCCAAACTATATACTTCAATCTCTCTTAACCTCAATTTCCTTTGAACTGTGTGGGCTGTTGAAAAACTTAGAAATAACATTTGCAAGATGCTTAGCAGAGTGCCTGGCACACACAGATTCGGCCCTCAATAAATAGTAACTACTGTTTTTTAAAATATTAAATTTATGACCCAATTATGTGAGACCCATTATCTGCAGTTTTCAACTATTGCAGATTATTTGCAGGTGTTTTTGGAATGTGACTTCCTGTCTTAAGATTCACTGAATGTTATTCTGGGAATACATTTCAGGAAACTCAACATGCTGTCTCTGTGAGGTTGGCATATTGAATAGAAGTTATTAATCCCTGAATATATTTTAGGGTCTGTAAAGCAGATGGCTGTGTGTCTCTCTGACAAAAATTAACTTCTATGATAGGAGCACAAGGCAAGAAGAGATAGGGACTTTATCAAAAAACTGATCAAGAAAGGGTTTCTTTTCCTATCTCCCTCCATACTTAACACCATTTGTTGGATGAGGAGGAGTTGACATAAATAGGTCAGAGAGAGAGGATGTTGGGTACTGAATAGAGAGACAAATTACATAATGACTGGGTAAGTCTTTATACAGTGGAATTACCTAACCTCCAGGTTCTTAAATCCTTGCTAAAAGAAGCCATCTAAGCTCAAAACAACTTGGCATAAAGTCACATGTTAAAGGGTGCTAATTGAATAGCATAACAATTAAGAGGATTCGTATTTAAAAATTAAACACTCTCTCCCAAGAAAATGAGTTGGAGAATGATTCATTTTATCTCATATGTGAGTCTATGAGGAATATACATTTTAATTTAAATCGAGAAGCAAGAAGCAAGGGATTTAAAAAGAAAGGGAAATGTTCATATTTCAAGTGAAAAAATACAGTGTCAATAATGTGATCAAACATACATGAATATTTTTAAAGACTGGAAGGAAATACAACATAAGGTTCATCATGATTAATTTTTGTGCAGTATGGGCAACTTGTCAATTTGTTCCTTTTGTCATTTTAATTTGTAAAGTTTTACAATGAGTCTCATATTAATCTTATGGAAAAAAGCGGAAAGTTATTTAATGCATTTGAACCCCAAATCTCTCAAATATAAAGCCAGCATAGAAGTCTAAAAAAATGACAATTCGGACGCAGCTGGTTTAGGATTATCCAAGCATATCTCATCTCCTCATGACCAGATCTCTACTCATCTGTTTTTCCAGACTCCAAGTAGTTTGATTCTTTCTCATAACTATATTTATTGTTCTGTTTATGTTTTGCAATCCTGATTTCTTGGAAGCCAAACCACATAAATTTGTTTCAATTTCTTTCCTTTTAATTTTGCTATTTAAGTTTCACTAACGGGCTTTGCAGATTCAACACTACTTGGAATAAAAGAGACTTCTGATGATTTTGACTTAATTACTTTAGGCAGAGGAAAAATGTCTGATTGTCTTCTATAGCTAACTCACTTTATATTCTCAAATTTAGCCTATTGATTATTGCATTTAAAACTCGAAGACTTGGCCAGGCGCGGTGGCTCACGCCTGTAATCCCAGCACTTTGGGAGGCCGAGGCGGGCAGATCATGAGGTCAGGAGATCGAGACCATCCTGGCTAACACGGTGAAACCCCGTCCCTACTAAAAATACAAAAAAATTAGCCGGGTGTGGTGGCCGGCACCTGTAGTCCTGGCTACTCGGGAGGCTGAGGCCGGATAATGGCGTGAATCCAGGAGGCGGGGCTTGGAGTAAGCCGAGATCACTCCACCGCACTCTACCCTGGGCGACAGAGCAAGACTCCATCTCAAAAAAAAAAAAAACTCAAGGATTTATTAACTACTTTGTTGGCGGGGGGATGGGAAAAAATCAGTGAAATGCAATGAAGATTAATTATATAGCATAATATTCTGTTAATTGAGTTTTTAAATAGTTTTTTGATTAACAAGGATATTATCTTCCCATTTGGGATACTGTTTCATATGCCAACAGCATCTCAAAATGATTCTTCTAAGAAAAATTCCCATGTTCTTATGTAATTTTCTTTTTTATACTAATATTGAGGTTGAGAATCCCCCTTAGGCCAAATAGGTTAACATGCAAAAGTTAATGGAAGACAATTGGAATTACTGTACAAAAGAGAAAATGAAGATAGATGATAAGATTGTGTTTAAAAGCTGCCACAAGCGATGATAAACTACTCAGAGAACCAGCAAGAAGAAAGAAAAAGTCATTACTCATTAACAGCCACATGTTCCTTAGACTTTTTTATTCACAAAGCTTCAAGATACTGAGTCAAGAAAAAAAGTGTGATAATAAAGTCAAGAATGACTCCAGGCAACCCAACCATGGGGAATTGGATTGAATTCACTATCAATTATCTTTAAGAAAATATACTGCTTATCTTATTATAGTTAGGAACAATTTTTACTTTCTGCTAGAATATATTTTCAAACTTACAATTTCAATAAAAAATAAAACCAACATTCAATTGTGAATCTAGACTCTCAAATTATTTATGACATAAAAACACATTGTTTTACCTCATTTTCTGCTTCCACTTCAATACCTATAATGAGAAGTGGGGTATACTGAATTTGTTTTTCTCACTATGAAATTAGTACATGTTCATGGAAAAAAAAATATAGAAAAACAAAAATAATAAAAGTGTTCCCATCCAGAGAGAACCACTGTTAAGTCTTTTAAAGTAAAAAGCAAAAAGATACAAATAAATTTGTTTGTTTCTTAATGGAAATATGATATATTCTGCAAACTCTTTTGTAACTAGGTTTTTATTAATATAACACTTAATAATAGGAATATCTTCCCAATTGTTAAATATTCTAAAATATCATAATGACCACATAGTATTTCCTTGTATGATTCTTCTTTAGTTTACTAGTAAGCCTCCTACGATTAGTCCTTTAGCTGTTAACAAATTCTCACTATTATAAATCATATATGCAATACGTTATAGTATACAAATATATTCTATCCCTATAAATATATTTGCAGGGATAGACGTTGGTATAGATAAATATGATTAGGCAAATGCATACTGTAAACTAAGTATGCCATATTATGTTTACTAAAAACAGTTACATAATTGTATACATAAATATAAAAGAAATCACAAAATTTGTATAATAGGTATCTCTATCTAGTGGAATTAAGGGAGTTTTTTTACCTTTATGATTATTTTAATAAACATTCCATGTATCGCTTGTATAATAAAAAGAAGGAAATAAAATGAGAAAATACAAAATCTATATATGCAATATTACAGATTTGTATTCTCCCCCCAAAGTACATAGAAAAAGTACTATAAGGATTTATGCAAAATGTTGACGATGATCGTTCCTGACTGGAGAGGTTGTAGGTGATTTTTATTCTTCATGTTATACCCATGATTTCTCTGTTTCTCTGTATAGCAATTTATCATTCATGATAAGAAAAATATACGATGTTAACTTTGCAAATGGGATGGGATACATTCCAAAGCCACGCAACAAAAAAAATTTGGTATTAAAATTTTGGGGATGTTCTAAGCCACAGCTGATCAAGAGCTAATCACGTGACTATATAAATATGGCCCATGTTCATTTTCTCACCCTAAAAAGCAGTTCGGTATGCAGCAGGATCTCCTTTCGCTCCAGCGCAAGCCAGGGTGACGGCACAATTCAGAGCGCACAAATCATACACTTAGCAGCCTTGCCAGTGTGTCAGACACGAGCAGCCCAAGTGATGCCCAGATACAAGAAAATGGGGCACTTATTTGCTGCTGAAAGCCCACTTCACAATGTGGTTCATTAAGACCTCCAAGAACAAGGCATTTGTTTCTGGCAGCTTCAAGGCGAATGGTACTGTGATCCACATCTCCTGCTTAGAAGATCTGTCCGCCCAAAGGCATGAGAAGTGGGAGGTGGTGGCAAAAAGTCAGGTGAGGAGAAGTGGAGGAATGGAGCAAGGGGCAAAAGAGGAAGGAATTCCCAGAGGGACGGCTTTTCTCCCCTGACAGTGTTACAGATAAGAAATAGGATGTGCTGACATCATTGAGGGTTGAAGCTAAAGCTGTCAGAGCAACATGTTATTATGGCAGAATAGTTGCCCAATTTGCTAATTCTAATAAAAGCTGTCATTTGCGGACCATTATTAGAAGCCTAATACTGTGTTAAACATTCTCCATGCTGTGACTTATTTAATCCTCATCAGAGCCCCATGAGGAAGATACTGTTTCCCCAGTTTACAAATAAAGAAACTGAGGCACCATCTTTCTTTGTAAGATTGAACTATATGGGATATACTCATACTAAATTATTTTTTGCTTATCTGAAATTCAAACTTAACTGGGTGTTCTATATTTTTTTACTTGCTAAATCTGGCAATCCTATTTGTTGCTTAAGAAATACTAGTTGTGGTCGGGTGTGGTGGCTCATGCCTGTAATCCCAGCACTTTGGGAGGCAAAGGTGGGCAGACTGCTTGAGCCTGGGAGTTTGAGATCAGCCTGGGCAACATGAAAAAATCATGTCTCTATAAAAAATAGAAAAATTCTCTGGGCGTGGTGGCATGTGACTATGGTCCTAGCTACTCTGGAGGCTGAGATGAGAGAATCACCTGAGCCCAGGAAGACAAGGCTGCAGTGAACCATGATCTCGCCAATGCACTCCAGCCTAGGTGACAGAGTGAGACTCTATCTCAATTTAAAAAAAGAAGAAGAGAGGAAGGGAAGAAAGGAGAGAGGAAGGGAAGGAAGAAGGGAAGGAAGGAAAGAAAGAAGGAAGGAAAAAAGGGAGGGAGGGAAGGAAGGAGAGAGGGAAGGGAGGAAGGGTTATGTACCTACTGAGTGGGAATCCCCGTCCTTGGACATGTGACTGGCGTCAGAGTGGGGATTGGGCCCAAGGTTGTCTGATTCCAAACCCTACCTTGTGCAAGACAGAGGAAGATACAAAGAAGGCAACCAAGTTCTGCCTTCAAAAAGATATGTTAAAACAAGTATAAAAAATGTACACTGGATCTGATAAGGCAAGCCCACCAAAGCATGTGGCCAGCAGACATGATTTGTTTGCCTGATCTTGTCTCCTTAAATAATTGAATTAGGCCGGGTGTGGTGGCTCCCGCCTGTAATCCCAGCACTTTGGGAGACCGAGGCAGGCGGATCAAGAGGTCAGGAGATCGAGACCATCCTGGCTAACACGGTGAAACCCCGTCTCTACTAGAAATACAAAAAAATTAGCCGGGCGTGGTGGTGGGTGCCTGTAGTCCCACCTACTCAGGAGGCTGAGGTAGGAGAATGTCATGAACCCAGGAGGCAGAGCTTGCAGTGAGCTGAGATTGTGCCACTGCGCTCCAGCCTGGGTGAAAATGCGAGACTCTGTCTCAAAAAAAAAAAAAAAAAAAAAAAATTGAATTAAAAGCCTGCATGTAGGGCACGCCATTCCAGCTCCACAGATCCTTTAGCCCTTTTTACTCATTTCCTTGGCCTGCATGACAGGTGTAGGGATGGGAGTTCTCATGGGAGTTCTGTAGGGATAGGAGTTCTCTGTTTTAATGCTATAGAGAATGCCAGGTGTCATCAAGTTGTAAAAAGTGCTGGGGCAGTACAAAGGTGAGAAAGGTAGTTTCCAGCTGGAGACTCCATAGAGGCAGCAAAAGGAAAGGAACATTTCAGTGTATCTCCTTACCATTTTATTTCCCTGAATATTGCTAGAAATATGTACTATGCAGGTAGATGAGATTTGTTCATTTGCCCTACTAATGTTTATTGAGCAGCTATTGTGTGCCAGGCACTGTTCTGGGTGCTGGTGGTACAGTGATAAACAAGATAGATAGAATCCCTGCCTTCAACAATTTTACACTCTAGTGAAAGAGACAGATAGTTATTTGATAAATAATCAACCAATTGTCAGGTAGTAAAAGGTATCATGAAGAAAAATAAAGCAGGAGAGAGGAGATAGAGAATGGTTCTGAGGACAGCATTTTTAGGTAGGTATTACATAAGCTTCTCTAAGGTTGGGATGCAAGCGCAAGAGGAAAGTAAAGGAGCAAATTATACGAAAAAGAGGGTAAAGGACTTTCCAGACAGAAGACACAGCAAGTGCAAAGGCCCCGAGGCTTAGTGAGCTTAATGTGTACCTGGAGCAGTAGGGAAGCCATGTGTCTGGAGCACAGTGAGTGAGCAGGGAGAGGATGGACAGGGGGGTCAGAAAGGTGGAGAAAGTGGAGAGGGCAGGTCATGAAGGGCCTTTTAGGACATGGTAAGGACAATGTGTTAGTGAGGTGAGATGCTAAAATAGAGATAATAGCACCTACTTCCAGAGTTATGACTGTTAAACCAATTTTTCATGTAAAATTCTTAGTTACATTGTAAGCTCTGTGTATGTTGCACTCTTATTATTCAATGCTCAATAAATGCTTTTATTGAATGAGCTGAATTAAGGTATAAGCTATAGATTTAAGAGCCCATTATCAGGGAAATCCATTTGTCCCAGCATAATGTATGTTTTTGTTTTGAAATATGAGCTCTGCCTTCAAATGACATGGGATTTATGCACGCCAAACGTTTATGTGAGCCAGCTTCTGTAGCAATTCTATCCATCCTTACCTCTTCCTCTCCCCATTGCCCCCAGGAAAACTCCCTTATGAGCTTGCTTTTCACTATAATTCTGACTTAATCTGGTTGCCCACTACAGATAAAACTGTGAAGCTGTGGAAAGTCAGCGAGCGTGATAAGAGGCCAGAAGGCTACAATCTGAAAGATGAGGAGGGCCGGCTCCGGGATCCTGCCACCATCACAACCCTGCGGGTGAGTGCAAACAGCTGCCCTGGCCACCACAGTCAGGGGCAGGTCTCCTAAGGTTGGCCATGTGCTGGTTGTTACTGTAGGTTGCAACTATAATGGGCCAGTGAGGGAACGTAGGCAGAGACTCAGCCTACCCCAGTCTCTCTCTGGTGGCAGATGGAGAAGCAGGAAAGGTGCCAAGCCTTCTAATGACTACAAATCCATGCTTTTCCTTTTGTCCCAGAAGACTTGCCCACATGGCCACTGCCAGACGTTACTATAATCTTAGCCTCTGTTGTTCACGTTATCTAAAATGTCTTGAGCACCTTCTGTACTGAAGGTACAGGGATGAGAATCCAGATGGCGAGTTGCAGTCTTGTGATTCAGAACACAAACTTAATAATCTAACAGACCTGGCTTCAAATTCTGCCACTTACCCAAATTTCCCAATAGTCATTTAACCTTTTCGAGCTTTCAACATGCAAGTTAATTTTAATTTCTCCATCTGCAAAACAGTGAACACAGTACGTACTGCTCGTGGACTTATGAGGAAGAAGTGCAAGGATGGAAAACCCTTCCTCTATGGCTGGTCCTCAATATATGATCTCTACTCAGTCTGAGTGGCTTCCTTCCTGTTCCTCAGAAATACATAGCCTGATAAAGAGGATTTGTAAGACTAATATACAAATGATTATGGCACTAAATATAGTAAGATAAATGCATTGAGAAAGTGTTGGAGAGTTGCAATTTGATAAAAGGAGGAAAAAATTAGCTGTGGTTTTTGGAGACCAGAAAAGTTCTCATAGGAAAGTGGCATTAAAAACGGATTTCTCAAAGCGATCTTTTAAGGGAAGGGTCTCTAGATGTAAGGTAAAGTGGTTTAGGACTGGATGATGAGCTCAGTTATGAACATGTTCAATGTGAGCAGTAAAGCAGGCACATGTTGGGATAGCCCTAGCCCCAACAGCCTTGTAAAACTGTGTAAAATATGTGATTTCAGACACCAGCAGCTCTGCTAAAGACCAAAAGTAAGAAGGGAGACAGTGAAGTAGATGTGAGGAAAATAGGTTCTTGCCCTATGTTTGAAAGCCAAAATGGGATGGTCATTGTATGCTTAATTAGCTCACTTGTTTATTTGTTTAATAATTCATTTATTGATACATCTGCTTATTCAGCAGTTACTTTTTGAATATAGACTCTGTGCTGACCACCATGCTAGACTATTAGGTGTTTACCCTGTCCTAATGGGCACATGGTCTTCAGTTGAGCTGCTTCTGAGCTCACAAGCATTGGCGACTCTGTTTCCTCTGATCAGCCTATGCTTTCAGCTCTGGAGAACCTCCATGTAAGTCCACCTTATCATTCTGGGTGGACTTGGCATAAATCCAGGCTTGATGCTCTGAATGTGCAGGGGTTTTGGAGGCTGGAAAGTAGCGTAGTGAAGAGTATTATTGTTGAGTCAGTCCAGCCTGGGTTAGAATTCTGGCTCCGTTACTTTCCGCTAGTGACCTTGGGCATATGACAGTCATATATCACTTAATGATGGGAATATATTCTGAGAAATGCATCATTGGGTGACTTCATTGTTGTGAAAACATCATAGAGTATACTTATGCAAACCTAGATGGTATAGCCTACTATATACCTAGACTACATTGCCTGTTGGTCCTCGGCTACAAACCTGTACGCCTGTTCCTGTGTTGAATAGTAAGCAATTATAACACAATGGTATTTGTGTATATAAACATATCTAAGCATAGAAAAGACACAGTACAAATACAGTATTATAATCTTATGGAACCAGTGTTATTGACCAAAACATCATGTGGCATGTGGCTATATTTGAATACCTTGTGCCTCCAATGTCTCATCTATATAACGGGGATGATGATAGTCACTGCTTCCTGGAATTGTTGTGAGGATTCAATAAGTTATTTTGTGTAAGAAACAGCTTAGCCTGTGTAGTGCTGGCTCACAAAAAGCACTCAATGATGTTAGTTCCCTTCTGTTGTTTTAGTATTAATAACATCATCGTCATCATGGCTATTATTACCCCCTACTGATAGTGGGCCTATATATATGAGACAATTCAGTTATTTTTCTTTTTATACTTTTTATACTGTTGTATTTATTCTACAAACTACTCACTGAGATTTACTAAGTGGCAAACACCGTACTGGCAATATATTGGGAATAAGACTGTCTTTTGCCCCTCGAGACATGGCAATCTTATGGAGAAAACAACTGGATTAAGTGCCACGTAGAGTTTATACCGTGAACTTCTGCCCAGACTTTACCTTGCCCTTGTTTGCTATGTGGATGGAATTTCTCAGATGACATCTGTAGACCCCACCGTGGAATCCTACTGTCCATGGCATCCTATGGGATTTCATATATCTGTGCTTAACCCCTGGGAGAATTCCATCCCTATGATAAAGAGCAAAGAAGGTCTATTCAGTTTCCACGAGAGCAGAGATCCTCCCCATGCCAAGCCAGTGATGCCAATGAAGTGGACTTCAGATGAAACAGAGAAGGAGGCCCTGAGGTGTGGCTGGGAGTTGGAAAATTCCAACTCTGGTTCTTGCTTTCTTACTAACCAGCTGTGTAACCTAACAACCTAACTGATGAATTATACTTCTTCCCTCCAAGCTTAGTTTCTAAGCTGCCAAGCAGAGGACTGGGAAATGTAAATTCCTGAGACCCACTCCAGAGAGGAGGCCCAGAGGAATCTGCATTTTCAACACTTGACCCTGGTGGCTGAGACAAGGGGGTCTGCGGTCACTGGACTCTATCATCCCTAAGGCCCATTCGAGCTATCATTTTTTTTTTCAAGCTATCATTTTTATGAACCTGTTATTTTTTGGAGAGACATGTTATATTTGCTATATAACCTCTGTTATATTTTGGAGGGACATGTTATATTTGCTATATAATTATAAATACCAGTATCTGTATTTACCTCCTCTCCTTTCCTAGGCTCTCAAATATCCTGCATTTCAGTGTAAACATCCACACCACAGCACTCTTTAAACACTGAAAAGTCCAGCTTCCTTTTCTTTTTGATCCCAGTGGTAGAAGAAAAAAAAAGCAGGCAACCCTGAAGACTAGATTCAGAACAATGACTCCAAACAGAGAATGAGCTGACGTGATATTAATCAGACTATAATTTACTAACACGCTCTCCTCTTGAAATGTGCATTGCCAGCAATTGTGTCTTTTTTTCCCTTCCCTGTACTATGATTACTTCTTGCTCACTTTCATAGTTTCCAGTTCTATGTGGGTATTGAGAGTGAGAACATTTAATAATACCCGACAGCTAATTAATCCTTACTGTGTAATGAACCTGTTCTGTTTCAGCGCTGAGAGACTCAGCTTTTCAAAGCAAGAATGTGACTATATCTTTCATAGAAGATAGCCTTTCAAAATCAATCTCATTACCAAAAGAGCCCATGAGAAGCATGTCTATGAAAACTATATCCCCTGCTCAATATCATAACTTAACATAAAGCAATAATCATGGTAATAATTTAATAATAATGCCTTACAGTTGTACCATTTCTATTACAAGCGTTTTCTCACCTAGTCCCTTGATTCATCTTCAGAATAGCCAATGAGGAGGGCAGGACAGGTATTTAGCAGGTGAAAATGCGGGTATCTAGCACTTATTGATCATTTGCCATATACCATGCACCACGCTGCACTCTCTATCTGCACTAGCTACCTCAAAGGGTGTTAAAATGCCCATTTAACAAATGAGGCTCCAAGCAGTTAAGTAGAATACCCAAGATCATGCAGGGCTGAGAACCAAGCTTTGATCTACTTTGCTCTGGGACCTGAGCCCTTCGATCCGATGCAGCCTCAGAGAGGGAAAATGACTTACCCAGTATCCCTCAACTGGTTATTCCAGGACTGGGACTAAAAATCAAGAGTTAGGCTCTTAAACTTAGACATATACATCTGGGCATTTGAAATGTTTGTCTTAATAATTAGTGCCATTATTATTCCAGGTGAGGGGATTAATCGATCAATCGCTCCCTCTCTCTCCCTCTCCCTCTCTTCCTCTCCCTCTCTCTCCCTCCCCCCACCACTCCCCGCTACCACTGTCCCTGCCACACACACACACACATACACACACACTTACACATTGACTTTCCAGATCTCTGACCTCAGCAATGGAGAAACAAAGGCCTTGAGGTCCCTATGCAGTTTTACTTCAGAAGACCCTCCATGCCCTTCTTCCCCAACCTCCCGCTGCCCAGGAGTAACAGACCCTTAGAGCTCTTTCTAGGTAATGGGAGCTCATCGTTAAAGTGACTTAATCAGCCTGAAATGGAAGTTGGGTGGTGAGAAATCACACTTAGCATACTTCTCCCTGCAGGGTAAGCCTGGAGGTATTCTTTTTCTCATTATTATCAGCTGCCAGTGCCCTGGGAACCTAGGCCAGGTTGAAATCGGCATTTTTACCTGTTACAAATATGAGCTCCCAAGCTGTGACTGGTCATAACCTTCCCAAAATGAAGGTGATGTGATGAATACAATTTTTCGAATGGATTTTATTCAAACATGCCTTACAACAAATAAAAATAATTATAGCAACCATCTATTGAGTGCTTACTATGTGCCAGGTACTAGATTTTATATCCTTAATATCACATAGTCCTCATAATATCTCTCTCGGTTAGGTTCTATTTTTCTCTCCAGATCATCTGAAGCCATAGCCTCCTCTTCATTTCAGTCTCTGCTCAAGTGCTACCTATCAGGCCCTCCTAGGGTATCCTATGGAAAAGAGCACACCCACATTTCCCATTCATTCTCTCTGCCCTTTTTTGCTTAGCTCTTGTCACTGTCTAGCATTTTCTTCGCTGTCTGCCTCCTCTTCACCCCCAGTAAACTGTAAGCTCCATGAAAGCAGGGACTCTGTTTTGTTCTCTCCTGCAACTCCGGCACCTGGAACAATCCATGGCACATGGTAGACTTTCAGTAAATATCTGTCAAGTGAACAGATTACACAGAAATGGAAACCGTGTTTTAGAGTAGCCAAGAAGTTTGCCCAAAATCTCATGGCTAGAAAACGGAAGAGCTGGAATTCAAACCTAGTCCGCATGACTCCAAATCTGATGTTTTTCATCTTATTCTCTACAGCTCTGCTTTTTAAGAAAATATTCCTGACCATGGGGCAGGAATGTTTTATTATTGATTGATGTCTCTCAGAACGTTTTATCAAAGCTCTCTTAACATACAAGCTAGATTTTGGTGGGGTGGAAGGCGGGGGGTGAGGGCTGCAGAGCCTTTTCTGCCACAGGGTGGGTACACAAGGGATGCACTGATTTTTAAAGGAAAGATCAAATGACATCATATTTTACACAATGGCTGTTTCTGTCCTCCTGTCAGCACAGGACACTCACAGTCTCATGAATCTCCAGAACTAAACTTTTTCCACTTAAAATGACCCTGATGTTAGCAAATCCCATTGGTGGCAATTTGGACACAACCATAGGTACCGTCTAAGACACTGGCCAACTGGCATTCAGTTTTACCAGCTCTGACTCCTGAATGAGGACTTCCTGAGGACCATTGCTAAAAGGTCATGAGATTAGGCAAGTTGACTGAAAAGACTAGCTAGTTTTCCCAAAAGAGAGATCCTCTGAGTGAAACAGTTTACTTGATTTGTCTCCTAGAGAACTGATTAAACAGACTATTGGTTTAGGCTTACTAATAGTAGCAACTGTGCATATTCAGCCTTTCTTAGTGACAGGCTTGGGGCGCAGTTGTTTGATGTCCTTTCTTTATCATCATTCTGTGACTTAGGCATCCTGCCCATTTTAGAGATGTATAAACAGAGGCTCAGAAAGGTAAGTACTGGCTTAAGGCCTTGCAAATAGTAAACAGCAAAGCCAAGAATGGAGTCCAGAGCTCCAGAGTCTGTCTGACTCCAGAGCTCCTGTTCCTCACTATTATTAGGACTATTTATGGCATGGCACTTGATTTAAACAACAGTGAGGATGACAACATCTGATGTACAGGACTTTTCCATGTATTTTGTATCTCAGTGTCTACTATGCTACACACTGTACTAAGCATGCACTACAAAGTGTGGCTCTTACAAAGATGAATGAAACACACTCTCTGTCCTTAGGGGGCATGGAGGAGACAAGTTACAAGTGGCTGAAACATAAAATGAATTCAATCATTGGTTCTTAAATGACTGTGTGCCTCATGGTCACCGGGGACTCTGCCTAGAACATAATTTCTGGCCTCGTCACTAGGGATGCTGGTTTAGAAGGTTTGAGTTGGACTCTAAGAAATGACATCTTTGACAAGGCCCCTCCCAGAAAATGCCCAGGTGATTCTGGTGCAGGTGGTCCCTGGACCACACTTTGAGAAATCATGGAGAAGGATAACTGTCCTGAGAAAAGCACAGAAGATAACCATGGCAGTTCAGAAGAAGCACAAAGGGAGGAGACGGGATTAGGAAGGAGTTTCCACGATGCATCTGGAGGGTAGATGGGCTTTCATGTTGGGCATCTCATTTGATGCTCCCAAGGATCCTTTGAGGCATACAGGATGTGCATTGCCATTTCTTTCTTTCTAGTGGTGTGGATGTGATTATCCCATTTATAAAAGAGGGTAACTGGCTCTGAGGGGCCAGGTATCTAATCAGGATCACACAGCTAGAAAGAGGCAGAACTGGGAATGAAGCACGTTCTGTCTGTCTATAGCCTTTAGGCTTTCTTGCTCCCTCTGAGGTACCTATGTCGTAATACTCATTCTGGGAGGAGGGGGAACCCCAGGCCAGATTTAGTGCAAATTATTGGTTGAGTCAGGATCAGCCTTTACTGCCCCAGGTTTTAATTTTCGGTATATGCTTTGATAACTGAGGCCTCTTAGGACATAGATACAGCCTTCCTCTACCATTTTTAATTTTTTTAGACTTCATTTTGTGATTTATTGCTGCTCTGGGGGCTTCACATCCAATCCTTTTATGGTTTCATCTTTCCTTTCCTTACATTTGTTGCATATAACAATGGCGTGTTTAGCTACTGCAGTGAAAAATCAATCAAGCCTATTCCATATTCACAGGCTTGCAATGGCACCAACGGCTCCTGGATTAGATTAACTTTGTGAATGTGTCATTCTAGTATGGGTAATTTCTCAACCTTCGCTCTATCCTCCCCATCCTGCCTCGGCGGGTGGATATTGAGATCTCTCATTGATTGACTGCCCTGAAAGTGAATGCTGGCATGTGATGTGTGTAACTCAGTGGGATGCACATACTCTGTGTTTATGAAAATAAATAATAATTTCTGTTATCATTATTGATTGCCATCATTATCTGATTGTATCTGTCAGTGTCATGGGGTTTCAGTTATGGGATCAGAAAGCCCTCCACGAGAATTTAACCACTACCCTCACTGACAAGCCTTTGTGTTTTGACATGTTTCGCCTTTGGGGGATGAGAGTTTGGGATGTTTCTGTTCTGCTCATTGGCTAATATTTTTGGCTAATGTTCAGAGACATGATGATAATTGAGTTCCATGTCAGCCAAAGGAACTACTTCAGTTGGAATTAAAAGAGAAGCTAACATTTATGCTAATGTTCCAAGAACATTTTGCATGCATTGGCTAATTTAATCTTCAAGATAAACCTATAACATAGGCACTGATATTATCCTTATTGTAGAGATGTGATAGCTGAAGCCAGGGAAGTTAAGGAACTTGCCTTAGGTTAGACGGCTAGTAAGTGGTAATGCTTGGACTTGAGTGCACGTCTTTATGACTCTAAAACCCAAGCTGCTGTCCTGCCTCTTGTACTAAAATAGAATGCCTAATATATGCATCTGAATATTCAGTGTAAGCCAAAACACATATGAGTAAGCAGGGGCTGGAAAACAACTTTTCAAGGAGATTGTAAAAGTTACTGGTGCCTTGGGCACAGGTGGGCTTTCTGTTTAATTTTGGGAAAAGGCGGGGTAGGAAGGGTACATGAAACTAGGTCATGGCTTACCAAAGCTGGATGATCATCAGACTCTGGGAACATCTAAGTCATCTCCAACCAAGTGACTCAGAATCTCCAGGAGTGTGGCCAAGACACCCACCCGTATTTCTCGGCCATATTCTTGGCCATCCTGAAGATCAGATGGGTTTGAGACCCTTTGGCATAATGATCTCTCTACTCAAAAGTAGAGATTCTCAGATTTGATTTTTAAAATCCCTTCCTTTTTCCTCTTGTCTCCTCCTGCCTCAAGGTTCTGTATAGATCAGTCTGAGGACAACATTATTATCAAAATGTGGTTGCCTTTACACTAAGAGAGTGATTTGATTTAGAATGAGCATCCATGATGATTCTGTGATTGTGAGCTGTTAGTGCCTTTTATAACTCAACTTCTTTCCCCTTCTTACTCCTGGTCAAGTCATGGGGGACAGCCTACTTAGTTGCCAGTGTGCTATAATAGTAACACTATTGCAGACATTTATTAAGTATGTATTATGTGCCAGGCCTTCTGCTAGGCAGGTACCATCTCACTATGCCCAGACGGCAGCCTGTGGAGTGGGTACTACTGTTATTCCCATTTTGCAGATGAGGACATTTGATCTAGAGAGCTATAGTGACATGCTCATGTCTATAGCTACTAAGTGGCACAGCCATATTTTTAAACCAGGTTCAAGCTGACTCCAGAATAATAACTATACTTTCTTACAGAGGTTGGGCTGATAAAGTCACTTGTTGAAGTGTTTAGCATAATATCTTGCCATCAATAGACGCTTAGTTTATGTTAATCCCTTTCTCCTCTTTTTTCCCATCTTGTCTTTTACCTAGAGACTAGGAGTTTCAGGAAAGCATGATGAATATATTGAAAAGTTCGAAGTAGTATTACATCTAGAGACTAGCAATTCATTATGCTTTGAATCTGCCTTTGTACTGACTCTCCTACGCTGCCTTGCATTCAGAGTGTATTCACTGACAATAAAATATTTTCTTTCATCCCAAAGGTACCTTTGTTATGCTGCACTTACCATGTAGTAATTAGATCCAACATAGACGTAAATATAAGCAGAACCCTATACCTGGTTTAGGATCGAGTTCTCTTTGTCTTTTGCTCCCAAACCCTTTGGAAGGTGTCCATGGCTTCTTGAATGTGATAGGAACTAATAAAGGACACCTCCCATATGTACACTCAATGGCAGTGGCAAGCTGAGACGTCCACTAGTGTCAGAAAAAGAAAAGAATCACATTACAGAAGAAAATCTGGATGTTTCCATGGCCTCTGGTGCCATTTATCTTGAGATTCCCTGGCCATAAAGCCTGATAGTGTTACAGGCTCTGACACATTGTCTTTCCCTAACCTTGGTTGTTAAATGGTCTGAATTTCAGAGATGTGGGAAGGTTGACAGGGCAGAGTTCTGGCCTTTTTAGGGCTTTGCAAGTAAGGATCTTGTCACCATTCCAAACCTGATTCACACTGACCCAGATAGGATTTTCTCAAATGAGAAGTTATTAGAGTGATTCTCCCATCTTTTCATTTAAAGGGCTCTCTGTATACTTTTCAAAGGAAGTGAAAAATCAAGGATAATTGGATGATTGAAGGAGAGAATACTTTTATTTTCTGAATTTTTCAGATGAAATTATCTGAATTATAAGCGTAATGGGAAAGACATTCAGCCCACACCAGGTCCCATTTCTGAAGTGTGAGCTCACTGTTGCTAGAGCAATGGGTGTGTCTCCGGTCCCCGAAACTACACGTGCATGTGTGGGTGCGTGCAGGCATGTACATGGCATACAACACCCAAGCAGGGCATTGCTCAAGAATCCTAAAAATGTTAACAAAGTAAAGAGCTGACTTTTATTTATTTTTCAACTAGACTTTACTAATAGAAGATCAAAAATACATGCCTAGATCCCTTTTTGCTACTAGGTTATGCAAAGAACTAATTTGAAATCAGTAGAGGACTTCTAGGGCCTCTGCTCATTATGCATTAGGATTTTTGTAGAAAATAATTAGTGCAAATGGATTTGGAATCCAACTCAATAGAGGACATGATCACTTTGATCCTAGTACGTTGCAAGCCGGGCTTCGACTGATGCATTGATGTAAGCATTTTAAATACCAGTCCTTACCAGAGAAAAATATTTTAAATATTTCCCTAGGGGTAGTGTGCATAGCAAGATACTATCTTGTCTTTGACGCATAAAAACAAGATCTTGGTTGGAGAAAACTACTTACAAGGGTGGTTTCATGTTAAAGGAGACTGTTTTCAACAGAAAAATATATTTTATTCTCTGGTTTCCTTAGAATGGTTTAGCAACAAGGAAAGGAATTTTCTACCTGAAAGGTGTTAGGTTTGTGTTTGTTTGGGTGGAAGAAGGTGGGTCATGCTCTTGTAATTTGTTGTTGTGATCAGATGAGTTTATTTTCTTTTTACCAGAAAACTGTTAAAAGCAGTGGTACACACATGCATACACACACTGTCTCACACAAATGTCTCTGGCTCAAGTAATATAGGAAACCCTAGCTTAAACACAGTTAAGCAAATTTATTTACTTCAGGATTTCTGGGAACTTTTTTTTTTTAAGTGTGTGCAACGCTGTGGTTTTTTTTATTATTATTATTATACTTTAAGTTTTAGGGTACATGTGCACATTGTGCAGGTTAGTCACATATGTATACATGTGCCATGCTGGTGCGCTGCACCCACTAACTCGTCATCTAGCATTAGGTATATCTCCCAATGCTATCCCTCCCTCCCCACCCCACCCCACAACAGTCCCCAGAGTGTGATATTCCCCTTCCTGTGTCCACGTGATCTCATTGTCCAATTCCCACCTATGAGTGAGAATATGCGGTGTTTGGTTTTTTGTTCTTGCGATAGTTTACTGAGAATGATGATTTCCAATTTCATCCATGTCCCTACAAAGGACATGAACTCATCATTTTTTATGGCTGCATAGTATTCCATGGTGTATATGTGCCACATTTTCTTAATCCAGTCTATCATTGTTGGACATTTGGGTTGGTTCCAAGTCTTTGCTATCGTGAATAATGCCACAATAAACATAAGTGTGCATGTGTCTTTATAGCAGCATGATTTATAGTCCTTTGGGTATATACCCAGTAATGGGATGGCTGGGTCAAATGGGATTTCTAGTTCTAGATCCCTGAGGAATCGCCACACTGACTTCCACAATGGTTGAACTAGTTTACAGTCCCACCAACAGTGTAAAAGTGTTCCTATTTCTCCACATCCTCTCCAGCACCTGTTGTTTCCTGACTTTTTAATGATTGCCATTCTAACTGGTGTGAGATGGTATCTCATTGTGGTTTTGATTTGCATTTCTCTGATGGCCAGTGATGATGAGCATTTTTTCATGTGTTTTTTGGCTGCATAAATGTCTTCTTTTGAGAAGTGTCTGTTCATGTCCTTCGCCCACTTTTTGATGGGGTTGTTTGTTTTTTTCTTGTAAATTTGTTTGAGTTCATTGTAGATTCTGGATATTAGCCCTTTGTCAGATGAGTAGGTTGCGAAAATTTTCTCCCATTTTGTAGGTTGCCTGTTCACTCTGATGGTAGTTTCTTTTGCTGTGCAGAAGCTCTTTAGTTTAATTAGATCCCATTTGTCAATTTTGGCTTTTGTTGCCATTGCTTTTGGTGTTTTAGACATGAAGTCCTTGCCCATGCCTATGTCCTGAATGGTAATGCCTAGGTTTTCTTCTAGGGTTTTTATGGTTTTAGGTCTAACGTTTAAGTCTTTAATCCATCTTGAATTGATTTTTGTATAAGGTGTAAGGAAGGGATCCAGTTTCAGCTTTCTGCATATGGCTAGCCAGTTTTCCCAGCACCATTTATTAAATAGGGAATCCTTTCCCCATTGCTTGTTTTTCTCAGGTTTGTCAAAGATCAGATAGTTGTAGATATGCAGCGTTATTTCTGAGGGCTCTGTTCTGTTCCATTGATCTATATCTCTGTTTTGGTACCAGTACCATGCTGTTTTGGTTACTGTAGCCTTGTAGTATAGTTTGAAGTCAGGTAGCATGATGCCTCCAGCTTTGTTCTTTTGGCTTAGGATTGACTTGGCGATGCGGGCTCTTTTTTGGTTCCATATGAACTTTAAAGTAGTTTTTTCCAATTCTGTGAAGAAAGGCATTGGTAGCTTGATGGGGATGGCATTGAATCTGTAAATTACCTTGGGCAGTATGGCCATTTTCACGATATTGATTCTTCCTACCCATGAGCATGGAATGTTCTTCCATTTGTTTGTATCCTCTTTTATTTCCTTGAGCAGTGGTTTGTAGTTCTCCTTCAAGAGGTCCTTCACATCCCTTGTAAGTTGGATTCCTAGGTATTTTATTCTCTTTGAAGCAATTGTGAATGGGAGTTCACTCATGATTTGGCTCTCTGTTTGTCTGTTGTTGGTGTATAAGAATGCTTGTGATTTTTGTACATTGATTTTGTGTCCTGAAACTTTGCTGAAGTTGCTTATCAGCTTAAGGAGATTTTGGGCTGAGACAATGGGGTTTTCTAGATATACAATCATGTCATCTGCAAACAGGGACAATTTGACTTCCTCTTTTCCTAATTGAATACCCTTTATTTCCTTCTCCTGCCTAATTGCCCTGGCCAGAACTTCCAACACTATGTTGAATAGGAGTGGTGAGAGAGGGCATCCCTGTCTTGTGCCAGTTTCCAAAGGGAATGCTTCCAGTTTTTGCCCATTCAGTATGATATTGGCTGTGGGTTTGTCATAGATAGCTCTTATTATTTTGAAATACGTCCCATCAATACCTAATTTATTGAGAGTTTTTAGCATGAAGTGTTGTTGAATTTTGTCAAAGGCTTTTTCTGCATCTATTGAGATAAGCATGTGGTTTTTGTCTTTGGCTCTGTTTATATGCTGGATTACATTTATTGATTTGCGTATATTGAGCCAGCCTTGCATCCCAGGGATGAAGCCCACTTGATCATGGTGGATAAGCTTTTTGAGGTGCTGCTGGATTCGTTTTGCCAGTATTTTATTGAGGATTTTTGCATCAATGTTCTCTTAACCACCATGTTACCTGGCCTCCCAACAGCAATGGCTTTTAACCCTCTGAGCCATGGGGGCTTTATCCTACTTTAGAGACTTCTTGAAGCAGAAAAGAACCATTAGCCAATCCAAAACAAATCACTGTTCACAAATGTTTCCTTCTGTCTAACCTAACATTAATCTTACCTGCCACTTATTTAAAAAGGATTCCATACATATAGTCATGATGGACATGTATGGTCTCTGCTCTCATGGGGCTTGTAATCCAGTGACTAGGAATCTTTGGTTTGAAAATAGTCACAGCGGGCCAGGAGTGGTGGTACACGCCTGTAATCCCAGCACTTTGGGAGGCTGGGGTGGGTGGATCGCTTGAGCTCAGGAGTTCAAGACTAGCCTGGGCAACATGGTGAAACCCTAGCTCTACAAAAAATACAATAGTTAGCCAGGCATGGTGGTGCACACTTGCAGTCCCAACTACTTGAGAGGCTACAGTGGGAGAACTACTTGAGCCTGGTGCAGTGAGCCGAGATCAGGCCACTGCACTCCAGCCTGAGTGACAGAGTGAGACCCTGTCTCAGACAGAGGGAGGGAGGGAGGGAGGGAGGGAGGGAGGGATGAGTTTTTTAAAAAGTATAAGATCATAGCATGATACCATTAATGTGAAAAATAAAGCAATCCTGAACCGCAAACAAACAAACAAAAAAAAATGGTGACGGCATGTACTTCATTTGCCCCTGCCTAACATTACAGTCAATCCCATTGTGTATTTAGAAACTGCCTGAGTTCTTTCTCAACATTTTCTTCTCTACTCTGTGATCTCACTTCCTCTCATTATTTTCAGGGAGTGAGAGTTCTGCAACATTCAATTAAATAAGGACACTGACTATTTAATGCGAAAACATCCAGATACAAAGCGAAAACTCTGTCCAATTATCTTGCCAGTTCAAAACCAAATATACAGATGTTTAGAAACTTCTGAAAGCTTGAATTTTTAAATCATAGGCTCTCCAAATTCAAAGAGCATCTAAGAAAAGCATCCTATGAGGGAAACATAAGATCGTCAAAGCAGACAAAGCAGACAACAAAGATAGGAGTTCAGGAGTTATAAGGTTAGAGATTAAGATAGAAGTGACAAAACAAAGCCACACTTGGTTATCATTATTCCTTCCCATACTAAAATCCTTT
The DNA here is from genome assembly GCF_000001405.40 of Homo sapiens. Classification (NCBI taxonomy): domain Eukaryota; kingdom Metazoa; phylum Chordata; class Mammalia; order Primates; family Hominidae; genus Homo; species Homo sapiens. The sequence goes on along the minus strand of NC_000005.10, from coordinate 146,676,947 downwards.
ACGCAGATGGACTCAGAGGTGACCGCCACACCAGTCCCAATTAGATATGCCGTTGCACTACTTGACGGTCAAACCAATTAAGAACATAAGCACCACCTCGGTTTCTTGCTATGCATTTTAAAAACTAATTCCACAAGCACTTATTAAGTCCCTACTGTAAGCCAGGTACTATGATTAGTCCTGGAGTTATAGAAGTGAACATGAAAGATATGGTTCCTGCCTTCATGGAGCTAGCCATCTCTTTGGGTTGGAAAAAGCATGCATAAAATGCTCCTAATGTAAAGCCGACAGTGTAATGGGGCCTCTAGAGGAAAGGTGAATGGTGTACAGGAGAGCAGATGATGGGGAGAATTTGATCTTTTCAGGGAGAGCAGAGGATAATTTCCTGAGCAATTAATATTTAAACCACAGCAGGAGGAAAGTAAGAAGAGGAGCAGAAAGAATGTTCTAGGCAGAGGCGGTGACATGCACAAAGCCCATCAGGTAGGAGGTAGCACAGAAAAACACAGTGTGGAAGGAGGGCCCAGGTGGCTGAAGCTGAGTGCAGGGGATGTGTGGTACCAGTAAGATGCAGGTGGTGAGGCAGCTTATGGCCAGATCATGCTGGGCACCATAGGTCTTGTTAAGGAACTCGCTTTTTTCCCCATGAGCAATGCAAGCCCTCGCTTCTCTGTACAGGTCATTTTTTGGAACAGCCCTACTTTGCCCAGATAGCTAAATGTTCTGCACTGAAGACAGGATGTTCACCAACATGGAAAAGCCGCCTAGATAGTTCCTGGCAGAAGAGTTTAAATTTAGGAAGTAAATGACATTTTGTCAGTTTGGCCATGTTGCCCTCTAGCCCCCAGCTGCCATTGTTTCAATACATGTCAGGGCATGGCCTCCACCGGGTTTCTCCAATATCAAGGCGTCCTCCCTCCAAGGTGAATCCGCCCATGAGTGATTGAATTGTTTGGAGGGTCATAGAACCTGACAGCTCCCTATTACACAAAGGAAAAGATAAGCTTCCGATTAGTCCTGGGGCAGGAGGAAGCCAAGATAGAGTGCACCTGTCAGAACTGCTTACGACATATAAATCATTACCTCAATTTTCTGTGCAAGCAGTGGGCCAGAGAGAGAGAGAGAGAAGTGACTGAGGTTGGTTAACAGTGCAGAACCATAAAAAAGAGCTGCTGCTTTCCTCCAAAGCAGGATTTCCTCTGCTGTCCATGCAAAGAAAACTGAGCCCCATGCCCAGAGGAACGACAAAGACAAATGCCCACTGGCTCCAGAAAGGGGCAATTTGTTTCTATGGCATTTGCTAACAGCATTTACTGCTAATCTAACAATAGCAGCCACCAAGGCTTTCCCAGACTTTAACAGGGAGCATGCTTAATATTGCACTTGCTATATGTTTCATCCTAGATTTCTCTACCTTGTAATTGCCATAACAATCATGGTTGTTATTGTTGCCATTTTCCTTTCATTCACTGGGCAAAAATCTCTGAGACAGACCAATTGCAACTAACCTGCTATCCCACAGTCCAGGATACCAGGGTATTTATAGCGGGGTGAGGGGGAACATAAAAACAAAGATTGAATGAAAGATAGCAAGTCAGAAGATGCTCAATAAAGATTCAAAAGCTTAAGTTGTTTGGGCAATACTCAGATTTTCATCACAATTTATGTTGTATAAAATACCAAGTATCGGCGGGGTGCAGTGGCTCACACCTGTAATCACAGCACTTTAGGAGGCTGAGGCGGGTGGATCACGAGGTCAGGAGATTGAAACCATCCTGGCCAACATGGTGAAATCCCGTCTCTACTAAAAATACAAAAATTAGCTGGGTGTGGTGGCGCATGCCTGTAATCCCAGCTACTTGGAGGCTGAGGTGCGAGAATCACTTGAACCCAGGAGGTGGAGGTTGCAGTGAGCTGAGATCGTGCCACTGAACTCCAGCCTGGCAACAGAGCGAGACTCCATCTCTAATAATAATAACAATAATAATAATATAATACCACCAAGTATCTAGCTGAATGTGAAAGCCTGAAAGATCCTAGTTGGAGAAGCGCCAACACTGAGTAACTACTAACTTGTACAGCAAAGCTCAAGAAATACTAAGTCTTGTGCTTCTTCTGGGCTACTCTAAACAGAGTGGATAACACTTTGGGGGAGACTGGTTCATTCTTCAGAATAGATGTAAACTAAGTTCCCAGAACTTTTGAGAGGGAGTTTGGCACCTACATTGAAAGGGAGCCACATGTTTGTCCAGCCCAGATATTCCTGCTGCCAATGATGGAGGAGACATTTTATTCCACCTTGGTGTATTTTAAAGGGAAGCATATTCTCAAAATTACAACACAACCCAAGATGTATGAGCTGTCAATTACATTCCTTAGGACCAGAAGGGAAATATATGAACAGACCCAAAAAGTGCATCAAGACAGTACACAAAGGGATGTAGGAGCTGAGGGAATGAGTCACATGGATACTTTAAAACAGAATAATTGTTTGTTCAAAATTGTGAGCAAAATGTTCTTACTGCCAGGAGAAGTGTTGGGCAGACTTATTTCTACTTATTGTGTAATAGGGGCAGAAATCCCATAGTTGAAATCGTCATGGGAGAGAGTCTAGGGCTTTAGAGTGACAACTCCAGGTTCATATCCTAGCTCTGTCTTTGTATGACTCTGAGCCTTTTACTTAAGCTCTCACCATATCAGTTTTATCATCAACAAAGTAGGGATAATATTATTTAAAGTATCTCATAGGACTTGTTATCAGAAAAAAATATTAGCACAGTATCTGGCTTTTAGTACTAACCATTCAATAATATGTAGCTAGCTCCAAGATGGAAATCAGGAATGCTCAGAACAGAGAGATAACTGGGAGACTCCAGTTGCTACTTTTGGATGGAAGAATACATTTATAAAAGGACAGATAAGAGGGAAGAGACTTCTAACTTGGTCGTATGGTCAGAGTTTATTTGCCTAAGACATACTGACCTCAACATGTAAGACTTCTTAGTGAATATTTCTATCCCTTGCTGGAAGAAAATTCCCCTGAGAATGGGAAACTGCAAGTGCAGATAAGATGATGATGAAAAAAATCCTCAGTTTGAGATTCTGTGGATAAAGGGAGGTAAGTGAGTTCAACCTCTAATGCCTGTTTTTGAAAGCTCAGTAAACTTTCAAGTTCTCACTGAGCTAAGAAAGGTTACATGCTCAGGAGTCACTCCTTTCTAGGGAAGAAGCTGCAGTTAAGTCTCATGTGAGGGGCCTCTGGGCTGATGGCAGGTACAGTTGTCTGGAAAGCTGTTAAAGTCAAGGGTCTTAGTTTTGAATCTTCCTTTAGATTCTCTGCTTCAATCATTAGTCACCAAAAATGCAGAATTCTCAGCCTGGGCCATGCATTTCCCCTCAGGTTAAAGGATCCACTATCGAATATTAGACTTTATGTCTATTTTCTAGTAGCAATAAAAAAAAAATCTTCTAAATAGGTTACTTTTCCTTAGATAAAAACAAACCCAAAAAAAGTTCTGTTGATATTTTCTCCTTTGTCTTGACCACTAAGGGAAAAAAATAATCTTTTCTTCCAGCACAAGTTCATTATTAACCCAGTTAACGTTTGCAAATTAAGATACAACATTAGACATTTGTACTTACTTTACAGAAATTTTCCTCTTAATTGGACTGCTTTCCTATAAAAATCATCCCGCCAGCATCTGTGGTAAGATAGATTCTGGAAAAACAATGTGCCATGCCAAATTATCAGGTAGAATTAGATTGCTCTATATTTCTGTTTGATAACAACACTGTGCCTTTGCATAATTCTTGCTGATTATCAGAAGGAAAAAACCATAACTCAGACAGATGAGCTTTATTGGCACTGGTCCCTTCTAGGAAAGAAAGAAAAATGTATGAACAGAAGCATTTGCAAGTGCCATATATGTTGAGAGAATAAAATTCCAAACAGTCTGTAAACTTAGCTTCCCTGCAACCTTAAAAAATAAAAATGCCTCCCTATATTTGGTGTCATATCTCAGGATCTGGGTTTATCCCATTTTCTATATTTCAAGACAAAAAAATGTACATGCCTATAAATATATCTAGAATAGAATGTCATTTTAAACTAGAGAGTTCTCGTGAAGGAAAAAATAAATCGTCGGAGAGAGTTGTGAGTCAGAGTCTTTATAGAACTTGGAAATTAACAAGAAAGTGTTAAATGAATACTCAAATAGAACAGCTGCATATACTACTTATAGAGGGAGGGAGGTTGGTCTGCCATCTTTATTTGTTTGCATGCTGAACCAAACTATGGTGTCCATTTTCTCTAGCTGTCTTTATCCATCTCAGTTTCTGCAAGCAGTTTTCTGTGTTGGGATAGATAATGTAACTTTAATCTGGTACATGCGAACAAAGTCTGCTTACCCTTTATGTGTCTTTCAAGCATTCCCCCCACCCCCATGTCTCCAGCAGTATCCTTGAGAGCTATTTTTTTGCCTCTAATTCCAGACTCTACCCCTTTCTCTAGGAAAATCCACAGAAACCCTTTGAGCCCCTTCCCTGAGCAAATTCAGGACTTCTCTGACTCTACTCAAGACTCAGGAATATTTAGTCTCTGTTTCCTGTACCCCAAACAGCTTCAGATGTCTGTCAGTACCCAGGGGCAATTGTGTGGTTTGATCCTTGTTCAACATCAAAAACCAATGCTTTGCCTTTTGAGGACTCGAAAACAAGAATGTTGCTTCATAATCTTCTTCCCCTGGGAAATTTACATCTCCTCTTGCCTCCTTGGATGTCTCCCATTGTGAAAGCAGCAGCAAATAATTTTGCTTCCCTATGTCTTTCTTTTTGGCACATTCTTACTTGTCGATCAATAAATTACCCCCTGCCAAGCTCCAGCAGCCTGGCTTCCGTCTTCACCACTTATATTCTCCTTTTGTGTTTAAAAAAGAGCTCATTATTTTTCTCTTAACCTCTAGTGAAATATTCCCTTTATTCTCTCCGTTTTGCTTATCGTTTAACTTAATTCTTAGTCCAACCATCCCCATCTGTACCTGTCCCCGAGTCCTCCACATTTTCCTCTTTAATAACCAGAAGTTAATGAGACCACCCTTGGAGTCACATGCTCCTTTTCTGATCACACCAGGATAAGCAAATGGGATTTAAATAGCAATAGCAGGTAATACAATAGAAGAAAAGCCATAGGCAGGGATTCAGCCAGTCAGGTAAAACAGAGGATGTAGTTTTGTGCTCTCTGGGATGTATAATGTCTCCTTTTACAGCTGTGCCTCAGTTTTCTCATCTGAGAAGTGAAGTCAGCCGTCACTTATAGTATCTGCTTCATGCAGTACTTGTGAGGATTAGATGGGATAAATTACACAATGTGTTTGATGGAGTGGCACACAGAAAGCCCACAGTAAGTATTAGGCACTACTGTGTCATGATTATAGGAAGCAAATGTAAAAGACAATCCTACCCTTTACCAGGTTTGAAAGCTGCAGTTACATATGGTTGAGAGACAGAGGCCTTCAGTGTCCAGACAGGAATCCCAGCTCTATTTGTTTATGCAAATAACTCATCAAACCCACCATTTAGCGGTTCTTAATGGGGAGAAGGTATGTGAAATAACACTGGACAACCTAAGGACAGAGACGTGTTTTTCTATTCTCAAGACCCAATATTTTGCCTGACACAGTACATTTTCTATAAATACTTAAAATCAACATACATGAATCACCTAACATACTACCTTGGTGTATATCATTGTGTTTCCCAAAGTCTAGGATATGTGTTTCTGTTGATGTAAGACACAACTGTAAGTAATATTGAATCACATAATTGAGGAAGTTATTCCCTCCTTTCTTGCTTTATAAATTATTCTGATGACATCAAGCCCAAAGTCTCAGTTTGATGTTAATATTTTTTAACCTCTCTCATAACACTTACAAATCTTGATTTTTTTAAACTGAGAACTGACCTTACACTCTGTCTTTTCAGATGACTCTATCTGGCTAGAATTTAAAAACAATTTTTATTGTATTTATTTTTATAATTTTCTTCTTTTTTGACAATTCATAGAAAACTGGTTTTCCATGTGTTACAGTGTAAAGTTCCCTATCAAAATAAAGTTAGTTAACTAAAAGCAAATCAGTTTAAAGAAAATACTAAGTGGGCCGGGTGCAGTGGCTCATGCCTATAATCCCAGTACTTTAGGAGGCCAGGCATGCGGATCGCTTGAAGTCAGGAGTTCGAGACCAGCCTGGCTGACATGATGAAACCCCGTCTCCACTAAAAATATAAAAATTAGCCAGGCCTGGTGGCACATGCATGTAGTCCCAGCTACTCAGAAGGCTAAAACAAGAGAATTGTTTGAACTCGGGAGGCGGAGGTTGCAGTGAGCCGACATTGCGCCACTGCACTGCAACCTGGGTCACAGAGCAAGATTCTGTCTCAATAAATAAATAAATAAATAAATAAATAAATAAATAATAGTACACATAAAACAGATAAGAAAATCTGAAGGGGTACTAAAAGGACTGAGTTTTAGAAAACACTATTCTAATTTTCCCTCAATTATTTGGAGAGCTTTAAAAAAAAATCAGGATACCTAAGCCTCACCTCAGACCAACTGAGTTCATCTCGAAGTCTGTATTTTCTATTGCTCTTTAAGAACTCTCAGGTGATTCTGATTTTTTTAAAAGCCAGTTTAGGAATCTCTGAATGAGAAAAATCTGATTTTGTTTTTAAATTCTTTTAAATTCATTCAACAAACATTTGTTGAATATTTGTTCTGTGTAATGTCCTGTGTCCTGGATGCCAAGGATATGATGGAAAATAATACAGATACTGTGTTCACTGAGTTTTTGCCTGCTTATGAGCTTTACTCCTATGCTAATCACAACCTGAAAGATATAAAAGTGTCATAATTTTGTGAACATTTTTTGGTTATGATTCTGACATTGAGTTTACTGCAGAGAGAAACCTGAAGCTAGCCTTATTTTCCCTCTAATACAAGAGGAATTCATGTTTAAAGATCTAGATAATCCATAAATCTTCTTTATACTGGAAATATAGTAACGTCACCAGAAAAAAATGCCATGGTATTGACCATTCTCTGTAAGGTTCAGATGGTATTTGAATCCTAGTTCTGCTGATCCCGAGGACCTCATGACTTATTATGTCATTTAACCTCACTGAGCCTCAGCTCTTTAAAGTCTGTAAAATATGTATGGTATCAACTATGCAGGATTTTTGTGAAGCTTAAAGGAGGTAACGTATGTAAAGCATACAGGGGACAGTAAGCACTTTTTAAAGGGTCATTAAAGTGGCAGTTTTACAGAGGTTAGGTTCCAAAGTCGCCCCATAAAGCAAGCACCAGGTTTGGTAAAAATACTCTTGAAAAATCCCATAAATCACCCATAAGATTTGTTTGTTTTTATTAACTCTATATAGAATAATATATACATATAAATATATAGGATATAAAGAATAATGTAGAATATAAACTATGCAAACAATATGAGGGGCCATTTGTGAAAAATATACTTCCTTAAACCTTAGTAACTTATTCAACATCCCACGATGCTCAGAGATGAGATCCACCCAGACCATTGGTCTGAAGAAAGAGCAGATTAACTCCCCTCCCCCATCTCATACTCCCTGGGACCTCTGACCCATTATTTAAATTTGCTTCTTTCCTTTTTTCATATTATTCTAAGCATATATAGTTGAATTCACATATTAAATGCATATGTGATACAATTCAGTACATAATTGTATTCCTAGATTAGAGGCAAAATAAATACTAAATAGAATGTAAAATAGGTGGAAGTCAGGTACCATAATTTGATGTTCAACTACAGTGATTTTAAATGAACTGCACATTTGTTCTCTTTTCCCTCTCTATGATTAGTTTTCCCTTCTTTTTAGGTTTTCCTTTCCTTTCTGTTAGCCTCAGAGCTTGATGGTTTTTTAAAAAGGTCCTCTGCTTTGGCTATTGGAGAAAATAATTTATATTCCTTCCTTCAGGAAGAAAATGAATTAATGGAGTCTACAGTCCTCAAAGGCAATAACCTCTGTCCATGCCACCCGTGCCCTGCTTCCTTCCATTCTATGGCAATGCAGTTCACAACATTTGGGGGCAAAGAGGTCAGAAAGCAGTACAGAAATGGATGACAACCTTGAAAACTTGAAGGGAATAGATAGGATTCAGAGTTCTAAAAGGACAGAGCATAGTGCTGGGACATGTGGGGAGAAAACTCAACAGTTCATGTGTAGAAAGTGGAAACACAGCCAAAGTAAAGTTGCAGAAAAAAGATCTCAGGGTTTTAGTGAATAACATGAAAGTGTTACTTAAAAGTAGACCAGGCATAAGTCACCCCAAATAGTGTGTTGTTCCAGAAGAAGTAATTACGTAATTTTCTTCAGTTCAGGATAAATTCTTACTCTAATATGGTTTGAGGATCTAGTTTTTAAAAAGAATGTGATTGCCATGAAAAGGGCTCATAGCACTTCTAAGATTGGCAGGGAAGTGGGGGGAAATTATGAGGGAGAATTACATAAATGGGTTCATTGCCTAAAGAAGATTGAAAGGCAATTATAACATTCCAAACAAAATAAAATTTCTAGCTAGGGAATAGTGACCACTTGTGCTTTGCCCTCCTTATACAAGACACTGTTAGAAATCTAGATTAAAACACTAGGAGCTCAAGTTACAAAATGATTCCAGGAGGGTTGTCAAAATAGTGACAGGTTGAAGAAGGAAGCTAGAGAATTAATCGTTTTCTTTAGGACTCTTAAATGTATCCAATTATTCTTCATCACAGTGGGTACATATAAGAAAGGAGGAATGAGATGAGCTCTGTTAACTGCAGCAGTCAGGTTCTGGGATGATTTAGGGATATGGATGGGTGGATAGAAGTGAGGTGAACAAAGGAATATCCTAGGAAAAGGTGTGGATGTGATTACGAATATGGGATGTCCAAGGGACAAGGATGAGACCCAATTACAGGGCTCTGATGCTTCCTTCTTCCCACTTTGTTTCTCTGCCTGCTTGTTTCCTTCTCTCCTTTCTGATAGCACTGAGCAATTGGGCTGAAAGTGTTATAAAATCTGGGCTGGAGTGACTCATTGGAGGCCATATTCAGACTGGTAAACAGATGAAGTCATTGGTAAAAAGAGGAGAAAGGGCCAGACATGCAGAGAGAAGGCGTTTAAGAGACCAGGTGGCCCCTAAGCAAGACAGACAAAGAGAGAAACAGAAAAACAAAGCACATTTTTCGAGGTTCCTAACAGCTTGCCAAGTCCCTGTTCTATTTCATATGCTCCATTTCAGTCTCGATGATCTGTAATATTTTTCTGTACTTCAGTAATCCTTTTGGGTTTTTTTTTTAAGTAAGTTTAGGAAGGTTTCTGTTCTTAAAATCTAAAGAGCCCAGACTAGAATATTACTTCACCTCCCTGCTTTCTTCTTTTTCTCCATTCTTATTTCTGAAAGCTTGGCATCTTTTTATTCTATAGAGTCTTATTTCTGCTTCTTTTCTCAGATACTCTCTTCTCTTGCTCATCCCATCCTGTTTACTTTTTATCTCCTTTGTGTGTGTGTGTGTGTGTGTGTGTGTGTGTGTGTGTGTGCGCGCGCACGCCTATTCCTGCTGTCTCTCCTTGGAACCAGCAAACCTTCTTCTCTGGAGTTATTTCATCTTCATCCACTTCATATAACAATTTATTTTCTAGAATCACTACATTCAAATTCAGCTCAGCCATTGAGGAAGAGAAGATTTACGGTCTCTCCCACCCTCATGCCTGAATTCAGAACATTGCCATTGTCTTCTCCACCTCCCTAACTCATTTGTTCATCTTCTGACCAATAGCCTTTATTAGACAGAAAAATCCAATTATCCAGAATCTACTGTTCAGTAGATTCCTACCACCATCTCCCACATTCACACACATACCATTTCCTACCTCTGCATTTTAAGAGAAAGCAACAGATCTAGGAGGAGAGGTTAGGAAATCACATTCAAGTTCAAAACAGTCAAATAGTATAGAATAGATTCAACTTGGTATATTACTTCATTTGAAAAAAGACCTGGGAATTTTACTTGATGACATGATATGGACGATTACAAAGGGAAGTCTGTTTTAACATACAGAAACAGAAAGCACATGTCTTCTTTGGAATAATAAATGCCTGTGCTGGTAGATTGTGTTCAGTGAAGCAAAGCATTTGTGGAGGCCAAGTGGCCTGAGCTCACCATTATTGAGGTGTGAAGATTGGAGGCTGAGTCTTGGTATAATCTATGAAAGTGGAGAGGAGATGGGTTGAGAGCTGTCCTCAAGTATCTGAAGTGCTGTTGTGCAAAGAAAGGGAATGGGCTGACTCCCTGTCCACTCTGGGAACAGGTGGACAGTTCAGTAAAGCAGATATTAAGCTCACAGGAATGAGAAAGTTGTGCTCATTAAAGATGCTTAAGTTTTCCCAAGAAGAGTCCAGTGCAGACTGAAGAATCTTAAGAATCCTGCCCTGACAAAACATTAAACATGATGTCTTCCCTTCCTTTTCTTACAAAAGAAATGCTTGTTTATAGCATCCAGTCAAATAATACTATATTTACGGTTCCATATCTCAGGGTAACTAAGGTTGCTAGTTTGGTGTATGTCTTTCCATACCTTTCTCTGTATCTATGAATACATATATTAACATTAATGAATGAACAGATATGACTTTGTTTTGTTTACAAAACTGAGATCACACTAGACATATTACTCAGTAATATACACATCCCTCCAGGCCAATTTACCTTCCTTGAAAGAGCTGCAGATATTCTAAAGCATAGATAAGCTATGACATTAAATCATTTCTCCATTGATAGATATTCACATTGTTTCTAAATTTTGCTATAACTAACAATGCTACAATACGTGTTCTCAGACATACAGCCATACCTTGTTTTATTACATTTCGCTTTATTGTGCTTCACAGATAGTATGTTTTTTACAAGTTAAAGGTTTGTAGCAACACTGCAACAAGCAAATCTATTAGCACCATTTTTCGAGCAGCATGTGCTCATTTCATGTCTCTGTGCCACATTTTGGTAATTCTTGTAATATTTCAAATGTTTTCATTATTATCCTTGTTATAGAGATCTGTGATCATTAATCTCTGATGTTAATGTTGGAATTCTTATGGGGTGTTTTGGGTTTCTCATTTTAAATCAAAAGCTAGAAATGATTAAGCTTAGTGAGGAAGACATGTCGAAAGCCAACACAGGCCCAACACTGGGCCTCTTGTGCCAAAGAGTTAGCCAGGTTGTGAATGCAAAGGAAAAGTTCTTGGAGGAAATTAAAAATGCTACTTCAGAGAGCACACAAATGATAAGAATGCAAAATAACCTTCTTGCTGACATAGAGAAGGTTTGAGTGGTATGGATAGAAGATCAAACCAGCCACAACATTTCCTTAAGCCGAAGTCTAACCTAGAGCAAGGCTCTCTCTTTTGTTCTATGAAGGCTGACAGAGGGGAGGAAGCTGCAGAATAAAAAATTTGGAAGCTAGCAAAGGTTGGTTCATGAGGTGTAAGAAGCCATCTCCATAAAATAAAAGTACAACATGAAGCAGCAAGTGCTGATGTAGAAGCTGCAGAAAGCTATCCAGAAGATCTAGCTAAGATCATGGGTGGCGGTGGCTACACTAAACAACAGAGCTTCAGTGTAGACAAGAGAGCCTTATGTTGGAAGAAGATCCAATCTAGGACTTTCATAGCTGGAGAGAAGTCAATAGCTATCTTCAAAGCTTCAAAGGATAAGCTGACCCTTTCAGTAGGGGCTAATGCAGCTGGTGACTTTAAGTTGAAGCTAATGTTCACTTACCATTCTGAAAGTCCTGGGGCCCTTAAGAATTACACTAAATCTATTCTGCCTGTGCTCTAAATGGAACAGCAAAGCCTGAATAGAGCACATCTGTTTACAGCATGGTTTACTGTATATTTTAAACCCACTGTTGAGACCTACTGCCTAGAAAACTAGATTTATTTCAAAATATTACTGCTCATTGACAATGCACCTAGTCACCCAAGAGCTCTGATGGAGAAGTACAAGGAGATTAATGTTTTCCGGCCTGCTAACAACATCCATTCTGCAGCCCACAGATTAAGGAGTCATTTTTGAGAAATATTATTTGAGAAATACGTTTTGAAAGGCTATCGCTACCAAAAAATAGTTCCTCTGATGGATCTGAACAAAGTAAATTGAACATCTTCTGGGACGCACTCACCATTCATTCTAGGTGCCATTAAGAACATTCATGATTTAAGGAAGGAGGTCAAAATATCAACATTAATAGGAGTTTGGAAACACTTGATTCCAACTCTCGTAGATGACTTTGAGGGGCTCAAGACTTCAGTGGAGGAAGTCACTGCAGTTGTGGTGGAAATAGAAAAAAAAAAAAACTAGAACTAAAAATGGAGCCTGAAGATGGGTCTTAATTGCTGCAGCCTCATGGTAAAATTTTAACAGATGAGGAATTGCTTCTTATGGATAAGCAAAGAGTGGTTTATTGAGGTGGGATCTACTCTGATGAAGATGCTGTGAATCTTGTTGAAATGACAACAAAGGATTTAGAATATCACGTCAATATTAATAAAGCTGTGTTAATAAAGTTAATAAAGCAGCAACAGTGCTTGAGCGGATTGTCTCTAATTTTGAAAGAAGTTCTGTGGATAAAGTGCTGTCAAACACCATAATATGCTACAGAGAAATCTTTCATGAAAGGAAGAGTCGATCGATATGGCAAACTTCATTGTTGTCTTTTAAAAATTGCAACAGCCAGCCAGGCGCGGTGGCTCATGCCTGTAATCCCAGCACTTTGGGAGTCCAAGGTGGGTGGATCACAAGTTCAGGAGTTCAAGACCAGCCTGGCCAAGATGGTGAAACCCCATCTCTACTAAAAATACAAAAATTACCCAGGCGTGGTGGCACGTGCCTGTAATCCCAGCTGCTCGGGAGGCTGAGGCAGAAAATTGCTTAAACCCGGGAGGCAGAGGTTGCAGTGAGTCAAGATCATGCCACTATACTCCATCCTGGATGACAGAGCAAGATTCCATCTCAAAAAATAATAATAAATAAATAAATAATAAAATAAAATAAATTGCAACAGCCACCTCAACCTTCAGCAACTACCACCCTGATCAATCAGCATCCATCAACATTGAGTCAAGACCATCTACCCGCAAAAAGATTATGATTCACAGAAGGCTCAGATGATCATTAGTATTATTTAGCAAAAAGTATTTTTTACTTCAGGCATGTACCTTGTTGTTTTAAACATAATGCTATTGTACACTTAATAGACTACAGTATAGTATAAGCATAACTTTATATACACTGGGAAACCAAAAAAATTTGTCCAACTTTATTGCAATATTCACTTTATTGTGGTGTTCTGGAACTGAACTTGCAGTATCTCTGGGACATGCCTGTATATTGTTATTTACGGATGTTTTTATAGGATGGATTTCATTAAAGTAAGGTTTACTAAGTTAAAAGATGTATATGTTATTTTAACAGCTACTTCCAGATTACCTTCTGAAAATCTTGTTGTAGTTTATGCTTCCATGAGTAAATGCTTGTTGTTTATTCCATCTCCAGGATAGAATGTTATATTTTTCTTTTTATACTTCCAACTGAGAGGCAGCATAGTATAGTGGTTTAGAGTTAGGACTCCCTTGGCTAGAAATACTGAGTACCTGTCTCAGCTCCAGCAAGTACTAGTTGTGTACTTTTAGCTAGGACACATTACTGCTTTGTGTCTCAGATATGCTGATCTGTAAAAAGAGGATGATATGAATACCTACCTCATAAAATTGTTATGAGTGTAAATGAATTAATAGTTTTAAGACTTATAACAGTGACTGGCATAGAGTAAATTCTTTATGCATAAAGGTTAAAAATTAAAAGATTCATCAGATTAATCTTTTATAAGATTAAAGATTTTAAAAATCTTAATTTACATCTCTTTACTAATGAGTTGGGCATATTTCTATCTATGTCTTGGTCATTTTCTTTTCCCTTTTTCTGAATTTTTCATTCCTATTTTTGCCCATATTTTTACTGAGCTGTTTGTCTTTTTACTAATTTTCATGAACTCTTTGTATATCATAAATAGTAACCCTTTTCCTGTCATTTTTATCTTCCATAAGTGATTTTCTTTTTATGATTATAAAAATAATCAGAATTTTTAAAATTAACATAAACCTTCAATCAGTATAGAACTATAAAAATCATTTTAAACCCATAGTCTTAGTCTATTTTGTGTTTGTATAATAGAATACCACAGACTGGGTAATTTATAAAGAAAAGAAATTTATTTCTCACAGTATTAGAGGCTGGAAAGTTCAATATCAAGGTGCCAGCATCTTGTGAGAGTCTTCATGCAACATCACCCCATGGCAGAAGCAGAAGGGCAAAAGAGCACCCCGGGGAGGCAGGCATCAGTTTTTAACAAGAGGTCTTATTTGATTCTGATGTGCAGCCAAGGTTGGGAATCAGACAATGTAACCCTGAAATGTCAATCTTAAGTCAATTTGTTTCTAAATCAAAGTGTTGCTAGTAATTACTACTGCCATCTGTTGGTGGGAGGCAGAACTGACATTCTATGGATATCTATGAAAGGCCATGTTTTTTAAATTCTTAGAAATGCATCTTTGTGTTTATCCAGACCTTTTTAATGTAAATGACTTCTCAGGTAACTTCCAGCTGTAAGATTCTTGAAGTTAATATCAAATTTGTATTTATCTTCTTGGTTCTGTATATTCCACGGTAATAAATGACAGAATGCAGTGTGATACTTCGGAGGCTTGGTCAATCCTCGGTGATCAAAGATTCAGTGATATTTATCCTAATAGTAGGAAAAAGTAATACTTCATCAATAACAGTTAAAAAACAGCAAAAACAATTTTTGTGCTTAATCCTAACCAAACTAACCAAAAATTAAACCACCGCCTCTCCCAATCCCACTCTCCCCAGCTATAAATGTTAATTGAAATTTTCCTCTACTGGGGTATTTTAAGATGTCTCTTTTTTTCTTGTGGCATTACACAATGTAAAACATCAAAGGAAATAACAGGAAAGGCAGTGAACAGGGAAACACACTTTGAGAAATAGTGATATTGGCATAAAAAGTAAGTGTCTGGGGAAAAAATAAGATAAAACTGGCAGAATTACAGGTTTCTGCATGAGTTGGTAATTAGCGAGTTTATCTTCTGAGAAAAAGGTATCTTTCCTCTCCTTTTTATAGTCAGGCCAAAAGAAGTCAATGACACAAAGAGCATGAAATTTTTTGCCATGCAAACCATTTTTGATGCACTGAATTTAAAATATATACATTAATTCCCCAGGCAGCTTTTATGCATTTATTATTCTTACAGCTGGCCATAGGGGATAAGTCTTTCAAATATATATTTTATATGTCTTTGAAATATAGATATTAAACATAGATATTTTATATATTTATGTATATATGTATATATCTTTGTATATGAAGTACCTTTTAATCCAAAACGTCTTCATGAACTGAAACTTATTGCTGGTCTATTGTAGAAGTTAGTACTTGGTTTCTTCTATGCACCCTAGATTTGGACTGTGTTCCAGGAGAGTGTCCTTAAGACTTGGGTTTTTCAGCCTTGGAACTGTTGACATTTTAAGCTAGATAATTTTTTGTTTCAGGAGGAGCTACCTTGTTCATCAAAATGAGTTTAGCTACCTCCCTAGCTCCTGCACACGGATGCCAGTAACATCCCCTCTATTGTGGCAACCAAAAATACCTCCAGACACTGCCCAGTGGCAAAATCGCTCCTAATTGAGAAACACTGATTTAGAGGATTGAATGCTTATGGCCCTGCTTTCGTGGGATGAATTGTCATTTCTTTAAAAACAACTTATCTGATTCCTCAGTCTAAGTTAGAGCCCCTATTTCTTTCTCTCATGAAACAATATACATCTCTTTGTAGCATCAGTGACAGTTTATAACAATGTATTTACTTAGAGACATTAATGTCTTTCTTCCCTGTTAGACTTTAAATTCTACCCCTTAATCTCTTTTGTTCACTGTGTACACATACTACCTAATACAGTGATTGGCACTTAATAAATGTTTGTCAAATGAAAGAATATAATTCTAAGATATTTAATGACCTGAAACACAAAGCCTGACTTGGTTCAAAGAGGTTTTTCTTCTCAGGCTTATTTCAATCTGTATGACAAAGCCAGTAAAAGAAGAAATTAGGGACATATTGAGGCTGTTGAAGGGTGTGAGCAGGGAAATCTCAAAATTATATTATTTGGATAGGATTCCCAGGGGGTTTTGGCGGGGTGCTGGTGAGTGGCAGTTTCATTCTGGAAACAACAGCTCTGATATGTCGCTGTAAGCCAGAGCCAGCCTATCACTCCTGCTTTCTGAACACCATCCACCATTGATCCATGGAAGAAACAGGTTTTTTGACCAAAGTGAGGTTTAACGCTCCACTAATTCTTTGAGGGAAAATGCCCCAGGACCAGGAGAAATATATCTATAGAAAATAAACATCAGTATAGATAGCACAAGAGGCCTTTAAATGCTTCTTTTCACGTTTTTAAAAAATGGAATTAAGATGCATATTTTTTAAAATGAAAAATGACTGGCATTCTTCCTACTGAAAATGAAAAGTAATTTAATTTGTTAGTGGTTTATTTTATTTGACAGTCATTGTACATACTCTATTTGGTTTGTTACACTGAATTACCCTTCAATAATGGGTACACACAATGCCAGACTCTGCCCCCCAGGTTGCTTTGATAATTGGATGAGCGTCCATATTGTTCAAGATTTTCATGACAATGAGGACGGAGCTATTTGCAAAACTCCTAACCAGGAGAGCTTTCAGCTTTTTAAATTCTCAATAAAGTTAATCTCTATCCAATGACCAATCATTCCCCTGGCTACTTTTCCTAAGCAACCTTAACATTATATAATCATGACTGAATTCCCTTGGTGGATGGAAGAGATGCTAAAACCTCATAGTCAATATAGAAAAGTCAGAAAATCTTCCCCAAGCAATCTTTCAGAATGGACCATTTTTCTACAATTGGAAGTTAATGGTAAGAATGCTAATAATAGCTACCATAGGGGCTGGAGCCAGACAGCTGACATCCAGGGACAATTCTACCCCTTGGCAACAATATGACCTTGGGCAAACTTCATGACCTGTGTTGCTTCAGGAGTTACATCCATAAAATGACAATGATCTTAGTACCTACTTCATAAGGCCATTGTGAAGATTCAATAACATGATGTGCATAAATGATTAGCACAATCCTGGCACAAATCATGTCTCCATAAATGTTTCTTCGTTAGATGGTATGTGTCAATCGTCATGCTAAGTTCTCCTAACAGTGCTACTGAAAATGTTACATATCCCCAACGTTAAGGAGGGGAATACTGATATCAAGAAAGACTAAGCAGCAAACCCAAGGCCACATGGTTGGTAATTAGCACAGCCAGGATCCAAGCCCAAGTCCACATAACTCTAAAAACCCTCTTATACCATTCAAATTGTGTGCTTGTGTACCTCCAGAAGAATTTTGAATAGCTATGTACTTTCCTGAGCTTTTTAAAGTAGGTAACTAAGCATTTCCATTGTAATGTTAAATAATTGCAGAAAATGTGATTTCAAAGTATTTTAAACATTGGCAGTTTAAAATAAAGCTTTTATATCATCTTTTGGTTGCATCCAGTGGGATTTAAATACCTCATTACTGGATACTCACCAATACCCACTAAAAGAATATGTGAACAAATTTTTTTTAAGTCAAAAGCTTCATATTATTATTTTTTCTTCTTCAAACATCTATTTTTATTGCATTTCCCCTAAATCATGTTAAAAGGTTTTTGATCATTTCTATGACAAATATAGATGTAAATAGACTTTTTCTTTTATGAATATATGACTGTAAGACTTTAAAATTATCTTCTGGGTTTAGTTGTTGCTTTGACTATTAATAGAACACAATACATCAAAACAGCATAAACATATAATTCTGACAAATGATGAATAAATATAAAAAGTAACATTTTATTAGAAATGCATCTCATAATGATCTGGGGATGGGGGCGTCTATGCGGCCTTGATTAAAAGTATCATGCAAATGTCCCTCTCAGGAATGTTTATGAATTGCATAGTACACCTTGGTAAGATTCAGGATAAGTTAAAGTACATCTTCTATATCTTTCTTTTGAAAAAGGAAGAAGGAGAACCTAGGCTGTGGGTACTCCTGAGAAGATCTGATTTTAGGAAGGAGAACATGGAAGTTAGGAACGAAGAAATGAATTTCCTTAAAACTTTTTCACATAGTTCTTAGGAAGTCATCCACCACTGCTGTTCCTAGGGGAATGGTATTCTCATTGAAGACGGCTGCTCTGTACCACTGAGCTGTATTCTTTGGAATTAGGATATTTATAGGAGGACCCAATGCTCTCCCATTTTTATGACAACTTACTCCCTCTTCCTTGAAAATGAAGTCTGGGTCCCAGTTGTTACTAAAAAGTCATGAAGGCTGTTTCTTGAAGGAAGCCCAGTGAAAAGGCAAGGTGATAAATTTGAAGCGAGGCCGGAATCTGGAATTTCCAAGCCCCTCTGAGAGATTTACCGTCTAGTGCCTCAAGATGGGATAACATATTCACCCTCAGATTCTCCACTGGGCCTCAAACCTGTGGTCCCAGAGCACCAGGGTCAGGGTTTCCGTATACCTAGGATGAGGTGGACACCCAGGACTTCCGCTCTCATCTTTGTCTTTTCTAGGTCAAGCAGCCTTCCCAAAAGGGGTGGTTTGAGTAAGAAGAAGGAGGGGGTTACATATTGCCTACCTCCTCTAAGCTTCTCAAGGATACTCTGTGTGGCAACTTCTCAGCATGTAGTAGATGCTCAATAAATGTTTGTTGAAGGCCTTATCTGGGGCCAGTGTGTGGTTATAACCTTCCTATGTGCACTTCCTAATTGATGATACAGAACCCACCAAACCCCATGACCTTGATATATACTGTCAGTCTAAATGTAATCTCAATTATTTGGAGAGGGGAATGGGGAGCATCTGTTGAACACTAACAAGGAGATATGGAGCAAGTGTGGATTTAAATTGACAGCAATTTTTTCAAAAGACCCCATAATGTTGATTATGTTGTACGTATCATAATGAGCTGGGGATGGGGTCGTCTATGGGGCCTTGATTAAAAGTATCATGCAAATGTCCCTCTCAGAAGTGTTTATGAATTGCATAGTACACCTTAGTAAGATTCAGGATAAGTTAAGGTACATTTTCTATATCTTTCTTTTGCAAAAGTAAGGAGAACCTACCCTGTGGGTACTCCTGAGATCTGATTTTAGGAAGGAGAATGTGGATGCTCCTTCCATAACATAATTGATTATGCTTGTACGTAACAAGCAATGGTATTCAAAGGTTTGTCTGTTCACCTCAATGAGATTTGACCTAGAGTTACTAAACAGCTAAAATCCATCCACATCCTACAGACAGACATCTCTCTTTTCTTCCTTCTCCATGACTTCATCTTTTCTGTTCTTTATCTCCTATCTGGCCATCTCTTCTCTCTTCTCCGAGTCTTGCCTTGAATCTGTCAATTTACTGAGCTACTGGAGGTTGCCATGGTAAACACAGCTGTTGTTTTTTCTCTGTGAAAAACTCCTCTCATGAAGGCGCATTGAGGGGAGTCCTCCCCATGGCCTCCCCTTGCTGTGCCTTTTCACATATGTTTTTTAAAGTGGAGGCTTCAGGGGCTTCCTGTTTTCTAGGGCTCTACTCTGCTTTAATTGCATGTCTCTGAAGCAAGGCACTGTGACCCGCCAACCCCCACTTAGGTGTCATGGAAGATTGTGAAGAATCGCTGGTGTGGTCACCAAATAAGCCAAATGACAGCAACATTCATTTTGTTAGTAAATGCGTTCTGGGAAGTTAAAGATGATCTGGTATTTCCCAAGAGGAGAGGCGGGAAAGATAATAAGAACCTGAGGGAGGAAGACTCAAAGCGGGTGAGCAGAGACAGAAGGAATGGTGAGGGAGGATAGAGTCCCATATCAGGCAGCTACTCACAGGTAGCCACACCTCCCTGAGCTTTCCTCACCCGCACAGTGAAGGTGGTGATCCGGCCCTGACTACTGATCCAACATCTTCTCCAACTGCCATGCTTCCTTACTCACTCCTCTCCAGCCATAAAAGCTCTTTGCTGACAGGTACATGGCACGTGCCTGTAGTCAGCTACTCAGGAGGCTGAGGCAGGAAGATCACTGGAGCCTAGGAGTCCTGGGCTGTAGTGCCCTATGCTGTTAGGATGTCCACACTAAGTTCACATTAATATGGTGGCCTCCCGGGAGTGAGGGACCACCAGGCTGCCTAAGGAGGGGTTAACCTACCCAGGTCAGAAACAGAACAAGTGAAAACTCCCGTATTGATCAGTAGTGGGATCGTGCCTGTGAATCACCAGTGCACTCCAGCCTGGGCAACATAGCAAGACCCCATTTCTTACTTAAAAAAAAAAAAAGCTCTTTGCTATTGTTCCTCCTGTACTCTGAGCACACTCCAACCTCAGTGCCTTTGCATTTCCTGTTCCCCCTGGCTGGAATGCTCCTCCCCACATTGCTGCATGGCTCCCCCTCTCACTTCATTCAGGTCTCTGTTCATACCCCACTCCCTCAGAGAGGCCTTCTATGACCACCCCACCTCAAAGAGCATACCTCTCGCTTGCTAGCCCCTTACCCAACTCAGGTTTTCCTCATGTACACATACACACAAGAACTTATGTACCACAGAGAGTTCACTGTTGTGGCACCGGTCCCTAGAATATGTCTGCTATTGAGGAGGGATTTAATAAGTATTTGTTGAATGAATAACTAAATCACTGACCTCACCCCAGAAGCACAGTTACCCATCGTTATGTGTATACTTTGCTGTCTCTCCTCTGAGTTTGCACACTGCTGGTCCCTCTGACTGAAGCCCAGTTCCCTCCCCTCCCTACCCCCCACCTCTCTTTGGGGACCTCCCACCCACCCTTCAAGCCCTGCCTAGCTTGGTAGTCTTCTCCTTTCTGAGGTCTGCCTTGGGATCCCCAGGCAGGACCCGTTTGGTTCATACGGCCTGGGCAGTGCCTGATGACCTCCATGGCAGCGTGATCGCCCTCGCTGAAAGATCTATTTACTTGTCTGCCTCCCAAGCATCTGAGTGTGCCTTAAGCGACTAAGGGTATAGACTCCTGAGTCAAGGAGTGGCAGGAGTGCCAGGCCTGAGTACTCGCCCTGCCTCAGACTCACTGTGAGCCTTCAGACAACTTCACCTTTCTGCCTCAGCTTTCTCATCTGTGCAATAGGGATTGTAACATCTACCAAGTTAATCATAGGATAGCGATGAAAATTCACTGAGGAACTGCTGAAGTGTTTAAAAAACTCTGAGCAGTCAGTTGGGGAAGAGGATAGACTGAAGGCTGTGCGATTTGAGGTGGGATGGTCACGGAAGGCCTCCCTGAGGGGGTGACATTTGAGCAGGGACTGATTGAAGTGAGCGGGGAAGCCGTGCCACTCTCTGGGGGGGAAGAGCTTCCCAGGAATATTACAACTGAAATATATCTCTGTAAGCTTTATTGCAGATTAGATTCAGGCTGCTCTTTTGGGGCTTGGGACATTATTCGGTTGATATTCTAATATAATACTGGGTGTCCAGGCAAGACACAGTGCTGGGATGTGCGTCCTTTGAAAGCAGCCTAGGAGAATGAGCTGAAACTCAACCAGGGTCAGAGAGGAGGGTGAAGCACCTGAATCGGGGGACATCACTGAATTCCAGCTGCTCAACACAGAACCACCTGCAGACAGGCCAAGGACTGACCGCTCAGAGGGCCAAGGACTGACCACTGTTCACTCAGCACATCCCTTGTCTCCGCCTTGATCCTAGCCCCATCAATTACTCTGCCAACATGGCTCAGACAAGGTTTGAACTGAGTTAAGACGTCCTGGCCTGATCTGAATTTTGTCTGGCTCTGCTTTTGTCATTTGGCAAAAGGGCATTCTGGTCCTGTGGAGGATGGCTCAGGCAGATGGTGTGTGGGAGCAGAAGTCTGGGACAGGAAGCAGAGACCTAGGCTGTGCAAGCAACCCCGGAAGGGTGACCATGGACAAGGTGCTTAACCTCTCAGACCTCAATGACCTCATCTGTAGATTTCAAGAACTACCCTGGCTACTCACTTTCATACTTTGCTTATCCACAGAAATAGTTCTTTCAGCATGATATTATTGAGGATGCAAGCATATAATACCAAGAATAATGAAGGAGGAGAGGCCTAGACACTATGGCCTCCCACTGTAAGACTCCCACCACACACACAGATGATGTCCTAGGAAGAGGCTCTAAGGCAAAATGTTCCCTGATTTGATGTCACATCCATACACCACAGAGCCTTTCCAAAGTGTTAGGTTAAACCGCATGAGATTGCTGATATTTCACAATTTTTGACTTGCAAACATGGCAGTTTTGTATTTCAACCTAATAGTTTCATTCACAGTAGTGGCTAGGTGTGCTCATTCAGGAACCAAATTAACTGGCTTCAGATCCTAGCCCCCAGCTTATTCTTTGTGTGACATTGGACTGGATACTCCACCTCCCCCCACCTCCCCTGTAAAATGGGGCAAACAGAGGAATCTTCCTTGGAAGGTTGGTTACTGAGGGCGCTGGAGGAGATAACACCTTGGAGTTGGGTGGGGCAGGGAGTCAGGGGTTCTAAACTCAGTGACTGGCACAAGAAGCTCTCCGTGTATGTTTCCAGAGACAACCTTAACAATTGACTGTGGACCTGACTCAGGGAATAGTGTCCGGATCTCCTTCCTGCCTGGCCTTAAAGGGAGAATGTGGCCAGAGCAGATGAAAAACACAGTCGCAATGTGGTTTCCTAATCGGTCCATCGTGTCCTGCTTGAACCACCAAACTTCCCTCTTTCTCCTTGTGAGGGGAGTCACTGGGCAGCAGACAAGCCTTGACGTAGGCCTGGGACTGATGTTGGAATACCACGAGCGGCATTCAGCTCTCCATCCCCCCTGTCTTATCTGAGCAAAGCATTAGAGGCTCCATCCCCAGATACCTACACGGAGCCCTTCCCCATTAAGTAGTACATCATGGAATATGTCAGCCTAAATTAGCAGGCAGGCCCATCACATTAAGCTGAAGCTGTGGGCTGGCAGCTCCCACTCTGTAATGCCTCTTGTTCCTGGCTGCATGCTCCCTCCCATGTCGCCACAGCCACAAGAAATCTCTGCAGACAATGCACGGTAACTGAGGAGGCCCGGGGAAGAGTTTAGGAGGAGCCACAGGAAGTCCTGCAGATTCCATTTCTTTTGTGACCCTTGGGGTCCTGCTTTGAGCTCTGGTACCTCTTGACGGCAGAGGAACCAGGTAGCAACCACAAGCTTCAGGTGGGGAGCTCCTTTGTGACAAACTATAAAAGCATGGCACACATTTCTGAAAAAATAGATGCCCTGTTCAAATACCATGAACACCTACAACACCTAATTGAGGTTTCTTAACTACCACACTACTATGAATACCACTACCATTATAACTACCAGTAACACTAGTTATTCCATAAATTCTCCTGGCAATTTATGTCACTTTCAGAGCATTTATCATACCTACCCTGTGTGATATTTCAATGTGATGTGGTACAGTGGAAAGAACATTCACTTTCCAGTCCCCGAATTAAACCTAGCTATGCTTCCTGTAGCTGGGCAACCCTGGGCCAGTGACTTAGCCTCTCTCTGCCTGAGTTTTCTGTTTGTATGAGTACCTATTTCACAGAGCTTTTGAAAGAATTACCTGAGATTATGTATGAAGAATACTTGACACAGAGAAAATGCCCAATAAATATTTTGGTGTAGTGTTTCTCAGGGCAAAGTCACTTTTTTATCCATCGCAATGCCTTAACTCAGGCATGCCCTTAGTTGATGTCCAAAAGTGTATGATCTTCACTTTAAAAATTCTACCTCATTCTTCCTCTAACTTGTTTTCCATTGTACATCTGGACTGATCTAGTCAAAACCTGGATTTGATTATATCACAATCATTGCAAATCCTTTCATTTTTTTCCCTATTCACTTGGAATAATGGCAAAACTTTTTGGGGGGGGGTGTTGCCTCCTACCTAGCCTGTCACCTCATCTCCCACAATAGCTCCCTTCACTACTTCTGTCTCAACTACAGTGACCTATCAGTTTTTCACTCTTGCCTTGTTCACCTCTATCACGGGACCTTTGCACATCCCTCAGACACATTCTCCCTTTCACTCCCCTCCTGGCCTGGTTAAATCCCTACCCATCTTTCACATTCCAATACATACATTCTCAGGGAAGCCTCTTCAGTTCTCCCTGAGCAGGTTAAATCCCTCTTGGCAGTATATCCTCTCTTTTGCGCACCTAGCCCTTTTAATTATGTCTATCTCCCCTGACAAGAACAGGTATATGATGCCAGGACCTGTGTCTGGTTCTGCTTACCAGTTGAACACTCCAGGACTTTGTGTGGCACTCAGTAAATATTGTTGAAAGAGTGGGTAGGAGGATGCATTGGAGGTCAGATCATCTCAACAAAACCCCAAACCACCCTTTGCGATAGTGAGAGCACAGGGAGCATGGTCACTGTTTTGCAGACAGTGCAATTGAGCTCAAGCTTAGGAGGAGCAGGTTAGTTGCCCAGACCTCATAGCCTATTGGTTAGTGGTGAATCTGATCAGAACCCTGGTCTCCCATTCGCTGCCACACACACTTAATCTATAGGCCCTTATCCGTAATTGGGATGGGGGACCACAAAGACTTTCCTTCCCTTTCCTTTCCTAGTATTCAGAGGACCCCTGACCCTTCTACAGCCACACCTCAAGTCACCTGTGGTTTCTGGGTTATCAAGTACCACATCTGTCTAGAATTCTGTGTTTCCTCTGAATCATTGATTTGATTTAAAAACTCCCGCATAGGTGAGTTAAAGTCCCTCAAGTCTGAACTGGGAGAATTCTTTTTTCTAAAAGGTTATGTTGGTGAGGTGACTGCACTTCAGAAAATTTAACTTTTGTTTTTCTTCTCCTCGCCACCTGGGTTGAAGCCAATCCAGAAGTTGAAGTCTTAATCTACCACCTGGTATCAAATCAGTCGGGGCTCAGTTGCAAGAAATGATTTGCTTGAAAAGAAAATAGCTTTGGTTATTTTATTATCTTGTTTCTATTAAGTGACCACACCTGTGTTGTGGGGTTTTGTCTGTCTTGGGTGTTTTTTTAGTTTGTTCCCTCTCAGGCATTAGTGTTCTTATTCTCTTTCTTTGTAGCCAGTTCACCCAGAACTCAAAGGAGGAAGAGTGATAGGTCTTTGTTCACATTTGCCAGAAAGACGGTCATGTGTGGGAAACTATTTAGTTGCCGATTCTCTGATCCACCAGAAAGAAATCATTTAATCATGTATTCTTACTCATTCAACAAATACTTACTGAGAAGTATTTATGTATCAGTAAGGTGACCATATCATTAATGTTCAAACTGGGACAGTTTTGCATGTAAAAGTGGACACTACCTGGTTCGCACTCTAAGACAAATATAAACCAAGATTTTCTCAGTCAGATGTCATTGGGTTCCCTATATATTAGTGGCTGAATTTGGACGATTAGAGTCTTGGGTGATGCTAAAGTTTCCCAAAATGCCCTTAAGGATTAAGGACAAAGCCAGGAAGGGGTATAGCTTCCAAAGCCATGAGATGAAAAGACATAAAAGATAAATTTAGATTAAAGTTGAACTAGACATTTCTAAAATTTTCCCACAACTCCCTTTTTTAAATAGATTTCATGTTTAAAAAAAAAATAGAACAATGTCTCTGGAAGGTAATGACTCCACAATGGAAGCCAAGTTCCCCTGAGATGAGGCTACCTGGAGGGGCTTAGAAAAATGTTTAGAATTTATAAAGAATGAAATTTCCCACCAGGGCTAAGTGATGGTGATATCTTTTGAAAGAGGAGGAACAGAATGGAACAAGAACAGTGTGTGATTCGTTATTAGCCTCTTCTTTCTCTAACTTGGAGTTTCTTCAATGTGGCTATTATTTTGTGTGTGATAATAAATGATATTAGCATGCACACTCTTTTCCTATGGAAGATCTTTGGTTCTGAAGTGATTTGTTTCTCTTGCATCCCAGGTGCCTGTCCTGAGACCCATGGACCTGATGGTGGAGGCCACCCCACGAAGAGTATTTGCCAACGCACACACATATCACATCAACTCCATATCTGTCAACAGCGACTATGAAACCTACATGTCCGCTGATGACCTGAGGATTAACCTATGGAACTTTGAAATAACCAATCAAAGTTTTAGTATCCTTTCTTTGTGATCAAGAATCAACTGGCCTGAATTAAGAGTATTCAGGTGCGAGTGGGCTGGGAGAAAATATGGAATAGAAATGCAACACCTAGCATTTGCGGAGAACTTGCCCCTTTTAAAATACACTGGCACCTATGAGACTCTTTAATCATAACAATAAAGTTAGGGAAATATTGTTATTACAAGTGGGAGGCCAGGGCTAGCTCTGGATTGGGACTCTGAATCAATTCCTTCATACAGAGGCATTTATATGTCACGAATTAAAATTAGAGGTGATTTTATCAACAATAGGATAAGACCCTAGAGTTCAGGTTCTTTCTCTGTTAAAGGATTCATAAATCTGTATGGACAGCATGGACCACAGACATACTGGTTTCCATTGTCTCATAATAGTGAAAATAATAGTGACTGACATTTATTGAGTTCCAAGCACTTGCAATGGGAACTTTATAGTATTACATTTTTTACCTCATTGAAGTATATTATGCATATAGAAAAGTACATATTATAATTGTACAGTTTGATGAAATGTATAGTATACATATTATAATTGTACAGTTTGATAAAATGTACAGTATACATATTATAATTATACAGTTTGATGAAATTTCAGAGGTTGAACTCACCTATAACCAGCATTGACATCCAGAAACAGAACTTTGCTAACAATTCTCAAGCCCCCATCATGCCTCTTTATATTAATAATTTCTACCCCCAAGGACATATTTGATAAAACAACCCCATAATGTAAGTATCATTATCTCCTGTTTAATTAAAATATAGAAAAGTCGGCTGGCCGCAGTGGCTTATGCTTATAATCCCAGCACTTTGGGAGGCCTAGGTAGGTGGATTGCTTCAGGTCAGAGGTTTAAGACCAGCTTAGCCAACGTGGCAAGGCCCCAACTTTACTAAAAATACAAAAAAGAAATTAGCCAGGCATGGTGGCGGGCGCCTGTAGTCCCAGTTACTTGGGAGGCTGAGGCAGGAGAATCGCTTGAACTGAGGAGGCAGAGGTTGCAGTAAGCCGAGATCGTACCACTGCACTCCAGTCTGGGTGACAGAGCCAGACTCCATCTCAAAAAAATAATAAAAATAAAAAATATATAGAAAGGTAAAAAAAAAAAATGCTGAATAGCTGGGCCAGTATTTTCACCCCCACTATGTTGACCCTCTATTTCATAGTAAAAATTGGTCATTTATTGAATACCTATCATGTGCTCCATTTCTCACAAACCTAAGGCATGAGATTTATGAGGAATGGCACTGAACAACTCAGGTAACTGAACAATTGACCTAGGTATCAATATGGAGTTTTCTCTTCCACTTACCAGCCTCCCCTACTCTAACTCCATCTATCCATGAGCCCTGCCTCTAAAATATATGTCAAATCAACGCATATATCCCTATCTACCTACCTACACTAGCATAAGCCACTGTTGTCTCTCACCACTGTGACTGCAATAATCTCATCTGGTCTCCATTCATTCTTGCTCTTTTATACAGTACGAACCCTTCAACATGTAATTCAAATATCATTCCTTCCCTGATAAAAAACATTCCAGTAGCTTCCCACTAAACTCAGAATAAAATCCAAGTTATTTAACTTGGCCTATAAGATTCTGCGTGATCTGGAACCTGTCTCCATCTTTGTTATCCAGTCTTGTCACGCTTCCCTAATTCACTTCATTTCAGCCAACTAATCACTTTTCTGTTCCTAAGTAAACCTTATTCTTCCATTCTTTGCATTTGCTGTTCCCTCTTTCTAGAATATTTTGCCCACAGCATTCACATGGCTAGTTACATGTCACTTCAGGCCCCAGAGGTACTCTTTCCCATTAACTCTTAAGTAGCTACCAATAACACTATCCCTGTTATTGTCATGGTACTTACCATGATTTGAAATTTTTTTACTTATGTATTTTTGGTTTCCTCATGTTAGGATGTAAATTCTACAAGAGCAAGGGCCTTGTATGAACTATTGCTGTATTCCAGTACGTGGAACACTCTGACATACAGAAAATTATTGAACCTGTCAAGTTCGAAATAATAGTAGGTCATCAAAGTAGCGCTATCCAGTAGACAGTTCATAAAATCTAACCTGGAAATTTAATTTTAAGAGTTATAGTAAAGCTCTGAAGGTTCGTTTATAGAATAGACCCCATAATGGCTCAAACAAATAAAAGATTATTTTCGTATGAAGTCTAATATTGATGATCCCCATCAGCAGGCAGCCTCCTCCAATCAGTAATTCAGAAACTCGGGCCTCTTTCATTTGCAGCTCCCCAATGTTACCATGTTTATAGCAGGACTGTAAAAGGGGAAGGTCATGGAAGATCACAAGTGGGAGATTCCTCTGAGCCATGCCCTAAAAAAGTATGCATTCCATTGGCTAGAATTCAGCCACATGGCTAACTCTTAACTGCAAGGCAGCCTAGGAAATGTAGTCTGGCTGTGTGCCCAGGATAAAAAGACCCGGTTTTGGTACACAGCTAGCTAGTCTCCACCATGGAGAGCACTCAACCGTCTCCAAGGGCTTTCAGGGAAGGCAGCTTTAATCAGATAGTGGCAATTATGAGATATATTTGGAGACAATGAGAACTGACCATCAGGACCATGCCTGGCATATTTTGTTGATCACGGAACAGACTCCACATGCTGTCTGGGCCTGCCTACAGATTTTGCCTGGCAGTGCAGCTGCTAATAGAATGAGTGTGGGTGGTGGTTCCCTTTTTCTCTCTCCATCTATTCCAAGAGCCAGAAATCTGCTCAGGCTCAGCTGGCTGTCACTCTGAGCTTCTGCTTCCCCAGTCTAGGTGACATGTTTTCTGAATTTTGCCTCTAGGCCTTCAAGGGGGAGGGGAGTTTCTTTAGGCATTTTGGGAGACAGATGCCTTGGGGAGAATGCAAAGGGGAAATATTAACAGCGCAGTTTAGGTTATATTCTGCAGATGTGTGACAGACTGCCAGATGCTGGCATACAAATGAGACCGTGCCATTCACCCTTAAAGCAGCCATATGTAAAATAATCATTGTCATCATGAGAACGATGATAAGTGATATCTATATAGTTCTTTTCAACCAGACCGCCCTAAGCACTGAGCCTCTCATCACTGAAGTATAGCCACCTCTGGGGTAGGAAGCGGCCATCTTTCAAAACAGTCTCAGAAAAATACCAGCCACCAGGCAGGTCTCATTTCCACAATGCCCCTTATTCACAAAGGAGACAGAAGAAACATGGTTCAGGATAGAATAATTTGGGATTCCCAAAGCATAGTGTGGCTACTACTGGGGATGGTAAGCAATGTGCTTCTAAGCAATAGTGAACGTCAAAAAACATAACCATCATATCCTACAATTTCATAGATATTCAAAATCTATTTAGATTACAAAGTAAGTGTATGTAAAGCATTAAGTAAATAGTGAGACAAGGGATCTGGAGATATGGTTAGAAAACAGTCATGACTTCCTGTGACTGGCATTTGGTGTGACTTTGGCATTACGGTTGAGAACTCAGGCTTCAGAGTCCAACAAGTGATAGAGGTCTCACCCAGCCCTACCACTTTTCTGGCTGTATAAGCTTTAACATGTTCTTAATCTATCCAAGCCTCCATTTCTCATTTTGTTCATCTGTAGAAAGCAGCTCTATCACGAGAGGATTATGAAAATTAAACACACACACACACACATACGCACGCACACATTTAGGGTAGTGCCTTGCTAAGCAAATGCTCAGTAAACAGGACTAGCACAATCATGATAATTATTGAGAGAACAAGGAAACTAGAAAAGTTGAACATTAGAATGGTAGCTTTTATTCTGCTAATTTTATTATCTGGATTGTCTTTTCAATTCTAGACTCTTCCTTTGGTTCTGCAGTTGGGTGTCCTTTGCAAGATGCTGCCCCCTAGTTACTAAATGTTTTCAGGAACTCTGAGGTCTAGGGCCTTGTGTTTAGCACCAGATCAGAGCAAGGCATTTCTAAACCTCATGATAACTGGTCATGAATTCTCTCCCTTCCATCCATAGCCAGTCTGTCCTTGTCTTGTGTAACAGTTTCCCACATAAGCAGTCAAACTTTCGTCTTAATAGGCTAACTACATCAGGACTATAACAACTCATTAATAGATTAGTAGTTTTCTAGGGCAAGAGACAATAGCAATAAATGAAAATTTATATTAAAAGATGTTGCTTCTTTATGAAAACTATGGTATACCTAGAATCCTTTGAACTCTTTTTGCAGGACTAAGAATGAACTGACCTGAGTTCTTACCTTGTCCAACATGGGATCTATTAAATAGGCCCATATCGAGTAAAAATAAAGACTAGCCCTCAACGATGATAAATTGAGCACCTAGTTTGTGCCAGGCATGAAAATGGGAAAAAACAAATTTGCCGCTTTCAGAGTAATGTTCATCAAATACACTGAGTATATAATTACAAACTGAGATAATTTCTGTGAAGACAGGGAATATGGTTCTATGAATGCATTTTTAAAAATCCTGCTATAGACCAGGGAAGGCTTTGCTGAAGAATTAGTTAAGATCTGAAAGAGGAAGACTATGAACTAACTTGGCAAAGAGGTGTGGAGACATGTGTTCAGTGTGTACAGAGGTCCTGTGGCAGGAGAGAGTATGACATGTTGGAGGAATTCTAAGAAGGCCACTATTTTTGAAGCCCAGAGAGTGAAGTGGAGCATGGAGTAAGCAAGGCTGGGAAGGGTAGCAGAAGCCTCACCTTTCAGAAGTCCAGTCTCTGAATATGAGATAGAGGACTTATCTGGGAGAAGCCAGCTGGACTCTAGGGATACTTCAACTTTGACCTTGGTCCTAACAACCCTGTACAGTGGCTTCATTTTATTTGTCAACCAAGCTGAAGCCCTGTTAGAGTCGATTCCCTAATTAAGGGACCAGGTAGCCTCAACTCTTGGCTTCCAGGTTCTAGCACTCATTACTACCATGGACAGCAGCTTCCTTTTAATTCAGTGGGATTCTGCCAGGCAGGCTTCCAGGGGAACTGTGGGGTCTAGTACAAGTTTCTCCCCTGTTGCTGCTTCAGTGGCTTTCACCCTGCCCAATACATATTTAATATGACACCATGTGTCTCTTTGTCAGTCTCCTCATATTGAGCCTAGGAATTGGCAAACACTCCATGAATATTTACACATTGACTTTTTTTTAAGCTCTTAAGAGAGGAATATCCCTTGGAGTCCTCTTTGGAGATTTCCAGTGTCTCATCATCAAGCAACATGTCCTTTCAGCTAATAAGATCTTTATGTTTCATAATCATTGCTTAATATCCAAAGATTAAATTTAGACCATGGAAAGGGAAAAAGATCTCAAAGCAACTCATGTCCCTAAAAGGAAATCACACTCATCAAACAAATACGCTGTGTTCACACAAAGATATTACTATTTTCTACCTTCAGTACTGGCAGACTTTAAGTGGGATATGAAAAGCCTCAGCTGCTTTTGAATGTGGGTACTTTACCCTGGTAAACATAGATTCCACTCTTCAGCTTGGCCAATGTTTATAATACTCAGCCCTGCAGAAAAGCGTCCTACTTGGCTCTCTTATCCTCCATTGGCTTAGACAGGAATTGGGGAAATACGCATGTCAGTATTAGCAAAATCAGCAGCAAAGGGACAGAGGCATATGAAAGTCACCTCACAAAGGCAATGCATATAAACCCTATCCTTGGAGAAATATGTGCTTCCTTCAGAAGAAGGAATATTCACTCCAGTGTAAAACCACTTAAATTATCTTTTCCATTATCTTGTTTAATAATCAAAATTCTTAGAGGCTGATAGGGTTACACCCATTTATAGGCAAAGAAATGGAAACCCAGAGAGATAAAATGACTTTCCCAAATTCTCTTAGCAAAATGGAGATAGAATCAAAACTGAATCCCAATCTCTGGTCCCCATTTTGTTACAATCACTGTATTTTTCACAATATTATCTCAAACTTTACCCATCGAGATGAGGTTCCTGGTCTCGCAGCTCTCTCACAGATGATTTTAAGCCAGGGAAACTGCTATTTTTTAATGCTTATTGTTTTCTTTGTTTAATATGTATTCATTGTAGAGATTTGGGGAAAATAAAATGACCAAAAATCTTACTACCAATTTTGCTGTCTATACATTGGATTCGCATCACAGTTTTAACTTAATGCTAGCTAATTCAACAATGTGGGTTCAGGGGGAAATAAAAGAAATTTTAAAAGCCAAAGCCAAAAACAATTTAAAACTCCTGATTTACCCAAGAATCTTTCTTCTTCTTTTTTTTTTTTTTTTTTTTTTTTTTTTTGAAACTTTCCTAAGGGAAGAAGTTCAGGTTCCTAATCCACTTTTTTTTGCATTACGATATTCTTTTATTGATATTATTTTTAATACAAATAATACATGAATACAAGTTATTTTTTGGTAAATTACTTTAGCAATAAACAATTCACCTCTTACTCTGCTAAAAGGTTAGAACAGGTTGGCAAACTGCCCACAGACCAGATCTATCCCAAAGTGTTTTTGTAAGTAAAGTTTTGTTGGAACACAGCCACACCCTTTCAGTTACATATTATCTATGGCTGCTTTCCTGCTGCAACTGCAAAGTTGAATAGCGGTGGCAAAGGCCCAAAAGGCTGAAAATACTTGCTGCATGGTCCTTATGGAAGCTCGCCTAGTTTAGGATATGGACTCACACTTTTTTCTATCCATTTATATATCAGGCATATTCACAGACTATTTTATTTTGTATATAGTTGGGATTATACCATATGCCTTTTTCTTTTTAAAACAATTTTTTATTTCCACAGGTTTTAAGGAACAGGTGGTATTTGGTTACATGAGTAAGTTCTTTAGTGGTGATTTGTGAGAATTTGGTGCACCCATCTCCTAAGCAGTATACACTGAACCCAATTTGTAGTCTTTTATCCCTCACCTCCTTCCCACCCTTTCCCCCTGAGTCCCCAAAGTCCATTGTGTCATTCTTATGCCTTTGCATCCTCTTAGCTTCCACTTATGAGTGGGAACATACAATGCCAAGAACCTTCCTTCTATTCAATCTAGGACATATAGAGACATAATTTCTCTCTCCCTTTCCTGCTTTTACTGCTTAGTAGTTATCACTGCCTAATATACTGTGTATAATACTCATTTACCTTGTTTATTGACTGTTCCCTACTAGAATATAGGCTCCATGGATCAGGGGGGCTTGGGGCCTGCTTTGGTCACTACTGTATCTCCTGCACCCAGAAGAGTACTGGCAGGGTATAGATTCTTTGGAAACACTTATAGAATACACAAAGAAAGAAATGAGTGAATGGGCCCTTGTCTGTCTCCCTCTCTCTCTCTCTCTCTCTCTCGTGTGTGTGTGTAATATCTTTTACGTGGTCTTGGTCAGACTGTATATACTTTGTACCTAACTTTCCTTACCCAAAATAGTACACATCATAAGTATGGAAAGTATCCTAAGTTTTTGTTTTGTTTTTCAATACAGGGTCTGGCTGTGTTACCCAGGCTGGAGTGCAGTGGCACAATTACCACTCACTGCAGCCTCAACCTCCCAGGCTCAATCAATCCTCCTGCCTCAGCCTCCCCAGTAGCTGGAACTACAGGTGCATGCCACCACACCTGGCTAATTTTTGTATGTTTGGTAGAGATAGGGTTTCACCACGTTGCCCAGGCTGGTCTCAAATTCCCAGGCTCAAATGATCCACGCATCTTGGACTCCCAACTTGTTGGGATTGCAGGTGCGAGCCACCATGCGTGGCCCTAAGATTTTTTCCAGCCTGAAATACAACTTTATTAAAAGAAAATGTGGAAATTGTGCTGATCATTGAAATCAAAAGAAAAACCATTCGTAAACCCACCCTGATAGAACTATCACTAATGTTTTAGTGTCTTCCCATTTAGCTCATCATTTTCAGAGTATAAGTTTTAAATGACATCATCAAACTGTTGTTAGAATTTTGTGCACTATGGTTTTTACAGACTTGGAAATTTCACTGCAAAAACAATTTAATGAGATATATAAAAATTCATCTAATCACTTCCTTGTTCTGTATATTTATTTAAGTTGTCAATCTTTTTCTAATATCATGCTGGACTTTTGTTTTCATAAAAAGCTTTTTCTAAACTTGGGATTAGGAAATGATGTTTGAATGGCCCCCATGCTACCTCTTACCATCCTGCCATGACCCTCTCCATTCCCTCATCCCACACTGATGAACCATTTGTGGCTCTGGCTTCCCATTTGTTTGAAGTGGATCCCTTAAGGAGTGACCTCCTGGTGTCTTCAATTATTATTTTAAATGATGCCTTAGGCCACTGCCTGGCACAGCGGTGCCCTCACCTTCCCCTCTTCTGCCTTCCAAGCATGGAGCTCAGCTGCCAAGCTGGCTATGCCCCCTCCTGTCCTCAGAGCTGCCTCCAGAGTCCCAGCAGAGAGCCAGATTAACCCCTTTTGTTAGCAGATGTAATTTGCCTGGGCTCAGCATTAATAAGAAATGCCGTAAGCAGTCAGGTCAAGAAGAACAGATCTGTCAAGCCCCAGGGTTAATTTAATGGCAATCTGTTGGCTGTCGGGGTTGTATATTAGCCATGAATTCAATGCTCTGTTTTGCTTTTGCCATCTAGTTATTTGGGACAACAGGGAAATAATTTGGATAGAGAGCTCTAAAGGATTAAAAAAAATAAAAGTGACTGTCAAAATGCATCATTCCATTTTCAAGATTATACGTGGAGCCACGAATTGCTCATCTTCTTTCTCCTTCCCTCCCAACATGAAGGGCAAAATTACATATGCTGAAAACATGGATCGCCCTTTAGAGTTGTGCAGGGGAAAATGCCTGGGTTTCTAGAGGATACAGATGTTGAATATCCTCTCCCATCATCCCCATAAGTCACTTAATTTTTAGCAACTAGACTTCTCTCAAATGTTTCTAGAACTCACCAAATCCTCCAGCAGGTAAAAATCCAAATAATCCCTTATCAGGCTTGTGTCCCAAATTCTGCTTCAAAAAAAAAAAAAAAAAAAAAAAAAATCTTAGAGCACATAAAAATTCTGATTCTGGAAAATGCAGTCACCAAAGTGGTAGGTAAATTAAGAGAGCACAAGCCTAAAGCCAGAAGAGATGGGGCTGCCCTCTCAGATTAGCTGGGGGTCTTTTCAAAGGAACCAAAATTGTCACATTTTGGCCAGCTTTGTGAGGCCATTCCTCAAGGGAGGCAGAGTGGCATGGTGAGAAAGAACCCGGGCTCTGGAGTCAGACAAGCTTGGGTTCAAATCCCAGCTCTGCCCACTGTGTCACATAACCTTGAGTAATTTATCTGAGTTCCCTCGGCTGTAAAATGGACCTGTTAATAATCCTGCCCTCATAAGGCTGAGATGAGGGGCAAGGGGGACAACACATGGAAAGTGTTAGCACAGGGCAGGCCTGGCCCCTGATCAGCATTAGCAACTGGCCATATCTTCCTCTTAACTTCATCATCCCAGTGATTAAAAAGAGGGATAATCATGGTTTATCCCTGGAACCCCTTTGAGTCAAACTAAACAAGCCCTCTACTCAAAAAGGAAGACTGAGACCTGCTGGGGATAGGAAGCCAATGGCTTGGGGATGAGGGCTGGGTGGTGGGTAGGCTTGGAAGGTCCAGTGAAGGAAGGAAAGATCCAGAGATGGCAGCTCTGGGCAGATCTCGTGGGCACAGCCCCACTGGCATCCTTGATGGTGGAGGATGTGCCTGGTTTCATAGACATGTTTAGGCACTTTGTTTTTGCACATTCTTACTTTGGGGCTTTATTTTTAGGTGGGAAAAAATAACTGTAGCTGTAGCACCTCCCCCTCCCACACAGCGAAGATCCCTTCCAGTTCAGCTTGTTTTCAGAGCTATACTGGTAGAGGTTGAGAAAGCTGACACCAGATTTTCTTTCCCTATTTGGAGAAAAGAGAAACATGTTCACAGGCACAGTGGGATATCAAGGCTTGCTCTGGAGGATGAGGAAATCTAACAGCAGCTGAAAACTAACCTCCGTTTACCCAACGCCACGTCATGGCCATAAAGCCCAGGGCATGGGTCAGTGGCTGAGAGAGCACCGGAGCTGCAGCCTAGAGCCTCCTCCTGAGGGGCACAGGCTCTTGCTCCACAGCATGTGATGCTAACTGCAATCATATTTATAACTCTGGCAGAAGTTGAGTTGAAGGGTAGTATTTTGTGAATCCAGGAGACTCACATGCCCCGGAGACCCAAGTAATATTTGCATCTGGGTTTGGTAGGAGAAATTGTAGTAACATGTACTGTTAGCTCAGTCTCATGCCAATTTTAGAAAGAACCCAATAGGGTTTATAAGAGATAATGAAGGGGAAAGAGGCACAACCAAATACAAAGCCATTGTTGCAACAAATTGCATGTTGGAATGTTGTAGCAGGAGCATAGTGATGTTTGATCATAGATGATTACTTTGTTAGTGCTAGCGGGACTAAAAATATCAGTGCATTTGCTTGTACCGCATCTAAACTCTAAGGAGGGGACTATGCTACTAGCTTAATGAAAAGCATACAAGACTTTCATCCATCTCAGTCTAATGGGGCAGTTATATCAAGTTATTGCTTGTTGATTCAATACATTGTTGTCCAAAATGTGGTGCATAAACTCCTGGCACACGCATTTGCAGTTATCACATGTCAATTTTTATGCATATTACTTAAAATGTAGCTACCTTATTAAACCCATGATTTTATGAACATTGGGTTACTGTTTAGATAAAGCTAAGTAAAGAAAAAAGTGAATCAATTTAAAGTTGATCTGAAAGAAAAATGTTAAGTAAAAAGTACTATCTGATGATGCACAGATAGGGCAAAAATCACAAAGGTGGCTCACGAGTAGGAAAATCTAGGAAAAGTGGGAGTCCTGTTGGTCAGCTTTACTGTGTAACAGCATCCACATCACAAGGCTTGTTCTTTGCAGGATGTTGCTGGGTCCTCAGACAGTACCTCGGCCCCTCTGTGTCCTGATCCCCCAAGCTCTGGGTGGAGGTGTGAAGAGATCTGTACAAACCCACTCCTTCACTCATGCCAGACATCCCAGTGAAGGGGTTTATTTTCATTGAGTCACCTTCATAAATAAAAGACTAAATGTTTCATTCCAATATACAAGGATATGGTCTTTAAAAAATAGAGGTATAATTCTTGATCAGAAAGGGAAATACTGAGAAAAAAAAACCCAGATGATAAAACTAAGGATATTTTCCACGGGACCCTAAAACTTTCCAACTGGATGGCTTGTTTCTGATACTTAAAAACTCCCTCACAAGCTGAAAAGCAGATCACAACTTACAGAGACTAGAAGTCTTATATATCATACATGAGAGAAATTTTGCATAATTATGAAAGAGCACAGACTTTGCACCTGGGATGAAATCCTAGTGTTGTCACTTAGCCATGTGACTTGAAGCAAGTTTCTTTATGCACATGGAGCATCCGTTTCCACCCCTGAAAAAATGAGGATAAGGAAAACGCTAATTATATAGAGTTCTTGTAAGGATTAAATGAGATAAAGTACATGATATGCTTTGTACAGTGAATGGCCTATAGCTAGTGCTCCATTATTGGTGGCAGCTATTATTATTATCATCAACATATTATAAAGAAGGGCTTAGGGATTTCATGAAAGAAGATATGCACTCTATTATTATAGATATCACTTATCAGCCCAATAATCCATTAAGGAATCAGATAAAATGAATTATTTGGTTATAATAGGACCAGTACCTTAATCATTATTATAAAATGAGAAGCAAAATCTTTGCAACTTGGTACATTTTAGCCTGATTGCACAAGCAGTTAACTTTGGTCATGAGTGGATGTCTTTTACATGTTTATAGAGGATAAAACACAAATGAGGAGTCAAGAGACCTGAGTTCTAATGCTGCCTCTGACTACTGGGTAACCCTGGGCTATTTTCTTAAAGTTCCTGAGCCTCATCTGCCTGGGACAAGTTTATGATGAGGATCTACCATGTGCATAGCAAATGTTGACATATTTTACTAATATAAGATGGTGCCATTGCTAATTCTCCCCTTCCCCAAGTTCCTGCCTCCTTCTCCTGGTTCCTTCCTTGACTCGTCTGTGCCAGATATTGTGGACATTAAGCCAGCCAACATGGAGGAGCTCACGGAGGTGATCACAGCAGCCGAGTTCCACCCCCATCATTGCAACACCTTCGTGTACAGCAGCAGCAAAGGGACAATCCGGCTGTGTGACATGCGGGCATCTGCCCTGTGTGACAGGCACACCAAATGTGAGTAGCAACTGAAGGGAGGTGGGGGGCATGGCCACTGGCCCCAATGTGCTGGGGGAGAGCCTGGAAGCTTATGATCTCCCTTTCTACACCAGACACACTAGGAGTAAAGAAACTACAAGTGGGAGTCAGCTCCGTATTTTATATTTCAGTAAAGATGAACATTTGTGTTCGATTCCAAAACATCCAGAGATGAAAATAAATAAGACATGACCCTCATCAGAAAAGGGTTTAAATAACAGTGTGATGTGATCCAAATTATGTGTTAAGGAAATCATGCTTGCTGCCATGGGGAGAATGACTTTGAGGAATAGCAGGGGGACCAGTTAGGAGACCGTTGAAGGGTGGCCTGGACAAAGAGGTGAGTGGAAATTGAGAGGGCAGATGGGTTCTGGACACATCTTTTTTTTTAATCCATGTAACCTGCACAGTACTGCACAGATCTTGGCAATAAAATTAACAGGACTTGCTGAACTGCATGGGAGGCTGAGAACATAAAAGCCATCTAGAACAGCAGCTGGGGGAAGGAGCTGGTGGCTTCTTGGAGAGATTGTGACTATAGGATGCCAGAGCCATGTCATAATGACCATGATTTTTAAAACCCAAATTTTTTTCATCAAAGTGAGTGAACAGCCACAAAAGTAACCAGAGGAGTAGTATGATCAGAATTAGTTGTTAGGGAAATTGTTCAGATGGAAGGCAGAAGGATAAAGGTTAAATTCTGGCTGAGAGAACAAAGAAACAAGGAGACAGGTTAGGAAGCCACTATAATATAGATAAGCATTTCTTAACAGTACACCATTGAATCTTGCGCTACATAGATTTTTGTTTCGGGGAAGGGGCTGTCCTATACATTGTAGGATGTTTAGCAGCATCTGTGGCCTTACCCACTAGATGCCAATAACCCAAGCCCAGTTGTATAACCAAAAATGTCTCCAGACACTGTGAAATACCCTCTTGGTGAAAACATTGCTCCCAGTTGAGAACC
The DNA here is from genome assembly GCF_000001405.40 of Homo sapiens. NCBI lineage: Eukaryota > Metazoa > Chordata > Mammalia > Primates > Hominidae > Homo > Homo sapiens. Next base: position 146,637,262 of record NC_000005.10, on the reverse strand, counting down.
ACTGATCTAGACTACAATTCATTCAGTCACAGATACTGCATGATATTCTTGTATCTACAATGTATTTGTTACAATAAAGAACTCTGAGGGGTACAATGGAAAGGTAAGACTTATCTCCTATACTCAAGGAATTTAAAATTTGGCTAATGAGGCAAGATGCACCCAGGAAGCATTTCAGGAACAATGTATAAGGCAGTTTAGTTTTAATACTCAAGTGAATGATGGAGATAATTATGGGTTAGGCCATTCAGAGACGGTTGAGACATTTGAAACAGACCTCACAGGGAAGGCAGAGGCTGAGCAGTTGAGTGTTGAAGTACAAGTAGGATTTGGTTAGGTGGGAAACAGAAAGAAGAGTATTGTTGGCAGCAACCACAGAATGGGCAAAATTCTGAAGTTACTAAAGTAATGGAACATTTGAAGGGTGTTAAATAAAAAGTGTCAGGCTTGGGGGAAAGGGGAATCTTGGGTTAATGAGGTTAAATAGCAATGATGGTTCATATCAGGTTGATCCTTGAAGATCAGATTCCAAAGTTTATGCTGTCATGTATTCATGCATTCAGTGAGTACTTATATTATACCCAGAGTCTGGTTCCCATAGTATCCAGTCCTTCTTAAGCTGTTCCACCAAATACAGTTCTGGTGGGGCCAAGCCATGAACCCTGCTGCCATGGAAGGAGGGCACAGAGAGGAATCCAGTTCCTCCCATGTGCTCTGGGTTGGCCCAACCTACCAGCAAAGGCAAAACAGCCCATGCCTGGCAGAGACCAGCGACCCTGGGGGAGGTGCTGACCACAACAGATTTTCTTTGAAGCCTTATTTTTCTTTCTAAAAATTCATGTGAATTTTACATTTTAACCCATATAAAATCTATTTTCACTTTAATTTAATAATTATGTTTCTACCCCCACTCCCAAATTTTAAACAAAACTGGTGTTTCCAAAAGATGTAACATTTATCCTATGGCTTCCTGTACTTTTTAGTATACCCCCATATCCTCCCCTCTTCCTAACGCCCAAGGATATATACAGGTACCCCGGTTGGAGAAGCACAGTTTCTAGTATGTGGGAGGTAATTTGAGAGCATTTCGCTGGACAGCAGAGTTAATAAAAATTGTGTTTTATGGAAGATTAACACAGTGGTCATGTGAATAAAGGTAGGAAAGTTAGAAGGTTTTGCTTTAGTCTCAATGCAAGGATAATTTGGAACCTAGATCAAGAATGGTGGCTATAGAAATCCAAAGAAAGAGAAGGGGGAAAATGAACATTTTCTTTTAAAATAACTATGGGTGTTATAAGTGACATTAGTGATATTAAAGGTTGGCATTCGTCATACATGGACGTGATATGAATTGTTCAATGTCATTCCCCTGTAGATAGTAAATGCCTTGAGGATAAGAACTGAATCTGACTTGGTCACATTATATGAACCCCTGACACATAAGCAGAGGTCAGGAAATATTTAATAAATGTGTGCCTAAGGGTTGACATAAATAACAAGTGGGAATGGGGATGGATGGAAAGTCTCTAACTCTCTCCCAGAGAGTGAAGGGTTGGGACTCAGTACCGGACATGCTGTGGGTGAGGTGACATGAGCTGTCTAAGGAGGCAGGGCCTCTCTAGTGAGTGAAGGCAGAACCGGGCTTTCTGGGCCACCAACCCAGGGTGGAGGCCAGGGATGGCACGGGAAGCCCTGGCATCCCCATAGCCCAGTGTGGCTGACACTAGCCTCAGCTTTGGAGTCAGACAGATCCACATGCATTCTGGATATTGGGGAATCAACTGACTGGGAAGCTTGATGAACTGAACACAAGATAGAAAAAGGGCAAGGCCTTAGAAGCTTTCAAAACTAGAATGGTAAATAACTAATTGGTACTAGGCTTAATACCTGGATGATGAAATAAACACACAAAAAAAAACCCATGACACATGTTTAGCTATGTAATAAACCTGCACATGTACCACTGAACTTAAAAGTTAAAAAAAAAAAAAACTAGAGTGATTTAGAGCAGATGCTTTGGAATCAGAACTCAGCTCTGATACTCAGTACCTGCATGACCTCAAGCAAGTTATTTAATCATTTTGAGCCCCAGATTCCTCATTTGAAAGTAGAAATATTAAGGACAGCATCATAGGGCAGGTTGTTCACAAGAACTAAATTTCATGTGTGTGAGATCCTAGCCCTCTGCCAGGCACAAAGGAGTCAATAAATGACGGCAGCAGTTATCACAATTATTCACCCTGGATTCCTCCGGTTCTAGGCCTGCAGACATAAGATGTTCGAAACCCCAACCCTCTTGCCAGATATAGGAGGCCTCATTATTCATTTATTTAATCAATATTTGTTAATCACATACTTTATGTCAGGTACTGTATCAGACTCTGGAGACAGAAGGGTAAGCAAAAACAGACCTGGTTTCCTCCCTCTTAGAGCTTACTCTCTGTATTAGGGTTCTCCAGACAAACAGAACCAGTAGGGGGTGTGTGTGTGTGTGTGTGTAAGTTAAGAGATTTATCATAAGGAATGAGATCACATGGTTATGAAGGCTGACAAGTCCCAAGCTCTGCAGCCAGCAAGCTGAAGACCCAGGAGAGCCGATGGTGGTGTTCTAATCTAAAAGCCATCAGAGACCGGCCTCAGTGGCTCACACAGGTAATCCCAGCACTTTAGGAGGCTGAGGCGGGCAGATCACCCAAGGCTGGGAGTCTGAGAACAGCCTGGGCAACATGGTGAAACCCCGTCTCTACTAAAAATACAAAAATTAGCCAGGTGTGGTGACACACACCTGTAGTCCCAGTTACTCAGGAGGCTGAGGCAGGAGCATCGCTTGAACCTGGGATACAGAGGTTGCAGTGAGCTGAGATTGCCCCACTGCACCCCAGCCTTGGCGACAGAGCAAGACTCTATCTCAAAAAAATAAATAAACAAAACCCTCAGGCTGAAGACCCAGGAAAAACCAGTGTTTCCATTCAATTCCAGAAGCAAGGGGGGAAAAATACAATGTTCCAGCTCGAAGGCAGTCTGGCAGAGGAGTTCTCTTTCCCTTGCAGGAGGGTCAGCGTTTTTATTCTCTTCAGGCCTTCAACTGATGAGATGAGGCCCATTGACAATAGGCAGTACAATCTCTTTTACTCAGTCTATTAATGTAAATGTTAAACTATTCCAAAAACACCTTTACAGAAACACCCAGAATTTCTAGCCAAATATCTGGGCAGCCCATGGCTCAGTCAAGCTAATACATAACATTAACCACACTGTCTAAGGAGAGAAGATGCATTAGTTAGAGAACAGAAACAAATATAGCATCGCAACTGCAATACATGTATAAAAGAGAGGCATGTGCTGGTACAAGTAGAGGTGTTGAGGACTCTACAAGACAGTGACTGCTGAGCTGAGACCTAAGGATGGAGAAGCAGACGGGGAGAGCCCAGGGAAGAATCATGCAGTCATACAGAAGCAGGAAGCCGGTCAAGCCACACACCCAGGGAGCCCCAGAAGCTGCTTCTCCCTCCAGCCTCAGCCCCACACAGCCCCAGAGAAGCAAAGCCCTGGTGACTGTCCTGAAGGAGGCGGAGGAGCCAGCTACTGGCCTTCAGGCCTCTGCCCAGCCCTGTCCTCCCACTCCCTATTCCAACACCAACAGAGTTCTGAATTGCAAGCTGCCAGCCTGCTAATCTAATTAAGAAGCAAATGAAATTCATTTTCCTGACTCCTTCAAAGAACCAACCTTCTTCAGTGCACATCTCCCTTTGTTCAGCTGCTGCGGCTACGAGCCCCAGCTCCTGCCAGCTGGGAAAACAAGTTCAATCTGACCCCTCGCCTGACATTTCATATTGATTTTCTCCATCCTCCTCAAACGGCAGCCTGCAGTCAACCGCAGTTCAGCCGAGGTGTGTGATCGGAATTGAGACAGTTCATCAGAGTTCAAAATGAAAAGCAACATTGGCTTTTGGAGATGAGCTCTGAGAAGGAGAGTATTTAATAACCAACAGCATTTAATCAAAATGCCGAGGAGAACCGTGTTATCAGAGCTGCATTTATTAATTTCCATATGTCCCTCACTCTGCATACTCAGCAGGGGTTGGAAAGGATGATTCCTTTTCTCCCTCGCCTATTTTTTTCTACCACTTCTGGCGGTAGTGACAGGGCTTTGTTTGCAGTTTAGATGTCTGAAACAATAGGGTGCTGATGGCAGCAGTACTTAGCTAGAGTGGATTATTCTTTCCCCTTTCCACGCATGAGTATCGGTGGCTGGGTGAAGAAACTGGCCAGGTGTAATGGACACCAACCTGGGGAATGAAAGGAATTAAGCCTGAACTCCTTTCCAACGTGCCCCGTAAATCTGGTCTCTGCCAACATTTCCAGGCTCAGCTCCCTGTAGCCTGGCCACACTGGCTTGCTTCCTACACCTCCAATACATCCAGCCCTTTCCCACCTCAGGGCCTTTGCACATGCTTTTCTGCCTGGAATTCTCCCTGCCCCCCACACACTCTACCTGTCTGGCCTGTACTGACTTTTTAAGTTTCTGAGAAAATGTCACTTCCTAAGAGTTAACTTCTCTGTCCACCCCATCTGCACCTACCATCTCTCAATCTCATCACTCTATTTCTTTATTTCTTTCATAGCCTCCATTATAGTTGTTTGCTTTACTTAGCCTCTGTCTTGCTGACTGGAATACAATCTTTATGAAGACAGGGACTTTATCTCACTAATTACTGAATTTGTACAATACTTACATAGCACCTGGTGGGGCTTCATAGAACATCTGTGGTGGAAAGGCAGGCAGATAGGAAAAGACAGGTGAAAAAAGACATATTGGTTTACCAGGGCTGCTGCAACAAAGTACCATGGACTACACTGCTTAAACAATTCAACTATTTTTTCAAAGTTCTGGAGGCTGGAAGCCCAAGATGAAGTGTTGGCAGGGTTGGTTTCTTCTGGAGGCTACGAAAGAAGGATCAGTTCCACACTGCTCTCCTTGGCTTGTAGATGGCTGTCTTCTCCCTGTGTCTTTACACTGCCTTCCATCAGTGTCTGTGTCCAAAATTCCTCTTCTTATGAGGACACCAGTCCTATTAGATCAAGACCCACCCTGATTACCTTATTTTAATTACCTGTTGAAAGGCTCTATCTCCAAATACAGTTATATTTTGCAGTACTGGGAGTTAGGACTTCAATATATGAATGGGCGGGGGGGGGGGCACAACTCAGCCCATAGTAGGAGGAAAGACATAAAAGTCATCAAGAACACAAGCCCTGGAGCCAGCAGTTCCAGACATTGTTTCCAGGCCTCATTGCCGCCAGAAGCCTGGGCAGGTGCTGATGTTGACACCTTCCTCCAGGAGGTAAGAGTGGAAAGAGGTCATGGACACAGGGCTCTTGCACAGCCCCTGACACATTGGAAGCACACAATGAGCATAACTTTTATTAAAGGCAGGAGAGAAACTAGACAAAGGACCAAAGGACCAGGATGATAGAAACCTGTGCATTGGGTCTCGACAGTTTCACCAGGCAGGTTGTCCGTGTGTGTTAGGACAGTGATGCCTGGAGGCTTTCCTGTGGAGCTAGAACACTTTCTTTCTGAACAAAGCAGACTTTAATTGATTTTAGAGGCATTGAGGTACCTGATTCCTATTCAAAAGCCAGTCTTGAAGGGAGAGGTTCCCCAATAAGTAGGGTGTGGTTTAGCAGCATAAAAGCAGCAGGTGAAATCCTCAAGTGGGACTGGGAATAGTAAAAGTGATACCTTGAAAGGCCACAGAGACTTGACTTGCCAAAGACCTGGGGACACAGAGATGGAGCAAGTGGAGAGATGTTTATGAATGTTAAAGCAGCATGCGAAATGATAATCTCACCATGAATGCAGCAAGGTCAGGATAAGTATATGTGGACAAAGACTAGCAGAGGCTATATGAAAGGGATGAGGTCAGGGGCCATGAAATGTGGGCAGTTCTCTTATTTTCTAGATTCTCTCCAAGGTTGTTGTTTTACTTCTATAACTTGAAGAAAGTTGATGAATGACTGAAGAGCCCCACCGGGTGCCTTACCTCCAGGGTGGAGACAGCAGGAAAGATCAAAACTCCCTGCCCACCCCAGCAGCCCCTGTCATAGGTACTGGGATGAGGCAAGGCGGTGAGGAGCCCAGCATGATGTTCCCTGTAAGCACAGCCCAGGACAATTTTGTTTTGTTTCTTCCCCTCTGTCAAACCAAACTGACAGTAGTGAGTGAATTCAGGGACTGGGTCAAAACAGGGGAGGCAAATCAACATAGTTGAGCAGCCACTATCAGCTTGTATCCATGGCCTAATTGGTGATCTTGAGCAGGTTACCTAACCTCTGTGCTTCAACTTACTCACCTATAAAATATGGGTCATGAAAGTATTTACCTTATAGGGTGCTTGTGAGGATTAAATAACACCCGTGGAGCCTTAGAATGATGCCTGGCACATAGTATAAGCATCGTGTTATGGTTGGAGTGAAGATGGTGTCTTGCTTCCCTACCACATGTGTCTTTTAAGTGTGGGAGCAGGAAGAGCAGAAGCAATCATAAAAGTAGTAATGTCAACAGCCGTATTCACAGCTAACTTCCATGACATTTTACTGTGTCCAGGAAGTAAGCCAAGTATACATGCATGAGCTCATTTAATCCTGATAACAACCCTATGAGGTACATACTGCCATTATTCACATCTTAGAGATGAGGCAACTAGCTAAAAGGGGGAAAGATACACTTATGGCCACCAAAGAGCAAGTGATGAAGTTGAGGTTTGAGCCAGACCACCTGTAGCTCTTCAAGAGAACACCAAAAACTACTTATTCAACTAAGATTGATTAAACACCTGCTGGTTTCTGCCTTTAAGGACCATACTTTCTTGTGGGGAGGGATGAGAGAAAACACAAATGTACAAATAACCGAGGTCATTTCAGACATGATAAAAAAGCTGTAAGAAAATTAGCAGGGTCAGGAAGTAGTGGTATGTGGCAAAGCCTTTGAATTAAGACCTGTTATCAGACGGATCCAAAGAGAAAGCCAACATCTAAGTGTGAAGGCCCTAACAGAGGAGGAAACTTGTGTGTTCAAAGAATAGAGAAAAAAGATCAGTGGATGGATACAAGTAGGCTAGGGACAGTATAGAAAGTGAGGCCACAGCCAGGCATGGTGGCTTATGCCTGTGATCCCAGCACTTTGGGAGGCTGAGGCAGGTGGGTTGCTTGAGGCCAGGAGGTTCGAGACCAGCCTGGCCAACATGGCAAAACCCCATCTCTACTACAAATACAAAAATTATCTGGGTGTGGTTGCACACACCTATAATCCCAGCTACTCAGGAGGCTGAGGTAGGAGAATCGCTTGAACCTGGGAGGCAGAGGTTGCAGTGAGCCAAGATTGTGCCACTGCACTCTAGCCTAGGCAACAGAGCAAGACGAGAGGGCAAGGGAGAGGGAGAGGGAGAGGGGAAGGAAAGAAAGGAGAAAGGGGAAAGGGGAAAGGAAAGAAAAGGAAGAAAAGGGGAGGGAGGGAGGAAGGGAGGAAGAGAGGGAGGGAGAAAGAGAGGGAGGGGAAAAGGAAAGTGAAGCCAGAGAGGTAGGCTGGGTCTAGATCATTGAGAGCTTTATGGGCCAGAGCAGAGCACTTGCATTTCACTCTAAGTGAGATGGGAAACCATGAGATGGTGCTAAGAAGGAAGTGAATACTGTTTATGATCTTAAAAGAGTTCTCAGACAAGGGGTGCCAGGCCTGGAAAGCAGAGAGACCATTTAGAGGTTGTTGCCACTGTCTGGAGGAGACATGATAATGGCTTTGACCAGGGTGGGCACAGTGAAGTAGTGGTAAGTGGGCAGATTCAGGATCACCTTAGGAGGTGAGGCTAAGAGGACTTGCTGAGAGATTGGCAGTGAAGAGGTGATGGAAAAGGGAGAATCTAAGATAACTCGTAGGTTTGGTGCTTGAGTTACTGTACGGTACCATACACTGAAACGAGGAGACTGGGGAAGGAACAGTTTTGGCATGGAAAGACCAAGCATTCTCTTTTGGATGTGTCCAGATTGAGATGTCTGTGATTCATCCAATTAGAGAAGTCTGGCAGACAATTAGATAACATGAGTCTGGAAGTCTGGGGAGAGGTCTGAGCTGTAGGTATAAATTTAGGAATCACGAGCATGTCATAGCTATTTTAAGCCATGGGATGGGATAATGTCAATTAGGGCAGAAGGTATGGATAGAGAATAACTGAGGGCCCAGGAATGAGGTGAAGGCCACACCGACATTTACCAATGGGGTAGGGGAAAGGAGGAGGTGGCTTTTTACAGATGATCAAGTATGAGCTACCAGGGAAGTGAGCAGAAAACCAACACATGTAAGCTGAGAGAAGACAGTGATTTAGAAATACATTAGGATCAATTATGTCAAATGCTTCTGAGAGGGCAAGAAAGATGAGAGGGGTGAAGTGATCATGGGATGTGGGCTTATGGAAGTCTTTGTCCATTAATTAGTTACTTTAAGTAAAAGCAGTTAGCACACTGCCTGACACATAGTAGGTTCCCAGTACACATTTGCTGAATGCAATCAATCTTGTGTGTGGTGGCACAGGGTAGGTTCTGCAGTAGCATCTTAATTCCATTGTGGTTTGGGCAGACCTTCCTTCTTCCTCACCTGCCCCTCGAGCTTCCATCTTATTGAGAGGTAATGTCTAGTGCTGGGGAATTGCAGAAGCTGAATCTGGCCAGAGAAGGTCTTGAGGGCCAGGGTGAGGAGCCAGGGTTCACCTCAGCAGTAGCGATGGGGCTGCCCTGCAGCACCAATCCTTGCACTGGCTCTACCAGCAAGTCCACTGCCTGTAGACACTCTCTTCTAGCAGCAAGGCCCTTCTGCATTGGCAAGTCTGCAGCCCAAGGATTGGCCACAGAAATCCCCTCCTTCGGATGACACCAAAGCAGCCTTCCTGTCCAGGGGCAGTCTGACTTTTTCATGCTGAGGGGGAAATGGCATAAGCACTTTAGACCTTAAAATCTGAGATGTTAGGCCAGGTGCAGTGGCTTACACCTATAATCCCAGAACTTTAGGAGGCTGAGGCGGGCAGATCACTTTAAGTCAGGAGTTCGAGACCAGCCTGGCCAACAAGGTGAAACCCTGTCTCTACTAAAAATATAAAAATTAGCTGGGCATGGTAGCGCACACCTGTAATCCCCACTACTCAGGAGGCTGAGGCAGGAGAATCACTTGAGCCCAGGAGGTGGAGGTTGCGGTGAGCTGAGATTGTGCCACTGCACTCCAGCCTGGGCAATAGAGCGAGACTCCATCTCAAAAAAAAAAAAATCTGAGATGTTTCTGTGAACAGTGTAGTCATTGGAGAAACAGCCCGAGTTCCAATGAGAAGAAGGCAAAGTTTGATGCCCAGTCCAACAATGCAAATCAGAAATTTCATTGTCCTCCAAAGGTGGGTGTAGTAGAGGGGGAGGGTACTATTTTTGAACATTTCTGTATCTCATTTAATTCTCACAACAACCCATGAAGATTGGTATTAGTACCTCTAATTTATAGATGAGGCACAGAGAGGTGAGGAAACTTGCCCCAGATCACAGTGGAGGACCTAAGATTTGAACCCATGTAGGTCTGCTTCCAGAAGATTTATTCCTCTGCTGGGCATCTGACAGGATAAAGAGCATGATGTTTTTCTAAAATCCAGAAGGATAATTTCACAAGAGTCCATTTTATACAATCCCCATCTGGCTGGATTCCCCAGCCTGACCATTTTCAACCATAGAATTAATTCTGCCATTACACAGAACATAAAATCCACTCTCATTCTTCACCCTCATCTACAAACTTAATTGCCAACCCCTGGTAAGTAAGCCACTAGAGCTCCCTAATAAACCTGTGGCTCATTCCCCAGGTCCCTGATGGAATGTGTCCAAAGACATCAGCTGAGACAGCAACTGCAATGAATCTTAAAGCCCCTGAGATTTGGCATATCTTCCAAAAGGGGTTCAGTATTGATCTGAGGTATAATTAACAGTATTTATTTCAGGGGAGCTTGGTTAGGTTAAAAAGACAAGGTCCTTTATTAAAATGCTTTTGCCTGATGGCAGGATTGCAAACACACACACAGACACACACTTCCCACTCTGGAGAAAAGCCAAAAGCCTTGCTGCAAGGAGCAGAATTCACTGATACCACCACCACCCCCACCTCACCCCCATGTCTGAAGCTGCTCTATCCCATTCAAGCTTAGCAGCAATTAACAGAGCAGGCAGTGCCCAAGCCATCGAATAAAAATAGAATCCCTTCCCCCTTCTTCCATCCTCATTTCCATTTTTGATTAATTTAACCAGTTCTGTCAATTAGTCATCCTGGAGAATCCAGTTGAGTGGATTTTGCTAAGAACCAGAAGGCTTATTAATTTTGGAAGTGAGTGTTATTCATTAGTAGTTAACACCTTCCCAGGTCTTGCCCTCTCCCTCACTTGGGGTCTTGAATGAGACAGCAGTGAAGGTCAAAATTGGCTCCCACACATGGCTGCAGCCCCCAAGACATGCAGAATGGGAAAGATTGGCCATAGGGTTATAGATGGCTCTGGCCTTGGGACATTTTAGGCCAACTTACCTGTCGTCATGCCCTGTAACAAGCTATCACTAGCAAAGCAGCCACAAGCACCTGGGGGCATCCTGAATTCTAGGTTCAGGAGAACCCAGTCAAGGAAATGCCCAGAAATATTTTCCCCAGAAAGAGGCATTGGCCTGTTAGAGCCTAGGGAGGGCACTGGCCTCCTATTCCCTGTATTTTGCCTGCAAAAACCAAAAATTATCTTCCATTTTTTCAATTTATAAATATGTTGCAACTTTTAAAATCTAAGTCTGTGTTTTATGACCATTTTTCCATTTGTGGTGCCAAGGAATTAATCTTTTAACATTCATATAAGTATCATAACAAGGTGGGAATTTTATCATACAATCTTTATATATAATAGATCTTCCAACAGCCCGTTTTTCCCCTCCACAGTGAAATCAAAGTTCACCTCTTTCTCTCTGTATTAGCTGCCCGTTTTTCCCCTCCACAGTGAAATCAAAGTTCACCTCTTTCTCTCTGTATTAGCTTCCTATGGCTGCTGTAACAAATTCTCACAAATGTAGTGGCTTAAAACAACACTAACTTACCATCCTGCAGTTCTGCAGGTCAGAAGTCTGACATTGGTCTCACTGTCTAAAATCAAGGTGTTGATCAAGTTGTGTTCCCTGCTAGAGGCTCTAGGGGGGAATGTTTCCTCAATTTCTTCAGCTTTCAGAGGCTGCCCACATTCCATGGCTAATGGCCCCTTCTTCCATTGTCAAAGCTAGCAGCAGGAAGATGAGTCCTTCTCATATCACATCTCTCTGTCTCTCTCCTGCCTCTCTCTTCCACTTTTAAGGACCTTTGTGATTACGCTGGGCCCACCTGGGTAATCCAAGATACTCTCCCCACCTTAAGGTCAGCTGATTAGCATCATAATTCTATCCACAATCTTTATTCCATTTTGCCATGTAAGGTAAGATATTCCCAGGTTCCGGGCATTAGGATTTTGACATCCTTGGGGAGCCATCATTCTGCCTACACATTCTTCAGGTTTCAGTTAAGGCACATTCCTCCAGGAAGACTTCCTGGACCCCCAAATAGGATTAAATGCCCTGTCTCAGAGCACTTAATACCATACATTTAATTACCTCTTTCTATTTTGGTCTCTCTCACTAGATGGGACCATTATTATGGCTAGACTCTTTTCTCAAACCCCCTCAGCATTTAGGACAGTGAAAGTGCTAAAGAAATGCTTTTAGAGGTAAACAACTATAGTCATTCAATCTGATAAATTTGCATCTGATACTTCTCTTTACACATATGTAAAAGCCAACAGTAAAGAGTAGTTGACCCACTGTTTGCTCATTTCTAGCATTAAGAATACATTACACACACACACAGTATAATAAAATACCTACCTTGTTATATTTAACTTACATGAACATTAAAATTAAATCGCATTCCTAGGCACCACAAGTGGGAAAATGGCAATAAAAAAGCACAAAATAAGATTTTAAAAGTTGCAATATTTTTACAAATTGGAAAACTAGAACATAAGTTTTGGTGTTTGCAGGCAAAGTAAAAGAAAGAGAAGTCCATGAAGTAAAGGTAATCAACTGCTACTTATTTATTCAACGAATGTTTATTGTTGCTTCACATGTCCCAGGCACTGTTCCAGGCACTAGGAAAATCATGCCCCCTGCCCTTGCAGCACTTTATTGAAGGAGAAGGAATCTAACAACACACACATAAATAAGATTGAGATTTAGTGAAAATGTTTCAGGGGAAGAAGCAACAGCAAATGGAGTGGCTCTGAATCTGGACAGTGCTTGGCAGGTCACAGGGCAGAAAGATGACCAGCTGGGCTGTGTACAGTACCATAAGGAGGAATAGCATGAGAGGAGGCAGGAAGAGCTACATACAGGGCAGTCCCCTTGCACCACACAGCCCCCATTCACATTGTCTTCTGTGCAAAGGACTTGAAGGGCTGGGCCACACGGTAGACCTGTAGGCAATGGTAAGGAGTTTGGATATTGCTGTATTAAGAGAAAATCCAGGAGGGCTTGGTGTAAAGAGGATGATTGATTATACTTTTAATATGTCACTCTGTGGCTATTTAAGAATGAAGCCTCAGGAGGAAGAGTAGATGCTGGGAGAAGAGTCAGAAAGCTATCAAAGTGCTCCAGGTAAGAGATGAGCATGGCTTAGACTAAGATGGTGACAGTGGAAATGGTGAGATTGAATTGATTTGGGCCGTACTTTGAGTGTAAAGTTAATAGAACTGTTTTTTTAAAAAAAAGATGTAGAGGGTGAAGTAAAGGAAAGCACCAAGGACAGCTCCCAGCTTTTTGGCCTGAGCACACACCTAGATGAAGGTGCCATAGAGCGAGTTCACAACAACAGTTTGCAGGGGAAATTTACAAATTCTGTGGACTCTCAGATTTATGTTTTTAAAAAGGCATAAAATGATAAAAGTTGATACCTTTTGCTGTTTAGCCCTTTGCTATTTATAGAGCCCCTTCTCATTGATTTATCTTCATTGATCCTCCTGAAAACCCAGTAAGTTTGCAGTATCTCTTCCTTTTTGCAGCTGAGGAAATCAGGGTTTAGAAAACATTAAGTCTGAAACACTGACAATGATTGGTTTTTTTTCTTACATCATATAATGAATACAACCATCCTCACGACTTGCATGGCCCTGTAAGATGGAGAAGGGGGGATCTCTCGTGTGTGTAATTGACTCATGTTTAAGTATATCGGTTAATTCAAGCCCCCCATGCAGTTCTCATAATTCTATTTTGACAGCTCAGTAGGTAGCATCAGTAACTGAATTGTGAGATCTGCTGTCCACTCAAGCAGCTTCCAGCCCCATCAGTGCAAGTCTCTTTATCTGCTGAATTACTCAAAGCACCTGCTGGCCTTCCATCATTATCAAGCACAGACTGGAGACAGCAGAGGTCAGGGGAATGCTATCCCCACGAAGCTCATAATGATACTTGCCTTTATCTTCTCTTTTTAACCTGAGCATAAGGATTTAAATAGGATTGATCTCATGTATGGGCATCCTTAATCCCAGGGTCAAATAGCATATTCTGACATTTTTTGTGCCATTTGAAAATGTCTGTAATGCAGTGAAATTGTCATTGAAGAGTTACATATGAGAAAAATAGAATCATCAAGCTTAGGAAAAAGACTGAAATCAAACAAAGCAATGAATTGGTCAATAAGTGTTAACAAAGTATTGTGCTAAGCACAATGGATAGACAGACTTATGCAATTACTGCCTTTGTACACTTATCGTGGTGGGACAAGAGAATATAAAATTATGAAATGTTTCTAATATAAAGTTCATTTTCAATTGAATATGAAATTTAGATTCCCATAATCAGAAAGAGAAAATGCTGACTAAAAAGTGTTTATGCTGAATATTGTTTTAGACAGTTGAAATAGTGATTTCAAATGTTCTTATCCTCAGCATATCCTATGTGTACCCAAAAGTTCTGACGCGTAGCATTTTTCAGTTTCTGTTTATTGAGAATCTTTTGTGTTCGTGTCACTGTGGGGCCACAAAACCACAAATTTGTGTTAATCCAACGTACTGTTGCTTGCCCCTAGGGAGGTTATTAAGTACCGGAAGATTCCAAGGGCCATCCCTGACATTTCATGGATACTAAATTGTAGTTATTGAATGTATGAGTGAATGAGATGAGATCTAACATCAGATAAAAGGTGATATGTATCTCAGAATACACTAAGGCTATGAATTATAAGCTAAAACTCAGAATTGTCTCAATGTTAAACTTTTCTCCTGGAAGTATTCCTGAAATTTGTATGATCTATATAATAGACCCCAGTACAAAATGGTATACTGAGTTATATATAAGCTACTTTAAAGATAATGTCACAATATTTTATGGTGCTCTGCCCCATGACTTTTGTGTCTTGATCACAACTTGGGAACCTTGCTCTATAGAAGTTCAGAGAAGAAAGTGATTGTTTCCAACTCAACTTTTCAGAAAGAATATCAAGGGGTGGTGGAAGGGGGAGAGGGAGCAGAGCCTGGAATATGGGAACAATTTTGCCTTTTAGAGAATTTCAAATCCTACTGAGCAACTTCCAGCCACTAGGTGGCTTTCAGATACTCTGTTGAGGTTCATAAATTATAAAGGCCGGTTATAGGTATTTGTGAGATTCCTGTGGCTTGGAAACTTGGCTTTAATGAAGATAGAAAGAGGCTGTATATCATAGTGGTCAATAGTGCTGGTTCTGGGGTCAGACAAGCCCAGGTGTGGGTAACTTGGACTTAACTCCTTGGATTTACCCTCTGTACAGCTAAGTATCCACCTCTATAAAATGGGGACAATAATGGCACATGCATTACTGGATTGTTGTGCAGATTCAATGAAATGTCTGGTCCACAGCAAACACTCAATATTTTTTAGTATTTTATTATCAAAACAATTCATAAACTTGGAGTTACAGATGAGAAAATTGGGCCCAGAAAAAGCATGTTGTTTACACAAAGTCAAAGATCTAGGCAAAGGTAGAGGGGGCTTGAACCGAGGTCTAAAGTTGAATGTTGTCAGTAGATAATACCTACAAACACTTCCCATCTTTGCCTCCCCAGGCCTGTAGGAGAGGTAGCCAGGGAAGCCATGTACTAGGCAGAGCACAGAGGAACACAAGTATTTTTCTGGTAGAGTCTGCCCAGGCCTTGGGGTCTGTGTTTCTACAGAACCTGCTGGGGGAGTGCTAGAGTACACTGGGAGGAAGTACCTGAGCAGCAGTGGAGATGGAAAGGCCTCTTACTCTCTAACCAAGTGCAAAATGAGGACCAAGTACAACCTGTCTCTCCTTCCCCATGACCAAGTCATTAAGCAAAAGTGCTTGCTAACAGATAAAGCCTTTATTGTCTACAGTGATTATAAAATGTTTCTTCTCTCTGCATCAGAGGACAGTGGCCTCAAGTTCTAGAGTGACTGTGGAAGGGAAGGATAGCCCACGTGTTAATGGCATGTCTGGAGCAGGTAGTAGGTGCTCAATAAATTCAGTGACTGTTCTCCACATTGCCTCGGTACATTGTGTTAAGTCTGTAAAGAGATGGCTCCACTCTGGTTAATTCTCTGTGGTTGGTGAGATCACATAGCTAATGAAGCCCAAACCAGCGGTTTAATCCTTGCCAGTCCAATTTCTATTTGCTGGAACCATGCCTTCAGAGGTGTGGGGCCGCCAGTGTCTGTTCTCAGCACCAGGTTGAAGGGGCCACCCTTTCTAGTCAGAGGACTGGAGGAAAAATGATGCTATATGAGATGCCATAGAGCCAGAGTTGGGTTTACGTCCTAGCTCTGCCTCTTCTTAGCCTGTGACCAAGGGCAAATGACTCTCTGAGCATCATTTCTTTGTCTCCATAAAGAGTTTAGCGCAGTGCCTGGCAGATGGAAGACTATCACTACTCGATGTTTGCAAACTCCAGGAACCTTTAAGAAATGGATCAGTGGATTAGGAGCAGTGTTTTCCTGTAGAAAACCAGTACTGGGAACACAGAGGCAGACTGCCTGATCCATGAGAAGACAGTGAAGCAGTGACCAGCTCACACCAGGGTCCCTCCAGGCAGTGCTTGGCCCATGCCAAGATGGGCTGTCGTACTCAGCTGTGAACTGCTCACCTTGCTCTGCAGGGAGATCACTGTCAGTGGGGAGCTGCTCCTCTCTCCCTTTCTGTGCCTGTGCCTCTCATTGCAGTGATTATGTAGACAGCCTTGGAAACGGGGCAGCTTGGGAGTTCAGCACTGGCCTCTGCGGTGCCATGGCAACCAGCTTCCCAGCAATCACCCCTAATAATAGCCACTCGAGAGCTCTTCCACCTGGGCAGAGGCTCCCCAGGGAGTTCGGGCTTCTCTTGGAGTAACTGCACAAAGCTACCTGTTGGGAACAAATTATGAGAGGGAAGGAGGGAGGGGAGAGCATGCTATCTCAGGGGGAGAGACGTGAGAAAGGAGGCAGACAAGAAGTCTCTAGCCTGTGATGTGTGGAGTGGGCCCAGGGGCCTGGGGATGCTGCCATTGGGTTCCCGGAGCCCACTGGCTGTAGGAATGTGTAATTCCACAGTGGGAGGTAGAGGCCCATGGACACTTTTGCCACTCACCAACCTTGCAGAGAGTGAAAGACCAAATATGAGCGCTCATAAAGCCAGCCCTCGCTGTTACCAGATTTCTTCATTAGGCTCCTGTCGAGATGCTCACTGCCAACTCATCATCTTGTCTGGACTGCAGCCGCCTCCCTTACGGCTGCCTGCTGGAGAGAATGTGCTCAGAGGCCTCCTTCAATCAATATCTTTCCAGAATGACAGTTCTCAAAAAGGCACCAGTCCCGCTTGGCTAATAAATGATTATTCCTCACAAAAGAAAGACAAACAGACCCACAATTAATGAACTTGTCTGTACATATTAGCCCAAATTCAGTCTTTAGATTGACAGGCGAACCCTAAGCCAAACACAGGTTTTCGCTTCCCCTTTCTTTAGATCAGATTCCAGCTGAGTCTCCTTCGTAAGAAAGTTCTAACCCCACAGATAATGAGCCTTCCAATGCTGGGCTCACTCAGAGACCATATGGTCCTTTGGGTCCCTATCTCTCCAAGCCTCTGTTTCCTCAGCCATAATATAGAGATAATTCTTACCCTAGATGGTGCCCGGCAGGTAACAGGTGCTCTTGTTGTCACTGGTGTTGCCTTTCTGTGGGGCCAATTCCCTAACTAAAATTTTTTAACTCATTGTGAATCCTGAACAGATAATATTTAAAAATAATAGGAGGAAGATTAGAAGGTGGCCAAATTAACCAGTAAGGAAGAAAGGATGCAGTGGGCCAAGATTGTCCAGGAAGTTTTTCTAGAAAAAGACAGTGAGCCCTGAAGGTTGAATAGGAGCCAGAGAAACAGGGGAGCAGGGAGAGGTTAGGGAAGGAGCATGGATCCAGCCCCAGCACATGCCAGTGCACCACAGACATCACCATCATCACTGCAGGGAGTTAATCAGGTCACAGGTGTGGCCTGCATAGCTTACAGAGGACGTATGTTTGATCACACGCTCAAGTTTCTTTAGTTAGTTGCTAACATGAAAAAATTAGAGTTCCTCAAAAAATTTAGGCCTTACAAATTAGTCTGGCTGTGCTGGAGCCCCATTTCTGCATGGCTGCATTCAGCCGGAGCAGAGTGGAAATTGCCCCTTTATGGTTTTGTTTTGTTTGTTTGTATTTTGGGTTTGTTTTTGAGAGAGTCTTGCTTTGTCACCCAGGCTGGAGTGCAATCTCCGCCTACCAGGTTCAAGCAATTCTCCTGCCTCAGCCTCTGGAGGAGCTGGGATTACAGGCACACACCACTGCACCCAGCTAATGTTTGTATTTTTTTTTTTTTTTTTTTTAGTAGAGACGGGGTTTTGCCTTGTTGGCCAGGCTGGCTTCGAACTGCTGACCTCAGGTGGAAACTGCCCCTTTTATAGGGTGTGGACACTCTAGTTTGCCACAGTCCCTACTGTTCCCTATTGCTACCCATGAATGTGTCATCTATTTCACTACCTGCCTGGACCCTGGAGGTAGGAGTTATTCAACTCTGGTGCAAATGAGTAGTAGATGGGTCAGACCTCAATGGAGCATTTCAGCAGAATGAAGTAGAGAGTAATATTGGAATGCTGACCTAGGGCTTGATATGGAGCCCCTGAACCAGGACAAGGGGGTAGGACTGTTGGCTATCAGCCACACAGAGTCACTGTAGATGTCTGAGCACAAAGTGGCATTGCTTTGGGAAGATTCAAATATTTAGCACATGGTAGGATTGCCGGTCGTTTCATGTTCTGCTGCTAAGCCCTGATGTCTCTGAGGAGTTTGGCTTGCTCTGCCTTTGCAGCCGCTGGGTTCTGGTTTCTCTGAACTGTGTCGGCTTATGGGTGTACAGCACCAGCATCAGGAATGCTGGGAGGAAAGAGTGGCTGAGCTGGGGTTCACCAGCTCCCTTGGACAGTGAGCCTCTCATGGCCTCTGCCCAGAAGCAGCCCGCTCTGGCCTGCCTTCCCTGTCCAGCTGTATAGGGGCAGCTGCTGAAAGGGAACTGGCCCTGGGGTGCAGGGAAATAATAACAGCGGCTTTGCAGAGTTGAAGGGGGAATTCATGAACTTTGAGCCCTCCCTTTGTTGACAAACGGAGGAGGATAGTTTTCTATCACTGCTGTAACAAATTATCACATACTTAATGAACTTAGTGGCTTAAAATAACACAAATTGATTAACGTCCTTACAGTTCTGGAAGTCAAAAGTCAGAAGTGGGTCTCACTGGGCTAAAGTCAAGGTGTCAGCAGGGCTGTGCTCCTTTCTGGAGGCTCTAGGGGAGAATGGCTACCTGCCTTTTTGAGCTTCGAGAGGCTGCCTGCCTCCCTTGGCTCATGGCACCTTTCCATCTTCAAAGACAGCGGTGACCAGTCTTGTCTTTCTCATATACGGTTATTCAGACTTTGACCCTCTTGCCTTCCTATTTCACTTATAAGGACCATGGTCATTACACTGAGCCCACTCAGATAATCTAACGTAATCTGTCTTAAGGTTAGCTGATTAGCAACCTTAATTCCCCCTTGTCATGTAACATAACGTGGTCACAGGTTCTAGGGATTAGGGTGTAGACATATTTGGGGATGGGGGCAATGGCATTATTCTGCCTACTACAGGGGAATTGAGCAAGAGATGGCTGGCATGGTGGTTCACTCCTGTAATCCCAGCACTTTGGGAGGCCAAGGCAGGTGGATCACCTGAGGTCGGGAGTTGGAGACAGCCTGGCCAACATGGTGAAACCCCATCTCTACTAAAACTACAAAAATTAGCTGGGCGTGGTGGCACACGTCTGTAATCCCAGCTACTGGGGAGGCTGAGGCACAAGAATCGCTTGAACCCAGGAGGCAGAGGTTGCAGTGAGCTGAGATCGCGCCACTGCACTCCAGCCTCGGTGACAGAGCGAGACTCTGCTTCAAAAAAAAAAAAAAGAGAGAGAGAGAGAGAGATGAGAGGAAGCCCCAGCCATGGTAGATAAGAAGCCCCACTCTTTGTTGAAGGAGCGTAGGCATGGTATATCTCTTGCTCACTCTTGTAACTCTAGCACCTATCATAGTGCTTTACACACACTGGGTACTCAATACCTGTTGTTTAAATGGTGTGTGACACTAGAACTTGTTGACGTCTTTTTATGGGTACAGAGGTGTATATATTTATGAGGTACATGAGATATTTTGATTCACACATGCAATGAGTAATAATCACATTGGGGTAAACGGTATATTCATCACCTCAAGCATGTACTCTTTATGTTACAAACGATCTGGTTATACTCCTTTATTTTTAAATGTGCAATTAAATTAATATTGACTATAATCACCCTGTTGTGCTATCACATACTAGTTCTTATTCATCCTTTCTATTTTTTTGTACCCATTAACCATTAACCCACTTCCCCCTGCCCCCCAACCTCTGGTAACCATCCTTCTACTCTCTATCTCCATGAACTCAATTGTTTTGATTTTTAGCTTCCATAAATAAGTGAGAACATGCAAGGTTTGTCTTTCTGTCCCTGGCTCATTTCACTTAACATAAAGACCTGCAGTTCCATCCATGTTGTTGCAAGTGACAGGATCTCATTCTTTTTCATGGCTGAATAGTACTTCATTGTATATAAGTACCACATTTTCTTTATCCATTCATCAGTTGGTGAACACTTAGGTTGCTTCCAAATCTTGGCTATTGTGAACAGTGCTGCAACAAACACGGGAGCGCAAATACTTCTTCAGTATACTGATTTTCTTTGTTTGGGGTATATACATAAGGAGTGGGATTGCTGGATCATATAGTAGCTCAATTTTTAGTTTTTTGAGGAATCTCGAAACTGTTATTCATAGTGGTTTTTCGAATTTTCATTCCCACCAACAATGTACAAGTGTTCCCTTTTCTCCACATCCTCATCAGCATTATTGCCTTTTAGATGAAAGCCATTTTAACTAGGGTCAGATGATA
Source organism: Homo sapiens (assembly GCF_000001405.40). NCBI lineage: Eukaryota > Metazoa > Chordata > Mammalia > Primates > Hominidae > Homo > Homo sapiens. Next base: position 146,616,677 of record NC_000005.10, on the reverse strand, counting down.
TCTAATTGTAGTTTTGATTTGCAGTTCTCTAATGATCAGTGATGTTGAGCTCTTTTTTGTATGCCTATCTGCCATGTGTATGTCTTCTTTTGATAAATATCTATTCATATCACTTGCTCATTTTTTTAAATGGATTAGATATTTTTTTCCTATAGAATTGTTTGAGCTCCTTCTATATTCTGGTAATTAATCCCTTGTCAGATGGGTAGTTTGCAAATATTTTCCCTCATCCTATGGGTTTTCATTTTGTTGACTGTTTCCTTTGCTGTGCAGAAATGTTTTAACTTGATCCCATTTGTTCATTTTTGCTTTGGTTGCTTGTGCTTGCGGGGTATCCCTCAAGAAATATTTGCCCAGTCCAATGTCCTGGAGACTTTCCCCAGTGTTTTCTTGTAGTAGTTTCATGCTCTAAGGTCTTAGATTTAAGTCTTCAATCCATTTTGATTTGACTTTTGTATATGTTGAGTGATTGGGATCTAGTTTCATTCTTTTGCATATGGATATCCAGTTTTTCTAGCACAAATAGTTGAAGAGACTGTCTTTTCCCCCAGTGTATGTTCTTGGCACCTTTGTTGAAAATGAGTTCACTGTAGATATACAGATTTGTTTCTGGGTTCTTGTGTTCCATTGATCTATATGTCTGTTTTTATGCCAGTACCATGCTGTTTTGGTTACTGTAACTCTGTAGTATAATTTGAAGTCAGGTAATGTGATTCCTCCAGTTTTGTTTTTTGCTTAAGATAGCCTTGGCTATTCTGGGTCTTTTGTGGTTTCATATAAATTTTAGGATTGTTTTTTCTATTTCTGTAAAGTCATTGGTATTTTGATAGGGATTCCATTAAATCTGTAGACTGCTTTGGGTGGCATGGACATTTTAGCAGTATTGATTCTTCCAATTCATGAATGTGGAATATCTTTCCATTTTTTGTGTCCCCTTCCTTTTCTTTCATCAGTGTTTTTTAATTTTCATTGTAGAGACCTTTTACTTCTCTGGGTAAGTAAGTTAAATCCTTGGTTTTTAATTTGTAGCTGTTGTAAATGGGTTTAATTTCTTGAGATTATTTGCTGTTGAGATCATTTTTGTATCTTGATTTTGTATCCTGCAGTTTTACTGAATTTGTTTTCAGTTCTAATAGTTTTTTTTTTCTTTTTTTTTTTTTTTAATTTTTTTTTTTATTATACTCTAAGTTTTAGGGTACATGTGAACATTGTGCAGGTTAGTTACATATGTATACATGTGCCATGCTGGTGCGCTGCACCCACTAACGTGTCATCTAGCATTAGGTATATCTCCCAATGCTATCCCTCCCCCCTCCCCCGACCCCACCACAGTCCCCAGAGTGTGATATTCCCCTTCCTGTGTCCATGTGATCTCATTGTTCAATTCCCACCTATGAGTGAGAATATGCGGTGTTTGGTTTTTTGTTCTTGCGATAGTTTACTGAGAATGATGGTTTCCAATTTCATCCATGTCCCTACAAAGGACATGAACTCATCATTTTTTATGGCTGCATAGTATTCCATGGTGTATATGTGCCACATTTTCTTAATCCAGTCTATCATTGTTGGACATTTGGGTTGGTTCCAAGTCTTTGCTATTGTGAATAGTGCCGCAATAAACATACGTGTGCATGTGTCTTTATAGCAGCATGATTTATAGTCATTTGGGTATATACCCAGTAATGGGATGGCTGGGTCAAATGGGATTTCTAGTTCTAGATCCCTGAGGAATCGCCATACTGACTTCCACAATGGTTGAACTAGTTTACAGTCCCACCAACAGTGTAAAAGTGTTCCTATTTCTCCACATCCTCTCCAGCACCTGTTGTTTCCTGACTTTTTAATGATTGCCATTCTAACTGGTGTGAGATGATATCTCATAGTGGTTTTGATTTGCATTTCTCTGATGGCCAGTGATGATGAGCATTTTTTCATGTGTTTTTTGGCTGCATAAATGTCTTCTTTTGAGAAGTGTCTGTTCATGTCCTTCGCCCACTTTTTGATGGGGTTGTTTGTTTTTTTCTTGTAAATTTGTTTGAGTTCATTGTAGATTCTGGATATTAGCCCTTTGTCAGATGAGTAGGTTGCGAAAATTTTCTCCCATGTTGTAGGTTGCCTGTTCACTCTGATGGTAGTTTCTTTTGCTGTGCAGAAGCTCTTTAGTTTAATTAGATCCCATTTGTCAATTTTGGCTTTTGTTGCCATTGCTTTTGGTGTTTTGGACATGAAGTCCTTGCCCACGCCTATGTCCTGAATGGTAATGCCTAGGTTTTCTTCTAGGGTTTTTATGGTTTTAGGTCTAACGTTTAAATCTTTAATCCATCTTGAATTGATTTTTGTATAAGGTGTAAGGAAGGGATCCAGTTTCAGCTTTCTACATATGGCTAGCCAGTTTTCCCAGTACCATTTATTAAATAGGGAATCCTTTCCCCATTGCTTGTTTTTCTCAGGTTTGTCAAAGATCAGATAGTTGTAGATATGCGACATTATTTCTGAGGGCTCTGTTCTGTTCCATTGATCTATATCTCTGTTTTGGTACCAGTACCATGCTGTTTTGGTTACTGTAGCCTTGTAGTATAGTTTGAAGTCAGGTAGTGTGATGCCTCCAGCTTTGTTCTTTTGGCTTAGGATTGACTTGGCGATGCGGGCTCTTTTTTGGTTCCATATGAACTTTAAAGTAGTTTTTTCCAATTCTGTGAAGAAAGTCATTGGTAGCTTGATGGGGATGGCATTGAATCTGTAAATTACCTTGGGCAGTATGGCCATTTTCACGATATCGATTCTTCCTACCCATGAGCATGGAATGTTCTTCCATTTGTTTGTGTCCTCTTTTATTTCCTTGAGCAGTGGTTTGTAGTTCTCCTTGAAGAGGTCCTTCCTATCCCTTGTAAGTTGGATTCCTAGGTATTTTATTCTCTTTGAAGCAATTGTGAATGGGAGTTCACTCATGATTTGGCTCTCTGTTTGTCTGTTGTTGGTGTATAAGAATGCTTGTGATTTTTGCACATTGATTTTGTATCCTGAGACTTTGCTGAAGTTGCTTATCAGCTTAAGGAGATTTTGGGCTGAGACGATGGGGTTTTCTAGATAAACAGTCATGTCGTCTGCAAACAGGGACAATTTGACTTCCTCTTTTCCTAATTGAATACCCTTTATTTCCTTCTCCTGCCTGATTGCCCTGGCCAGAACTTCCAACACTATGTTGAATAGGAGTGGTGAGAGAGGGCATCCCTGTCTTGTGCCAGTTTTCAAAGGGAATGCTTCCAGTTTTTGCCCATTCAGTATGATATTGGCTGTGGGTTTGTCATAGATAGCTCTTATTATTTTGAAATACGTCCCATCAATACCTAATTTATTGAGAGTTTTTAGCATGAAGGGTTGTTGAATTTTGTCAAAGGCTTTTTCTGCATCTATTGAGATAATCATGTGGTTTTTGTCTTTGGCTCTGTTTATATGCTGGATTACATTTATTGATTTGCGTATATTGAACCAGCCTTGCATCCCAGGGATGAAGCCCACTTGATCATGGTGGATAAGCTTTTTGATGTGCTGCTGGATTCGGTTTGCCAGTATTTTATGGAGGATTTTTGCATCAATGTTCATCAAGGATATTGGTCTAAAATTCTCTTTTTTGGTTGTGTCTCTGCCCGGCTTTGGTATCAGAATGATGCTGGCCTCATAAAATGAGTTAGGGAGGATTCCCTCTTTTTCTATTGATTGGAATAGTTTCAGAAGGAATGGTACCAGTTCCTCCTTGTACCTCTGGTAGAATTCGGCTGTGAATCCATCTGGTCCTGGACTCTTTTTGGTTGGTAAACTATTGATTATTGCCACAATTTCAGAGCCTGTTATTGGTCTATTCAGAGATTCAACTTCTTCCTGGTTTAGTCTTGGGAGAGTGTATGTGTCGAGGAATGTATCCATTTCTTCTAGATTTTCTAGTTTATTTGCGTAGAGGTGTTTGTAGTATTCTCTGATGGTAGTTTGTATTTCTGTGGGATCGGTCGTGATATCCCCTTTATCATTTTTTATTGTGTCTATTTGATTCTTCTCTCTTTTTTTCTTTATTAGTCTTGCTAGCGGTCTATCAATTTTGTTGATCCTTTCAAAAAACCAGCTCCTGGATTCATTGATTTTTTGAAGGGTTTTTTGTGTCTCTATTTCCTTCAGTTCTGCTCTGATTTTAGTTATTTCTTGCCTTCTGCTAGCTTTTGAATGTGTTTGCTCTTGCTTTTCTAGTTCTTTTAATTGTGATGTTAGGGTGTCAATTTTGGATCTTTCCTGCTTTCTCTTGTAGGCATTTAGTGCTATAAATTTCCCTCTACACACTGCTTTGAATGCGTCCCAGAGATTCTGGTATGTGGTGTCTTTGTTCTCGTTGGTTTCAAAGAACATCTTTATTTCTGCCTTCATTTCGTTATGTACCCAGTAGTCATTCAGGAGCAGGTTGTTCAGTTTCCATGTAGTTGAGCGGCTTTGAGTGAGATTCTTAATCCTGAGTTCTAGTTTGATTGCACTGTGGTCTGAGAGATAGTTTGTTATAATTTCTGTTCTTTTACATTTGCTGAGGAGAGCTTTACTTCCAACTATGTGGTCAATTTTGGAATAGGTGTGGTGTGGTGCTGAAAAAAATGTATATTCTGTTGATTTGGGGTGGAGAGCTCTGTAGATGTCTATTAGGTCTGCTTGGTGCAGAGCTGAGTTCAATTCCTGGGTATCCTTGTTGACTTTCTGTCTCGTTGATCTGTCTAATGTTGACAGTGGGGTGTTAAAGTCTCCCATTATTAATGTGTGGGAGTCTAAGTCTCTTTGTAGGTCACTCAGGACTTGCTTTATGAATCTGGGTGCTCCTGTATTGGGTGCATAAATATTTAGGATAGTTAGCTCCTCTTGTTGAATTGATCCCTTTACCATTATGTAATGGCCTTCTTTGTCTCTTTTGATCTTTGTTGGTTTAAAGTCTGTTTTATCAGAGACTAGGATTGCAACCCCTGCCTTTTTTTGTTTTCCATTTGCTTGGTAGATCTTCCTCCATCCTTTTATTTTGAGCCTATGTGTGTCTCTGCACGTGAGATGGGTTTCCTGAATACAGCACACTGATGGGTCTTGACTCTTTATCCAACTTGCCAGTCTGTGTCTTTTAATTGCAGAATTTAGTCCATTTATATTTAAAGTTAATATTGTTATGTGTGAATTTGATCCTGTCATTATGATGTTAGCTGGTGATTTTGCTCATTAGTTGATGCAGTTTCTTCCTAGTCTCGATGGTCTTTACATTTTGGCATGATTTTGCAGCGGCTGGTACCGGTTGTTCCTTTCCATGTTTAGCGCTTCCTTCAGGAGCTCTTTTAGGGCAGGCCTGGTGGTGACAAAATCTCTCAGCATTTGCTTGTCTATAAAGTATTTTATTTCTCCTTCACTTATGAAGCTTAGTTTGGCTGGATATGAAATTCTGGGTTGAAAATTCTTTTCTTTAAGAATGTTGAATATTGGCCCCCACTCTCTTCTGGCTTGTAGGGTTTCTGCCGAGAGATCCGCTGTTAGTCTGATGGGCTTTCCTTTGAGGGTAACCCGACCTTTCTCTCTGGCTGCCCTTAACGTTTTTTCCTTCATTTCAACTTTGGTGAATCTGACAATTATGTGTCTTGGAGTTGCTCTTCTCGAGGAGTATCTTTGTGGCGTTCTCTGTATTTCCTGAATCTGAACGTTGGCCTGCCTTGCTAGATTGGGGAAGTTCTCCTGGATAATATCCTGCAGAGTGTTTTCCAACTTGGTTCCATTCTCCACATCACTTTCAGGTACACCAATCAGACGTAGATTTGGTCTTTTCACATAGTCCCATATTTCTTGGAGGCTTTGCTCATTTCTTTTTATTCTTTTTTCTCTAAACTTCCCTTCTCGCTTCATTTCATTCATTTCATCTTCCATTGCTGATACCCTTTCTTCCAGTTGATTGCATCGGCTCCTGAGGCTTCTGCATTCTTCACGTAGTTCTCGAGCCTTGGTTTTCAGCTCCATCAGCTCCTTTAAGCACTTCTCTGTATTGGTTATTCTAGTTATACATTCTTCTAAATTTTTTTCAAAGTTTTCAACTTCTTTGCCTTTGGTTTGAATGTCCTCCCGTAGCTCAGAGTAATTTGATCGTCTGAAGCCTTCTTCTCTCAGCTCGTCAAAATCATTCTCCATCCAGCTTTGTTCTGTTGCTGGTGAGGAACTGCGTTCCTTTGGAGGAGGAGAGGCGCTCTGCGTTTTAGAGTTTCCAGTTTTTCTGTTCTGTTTTTTCCCCATCTTTGTGGTTTTATCTACTTTTGGTCTTTGATGATGGTGATGTACAGATGGGTTTTCGGTGTAGATGTCCTTTCTGGTTGTTAGTTTTCCTTCTAACAGACAGGACCCTCAGCTGCAGGTCTGTTGGAATACCCTGCCGTGTGAGGTGTCAGTGTGCCCCTGCTGGGGGGTGCCTCCCAGTTAGGCTGCTCGGGGGTCAGGGGTCAGGGACCCACTTGAGGAGGCAGTCTGCCCGTTCTCAGATCTCCAGCTGCGTGCTGGGAGAACCACTGCTCTCTTCAAAGCTGTCAGACAGGGACACTTAAGTCTGCAGAGGTTACTGCTGTCTTTTTGTTTGTCTGTGCCCTGCCCCCAGAGGTGGAGCCCACAGAGGCAGGCAGGCCTCCTTGAGCTGTGGTGGGCTCCACCCAGTTCGAGCTTCCCGGCTGCTTTGTTTACCTAAGCAAGCCTGGGCAATCAATGGCGGGCGCCCCTCCCCCAGCCTCGTTGCCACCTTGCAGTTTGATCTCAGACTGCTGTGCTAGCAATCAGCGAGATTCCGTGGGCGTAGGACCCTCTGAGCCAGGTGTGGGATATAGTCTCGTGGTGCGCCGTTTCTTAAGCCGGTCTGAAAAGCGCAATATTCGGGTGGGAGTGACCCGATTTTCCAGGTGCGTCCGTCACCCCTTTCTTTGACTCGGAAAGGGAACTCCCTGACCCCTTGCGCTTCCCAGGTGAGGCAATGCCTCGCCCTGCTTCGGCTCGCGCACGGTGCGCACACACACTGGCCTGCGCCCACTGTCTGGCACTCCCTAGTGAGATGAACCCGGTACCTCAGATGGAAATGCAGAAATCACCCGTCTTCTGCGTCGCTCACGCTGGGAGCTGTAGACCGGAGCTGTTCCTATTCGGCCATCTTGGCTCCACATCCAGTTCTAATAGTTTTTTGGTGGCATATTTAAGTTTTTTCAAATACAAGATCATATCATTGGCAAACAAGGATAATTTTACTTTTTCTTTTCCAATTTGGATGCCTTTTCTTCCTTTGTCTGATTGCTCTATCTAGGACTTTCAGTACTATGTTGAGCAACAGTGGTGACAGTGGGCATCTTTGTCGTGTTCCAAATCTTAAAGGAAAGGCTTTCAGTTTTTTCCCCATTCAGCGTGATACTAGCGGTGGCTCTGTCATATATGACTTTTATTATTTTAAGGTACGTTTCTTCTATATCCAGTTTTTTGAGGGTTTTTCTCCTTCATTCTGTTGATATGACATATCACATTGATTTTCGTATGGTGAACTGTCTTGCATCCCTGGGATAAATTCCACTTGGTCATGATGAATGATCTTTTTAATGTATTGTTGAATTCGGTTTGCTAGTATTTTTTTGAGGATTTTTGTATATATTCATCAGGGATATTGGCTTATAGTTCTCTTGATATATCTTTGTCCGGTTTTGGTATCAGGGTAATACTGGCCTCATAGAAGGAGTTTGGAAGTATTCCCTCCTCTATTTTTTTGTAACAGTTGGAGTAGAATTGACATTAGTTCTTCTTTAAATGTTCGATATGGGCTTGGTGACTTCTGACAGTGTACCAGGCACTGTGCTACATGTCTTGTTTGTTTTTGAGACAGAGTCTTACTCTGTGGCCCAGGCTGGAGTGCAGTGGCATGATCTTGGCTCACTGCAACCTCCGCCTCCTGGGTTCAAGCGATTCTTCTCCCAGGTAGCTGGGACTATAGGCATGCGCCACTATGCCCAGCTAATTTTTGTATTTTTAGTAGAGATGGGGTTTCACCATATTGGCCAGGTTGGTCTCGAGCTCCTGACTTCGTGATCTACCTGCCTCGGCCTCCCAAAGTGCTGGGATTACAGGTGTGAGCCACCATGCCTGTCCTGTGCTACATGTCTTATTTGCTTTTATCTCTTTTCATTTTTATAACCAGGCAAATAAGATATTGATGTCTACATTTTAAAGATAAGTTGCGTCTTAACAAGATAAGGAAAACTGACAAAGACAATCCAACCTGGAGATGATGAAGCCCAGGTTCTAGCCCCAATATGTCTGACTCCTAAGTTCATTCCATGTACCATCCTGAGAGATGTAGTTTAGGAAAGAAATTTGCAGTTTAAGCAGAAATCTCATCTTCCAGCCCTTCTACATGATCTCATGGTGCTACCAGTCCTAGGGGCCCACTGTCCCACAAAAATGCATTGATCACCCCAGGCATTTATTCATGCTGATTCCCCTGTCTAGATAGGATGCCCCCTCCTACCCCTCAAACACCATTATCAGGGCTCAGCAAACTATGGCATACAGCCAAGTCTGACTCACAACTTTTCTTTTTTACAACTCTAGCAAAGAACAGTATTTTTACATTTTCAAATAGTTGAAGAAATCAAAAAAGAATAGTGTTTTATGACACATAAAAATTATACAAAATTGAAATTTCAATGTCCATATGCAAAGCCTTCATGTGGGATACATGCTCATCTGTTTACATATTGTCTATGCTGCTTTCACACTACAAAGGCAGAGTTAAACAGTTGTAATGGAGACCAGATGGCCCTCAAAGTCTAAAATATGTACTAACCTCTTATCTATCCAGTGCTTCTTGATCATTTAAGGCTCAGCTTCTTATTAAGTCTTTCTTGGTCATACCAGCCCATTTGCTCCTCACTTCTCCCCACTATGAATTTTTGGTCTGTTTTTCCTGTCTGGGAAAAGAAAAGGTTTTGATTCATTATTTCTTAACTTTGAATGAATGATTAGTTGTTAAAAGACATGTTGTAAAAGAAGTATAGTAGATGCAGAATTATTTTGAAAAGTTATGTAAAACTTAGGGACCAATATAATTTCTTCTAGATTAACTTTTCATTCTTCATCACGCTATGCATTGTATGCCTTGTCTTGTTAAAGTGTCACTGTCAAACAACTGTTTGTTGAATTAATGGAGGGCTATATGAAAAGCAAACTGCAAGGGTTAAGCAACTTGGTTTCATTATTTCCCAATTCAGAATCCTTCATCTGAGTCTTAATACGATCTAAATTTGCAGTCTCCAATCTGTGTCTGGAGACTATGTCATTAGGCCCCTGGTAGCACAGTAGCCACTAATTAAATCTTAAACCTCTTCTCTCACTGTCCTCAGCTGGATAAAGGCCAGTATTGTCAGTCCGAGGGAGTTCTTACCCTCTGTGGGAAAATTGTTGGCCGTTTCTCTCACTGGGCAAAATTATTGGATGTGTCTTCTGTATAGTAAAAATTACTGGCTGCATCTCAATCGGCGAGGCTTTTCTCTCCAGGGGCAAAACTGTTGCCTGCATGTCTCTGAAGGAAAATTGCCATCTGCCTCACTCTGTAGGAAAATTGCCAGTTGTGTCCCCATTATGGAGAAATTGTCAACCATGTCTCCAAACGGAAGAACGTGCCAGCCGTGCTTCCCTGTAGAAGAAATGTCAGCAAAAGTGAGCAATTTAAAGCCCTGCGCATGATTCCGAGCCCGTTCCTTTTTCATCGTGAGCGGACCCTCATGTCCCACTGGCTTGTTTCCTGTACACTCACTCTCATCTGCCCGCGTCATCACAGCCAGGGTGGGGGTGACATTGAAATGAGAGACACTTGGACCAAGGAGGTGTATTTCAAGGGATAGTTCAGAAACAAGCTAGTATGTGTCTGTGTCGCAGCCCAGACAGAAAACCCAGAAATCAGTACCACAACTGGTTCTTAAGATCTGCCTCAAACGGAAAAACACTAGGCTTTTGGACTCATTGCACACCAAGCTTGCCTTAAGCAATGCCTACTTCTGCATTACTGCTGCCTTCCCTATTGTTTTGGGTACAGACGCTTTGCTAAGTGATTCACAAGCAAGATCTCGTCTATTCTCACAACCGCCCTAGAACATAGGTACTACTATTATCTCCATTAAATGAAGCTTGGAAGGAGTCAAGCTGCTTGTTCAAAGCTCCATCATTTATAAGCAGCAAAGCTGGAGTTTCAACCCAGGCCACTGTGTTTGGAACCACCTATACTGTTAGTCACCACACCATCTAAGACAGAGTGAACAGGCCTTCAGGATCAGCTGTTAGTGGTCTTGGGCCCCTCCTAACCCCTCTACATGGGCATGAGTTCCTGTGAAATTAATGAAGGTCCAGTGTAAGGTCAAGAGAAAGGAGCCACACCCAGCAACAGCCTGCACCTGTGGTTACCTAATCTCTCTCTTCTCCTATCCCCAGAGTCCACAACCAGCTCACTGCATGCCTCCTTTCTGCCCTTGCTCCAGTTGTAATGAATGCTGTTTCACTTTAGGTTTCTCTAAAGTTGGCAGTCTTCTTCTTAATTCTTTCTCTTATTTTTGAATTCTTGAATAACTGAATTCAAGATTTTCCCCAGATTCTGGAACCTTATTTATTTACCCAGTCATCTGAGCCCTTTCAGGGGGCTCCCACAAGATACTTACAGCTCCATGGAGATCTATTCATATCTGTACATGTTATAACAGAAAACACGTCTACACAAGGCACATAAGATAGCCTATGGAATTTTAAAGGCAGTATTCAGTTGTTTTGACTATAGCAATATAACCCAAAGTGTATTCTGAGGAAGCCTGTACTAGAAAAACACTGAGCTGCAAATGATTTGCCAAATAAAAATAAAATGGAGTGGGGAGAAAGGTATGATCAAATAATACTCTGAAGTAGGATTAAAGCAGTGATTCTCAACCAGGGGCAGTCATGCCCCCTGGGGAACATTTGGCAATATCTAGAGACATTTTGGTTGCCACATGTGGGCAGATGGAGTCAGCAGGGCAGATCTAGTGAGTAGAGGCCAGATATGTTGCTGAACATTCTATAATGCCCCAACAATAGGGTAATTGCGTTGTCAACTCCCAAAATTGTCGAGGTTTCCCAAGCTTATTTGACTTTGGAATCTGGAATGCCTGACATATCACAGGTTGAACATTTTGCTGAAGTCACTTTGGAAAGGCTACCTAGAGTAGTGGGGATTAGGAAAGGGAAATGGAAAAGCCAGTGGAATTTCATAGATTTTAGAATCCAACAGCTGGGAGGGACCTGGTAGGCAACACTTACTCCTTCATATTACAGAGAAGGAAACAGGGTCAGAGAGTTGACAGTTGCTGAAAGCCACACAGATGAGAGAGAGTAGGACAGAGGTTAAGAACATAAGCTGGAAGTATACTGAGTTCAAATTCTGCCTCTGTTCCTACTAGCTGTGAGTTGTACCTGAGTTGACTGATTAGACTAATTTGTGGAAAAGTACTAAAACCTATGAATAGTGAGTGAGTTAATACATGTAGAGCACACAGCACAAAAGCTCAGTAGATGATAGGTATTATCAAAAGCCAGCCTGGACTTGTGCCCAGCCTGGATTCCAGCCCAGCATCCCTGAGTCTGATGTTCTTTCCAGTGTACCTGGATGGGCACAGGAAGAGGTGAGGAGCAACAGAGGCACCAAAGTGGGACTATACAAGGTATATCTAGAATGTGAGGAATCCTGGTTTGACTTGTTTGAACAGGGAAACAATATTGACAAAGCAAGGCAAGGCCCTGTTGTGGAGGTGGTGTGACAGATGGGCAGAGTCAAGAGCCCATCTCTACCACTGCCTAGCTGCATGATCCTGGTGACTTACTGAACCTTTCCTCCTGGTCTGTCTCCTTATCTACAAATGAGAAGAGTGATAGTACCTTCCTTAGAAGTTTGAGCATTAAAATGCAATAATGTATTTAAAGCTTGAGGACCAAGAAGTGGTAGCAAATGTCATTATTGTTGTTACTGTTACTATTGGGGTCTCCAAGACATACGCTCCTGTTGGTGAACCTGACATACCCCCAGTGGCTAGGACTGGGCTATCAGGTTTCTCACCAAGACTGCTTCCTTACAAAGGGAGCAAAGCTCTTCTTGTCTCTCCCTTAGTTCTCTTCCTCTCTCCTCTCAATGTCTCTATTTTCTGGTAGCTAATTGGAAACCTTGCAGGTCAGCAGATTCTCTACTGTCATGCCAAGCCAAGGGTCTCCAGGAGAAAGGCTAGTGTTGATTTGTCCTAAGTTCTATCACTCAGGCACCAGATACTGTTGTTCAACAAATTTTGCACATCTCTGATATTGCAGGGGGCATGAGAAGTAAATTTTATGGAACACACACTGGTGTTCCATTTACCTTCCACTAGCCAGTTCCATAGCACCATGATTTCCGTCTGATAACACAGTAAAATCACACTTATTCACAACTGTAACCACATTTGTGTGATTGCTAAACATTTGTCCCCTCCTCTATCCTGTGAGCTCACTAGGAGTAGTGCTGGATCTGTCTTGTTCATTATTGTGTCTTTAGCATTTGGTACAGGGCCTGGCACGTATCGAAATACTTTTTACTTGTGGACTCTAGCTAATATACTATATTGTGCATGTGTGTGTGCCTGTGCATACAAGACACTTAACTTATAAATGAATGCTCAGCAAGGTCTTCTACATGGCATCATGATTAAGAACAAAGATTTTGAAGTCAGATAGATGTGAGTTCAAAATGCAGCTCTATCTCAGTGTGTCCCTGGACTGGTTATAAAACCTCTCTGTGCCTTAGTTATCCACATATATAAAATGAAGAATCATAATTCCTACTTCATAGGCTGTTTTAACAACTAAATGAAATAAAACATGTAAAGCACAGGGCCTGCAGTATTATAAGCTTCCCATCAAAAGTAATTATTAATACTATTAAATGCTATTACCCAAGGAAGGAAAATAATTCCTGGAGCTGCTATTAAAACTTGAATATACATAGATATGTCATGAACTACAAAGTGCTGTGCTGGTATGTTATCTGTACCTTGCCCTCTGTGTGCTACCTAAAGCCGGCACTCCACAAATAAATGGTGGTAGGTTGATTGAAGAATTGTCATCTTTCATTTCACATCCATCTTGTGAAGGTGTCATTGTGAGGCTTTACAGTGTTGCTGCACTGGCTTCCCAATATGCCAAGTATTTGGGAAACAGATTCCTATGTATAACATTGAAAGGCACCATAAACATATACAATTTTGTTGTCAATTTAAACATTATAAAATAGATTTGAGTTTAAAGAAGAGAAAATGTAAACATTCTTTATGTCTTTCAAATAGTCCGCAGGTTCTGTACTCCTTGGTCCCAAATTCTCAAGAGTCTTGTTGAATGAGATATGACTGGCCAGCACAGAAGCAGTGCATGCTGAAAATGAAAATAGTGATGGCATATACTGAGGACCTACTGCGTACCAAGCTTATATGCCAAGCAATGTGGCTCCTCTTTTTGCAGCTGGGAAAACTAAAGCTGGAGTAGTAAATAAAATGATCATGGCTAGTAACTGACAGAGGCAGGAATTGATGACTCCAGAGCACAATTTACTAAGCCCATCCACTTTACTGCCTCTGGATCAGGTGTTTTACTTGGAATTTCCAAACCTCCAATACTAATGACATAGCTGTTAGTTGAAACTAATGTGAAAATTTTCTTCCTATCTAGTTCTCAACTATGAAGATACCAATCAGAATCCAGGGGCCTTCACTAATACTCAGCCGAAGCCCAAAAGCTGAGGGCAGAGACTAAGACATTGGGTCAGAGGCTGTAATAAGCCATGTTTTTCTGTTTCAATGATTTTTTTAAAATTTTTGCAATTTCAATTCTGATTGATCAGGGCTTTTGTTGCTATTCTCTTCAATGGTTCTGTGAAAATTAACGTTTTGGCTTAGTTCACGGTTTAATTCAGCAACTTAATTATATACTTGGGTTCTTTATATAGAATTCATTACTGACTATGCGAGTGCATTGAGCAGGCAGGAAAGAAGTAGTCTTGGAGGATAAGTTAACTCAGCAACCTGCAGGCCAGTGTTTGGTTCAGCCTAAAATTGTGATATAAACCCTTATTCGGTTTAGCCATACACAATTGCCATCTTTGTAGGTCAAAAATAATTGAATGTCAGCAAATGCATATGTTTCAGCTGAATACTATACATGCTAAGCACCCAGAAGGCAAAGAATCTGTTAATTTATCTGGCTTTGGCTCCAGTGAAGCAACAAATATTCATTGAACATTTGTGAGTAAGACTCTGAATACGAAAATAAGACCAAAATCCTGTTCTCAGGAAGCTTATGTCCTAGTTGAAGAGATAAAACAAACTCATCAGTTGTTAAAATAATAATAATAATGTGAAAAATGATAGTTCCATTGTAAGAGAGTACCTGAGCAAATACTAAATAAATGACCAGACCAAGCATGATAGGGCTTCAGAGAAAAGAAAAGATCATTTGGGGTGAAATAATATGTAGTAGATGAGGTATATGCATCAAAGAGTATTTGGATCAGTGAAGAAAGAATCAGGCAATGAATAGAAGTGGGAAATATCGAGATATACTCTATACATCCAACTTAAAATCAAGGTAGAAAGAATTAGAGGCAGTTTGTGATGGGCTCCAATAACATACTGAGAAGCCATGCCTTTTTCCTGTAAGTGGAAATCAGCTGAAGCTATTGAGAGAGATAATAAGAACCTGGATATCAGTGCAAATAGACAATCCACACAAAAGACATTGTGGGTTCAATGTACACTATTTGGCTAATGGTTACACTAGAAGTCCAGACCTCACCACTATGCAATATATCTATGTAACAAAACCACACTTGTACCCATTAAGTTTATACAAATTTAGAAATTTTGTTAATTTTAAAAAGACATCATAGTTACAGTTTACATATAAGGAAACCTAAGGCACAGAGAAGTATCTTGCCTAAGGTCACACAACAAGTAAATGACAGGCTTAGACCCAAGGCAGTCCAGTAAGAAAGCACCACTTTTTTTATTTCTTCCTTTTCTGAAGACAGGATCTCGATCTGTTGCCCAGGCTGGGGTGCAGTGGCCCAATAGTAGCTCATCCACCCAAGTAGCTGGGACCACAGGCATGCCCCACCATGCCTGGCTAACTTTTTATAGCAATAGAATCTTCCTATGTTATCCAGGCTGGTCTTGAAATCTTGGGTTTAAGTGATCTTCCCGCCTAGGCCTCCCAAAGTGCTGAATACAGGCATGAGCCACCACACCTGGCCAAAGTTTCACTATTAAACACCGTGAGCCAACAAGAGAAATGAAAACATATGACCAGACAAAAACTTATACATGTATAATCATAGCAGTGTTATTCCTAGCAGCTAAAAAGTGGAAACAACTCAAATGCTCATAAAATGGATAAACAAAATGTGGTATATTCATACAATGGAATACTATTCAGCCATAGGAAGAATGAAGACCTGATACATGCTACGACATGGATGAACCTTGAAAATTTTATGCCAAGTAAAAGGAGCCAGTCCCAAATGACCATATATTCTATGATTCTATTTATGTGAAATTTCCAGAATGAGAATCAGAAAGTAGATGGTGTTTACCTAGTACTATAGGAGCAGGGAATGGAAAGTAACTGCCAATGGATATGGAGTTTTTGGGGGGAGGTAAAGAACATATTCTAAATTTAGATTATAGCAATGATTTTGTGATTATACTAAAAACTACTGAACTCTACATTTTGTGGTATGTGAATTGTATCTCACTAAAGCTGTAAAACAAATTTTTTTAACTATCTTAACATGACTCCAGATTTTGTGCAGTGACACCCAGATACCAAGGGAAACAGAAACAGAGTTAGATACATAGATCTGTCAGTGCCAGATCTATGATGGGACGGGTCCCATGCCAGTCCTTCCATGAGAATTAAAATCCAGAAACTAATGACAGCTTTTTCCGCTACCAGAGAGATGACAGTTCTCTATTAGCAACTTACATTCTGCAGACACCAGCCCTACTTAAGACTCTCAGTTACACTGTCAGCTTCCTAGCCAGTCCAAACATGTTAGAGTCAGTTGATAAGGATTGCTAAATTTGTCTTGTTTTGCTTTTGTTCTGCAGTTTTTGAAGAGCCGGAAGATCCAAGCAACAGATCATTTTTCTCTGAAATTATCTCTTCGATTTCGGATGTGAAGTTCAGCCACAGTGGGAGGTATATCATGACCAGGGACTACTTGACCGTCAAAGTCTGGGATCTCAACATGGAAAACCGCCCCATCGAGACTTACCAGGTATAGAACCCCAGGCACCCATAGGTATATTGAACATTCCCTTCATGAGCTTTTAAGTCAGCCCCTGCTTCCAAAGGTTTACAGTGCAGCAAAATGGAAGGCAATGCATGGTGATACATTCAGTAAAATGGTACAGGCTATAAGTGCCACAGGATTTAAGATAACGGTACATGTGGAGAGGCTAGAATTCAATTTAATTGATATGGACAGAGCACTTCATGTGGAATGGACACTATAGAGGTAAACAAATGGTCCTGCTCTCATGCAGCTTACCATCTGGTGGAAAAGTCAGATGATGAACAAGGAATTGAGTGTGCCTCTCTGCAAGAGATGGTCCAGCCAGGTGAGAAAGGTTTTCCCAAAGAAGTGACCCTTAAACTGAGTCTTAACTGCCATGAACTAGTCAGGAAATGCATGCTCTTAAAATAGTGTGTTCACATGGACGCAGGAAGGGGAACATCATACACCGGGGCCTGTCAGAGGGTGGGGGGCTCAGGGAGGACTAGCATTAGGAGAAATACCTAATGTAGATGACGGGTTGATGGGTGCAGCAAACCACCATGGCACATGTATACATATGTAACAAACCTGCATGTTCTGCACATGTATCTCAGAACTTACAGTGTAATAATTAAAAACACAGTGTGTTCAAAGGCCTGGTGTCAAGAGAAATGAGGTGTGTTCAGGGTGCTTACACCTTGAATATGAATCACAAAGGCAGAAGGATGAGCCTGGAGATAGAGGCAAGGGGCTGATCACTAGGCCCTGGTAATATACAGTAGGCTGTTTTGCCTGTGGACTGGGTACAATGGAGGACCATTAAAGTTTTACACCAGGAAATAACATTGTGAGTTTTACTTTTTACTGTGTGTTTCACTTTGCAGTTTGCCAAACAGACAATTTAGATAAGAGGAGATGATGGCAATTTGGTCTGGTGATGGTAGCGTGCAGATGGAAGGATGGGTAGGATGAAGAGTCAGTGAGGTTTGCTTACTGATCAAATGTGCAGGGAGAGGGAATCAAGAAGACTGTGTGGAAGTTTTGGATTTAAGTGTTGGGTGGATGGTGTAAATGCAAGGAAACAAAGGAAAAGGCATTGTATAGGGTGGTTTTGTTGAAAGAGGAAGACCAGACTTTGAAGTAGAGAGGACTTAAAGAAGCAAAATCCAGGTCCAAGCAAGAGTATAATGAAAGCAAAGATCAAGTGCTGGAGATAAACTAACCCTATTTTAAGCTATTTGGGGTTAGATAAAAAGAAGTGGGGGATTCTAGACAGAAGGATTTGACTTACATTTTTTCCTTGAGATATAATGTACATAATAATCAGCCTTTCAAAGTGCACAATTCAATGATCTTAGTTTACTCACAAACCACCATTATCTAATTCCAGATCATTTTCATCATTGACATTTTTAAATGAACATTCTGGTTGTGCTGGGGAGGAGAAACTGTGGGAGGGACATTGGAAGAGACAGGAGAATAGTTATAACATTCTGGCAAGCGGCAATAGTAGCTTAGATGAGTGTATTAGCAATGAAGGTAGCCAGATTCTTGATATATCTCCAAGGTAAAAGCAATAAGGCTTGAGGACAAATTTGATGCGGGATATAACAGGAAAAGAAAGAAGCATCAAGGATTACTCCAAAATTTTTGTCCTGAGCAATTAGAAAAGTAGAGTTGCCAAGTTATTTAGATGAGAAAATCGAAAGTTTGGTTTTGGCTCTGTTAAGCCAATTAAACATCCAAACAGACACAGCAGGTAGACACTTCAATGTGAGTCTGGATATATTTAGCTTCAAGATATAAATCTGACACTCACAAGTATGTAGAGGGTATTTAAAGCCATAGGACTGGATGAGATCTTCTAGACAATTAGTATAATTAAAGAAGAGGTCAGAAAATATGACCTAGTTGAGAATAGGAAGAGGATTTGGCAAGAGAGATTTGGGGAAACTAGCCAGTGAGATGAGAGGAGTGACTAGGAAGCCAAATAGAGAAACTGTCTTAAGGAAAAATAAGTCATCAACTGCCAAATGCTTTGCTGAATCAAGTACAGAAGACTACGAACTTGGATTTAGTAAGTGGAGATTATCAGTAACCTGAATGACAGAGGAACAGCAGTAGAGCAGTGTGAATAAATGTCCAATTGGAGTGAGTTCAAGAAACTGAAGATGGGAACATTATGAGGACAGACAACTGTTTCAACAAGTTTGCTCTGAAGGAGAACAGAGAAATGGAAGGGTAGCTGAAATGGGATTCTGGCTGAAGGAAGTTATTACAGCATGTTTTCTGCTGATAGGAATAAGCCACTAGAGAGAGAGACCATTAGAGAGAGACCGCTGAAGGAGCAAAGCCCTTGGGGGAAGCCAGAGGGGATGGAGTCCATTGCAGAATTGGCTGTAGATGGTA
Source organism: Homo sapiens (assembly GCF_000001405.40). Taxonomy (NCBI): domain Eukaryota; kingdom Metazoa; phylum Chordata; class Mammalia; order Primates; family Hominidae; genus Homo; species Homo sapiens. Next base: position 146,597,881 of record NC_000005.10, on the reverse strand, counting down.
AGATGCAAAGATAATTCATCTATCAAAGGAAGGAGAGTAGTTTTCTTATATAGATGAAGTAGGTTTGTGAATTTTGTGATGGGAACATGTAGGTGTTTTCTTTAGTAAAATAAGTAGTAAGGTCATTAGCTGAATGGGAAGGAAGAAAAGTGGTAAAGTACTCATCTAAGAGAAATGTTGTAGGGTGGTAGGGTTGCTCAGGGATCCACTTGAAATCTATATAATTGCTTTAAAGGGAAATTAACCTGTATGATTTTATGTTTCTTCCCAGCCACATTCACCTGCTTGGTACAGGTAAACAAAGGGTAGAAAGTAAGATTTAACCAGTGATGGAGTTTTGCCAAATGAGTACAATGGAAAGAGAGAGCAAGAAAGGCAAGCTTGTTGAATATATATGCTAAAGGAGTGATTGATTGTAACGATGTACTGCTGAATCGAAGGTAGGGAAAAGGGGAAATAATGAATTTTAAGAATTGATAGAATCAACATACTAGAAGGAGTGAACTAAAAAGACAGGAGGTAACAACAGCAACAGGGATAGCAATGACAGGTACAGGGATAGCAATGACAAGGTTCATAATATGACCAAGGAAGCAAAGGACAAAACACATTGAATAGATGAGACCATGTAAGAGAGAGACTAGAGTGCCTGAATAACTAAAAATAGTGGCAGGAATAGTAATGGAAGAGAGACAGAGATACAAACTTGCTTCAAGGGATGAGGATTAGGGACTCAGAACTTTTGATGGCTGAAAGAAGGACAGGTAGCAGGAAGCTTAGTTTGATGGCATGACTTCAAAGGAGTTGAAGACTTTAAATAGGAATAGTTGTCTGGAGCAACAAGGAGCCCAGCTACCCAACACTGGCATGTGGAGTGACAGCAAAATTCTAGCTACCACTTGAGTGTCTTCAGAGGAGATCCAAATTCCAGTCAGAGGAAGAAGAAGGAAAGGTTCAGAGAGGAGGTTGAAGACTTTGATGACTCTGTGTTCCAGCAGGGCTGGAGAAAGGTTTGGGAGCCAGAATTCACAGCCATATATGTAGTGGAGATAGCTTTGTTTCCCCTGTGGTCCATCGTACTCCCTGTTATTTAGTGTTCCTGTCTCCTGAATCCTACCTCGACTTCAGGGCTTGGCTCCACATCACTTGCCCCCAAGCTTTCATTTGCAGCCCTTCATCTTTAGCCCAGGACTAGAGTCACCTCAGTGTCCTCTTCCAGCTGCATAAGACAAACCTTACAGGATTCGAATCCTTAATGCAAAAGAAAGGGCAGTGGGAACTAGGACCCATGTGTGGCTGCTGGGGAGCCTTAACTAGGAAGAGTAGATTTAGGACAAAGCTAGTTTTAGAACACAGCCAGCTAGCTTTTACGTGAAGTAATTTAAAGATGATGGTAAACAAACTCTGATTCAGTGAGCCTCCAGAACACCATGATAGATTGTGAGGTCCAGTGGGAAAGAAATTAGTTAATAGGTTGTGAGGTCCAGTGGGAAAGAAATTAGTTAATGAAAGATCAGTTAATAATGCCTGCCCTGGGCAAGGAGACAGGTAATGCTACTATTATACATTTTCATACATGCATTCACAGATCTCAATCACATTTCCGTGAATAAAAGGCTGCAGACTTAAGTATGATTAGCTATTTTCAAGTTTTTCCATAGAACAAGGGTTGGCAGACTGCAACGTGTGTTCCAAACCAGCCCCCTATTTGTCTTTGTAGGTAAATTTTATTAAGACACAGCCATGTACAGTCATTTACATATCTTCTATGGCTGCTTCCATGCACAATGGCAGAGTTGAGTAGCTGTCACAGAGACCATACGGCCCACAGAGCTTAAAATATTTACTATCCGGCCCTTTGGAGAAAAAGTTTGTCAACACTTGAAATATAAGAACGGACCAATAGAGTTGGCTCTTTGTTTGCCTCATAGCAGTCCACTAACTATATGACACTGGACTCCCACAAATAAATATGAGAAACACTGTACTGGGACACTCAGTCTGGCGTCCAAAATCCCATGCACAAATTAATAGGATCATAGAAAAGTCATACTAGGAACATGAAGAAAGAACATCAAATAGGATGAGTTTTAAGTTCTCTCTTGCTCCAAGCTCTAGAGGTTGCTCATGTATACATCTCACTTTATTCTTTCCTCTAGTAGAAAAAGGTCCCTCTGGTTTGCCTAAGAAGACTTTTTTTCTGTGCAACAAAACATAAATACAGCATACCTTCATAGTAGACATTCTTTTTCTTTAAATGCTGTCAATTGGAGGCAGATAGGAGCTACCCAGACCTTAGGTATGGTGGAGAAATAATGGTTCAGACTAGGTTTTCCCTTGAATCTATCCCAACTTCTATCTTTCAAGAATTATTTACAGAGTTCTCAGCAATGTCATTCCTGCTAATGGGCGTGACTTCCAAAGCACACATGTTTTGACACTTATAGAAACACTGCAGGTGAGTAATAAGACAAAATGCCGAAGGTGAATGGTGACAGATGAGGAAAGGTTCATCACAAAGCAGACATATGGAACTAGACCTTAAAAACCTTGCCACTGCCCAGTTTATATACCTTTACTGCTGTGCCCCCTAGTGAAGGTGAATGAGTTAGTTTATAGCAGAGATGCCTCTGTAAGGGCAGGACACAGCCTCACCCTTGCAGCCCCCAAATGCACCTAACAATGCCAAGAGCACTGCTGTAGGGGTATTCCCTTGTCACCAAAGCACTGAAGCTGTTACCCTGACAAGGCCTGGAACTGTTTGGAAGTGAGAGAGTAAAGGTGGGGGAAAATTAATTTGCAGAGTTAGAAATAACTTCCTCTGTCCAAATAACTCAGAGCTTTTCAAATACCCAGAACATCTAATGGAACATAGGATGAGCCTGACCTCGTTCCTTTGCCCAAGACTAAGAGCCTGAAGCTCTGCATCCAGCAGAACTGTTGGAGTCGAAGGAAGAGAAAGAGCCGCAGTTGCAGGAAAAAAGAGATCGAATCATCACTCTTAACTTAAACACCAATGCCCTTGGTAGCCTCCCTCTGCTTTCACACAGTTCTATCTCCTTCTCTCTCAGCCTCACTTGAGTTCATTATCACAGCTCCTGTCAAGGACTGAGGACCCACCAGAGCAAGCTGGAGGCAGGTTGCTAGTGCAGCTCAGAGTGTGCACTCCAGAGCCTGATACCGGGGCTCAGTTCCCTCCCCTTCTGTCACTTTTTCTGTGTGATCTTGGACAAATGATGTCATATCTCTGTGCTTCATGCTCCATTAAAGTAAAGAGAATGAAAGTACCTACATCATAAGATGGCTTTAGAGATGAAATGAGGTTTTGACAGATAAAGCACCTGGCTAATAATGACAAGCCAGCATATTGGGTATGCCCGTTATTATTGCCACTCCGTGCTAGTGGGTTCAGGAAGGATTACCTTCAAAACAGAGAACCCAGGCTACTACTCTCTGAACCTTATTCATCTATTTGGCATCTACAGCTGAGTTGCTGAATGTAGCTGGAGAAAAATATTCAACTATGCTTGATGAGCCTTATTTGACATACATGTCCAACAACGTCAAGTGTCCCCTGGTGCCTTCCAGAAATCTGACACTGTTTCTCAACCCTTTCTCTCTCCTGCTCACTCTTAGTTGATAACCATGCTGGCTGCTTTCACTGGAAAAGAGAAACCAGGAAAGAATCGCCACATACTCCAGGACAGCACCTTTCACCTCAGAGTCTACTCGACAGCTCCACATGTAGACATCTCTAAACCATTGTACCCAAAAGTGAACATGGTACCTACTCCTTCCACTTGCTCAGGAGAAAGATCAGGGAGTCATCTTTGACTCCTGTTTTTCTCTCCACACCTCAGAGTTGACCCAAGTCCTATCTGCTCTTTCCCTAAACAAAAGGAGAATCTGACCAGTCCCCATCACTGCTCATGCCCTGGTCCAGGCCAGAATCTATCACTCAGGTTATAACTGGTCTCCCTCCCTTTGCCTTTGCACCCTTAGGATCCATTGCAACACAGCAGATTCAGCAATCCTTTCTGTGAGGTCTCTTCTTCCTCAGAATAAAGGGCCTATGTAAACTGATCATCCTCTCCCCCAGCTGCTTACTCACTCCTCTCCCACCACACTCCCTCCAGGATTCCTGCCTCTAGGCCTTTATGTTTGCTGTTTCCTATGCTTGGAGAGCCTTCCCCTCACCCCAAACCCAGACATCACTGTGGCTCATTCATCTCCTGCAGGCTTCTGCTCCAGTGCTACCTCATCCAGTGAAGCCCTGACTACTTGCCCTGTATAAAATAATACACCCCCGACAAGATCTCCCAGGCTCTTTTTCCATACACTTTTGTTCTATGATTTTATCACCATCTAAACATCTTATTTATTTACTTGGTTATATAATCTGTCACCTGACACTGGGTCAAAAGCACTGCAAGGATATTTGGCTCACTGCTGCATCTCAAGTGCGTAGTAGGTATTCAGTAAATATTTGTTGAATAAAAGACTGCATGAATGGTGATCTCTAATGCCTGTGAGCAAATCAGCTTAGAAAATGAGAATCTACCACTTATTTAGTCTTACTGGATGCCACTGTCTATACAAGCAAGCTTGATTAATCCATATCATCTACATGAGAAGCTCATCAACCCATCCTAATGTCCTACAGCTAAAAGGGCCAAGCCTAGGTTCAGATCCAAGGCCATCTGATTCAAAGAGCATGTACAATGAAAGATTTAACAGCTCACATCAGAAGAGGAGGTGTTTGCAGAAATAATTACTGTTTAAAATAATAACTGACCTTCTCGATATGTTTCCTCTCCAGGTTCATGACTACCTCCGCAGCAAGCTGTGTTCCCTCTATGAAAATGACTGCATTTTTGATAAATTTGAGTGTGTGTGGAATGGGTCAGACAGGTAAGAAAGGCTCTGTGGCTGAAGAACCTTCCAAAGATTGTCTTGAAGAGGCTCAGGGAATTTATCCTAAGTAGAGTACAGCCAAAGGGAGGTCAAAATTGGGCCCCAAAACCTGGCTGAAATGCATAATGTGGGCCCCTAGTGACCCTTGAAGTCAAGGCTGGAAAGAAGAGAAGGATGTAGTAAGGCCTTTGAATCCTGTTTCTGAACTGGCACAGATAACACCTTAATGTTAATAAGAAAGTCCTATCTTTTTCACACAAGACACCTCCAGCACTAGGTCAACATGCCTAAATGAAGATCACTTATCCACCAGCAAATTCCAGCCTGAACAGTTCAGATTAATGCCAAGTAGGCTTTCCAGATCAAAAATTATCCCTTGAAGCTGCTAGTGGAGACCTGGCCAACGGCCCTGGTAGTTCATTAACTGAATTCTAGTCAACCTCATTTATCACATTCCCTCAAAGTGATTTATTACTATTTTAAGGCCTTTGATTTGAACAGTGCTTCATAATACCTCCCAATAGTTCATTTTTAGTTTGACAAATACAAATGATTCTCTGATTTCCATGAGAACTAAGTGCAAGCTACCAGGGGCTGATTTCGTTCCTTGATGAAGGTGGCACCAATAATAGTGTTTGAAAGCATAGAAATTCTGTTATGGCAAGACATTCAGAGATTCAAGCTTTCAGTGAATATGAACTGTCTCTCTCTCACACTCCACCTGTTTCTTGGCTTTCTTTGCCACTGATCCAAAATGAATCCCCTCCTTAGCAGGCTTGGAAGGAGTCTCCACGTGGCAAAGGACCCAAGTCACACTGACCAGTTGGTATAGGACAGAGAGCAAAGCAACTGTGACATAAGAACAAAATCCACCATGGGAAAAAGAAGCCAGCCCTCTCATTTTATTATTTATTTATAGGTATTTATTTATTCATATATTATTATTTACATATCTGTTATTATTGCTCAAGTTTTTCCTCTATCTTAGCCTTGATTCAAAAATTACACTTATTAGGCACCTACTATATACCAAACACATTCGTACACATCATTTTATTTAATCCCAACCACAGTCTAACAAGATTGCTTCCATCGTTCTCATTTTACAGTTAAGGAAACTGAGGCTTAGCAAGATAAAGTAATCTGCCCAACCTCATAAAGTAGTAAGTAGTAGAGACAAAAGTAACAAGTTTAGAGTTTGAATCCTAAGATCAACACTCTTTCTATAACATCACAACTGGGAAGTTTAATTTCTCTTTCAGATAAGGTTGGTAGTCTTTTTTTTTTTTTTTTTGGAAAATAATCTCTTACTTGTTTAAAAATAAGTCGGGTCATGGTGGGCAAGCAAACGTCAAAGTATGGGAAGCAGTGAGGCCAACCGGCTGAATACTTATGCCCCAGAGTCAACCATATGTGGGTTTGAGGGTGGACTTTACCACCAATTAGCAATGTGACACTGAGCAAATTACTTCTCTGTAAAACCCTTTTAGGGGATAATAGAAGTTGAAACGAGATCATGGAGGCAAAGCCCTCAGCGCCCTGCCTGACAAGGTGATAACAGTCCACTCGAGTACACAGACACAGTTCACAGTATCAGTTTGATGAGCCAGAGTAACAAAATCTAACCTTTGCTTAATTTACCTGGTACAGGTGACAACGTGCCCAAAAACACATCCCCCTTGCTGTGGCCCAATCTTGTCAGCTTTTTCCTTCACCTCTCTACACATCCCAAATCATTTGAGAAATACACGAGAGTTCCTGCTCTCCCATCTTAAGGAGCCAGTCAGAGCTCCACCCAGAAATGAGTAGGAGCCCCCCACTCCAGGGGAACCACCGTGTGATGGCACTTGGGGTACTTGCCCTGGCCCAAGGAATCTCTCCCTCCCCACCTCAGCTTGTCACCGTGTCTGAAATGTCACCATTAAACATTCAGTACCTTGCCTCTGGAAGACATTGGGTGTTTGCCACTCTCCTGATCGATTGCAGCTATGCCTAAGAGGGGATAACTTATAAAAATGTGGAAACCATCTGTCCATTAAGTGTGGGAAAAAAACCATATAAAATCTTTTTATTTCTCCATCCCAGATTCTTTTAAAATTTGAATTTCCTTACTTGTTTCCTAGATAAGACCATGATGACATCCATTTCGTAGATAAGTTTTCTAAAAAGGCCGAATTCAGAGCTAGTTCTCGGCAGGGGAGAGGTCGCGCCCCGGGTTCGTGCACGATGCCACTAGCATCTCTCCCCTCACTGCACTGATGCCATGAAGCCTTAGAGGCCAGACGGCCCAGGAACCCTGTTGACAGTGGCCAAACCTTAAACACGTACAACTGCTTATTGTTTTCAAAAGTGTGTCTACTTCGACAAACCTCATTCTAGTCTCACATTCCTGATGGGAGGTAGGTAGGACTGGGATCATTAAAACCAGTGGACACCTTTTCTGAGCCAAAGAAGCAAAAAGAATCTATTGAGCAAAAGCAAATTACAAGGAGAGTTCTCACCATCCCTCATTTCCAAACCCAGCCAAAAATCCTATTGCTTTCAGTGATTCAAAAAAAAAAAAAAAAAACACAAAAAAAAAACAAAAAGCCAATAATCACACTGCAGAGCCTGTTCTCATTTTTTGGTTTTTGTTTTTAATAAAACCTATGGTGTCATAAGCTGGCCATAACATGGTATCATTTGCTCCAAAAAGAAAAGACAGTGAAGATATGTCATTGCCTTTGCTCTCTGCCTTGCAGTGTCATCATGACAGGCTCCTACAACAACTTCTTCAGGATGTTCGACAGAAACACCAAGCGTGATGTGACCCTTGAGGCTTCGAGGGAAAACAGCAAGCCCCGGGCTATCCTCAAACCCCGAAAAGTGTGTGTGGGGGGCAAGCGGAGAAAAGACGAGATCAGTGTCGACAGTCTGGACTTTAGCAAAAAGATCTTGCATACAGCTTGGCATCCTTCAGAAAATATTATAGCAGTGGCGGCTACAAATAACCTATATATATTCCAGGACAAGGTTAACTAGGTGGACAAGTTATTACTTAATAATCTCACATACTGAATACTAGTCAAACAAGTTTTTAAATGTTTCTTTGGGTCTTCATTTGATGCATTGACTTTAATTTCCCTATACAGGAAATGATTGGAATAGAATTAAAAGGAGTCCAACATTCCCAGCTCCCCAGTTCTAAGAAACTTTTGTCAAACCCAATAGGTTTGGGACACTTCTGTTTAGAATTGAAAGCTGCCAGCTAACAGTAATTCTTCCATAGTTGACTTGAACTTCTGATGCTTTTATTGCCCAGTTTTCTCTGGTGGGTCCAGTGTTTTGTTCCTAGGTGTCTGCTGCGATAAAATGAGGTTGTCTGTAGTATTTAAGGAGAAAAGAGATAAGTTTTTTTTAATTAAGCAATTCCATTTGATTGAAAAAAATCAACAAAAAATAAACACCGTTTACTCTTAGACAAATTCTTCTTGTTTTGTGAAAAACCAGAACTAGTCAGTATCTCCTGCCCCTCCACCATTTTTTTTTCCATTTTCCATTTTCCTTTGAACAATTTCATTTAAGCCAGAGATTTATTGCATGAAGCTGAGAAGAGGATGCAGAATGACAAGGAAAGGGCACATCAACCCTGCTATGCTCTTTTTTTGTAAGCTCCATAGAAACAGCCTGAGAATTTGGCTAGGGAACTTGAATGCTTCAGGGGACAGAAAGAGAGCACTTTCGACACAGTGCTTCCCAGAGTGAGCTTGGCAGGGCCAGGCGGGGCCAAATTCCATCTGCTGCCTTGTTACTCTTGCTTTTTGTGCTCTTAAATGGCTCCATATAATCTTCTACTTACATGTTCCTTGGCTTTTTTCTCTTCAACCTTTTCCAGCTTATTTATTCCATTGACTTCTAAAGGCCGAGTCCTGGGTGCTTATTATCTGGTGTTCTAAATGAAGCAGTAAGTTGGAAGCAGTGCCACCACCCCTGAGTCCCTGAGAAAGGCTGGTCTGTTCTTTTTGGGTGTTTCTCCTAAGCAGCACCCTCCCCTCCTCCTGGTTTTGGTAACCAAAAGTAACAATCCATCAACCTCCATTGTACCTAGAACAAAAATAGCCAATAAAAACGCTGAGTTGTGAAGTCCAATCAGGCACTTCTAACTCACCCCAAGCTCGCCATCTGGAAAAACAGACCAGAAGGCTCTCTTCTACAGAAATGAACTGTGGGGAAATCAAGCAGCTGTGACATGAAGTGAATGAAGTCCACTTGAAGCTGTGGAAGATGGTTCATCCTTTTCCCCAGTTGAGGATCCAGATTTATAACTTCTAGAAAGCCATTTCCAGAAGGTTCTATGTGGCACACCCCTAGGAAAGGCACTAAATGCATGCAAAGGATTTATAAACTTAGGAAAGTAGATGGGTGGAGTCCAGAAAACTGGTTCTGGGTTAATATCTCTACATCTGTCTTGATGACTCATTTCTCCTAACTCCCATTTAGTGCAGGGTAAATGGTTTGAGATGAGAGTTTTTCAATGAAAGGGAAATTTTCTTTCAGTTTACAGATGTATTAGAAGTCCTGACTTTCAAGTGTAATTTGCTTTGGAGGAGGAAAAAATAGTGAAAGAATCATTTTATCTCAATTCTAAGCTACTATCCATTTACTAATAGCTTTTTGGCAAGGAAATAACTGTCACCTTAGGTAAAAACAGTCTTGTTAGATGCAGCCCAATTTCAGGAACATTAAAATGTAAAAAAGTACGTCTCAGAATTGAGGGAGCATGGGAACAAAGACGAGACTTTCTCAGTATTTCTCATTTTTCCTGCAAGGAAAGCCTCGCCTTAGGCATCTCAAGTAAAGTGGCTAAGGTGTAAACTCTCTGGGCAAGATTTCTGTCCTGACTGGGACAGTGTTCTTGGAGGAGACATGAGAGAGTCAGAAACTTCTGCCAGTCATAGAGAGTGATGATTTTGCAGAAGGCCACTGGGTTATTGGCCTACATTTACCACCGACTTCCTTTATGGCCTTTTCTCCACTTCTCCGGACTCAGCTCCTCTGTCTGTACCACGTCGGGGGTTGGGACCAATCATTGTATCTCAAACTTAAGAATCAACTCACATTTGTACTATTACTCATGTAACATTTTTTTAAGTCACCTTTTCTTAAAAGCAAGACTTAGCCTCCTCCAAAGAAATAATATGCATGAAATTTCAACTCTGATATGCTAGGTTTTTCCCTAACATTAATCACATAATTATCAATGTAACAAACATGCACCCACATACCACCTGAAATCATTTTGTGAACCACCAGGAGCATGTGTATCAAACTTTGGGACCCTGAGTAACTGATATGACAGAAGATTTATGCCCTTAGGGGCATCAAAGATGGTGGTTCTTCACATATTAGAGTCAGCAGGGCTGCCCATAACACACACAGGAATAATTTTTGTCATGGTTTAAGGAGTTCATAGGCCCCTTTGCAGTTTATCTGCGAACTCCAAATAAAAGCCCCTACACTAGTCCAACACCCTTAGCATATAGATGTACAAACTGGGATCCAGAGTAGGATGAGTTTGCCAGAGAAGAAAGAGCAGAGGGCAGCCATCCTCTCCTCCATCCCCTGCAAAGGATGCATTAGAGCAAACACCCAAGACTCCTGGACGGGAACAGGAGGGGAAAGCCCTAGAGATTAGGCCTCAGGGAGCAATAACCACCACGATGTTTCACAAATTAACTGTTCTTTACCAGGTACTGAACTAGGTATTTTACATGTGTGATCTTTCAGCCCCAGTACTGGCAATATTTCTTAGTTAGTGGCACATAGAAGTCAGTCTGTTTTCCTGCTGACACTAAAAACTACTTGAAGGCTGATTTGCTACCTTGCAACAGTTGGTTCGATTCTAAGGGCCCTATACTACTTTACCCCACAAGGCCTGCTGCTTGGTAAGAGCCATCAGATTACAACTGGAGGGTGTCAGTTGAATGAAGGAAAATGGAAGCCACGCCATCCCTGGCTTTTACAAAAACCATCCTTGCGCAACATTCAGTTCCTGACGTTAAAAACAAGTAATGCAAAAAGCTGAACTTTGGTAGACATTCGTACTCTTCTGTCAGGAGGAGGAAGATTAGTTAGAAAAAACAAAAAAGGAAGATACTAGCCAGCATCAAGAAGTGGGATATATAAAGGCAGATGGGCAGTGGGAATCAAGTTGCTTCTTAACTCCTTCAAGTTTGGCTCCTGCCTTTACTCTTCCATTGAAAAAAAAGCACCTTTAAACCTCTCATTGATCTTGTAATTAATTCAACCAAATCAACTTCTATTAGGCAACCAGCATATATAAGATGGAACAATTGCAAGGTGGAATAAAGATGAAGCTAAAATTCTGCTAGCTCAGTGGCCCAATGAAATAAGTCAGCTATCTCCACTAAACTTCCTTTGAATATTCTAGGGTCCATTATAATAAAAGGTACACACTCAAATGCCCAATTTCTAAGGACTTGAAAAGCCATAATTTCCCTCCCTTCAAGCCTACAGAGCAACTGCCTAAAGCTTCCCTCCCCAGACAACCCCAGGCCTCATTTCTTTTTCAGTCCCTTTGCTAGCTGCCTGCAGGGCTCAAGAAAGCCCTGGTAGGCCTCATAATGAGGATTTAGGGATGACACTATAGTCCACAGCCTGAATGGTGGAACCCTTACTAATTTTCCCTCTTCCGTGATGAATGTGTGGATGAAGCCGGTGTGTTTTTAATAATGCCACCCCACTTCCAAAACAAATCCCCTGACACAGTCTTTGGACATACCACCCTGAATGCACCCGATCTCATCTGATCTTGGAAGTGAAATGGAGTCAGGCCTGGTTAGTCTTTGGATGGGGGAAGTCTAGACACACCACTGAGAAACATTCACACTGCAACCTGATTCACTGTGCATCCAACATGCCTTCATCCACCTCTTCCCCCTGAACTTCTAAGTCAACTCTCAGGGACTGCTTTCCAAGGGAGCAACCAACCTGGTCAGTGGAAAAAGGATGAGACTGGGAGACAGGAAACGTGGGTCCTGCTCCTGGTAACCATGGAACTTAAGCTACCCACTCAGTCCCTATGTCAGTGTCATCACCTGTAAAATGGCCAGAAAGACATCTATCCTAGCTCAGAGAATTGTTATTGGGAGAACAAGAAATCCATTTACTTACAACTATTTTGATAGGTTTAAAGCACCATAAACTAATAATAGCAACAACAGTGATGGGTAATATACTATTGCTTTCCATGCCTCATCTCATTATCTCCTCTCCCAGACCCCATGGTGGCATTAGTATTTCCATTTTGCAAATGAGAAAATAGACTCAAGTTGTCAACCTAGCCAAGGGCACAAAGCCCGAGAGAGATGGAACCAGGACTCCAACTCAAGGTATCTGACTCTAAAGCCAGAGCTGTTAAAATACAGCTCTAACATACAATAGTTGCTAACATTTATTGAGCACTTATTATAAGCCAGGCTTTGTTCTACAAATTTCACATGTATTGACTTATTTACCCCTAAAACTCCAGATGCAGATACTATTGTTGTTCTCATTTTATAGATACAGAAACAGATGAATGACAACCAAATTTACACAGTTCACAAGTGACAAAGCCAGGCAGTTTTAGTTAAAGTTCTTATCCACTATCCCCATCATACATTATGTGTGTGTGTGTGTGTGTGTGTGTGTGTGTGTGTGTGTGTGTATGCATGTAGATGGAAGTTACTGATCAGAAAACAAGCCCCAGTAATGACCCATAAGCTCAATGAATTAAAGATTCATTGGTTGCCTGGGATGTGTCAGGCAGCCAGGTTCTAGACAAGGGGCTGGAGTTACTAAGATATTTAAACCACTGGCCCCTGCCCTCCAAGAGATGACACTCACATAGGAGAAAGTGCATATTTGCATACTGTAAACATTTTTACAATGAGATATCTATGAAGGGCAGAAGTCATACAGAGGAAGAAATAGTTAATCAATGAGTGATAAGAAAAGGTTCTCAGAATGTGTCATCTAAGCAGAATTTTAACTAAATTTGCTCAACAAAGCATGATACAGCGTTTCCAATAGGTAGACCAACATATACCAGAATATGAAGCAAAATCCATATGGCATGGAAACAGAAAGCCAATGTTTCTCTCCTTCCATTAGAAACACATTTTCGACATACTAGAACTAGCCTACCCCTTTTTCCTTTTGTTCATCCAATAACAAATATTTATTAAACCTTATTTTAAGCACTGTATTTAAGTGTAAAGTAGACGGAAAGAATAAAAGGAAACCAATATTTCCTGAGTAGTTATTGCAATGACAGGCATTGGGAGAGGCACTGTTTTAAATCATTGTTAATCACCTGATAGGTAGATGTATTATTCCATTTTTATAGCGAGAAACAGACTCAAAAGGGTTAGATGACGTAGCAGGAAGTTTTATCTAGATCTATCCTGTTCCAGATCCTATACTTCTTCCATCACAGTTATTGGTAATGCAGAGTTACCTTGGCTTGATTATTTTCCCTAGCGTGGATACTCACAAACACGCCATTTCTCTGTGACTAAATATTGCCTGACAGCTGACCAAGAATACAAATTTGGTCTGTCATCAAAGCAGAGAGTGAAGTCAAGTGGCTCACAGGTCTCCAACTTCTGACTTTGACCTTATTATGACTGATTAACTGTCCCCCAATTTAGATATTCCATGCCCCATTGGTTAAACTGCTGGTGGCAGAACCATCATGATCTGCCATCTCCGCTGATCCCTGCCTCAGCTGCAATCAAAGCAATGATCACTGTCAGGCCAGAAGAAGGGGCTTAGCCACTGCCAAGACAGATCCCAGTCCACTCCCAGCCTTCCCGCCCCTGCTGCTCATTCCCCAAAAAGTCAACCTGGGTTTTCCTGGGTGAACAGTGCCCACTGAACAGCTCCTGCTTGCCCATCTCAAGCCCTCTCAGTTGCCACTCCAATCATTTTGGCTGCTGTATTTGGTTTGAGAAAGAGTGGAGAGGACACTTCTTCATAACTCATATTTGACAGAAACCCAGAAATTGTAGGAACAAGCCATGATTGCTGTGATTCTTGCTCTGGTTGGCTAGGGATGCCCTCCCTTCCAGCCAGAGTAATACATACTTGTGGGAGTCATGGAAGACTGAGGAAGCTGGAGTAGAAGGGAACAGGGGCTTTCCTCAGTGGTAAAAGGAAAAGCAACATTTTGGAACTCTAAACAGTTGCTCAGTTGGGCGAATTTCATGCATTCATTCATTCATTTACTAAATGGTTAATGATTGTTCATGTACTGCCTGCCAAGCCCATGCCAGGGTGGTCTGTGGAAGCAGCAGTGACAGCTCCATCTTCACACAGCTCACAGATAGCGGGAGGTGCAGACAAACTCACAGGCAATGGTGGCAGTGGAATGTCAAGAGCCCAGGATACCGAGCCTGCCAGCCTGCCTGCCTGGGTTAAAATCTGAGCTCCACCATGTAAAAGCTGAGCAACCTAGAAAAATGACAACCTCTCTGTGCCTCGATTTTCTCATTATGAGATAAGGATAAAAACGACATCTATCTCATAAAATTGCTGTGAAGATTGCATGATTTAATATGCACAAAGCTCTTAGAAGGATGCCTGGCCCACAAATATGCATTCAGTGCACATTTCTTGCTACAGTTCTGCTAATCCTATAAAACATATGCACTATGATGGATGTGTCTGGGTGCCAGGAGGACACAAAGGAGCACTAACTCATCCAGACCAGAAGCTTCCCAGAGGAGGTGATTCCCAAGGTGAAATCCGAAAGATAAAGGGAGTGAGTTATCCAGGAGAAGAGAAAGGAAAAGCATATTCCAGACATCAGGATAGGACAGTGGAGGCAAAACAGCATATGCTATATATATATGGAATTCACAACACTCTGGTATGACTGATTAGTAAAAAGTAGGAAGGCAGACCAAGAGAAATAAGGAGACATGGTAAGGTGAGTGGGCAATAATGCATGATCTGAAAAATAATAATGCATGGACTTAGTGTGGTTCACATATCAGGAGCTTCTCCAATAGCCAGGCTATGAGGCACTAAAATGAGGAAATATGGTTTCCAAACTTCGCAAATACTTATAGTCCAGCCACAGGGGATATACTGATAAACTCAGCTCAAATGTCACCTCCTCAGAGATGCTTTCTCAACCACCCTTAGTTCCATGAGGACTGCATCATTGTTTAGGCCACTCCTGTATCCCCAGAGCACAGAACATTGTCTGGCTCATAGTAGGTGCTCAAAAGTTTTGTTGAATGAATGAACAAATAAACGTGTAAGGAAGTCAGGCACAGCACTTGCCCACAGGAAGCTTATAAGATGAGCGGCATGCCATTGGGAGTTTGAATGATATATGGAGATCCAAACAGGGCATCAGAGGACTGCTCAGAGGAGTCAGGGAATTAAGAAAAAATTGGGAGCCAGTGAGCCAAGATGTGTTAAAAGCAAGTGATCAAGCTTAGATTGCAGTGTTAGTTAATAGAGCATATGTGTCCCTGCCTGATGCATTACCTTCCCTGCAGTAGTTAGCCTTCTGGGACCCTGAAAAGCATGCAGAAAGGTTGACAGCTTACAATCAATACCATGTTCACTGATGCAGGAAGCAACATTATCACATCCAAGATATTGCCCCCACACCCAGGCTGCAGCACTAAATATTCCCCATAACAAGGCAAAGGGAAGTGACAAGAGCTATTATTCTCAACCCTCCCACTTGGAAACAAGAGGTGAGACAAACCTTCCCCTAGATGTTCTTAGGGAAAGGCAAGACCCCCAAAGAAATCTTTCAGAGCTGAGCACATGCCTAATACAGCAAGACAGGGATGGGAGAAGATTGGCATTTTCATTTGCCTGGGTGTCCACAATATTGCAGGGGAAGCTCTGTGGGCAGCTGGGAAATACAACAATAAATTGGAGGGGGATGAACAATAGGGTCAGTGGGGCTGTGTGCTGAGTGAATGCTGGATTTTATTCTACATGCCCAATTCACTCCAATAAGATAAACTTGACTTCCTCCAGTGTGGCTTTCTTATTTCAGCTTCTCTGACTGTGGCATAATTGAAAGTCATATTTCATCTAGACCATTGGTTTTCAACTCCAAATGCAGGTGGCTTATGAAGACTCAGCCTGAATATATAAAGAGAACAGCAAACAATCATAGTTGCATATTAAAGACAATCTATTTCTCCGTAAAGGAAAGTAAAGTGAGTCATATTACATACAAGCCACAATACAGAACTGATCTGAAATACACTGCGGAATGGCCTTTCAGTCTATGCTGGACTCTAACAGGAAAAAGGCAGAAGGTGGTCAATGGTGCATTTATTTAAACCCCTCATTTCCTCCCTGACGAGAAGAAGGACAACAGTTCTTATTTTTCATATTATTTTTGAAAAGGCAGAAAGGTTAATTATATATTGACATGATTTGGATCTGTGTCCTCACCATAATCTCATGTCAAATTGTAATCCCCAGTGTTTGAGGTGGGGCCAGGTGGGAGGTGATTGGATCGTGGAGGTGGATTTCTCATGCATGGTTTAGCACCATCTTCTTGGTGCTATTCTCGTGATAGTGAGTAAGTTCTCACGAGATCTGGTTGTTTAAAGGTGTGAAGAACCTCCCCTCTGTCTCTCTTGCTCCTGTTCCTGCCATGTAAGATATGCTGGCTCCCCCTTTGCCTTCTGCCATGATTGTAAGTATCCAGAGGCCTCTCCAGAAGCTGAGCAGATGTCAGCACCATGCTTCCTGTACAGCCTGTGGAACCATGAGCCAATTAAACCTCATTCCTTTACAAATTACCCAGTCTCGGGTTTTTCTTTATAGCAATGCAAGAACAGACTAATAGAGGTAATTTGTGATGTTTCTTGATGAAAGAATCAGCTGAAACTCGAGAATTAATACATTCATTGAAGATCAGACAAATATCATAGAAACCGAGAAAGTATCCATCATGGAACAAGAAAGTTCAGCTCAAAAAGCTGATTTTTTCAAAGTACAAAATGAAATACCATTTCAGGCATGGATCATGACTCAAAGAAGCTCTTCACTTTGACCAGCACGGGGTTGATTCATTAACTCCATTGTTCTCAAATGAATCCCACGGTGTCCCAAGAGAAACTCTGGAGAGGCTTCACCAAGAACAGTAATTATAGCTTTTCCATGTTATCTAGCATTCAATAAATTCTTCCTAATGTGACCTCTCTCTCTCTCTCTCTCTCTCTCTCTCACACACACACACACACACACACACACACACACAGCCTCAGTGTCCCATTAACAGGCTTCTTTCCTCTCAGGGAATCATCTCGGAATTCATTATCCTTGTAGAAATGGAGGATGCTTCCCAGCTGCATAAGGACCCAAACTGGAAGCAAAGATTGTAAATTTTTTTATTGTATTTTACATCAGGATTGGGGATCCATTTACAAATTAAGGCTCCACTGGCTTTGTTGATAATAAGGTTATATGACTCCACATAAGATTGTAACGACTTCCTTTTTTACATGCTCGTTATTACATAACTGTCCAGGTGGTGAGCAGTAATTAAACATTATTGCTTTTGGAGACATTTCAACTTACTCAGGCACTTTTGTGACCAGAAGGATGGTGACAACTTCCCAAGGTTACATGAAGAATTATTCCAAGGCCAGGATAGAAACCAGGTCTTTTGAACTTCTAAAATCAGTTTTATTTCATTGTTATTGTTGTCTTTATTTTTCCATGTGCCTAAAACCAATGAGTCGACATCCTTGATAAGAAGTTTTAATTCCTACCCAGGAACATTCAGCATTTTTGCCTGGTGTACCATTCAAAGACAGGTCTGCAAGTAGCCCTGGGGGAAGTGCCTCACACCAAGCCTCACTGACATCCATGTTTACACAAATGGGCTCACTGCATGTATCTATCACATTAAATATCATTTACCCACAAGATTAAATATTATTTTTCCTTCATCTGAGCAACCAAGTATTCCATACCTGATCATATGTCACAGTGTAAGATACAAACAAGGCACAATCCCTGTCCTTAAGGAATAACATCTAATACGAATGCCATCTCAACAGGATGACTTAAATACAACATGGTGTATGCAATAGCAGAAATATACATAGATTATTATGGGTACATAGAGTTAGAACATCTAATCCCCTGAAGATGAAAGTGAATTAGACCTTCAAAGATGACCGGGGCCGATCGGGGAGCACAAACATGAGCAATGGTTAAGAAGCACTACCTCTTTCTGAGTAGCACAAGCAGTTTGATTTTGCTGAAAGGAAAGACTCTTGGCTAAGACTGTCTCAAGTGCTAGTGAGGTAGCAGGGCCCAGATTGCAGAGGGCCATTTAGAGAGCTTAGACTTCACTCAAGCTGTGGAGTGCTGCTGGAAGATTATAAGAGAATTGACATCGTTGGAATCACATTTTTGAAGATCACTTTGGCAACTGTGTAAATGACACATTTGTAGTGGACAAGATTGAAGGCAGGGAGCCTACTTAGGAAGCTATTGAAGTGGTCCAGGAGAGAGATTATAAGAGTCTGAACTAGGGATGAGGGAAAAACTGAAGAAGTAAAATCAATATAACTTAGAGAGTGATTTGATGAGTGCTAAGAAAGAGAAGTGGATGAAGATGCCTAGATTGATAGCTAAGATGATAAACAAAGGCATGAACAGAGACGGAGAATAAAGAAACAGTGGTAGGTTCAAGGGGGAGGAAAAGATAGAGTCTAATTTTGGACATACTGGATTTGAGAAGCCAGTGGAGCAGAGAGGTGAAGAGAGATCCCCCAACAGGCCTCAAGATAAAAAGATCTATCACTGGAATGTCACTAAATATGATGGAGAGTTAGTCATCAGTGTGTAGTGGTCTTCATGGAGGCGATGACCCAGGGAAAATGCAGAATCTGAATATGTTAGTGAGGAGAGGACCCCAGGATACAGGGGAAGGAGACCACCCAAAGCAAAAGAGGAGGAGGCATCACAGGTACAAGGACCATTAGCAACAGATATCATGGAGATGGAGATAAGAGAATAGCGTTCTGTCTTTGAAAAATAGTTTCTCCAAATCATATTTACAAAAAAAAAAACCTGGTAGAAAAGTGGGTATGGGACTTGAAGGCAATTCACAAAAGACAATATTCAAAAGAATCAATGAACATAAAAAATGAGAAGGTTTGACACTAACAAACGTTGGCAAAGACATATTACAGCTGGAACTCTCATACACTAGTGGCAAGATTATAACCCAGCACACTTTGGAAAACTCTTTGTTATTACCTAGTAATATTAGATACTCAGATTCTATAATCCAGTAATATAGAAATCAATGAAATCAATCAATACTAACATATGGCAATACATATAATACCCTATGTTATACCTTATGACCAACTTCTAAGTAAATATCCAACAAATGCGCATATAGTACACCAGGAGAGAAATTCATAGCAACACTATTCACAAACGCTAAAATTAGAAAATACAAATGACCATCAATAGTAGAACAAAACAGTATGTTCTTCCCACAAAATGGAATGCTATCAATGAAAAGGAATGAATGATAATTCTTCACAGCAACCTTATGAATCTTACAAATATGAGGTTGAGAAAAAGAAATCAGACAAAAGAATATACGTTTTCCAACTACAATTACATAAAATTCACAAATGTGCAAAACAAGACTATAGTGTTTAGGGTGGTACTTAGGTGGTAAAACTATAAAGAAAAGCAAGAAAGTGGTTACTTTAGAATTAATGACAATGGTTGTCTGTAAGGGAAAGAAGAGAGAATGACCAGGTGGAGGGATTCAGAGGGGCTTCAGGGAGGCTGACACACTACAAATTTACCATTTTAAAGGACTTTCCCTTTATGATAATTCATTAAGTTCTAGATTTGTTCTTTGTGATTTTCTGTTTGTGTATTATACTTCATAAAAAGATATTTAAAAGGCTAACACAGGGACCAAACACCCTAACAACATAAGTTAGGATTTTTGGGGAAAACAGTCCCAAATGCATGTCATGAGCCCTGAAACGCCTCACTGCACCACAACCAAGGACAGTATATTTATGACAACTATGAGTCATGAAAAACATATTAAGTTAGTGCCATATTTGCAGCTAGACAAGGCAAGGAACCAAGAAATGCATACGTAACAGGATAAAGGAAAGTTACAAAGGTTGCAGCAGCTTTGACTGAAAGGGAAGCAGTGCTCAAGTTAGCAGTTGGGGATAGGTTTAACTTCTCTCCTTTCAGAATTCTTCCTCACTCTCCCACTTTCAGTGATCTTTTTGGGACAATCCTTAGAAAGAATAGCCACTAATTAGCAACTGGCCTCTCATGAGAGATGGGGGTAGAAAAGTTGCCTTCCTGCATAGCTATCTGGGCACATTACTGAAATATTTCCATCCAATTTTTCCATTTACATCAAATATTTACATTCATGTAATTAAATAAGCAAATGCACTAAATAGGCCATTATTAATACAATCAATATTTGTTTTTACTACCCAGAATTCTGATGTTTTTCCCACAGTAAACTCTCTAGATGTCATCTTAGGATGGAATACTCTTTCTTGACCTCCAGCCATATACGGTGAATGAAGCTGACTTCATTCCTAGTTTCAGGGATGGAGCAGTGGGGCTGGGCAGTTTAGTGATGACCAAAATCAGGCCAATCAGGGCAAGCAAGACTCAATTCTAGGGCTTCATTTGAGGAATCAGGGAACTAGATATGTTCTTTATGAAGGTGAAAAAAAAAGGATTAGGAGTAGGAGCAGCTGCAGCCATCTTGCCACCATATGAAGCCTAGGAATGGTAGAATCCAATATGGCACAGTTGTTTAGAGCAAAGGTTGGTAAATTCTTCTTATAAAGGGTCAGATAGTAAATATTTTAAGCTTAGCAGGTGATATGGTTTGCTGTGTGTCGCCAACCAAATCTCATGTCGAATTGTGATTCCCAATGTTGGGGAGGGACCTGGTGGGAAGTGATTGGATCATGGGAGCTAATTTCTCCCTTGCTGTTCTTGTGATAGTGAGTTCTCAGGAGATCTGGTTATTTGAAAGTGTGGTATACCTCCCCCTTCGTTCTCTCTTCCTTATTCTCTGGTCATGTAAGACATGCTGCTTCCCCTTCACTTCCCAGTCATGCTTTCTGTACAGCCTGCAGAACTGTGGGTCAATTAAACCTCTTTTCTTCATAAATTAACCAGTCTCAGGTAGTTCTTTGTAGCAGTGTAATAACAGACTAATACAGAAAATTCGTACCAGAGAAGTGGGGCACTGCTATACAGATACCTGAAAATGTGGAACCGACTTTGGAACTGGGTAATGGGCAGGAGTTAGTAGAGTTTGGAGAGCTCAGAAGACAACAGGAAGTTGAGGAAGAGTTTGGAACTTCCTAGAGACTTGTTAAATGGCTGTGACCAAAATGCTGATTGTGACACAGACAGTAAAGCCCAGGCTGAGGTGATCTCAGATGGAGATGAGGAACTTATTGGTAACTGAAGTAAGGGTCACTCTTACTATGCTTTAGCAAAAAGAATGGTGGCATTGGGCCCCTGCTCTAGAGATCTGTGGAATTTTGAACTTGAGAGAGATTATTTAGGGTATCTGGCAGAAGAAATTTCTAAACAGCAAAGTGTTCAGGATGTGGCCTGGATGCTTCTAAAAGCCTATGCCCATTTGCATAAACAAAGAAATGACCTGAAAATAGAACTTACATTTAAAAGGAAAGCAGAGCATAAAAGTTTGGAAATTTTGCAGCCTGACCATGCAACAGAAAAGAGAAACCCATTTTCTGGGGAGGAATTTAAGGCTGCATAAATATGTGTAAAGAAGAGCCAAATGTTAATATCCAAGACAATAGGGAAAATGCTTCCAAGGCATTTCAGAGACCTTCACGGCAGGCCCTCCCACCACAGGCCTGGAGACCTAGGAGGGAAAAATGGTTTTCTGGGCCAGAACCACAGCCCTGCTGCTATGTGCAGCCTTGGAATGTGGTGCCCTGCATCCCATCACTCCAGCTCCAGCCATGGCAAATGGGGCCAAAGTACACCTCTGACCATTGTTTCAGAGGGTGCAAGACCCAAGCCTTGGTGGCTTCTATGTGGTCTTGGGCCTGCAGGTGTGCAGAAGGCAACAGTTGAGGTTTGGGAGCTTCCACCTAGATTTCAGGGGATGTATGGAAATGCCTGGATGTCCAGGCAGAAGTCTGCTACAGGGGCAGAGCCCTCATGGAGAACCTCTACTAGGGAAGTATAGAGGGTAAATGTGGGGTCAGAGCCCCCACACAGAGTCCCCACTGGGGCACTGCCTAGTGGAGCTGTGAGAAGAGGGCCATGGTCTTCTAGAGCCTAGAATGGTAAATCCACCAACAGCTTGCACCATGTGCCTGGAAAAGCTGCAGGCACTCAATGCTAGCCCAAGAAAGCAGCAGTGGGGGCTTTCCCCTGTGGAGCAACAGAGGCAGAGCTTCCCAAGGCCTTAGGAGCCCACCCCTTGCATCAGTGTGGCCTGGATGTGAGACATGGAGTCAAAAGAGATTATTTTGAAGCTTTAAGATTTAATGTCTGCCCTGCTGGATTTCAGACTTGCATGGGGCCTGTAGCCCCTTCATTTTAGCCAATTTCTCCCTTTTTGAATGGGGGCATTTACCCAATGCCTGTAACCCCATTGTATCTTGGAAGTAACAAACTTATTTTTTATTTTACAGGCTCATAGGCAGAAGGGACTCGTTTCATCTCAGATGAGACTTAGGACTTGGACTTTTGAGTTAATGCTGGAATAAGTTAAGACTTTGGGGGACTGTTGGGAAGGCATGATTGTGCTATGAAACATGAAAAGAACATGAGATTTGGGAGGGACCAGGGGGTGGTATGATATGGTTTGGCTCTATGTCCCCACCCAAATCCCATGTTGAATTGTAATTCCCAATGTTGGGGGAGGGACTTGGTGGGAGGTGATTGGATCATGGTGGTAGATTTCCCCCTTCCTGTTTTCATGATAGTGAGTTCTCATAAGATCTGGCAGTTTGAAAGTGTGTAGTACTTCCCGTTTTGCTTGCTCTCTCTCCTGCTTCACCACAGTAGGTTGTGTTTACTTTCCCTTTACCTGCCACCATAATTGTAAGTTACCTGAGGCCTCCAGCCATGCTTCCTGTACAGCCTGCAGAACTGTGAGTCAATTAAAGCTCTTTCTTCATAAATTACCCAGTCTCAGGTAGTTCTTTATTACAGTCTGAGAACGGAATAATATAGCAGGCCATACAGTCTCTGTTGTGACTGCTCAACTCTCATTGCAGTATGAAATCATCTACTGACAATCTATACATGAGTGTGACTGTGTTCCAAACAAATACATTTATTTTAAAGTTACTTAAAATAATTTTTTTACAAGAATGGGCACAGGTAGGATTTGGCACACAGGACATAGTTTGCCTAAGCCTGGTTTAGAACATGGGCTTTAGAAACAGACTACATGGATACTAATCCTGAGTCCATCATTTGCACACTCCTGAACAAGTTACTTAATCTCTCTATGCTTCACTTTCCCCACTGTAAATGCAAGTGATAATACTACCACCTCCTCATAGACTCATTTTGAGGGTTAAGTGAATTAGTAAATGTAATGTGCTTATAAAAAGCATCTGAAACATTGAAGTACTATATGTGTTAGCTGTTATTACCATTATCATCATGATCATTATCAAAGGTGCCAAGAGACAGAAACCCAGTCCCGTGTCATTTGACTCCCAGATCAAAATGAGCTAAAAGCCGTTAGCCCAGCCTATTTAGTTACCTGAGATAATAAATTTCCTTTTATGCTTAAATTAGTCTGAGTTGATTTTCTGTCTTATAACTAAAGTCATCCCATCTGACTAAATGAGGGAAATCAAGGCAGGGATGACAATTCACCTAATGCTTATAACGTAACTTCTCTCATTTCAGCACCCATCACAGAAATCAATCAATCACAGAATTCTCACTCATTGAGCCCAGAGAGGGCCTCAGACATGTTTTTCCCCAAAAACAGGACTCTAAGCAATCTTTACTGTTCAATCAAAGTCAGCATATGAAATGAAACTTCTCTATCCCTGCTTTAGTTCAAGAATTCTAAAAGTTGATCTCCAGTAATATTAATGAGCTTTGTAAACATCCTCCTAGTATATTTTGTAATAGATAAAAATTTTCCAAAAAAAACAGACATTCTTAGGTGTGTGGTCTCTTTTTCTAACTCCTCACTTGTGAAACTCCATTCTATTTCAAACCCATATACTTTGCAGAAAAACTTGGGAGCTGTATTAGTTTATTCTCATGCTGCTATGAAGAAATACCCAAGACTGGGTAGTTTAGAAAGTAGAGAGGTTTAATTGACTCATGGTTCTGCATGGCTGGGGAGGCCTCAGGAAACTTATAATCATGGTGCAAGGCACCTCTCTAGAGGGTGACAGGAGACAGAATGAATGCCTAACGAAGAGGGAAGCCCCTTATAAAACCACCAGCTCTCATGAGAACTTGCTCACTATCACGAGAACAGCATGGGGGGAAACTGCCCCCATGATTCGATTATCTCCTACCAGGTCCCTCCCATGACATGTGAGGATTATGGGAATTACAATTCAAGATGAGATCTGGATGAGGACACAGCCAAACCATATCAGGAGCACTCTACAGTTCTTTTATCTTTACAAACTGACTTTCTTCAAGAAGGTGCTCAATAAATATTTTCCTGAAAGAGGTCAGCAGAGGCTGCTAAAGAACAAGTTTCTCCTCTGACCCAAGAAGTGATAAAATTAATAGACTTTAAAATGTACAGTGTCACTGATGTATGTAACGTCATTAATCTACAGTGGAAAAACAAGGGAATAATTAACTTGATGTGTTTTACATTCATAAAATAAGGGGCTTTTAAATTCAGAATACAAATGAGCCAGTAACCTTAATACTTTGTTTTTTCTTTTTCTTTTTGACCCTCATTCACCTTATTTATTTCAAAGGGGTTCAGATTTTTGTAAGCCCTTTCAACTTAGATGACAAGGCCAGCTATTAATAGACTTAAAGCCAAGTCATCAGCCAGTACTCCGCAGGTGTTAATGTGAAGGTTTTTTGTTTTGTTTAAGCTCTGGGGTACATGCGCAGGATGTGCATGTTTGTTACATAGGTAAGTATGTGCCAATGTGGTTTGCTGCACCTATCAACCCATCACCTAAGTATCAAGCCCAGCATGCATTAGCTATTTTTTCTGATGCTCTTCCTCACCCACCCTCAACAGGCCCCAGTGTGTGTTGTTCCCCTCCCTGTATCCATGTGTTCTTATTGTTCAGCTCCCACTTACAAACGAGAAAAATGGTGCTTGGTTTTCTGTTCCTGTGTTAGTTTGCCGAGAATAATGGCTTCCAGCTTTATCCATGTCCCTGCAAAGGACATGATCTCATTCCTTTTTATAGCTGCATAGTATTTCATGGTGTATATGTACCACATATTCTTTATCCAGTCTATCATTGATGGGCATTTGGGTTGATTCCATGTCCTTGCTATTGTGAACAGTGCAGCAATGAACATACATGTGCACATATCTTTATAATATAATTATTTATATTCCTTTGGGTATATACCCAGTAATGGGATTGCTGGGTCAAATGGTATTTCTGGTTCCAGGTCTTTGAGGAATCACATTGTCTTCCACAATAGTTGAGCTAATTTACATTCCCAACAACAGTGTGAAAGCATTCCAGAATCTCTGGGACACAGTTAAAGCAGTGTTAAGAGGGAAAATTCTAGCACTAAATGCCCACATTAAAAAGCTAGAAAGATCTCAAATCGACGTCCTAACATCACAACTCAAAGAACTAGAGAACCAAGAGCAAACAAATTTCAAAGCTCGCAGAAGACAAGAAATAACCAGGATCAGAGCAGAACTGAAGGAGATAGGGACACAAAAAAACCTTCAAAAACTCAATAAATCCAGGAGTTGGGTTTTTGAAAAAATTAATAAAATATATAGACTTCTGGCTAGATTAATAGAGAAGAATCAAATAGACACAAAAAATGATAAAGAGGATATCACCACTGAACCCACAGAAATATAAACCACCATCAGAGAATTCTATAAACACACCTGTGCAAATAAACTACAAAATCTAAAAGAAATGGATAAATTACTAGACACATACACCCTCCCAAGACTGAACCAGGAAGAAGTTGAATCCCTGAATAGACCAATAATAAGTTCTGAAATTGAGGCAGTAATAAATAGCCTACCAACCAAAGAAAGCCCAGGACCAGATGGATTTACAGCTGAATTCTATCAAAGGTACAAAGAGGAGCTGGTACCATTTCTTCTGAAACTATTCCAAAAAATTGAAAAGGAAGGAGTCCTCCCTAAGTCATTTTATGAGGCCTGCATCATCCTGATATTCAAACCTGGCAGAGATACAACAACAACAAAAAAGAGAACTTCAGACCAATATCCCTGATGAACATCGATGCAAAAATCCTAAATAAAATACTGGCAAACCGAATCCAGCAGCACATAAAAAAGCTTATCCACCATGATCGAGTTGGCTTCATCCTTGGGATGCAAGACTGATTCAATATATGCAAGTCAATAAACATAATTAATCACATAAACAGAACTAAGGACAAAAACCACATGCTTATCTCAATAAACGCAGAAAAGGCCTTCTATAAAATTCAACATCCCTTCATGTTAAACACTCTTAATAAACTAGGTATTGAAGGAACATACCTCATAATAATGAGAGCCATTTATGACAAATCCACAGCCAATATCATAATGAATGGGCAAAAGCTGGAAGCATTCCCCCTTTAAAGCCAGCACAAGACAGGAATACTTTCTTTTTTCTTCAAAAATATAATTAGTGTATTGCTAGCAATATTCCATACTTCCCCAATTCTTAACCCACATGGTACAAATACTATTACAACTTCCCTGAAAAACTACTCTGTACCTTCCTCTGAGATAAATAGAGATGCCATCGCTTTGTTAAGAAAGCCTCCCTAGTTATTCTACAGCTGTCTATGAACTGCCTGGAGCAGTGGTTTTCTAACTTGAGTGTGTGTTGGAATCACCTAGACGGCTTGATAAAAGATTGGTTGGTCCCACTTCCAGAGTTTCTGATTCACTAGTTCTGGGGTGGAACCTGATAATTTGGATTTCTAACTAGTTCCCAGGTGATTCTGATACGGTTGTTTTAGGGACCACACTCTGGCTAATGACTTACTCTAGCTAGAGGTCTTGCTCTAGGCTAGTGGTATTCAGTGAAGCAAAAGGAAGCCTATCTTCACTAACCTATACTTTATACCACTCTGATCCATTCTTTACACCATGGGTCCCCAAGCCTCTGGGCCATGGACCAGTACTGGTCTGTGGCCTATTAGGAATCAGGCCACACAGCAGGAGGTGAGCAGTGGGCAAGCAAGCATTACCGCCTGCACTCCACCTCCTATCAGATCAGCAGAGGCATCAGATTCTCATAGGAGTAAGATTGTGAACTGTGCATGCGAGGGATCTAGGTTGCATGTTCCTTATGAGAATCTAATGCCTGATGATCTGAGTTGGAACAGTTTCATCCTGAAACCATTGCCCCACGCAATTCGCATGGAAAAATAATCTTCCACGAAACTGAACCCTAGTACCAAAAAGGTTGGGGACCACTCCTTTACACTGCATCTACAGTTACTTTCCTAAATATGAGTTGAAAAAGGTTACTTTCTTCCTCAAAAAGCTCCAATGACACCTTATTGCTCATAAATTTCCAAAATCTTAAAATCTTTAGTCTCACATTCTAGCTCTCTTACAGTCTGATTCCAAGTTTCCCATTGTTTCCCCCCACATGCCCTGTTACCTGTCCTGCAAATACTTGCTATACCCAGCCAAGCTATATTCATTTATGCTTTAGGACTTTGCTCATGCTGTTTCTTAAACTTGTAGCATCCTTTCCTCCTTCCCCATTTACTGAAATCAATGAAATCAGAATCACTATGACTGATCCTGACTGCAAGTAAGAAGACCCTTAAAAAAATTAAAAAATAAAGAAGACCCTGACTCCACTGGCTTGCACAATACTGAAAATTATTACACCACAGAATAAAAAGTCTGGAGATAAGATGGCTCCAGAGATGGCTAATTTGGCAACTCAAAGACACTGTCAGAGACAAAAGTTATTTTCAAGGTATCAATCTGATATCCTCAGTACATGCTCTTGTTCTCAGGCTAATTCTCATTAAGGTCACAAAGGCTTTAGCAGTTTGAAATATCACATCCAGTCAAAAACACATCTAGCAGGAGAAGCAGGAACTTCTTGAAAGCCTCTTTTTGTCTATTAAAAAAAACCCAGCAACGATCCCATCCTATTTCCTTGGCCAATTTGTGTTGCATTCCCACTCCTAAATCAGGCACTGAAAAGAGGATTGAAATTATCATGATGACTTAGACCAGGTGTATTAGTCTGTTCTCATGCTGCTATAAAGAACTGCCCAAGACTGGGTAATTTATAAAGAAAAGAGGTTTGACTGACTCACAGTTCTGCATGGCTAGGGAGGCCCTCAGGAAACTTACAATCATGGTGGAAGGGGAAACAAGCACATCTCACTTCAATGAAGGCAGGTGAGAGAGAATGTGAGCACATGGGAAAGAGCAGGGAAAACTGCCTTATAAAACTATCAGATCTCATGAGAACTCACTCACTATCATGAGAACAGCATGAGGGGAACCACCCCCATGATCCAATCATCTCCCACAAGGGTGTAATCCCTCAACACCTGGGGATTACAATTCAAGATGAGATTTGGGTAGGGACACAAAGCCTAACCATATCACCAGAGGTCAAAAAACTTTTCCTGTAAAAGGCTAGATGGTAAATATTTTAGTTTGTGTGGGCCATATGGGCTCTGCCACAACTGCTTAACTCTCCCTGTGTAGCACGAAAATAGCCATCAATAATACATAAACCACTGGGTGACTTGTTCCAATAAAATTCATTTGCAAAAACACGTGGCAGACTGCTTGGCCCAGTCAGCCACCCCATGGTTTAGGCCAAACAGGATCAATCTTTGAGTCATGCTGGAGAAACACAGATTCCGCCACCCCACCCCCAACCCCAGAAACATCAGAGTTCTTCCAGGAAAGAAGCAGAAAATGGCTTTTAGAAAGGCAACCAGCAGCATCAGTGGGGACATCCTTCAAGCCCTAGTTCAAATGCAACAAATGGAGGCTTTTCTAACTCATTTCAGACTGAATTATACTTTCCCAGTAAATTGTTTAGATCTCCATTTGGAGTTATTGTAATGTAGCCAGCTGACACAACTGTCTCCTTGAATAAAGAACAAGTTTCTTCAGGGCAAGGTCTGTGTTACACATCTTTGCATTGTTTCCCTTTACCCCCACCCGGCACTATATGGAGCATATAAAATTATTAAATATTAATGTAATTAAAACAATACAAATATATAATCCGTGAAATAGTCTTCAAATGCTTGGTTTCTTTGCCATTGACCTTAATCTACCAACAGTTCATACTTCACAAATTTCACAATCCACCTGCATCCAGAAGTTTCAGTTTGATTCACAGTCCCACATAGTCCAGCAGAGATCTGTTTGCACAATTAAGAAAGGTCATTCTGTCATGGCTATCTATATATACCTCTGTATTCATTTTCTATGCCATGTAACAAATTACTGCAAATTTAGTGGCTTTAAACAACACAGACTTATTATCTCACAGTTTCCCTGGGTCAGGAGTCTGAGTAAAGATTAGCTAAGTCCTCTGCTCACAAGGTTGCTAGATCTGGGGTCTTCTTCCAAGCTAACATGGAACTTGATAACCCATTTTCTTGCACTTATAGAGCTCATGAAGTCTGTATCTTCCAGGTCAACAGGAAAGTTTCTCTCTCACACTTTGACTCCCTTTTGACTTCAGGAAGGGCTCAGTCCCTTTTAAGGGCTCACTTGATTAGGTCTGGTTCATCCAGAATAATGCCATTTTTTGTTAACTCAAAGTCAACTGGTTAGTACCCTAAACACAGAAGTAATATCCCATCATGTTCACAGGTCCCACCCACACTCAAGAGGAAGGGAATGCAGATGCAGAGGGGAGGGCATACACCAAGGCACCAGGAAATCTGGGAGCCATCTCAGAATTTTGCCTCCCACGGCCAGGTGCAGTGGCTCACACCTGTAACTCCAGCACTTTGGGAGGCCAAGGCAGGTGGATCACTTGAGGCCAGGAGACCAGCCTGGGCAACACAGCAAGAAGACCCTTTCTCTACAAAAAAAAAAAAAGACACACACACAAAAGAATTTTACCTATCATAATTTCTATTATAATGCCTAACCCCACAATATTGACACCTACATATTTAAATATTTGTCCTCCTACTGAAAAGTGGTCATTTTACCTCCATGTCCTCAGTGCCAAACAACCAAAAGATATTCCATAAACACCAAACGGACAAACAAACAAATGGATAAATTTGGCCTTATTATCTCTCAGTAGAGGCTTTTTCTTCACCTTCTTGATTTAAAACCTTCTGGAAAAAGTAAATGGGCCAGGCGCGGTAGCTCACACCTGTAATCCTAGCACTTTGGGAGACCGAGGCAGGCAGCTCACTTGAGGTCAGGAGTTGGAGACCCGCCTGGACAACATGGTGAAATCCCATCTCTACTAAAAACACAAAAATTAGCTGGGCGTGGTGGCTCATGTCTCTAATCCCAGCTACTCAGGAGGCTGAGGCAGGAGAATCGCTTGAACCCAGGAGGTGGAGGTTGCACTGAGCTGAGATTGTGCCACTGCACTCCAACCTGGGTGACAAAGCAATGCTCTGTCTCAAAAAAAGAAAAAGTAAATGATGCATTTGATTACACATAAAGAATACATAGGAAAACTGAGGAAGGAAACAAATCCATAAGCAAAATTCTAATGACATGTGGACAAAGCTGGCTTCAGAGGATTACGAACTCTAAATAGTAAATATTATTCAGATATTAGTTAAATCAGAATCAGGATTGCTAAAAGATTTGACATATGAGCTTTGACACTTGTGCTTGACCATATCTTATGTTTGATCACAGTACTTTATTACTGTCATTATTATTATTATTCAAAGCTTGCTCTGCTATAATGTCCTGTGGTCCGAGGAGAGGCAAAACTATTTCTCTCTTGTTCACTACTGCACCCTCAGTGTTAGCCCAGTATCTGGATGCTACTGAGTGCTCCACAAAATAGTTGCTGAGTGAGTTACCAAAACTCTAAGAAATGATTATGCTCATTTTGAAGCTAAGGGAACTGATGCTCAGAGAAGCCAATGTCTTGCCTAAGGACACACAAATAGAGAGAAAAGATTCCAACCTGAAGTTCCACACTTATTTTTTCAGATGGAGTCTCACTCTGTGGCCCAGACTGGAGTACAGTGGCACAATCTCAGCTAACTGCAACCTCCACCTCTCAGGTTCAAGCGATTCTCCTGCCTCAGCCTCCTAAGTAGCTGAGATTACAGGTGTGCGCCACCATGCCCAACTAATTTTTGTATTTTTAGTAGAGACAGGGTTTTGCCTTGTTGACCAGGCTGGTCCCAAACTCCTGACCTCAGGTGACCTGCCTGCCTCAGCCTCCCAAAGTGCTGGGATTACAGGTGTGAGTCACCATGCCCAGTTTGAAGTCCACACTCTTGATCACTCATCTCTAATGGCTTACAGTTCATCCATGCAATTACCATATCACAGTAACTTTCTGCATTTTTAAGCTGGACTTGAATTGGCCTAAGTCTCTTAAACCAAAGCCTTTCCATTAGTGTACCCCTGCACCAGGCATCACAAGTCTTTTAATGACATGTTTTCAGAAGAAATAGAATCAGTAGTGCTGAAAACCTCCCTACGTAGACCCATTTTCCGGTGTTCACTCGGCTCACCCCTTAACAGTGTTTCCCCCGCCCCAACAAGGACACACCCCTGGCTGCCATGTTTTTATTCTTTGCCCCCACCTAGTGGCCATAGCTGCATAGACAAGAGTATTATGAAAGACCGTTGAGCAAAGCCTGAATCACACTTGCAGGCTAAAAGATCACTGTTCAGTTTGGTCTGGTTTCTTGTGGAGGGGTGCGGATCTGAGCATGAGGGGTAAGTGATCCACATTTGCTGCGTAAACTGCAGTCATGCCTGCTTACAAGCCATCTGTTACCAGTCCACGAGGAATTAAGGACAGATACTGAGAGTAAGGAAGCACTTAGGAACCTTTATAGCACTTCAACAGAATAATTTTATGTCTGTGGAATCTAATAATAAAAAAATCAGGACTTATTTTATTTCATTTTAGTATAACTCATTTTTACTGTGTGTTAGCACAGATAGTTTGAAAAATGCTGGATTTTAGAGAGGCAAAAGTGGATCTGCAGAGCGAAAAGGCAGAAACAGATGTTTGTGAAAGAATTCCTATTTCCAACCCATTCCTGGGGCCTGATGACATCCATTCCCTTCAGTTCCTAAAAACATTCCTGAGTCCTTACAATGAACACCTCTTTTTTTGCTTAAGTTTGCTCAGTGAATTTTATGGGCCTTGAAACTAGAGTCCTAATGAATATACTTACACCAATCTCTGACAGGGGCGGAGGGGAAAGCCCCACTGGTCTTCATCCTAGTTTCCCCAAGAAGTTCTTCTAAACTGAGATTCCACCTCAAACCAATCCAAAACAATGATTACCTTTTCATTCTCATCCTTGTCTAGACCCTCAATTCTAAAATAAAAGGTTTTTTTAATATTGGAATCATGGAGAAGAAAGAAAAGTTACTGAAACAGATAAGGGAGTTAGTCAATAATTATGTATGGAGAGCATACTCAGTGCTCTCCCTGAGTGGGCAAGTATGAGCAGATGCACAAAGGCTTGCCATATGATGCTTGTATCATAGTGGGAGGGGAGAAACAACAAACATTTTAAATAAGATAGTTTCAGAGAGTGATACATGCAAGGAAGTAAATCATATATGACAAGGAAACACAGACCAGCCACTCAAAACTACTAGATAAGACAAGGAGAAAGGTGAGGCAGAGAAGACAGCCTCATACTTATAATCAATACCATTTATTAAGGGGTTAACTCTGTGCCAGGCACTGCTAAGTATTTTAAATACCCTCACAACAAACCTATGAGATGACGTTATCATCCCCATTTTTTAGATGGACAAATAAGTTCCAAGAGGTTTCTAACTTGCCCAAGATAAGAGCTGGGGAGACATGAAGGCAGAGCATGAATCCAAATGCATCTTACTACAAAGCTTATACCCTTAACCACCTATAAAGAATAACAAAACAATAAGGTGAGTCTTTCTTTTGGTCACCCAGAAGAGTCTGACTCAGACATTGTTGCTTCCTGGCACAAAGGACAATGAAATCCTTTCAAATACATGTGCTCTTCTGAAAATCAAATGCAAGGGCCTCCTGCTCAGTGAGGCCAGCCTGTATTTCTTAGTAGAAACAGAGTAGCCAACTGCTCAGGGCACATAAAAGCTATTTTAGGAGAAACCATCTCAGAATGGAAAAAGAAAGAAGGTTGAATCTTATGACATGATTTCCCCAAACACTGGTGGGGAATTGTTGTAAAATGTCTCATAAAATCCCATCATATGTACAAATGGCATGGACTTAAACAAGCTGAACAACGATTGAGTGAGTCATTGAACATTTGGGCTGGATTTCCAACAGCCAGGAGAGCCCCAGGCACAGTTCTTTGTTTACAGGTGCTAAACAATCCATCACAACCCCTCCTTTTAAGCTCTGTCCTCCCTCTCCCTAGGCCTACCTCTCTTGTCCTCCCTCTCATTCCCTTGATAGGTTAGTCTATGTGTTTTCTAATAACAGTTTCAGGTGACCGAAGTCATCTATCTTTCTGGACCTTATTTATAGGTAGGCAGATTCTAAATTTAGGCCTCTATAAGCAGCTCCAGGCAGACTGCTTGACATCCAAGCAATGAACAAAGATGAATGCAAGAGCACTGGGTGACTTAAGGTGTGCAGTAGATTTATGGAATGGTGGCTGTAGTCCAATTAAAAGAAATAAAACTTCCATTCTAATGCTACTACCCTAGAATTCACAAAATCTAAAATAACTGTTATTGACTTTACCTATACGTTGTCTATGAAATAAAAGTATCCTAGATCAATTAACATTTTCAAGTACTTTAGTAAAACTAACTCCCTGAAATTACATACATTCATCAAAGAGTTATATTTAGCCAGGTTTCACTAATAATAATATTAAGTGCCCAATAAACATCAGCATGTATCAGATCTCATCAGACTAAGTTTTACCACAAGCCTGTGGCATAGATACCATTATAACCACTTTAAAAAAAAAAAGGGAAGAAAACTGAGCCTTGGCGATTAAGTTTGCTGTCCAAGGGTACAAAAACCAGGCAGACACATGATTCAAATCTGAATTCAGAACCATCAAGCATACCTCAAAGACTGGAGCACCAGGCAAGGAAGCCGCAGAAGAAGTTGCTATGAAGGGGAGAGCATTCAATCAATGAGATGTCTTCAGAGTTCTCTTACATTAGATAAGGTCTCTATATTGGGTAGAACTCTACAAATGGTTTGATATTCTCTTAAATTCCCCCATACATACACACACTTCATTCAATATCCCCTAATGTCTAAGAATGTGGGCTTTAGAGTTGGATGGTCCCAGCTTCTGCCACTTTACAGGCTGTGTGGCCTTTAGCAAATTATTTAACCTCTCTAAGACTCATTGCCCTCATCATCTATCAAATGGCAATAACAATTGAACCTGACTCCTAGAATTGTTGTGAAGATTAAACGAAACAGTATACATAAAGAACTTAGAACATGGTAAGAATTCAATAAATCATAGTTATTCAAATGGCTGGCTTCTCTGATTCTTATCACCAGCTGAGTATGGCAAAATATCAGGACCTACTATGTAGTGTTTCATTTTGACAGGTGCAAGATTCCTTTATTCAAGTCAATAAAAACAACAGTAAGAGCAACAGCAGCAACACCAGCTAGTTTACTTTTTATTGAGCATATATCTGCCAGGTCCTGTAAGACATCTCTTAAAATCTTCCTAAGAAGTCTGTTTCCCATTTTACAAATATAGAAAGTTAGCCTGAAAGATGTTAAGCAGCTTGCACAGCTCATGCAACCAAAGAGGGCAGAATCAAGATCCTGAGCCTAGAGCTCCTAACCAGCATGCCTCACATAACCAGGATGCTACGCGTAACCAGCACACTACACGTAACCAGCATGCCACACATAACCAGCATGCTACACATAACCAGCATGCTACACGTAACCAGCATGCTACACATAACCAACATGTTATTCAATGAAACACTAGTCCCATGAGAGAATCTTCAGGGCAAAGGGGAAGGGGAAGCTCTGTGGTCATAGGAATAGGAGAATGCCCTTGCCAGGAGCATCACAATGGACACTAGCATAATAATGGCTCCAAGAAGTCTTTCCATATTCCCTATAGGGACTAGCACAGGTTTGAGCACTCAGTAGGCTACCAATAAAAAGCTCTAAATAATGCCATCCCTGCTCAAAAATATTCAGCCCACAAAACAGAGAACATAAGAAGAGAAAGCCCAGAGCATAGAAAAGATGAGAGGCTCATGGAGAGACATAGCTAATGAGAAAATCCTCAAGGCAGAAAAAGGCTGATATATTATGTGAGCCGAAATTGCCAAATTTTTCTAGATTTGAGGGTAGCCAAAACCTAAAACCCATAAAACACCTAGGAGCCATCCTCAGTTTCCCTCACTCCATTCTTGCCCACACTGAATCCATGGGCGGATTCTCTCTGTACACATAAGACCTGGCCACCAAATTCCAGAGCCTCCAGAAAAACTCGTGACCCCATCTATTTATTGCCATCATGCCACTGATAACTACACTGGTCCAAGCCACCGTCATCTCTCACCTTAACCACTGCAGAAGCCTCCAACTGCCCTTCCCGCTCCCATTCCTCCCCACAACTACAACCTAGTCCACACACAGCAACTAGAGTGACCTTCCCACCACCACCATAAACCAAAATATGTCAAGCATCCACATAAAATCCTCCAGCTGTACTTAGAATACAATCCAAATTTCTTATTATGAACTCTTAGCTCTGGACTGCACACTTCTCTAATCATCTCACACCACGCTTTCCTGCCACACTCTCTCCTTTCATGTTTGTTGAATGACCCGGTCTCTTTATCCTACCACGCTTGAACTCACAGCTCCCTTGCCTGGAACACTCTTTCCCCAGATCTTCACGTGACTGGCTCTTTCTTTACCTTCACTGTCATATCCTCGGAAGGGCCCTCCCTGACCACCCATCCTACCCATCTTCCATGGCATCATCACCCTCACAGCACCCACCGGTACCTGAAATGTCCCGTGTGCCTGCGTTTCATCATTCCCACTGGAATGCAGGCTTCACGAGAGCAGGGGCTTCCCTCTGGTTCACAACTGCTCCTCCATAGCACATAGTAGGAGTTCAAGGAGTATCTACTGAGTGAATAGATGGTTAGATGGTTCCTGGGTTAGTGCTTCTTTGAGCAAATGGAGTAAAGGGGTCACATCTAGTGGGAGGAAGGGAGACAGGGAGGCGGAGCAGTATCTGCCAGACCAGGCCTCCAGGAGAACCATCTACAGCACAGAGCCCTCCAGAGACACACACCCCTCACCCAGGAATCCTCAGAAACTCTGAAGAACAGTTCAGTGTCCCTCCCACAAACTGTGGCATTAAAAAATAGGCAGCTTTATGAGGTTAGGGGACTCAGAGTTATGCAATCTAGATTATCAAATTCACTCTTCACAACTTGCCACTGAAGTCAGAATAATCCCTAAATCACAAAATGAAGAAAGTCAGGCTTGGAGAGCTTGAGTCACTGCCTAGGGTAGAATCTGTGCCCTCCCACCAGATTCAGAATATTAGAATCTGTCTGCCAACCATTCTAATATTCATCTTGTGCCTCTTGCCATCTCAATTGCCCACTTTTATTATAATCTAGGGCTGTAAAAAATACTTCATTGAGGAGTCAACTGAGAGAAAAATATATTTTTCACACATATCAAACTCAAGTTGATGTCAGAATTAAGAAGAAACTTAGAAGTACTGTGTTTACAGATTTATTTCACTCTTTTCCACCTCTATGCTTGATGGGGGGTAAGGCTGGGGAAAAAACATCCCTAAGAGAAGGTCTGGGACTCTTGCATTCCAATGAGATCACCACAGAGGAACTG
Organism: Homo sapiens; assembly: GCF_000001405.40. Lineage (NCBI taxonomy): Eukaryota > Metazoa > Chordata > Mammalia > Primates > Hominidae > Homo > Homo sapiens. The sequence goes on along the minus strand of NC_000005.10, from coordinate 146,560,673 downwards.
GCACCGAATTCCAGAGCCACTAGGGACTATGCTGGATTGGAATTTATAACCTTTAGTTTTCCTGGCTCCTCTTAATGTGATTTTTCCCTGCAATGATATCTGTGAATGATGAATAATTGACATAATATTCAACACGTATGAAGATAGATGTGTTCACAAGGCTCTCAATCTATCCATTTTAATGCTTCCTTTGCCCACATCCCTGATGGGCCTAGAGATGAATGGGGGAGGGGAGGTCCTGCAGAGCCTGGGAATGAAGACGATAGAACAGCCTCATATTATAGTGTTTTCAGTATTGGTTTGGGGTGGGGGAGAAGAGCTTTGGTTCAGCAGCACCTTGTTAAGACTCTGTGGGGAGCCACTAGTCAGGCAGAGAGGCAGATCCCAGTGATGAATGGACTTCTCAGACCTTTTTTTCTTAGTGCCTTTTCTCAGCCATAAGATGACTGAAAAAAATACAGATTCAGAAACACACAAAAAGATACACAGAGATACATACATTCATATATGAATACATGCACACATACAGAAATAAAGACACACACACACACACACACACACACACACACACACACACACACGCAATGTGAGCCTGGCAAAAGCCTGCTTAATTTTTAAAAGGTCTGCTAATTTTAGAAGGCTGCTTCCTGTTTAGGTTAAAAAAAAAAAAAAAAAGTAAAATGACCTCCAGGACAAGTTTTGTCTTTAGAATAAGAAAGATAGGGAGAATCTACTAAATTGTGGGGATATGGTATTTTCAGTGAATCTTGGGTAAATGTGAATAAATTTCCCAAAACTAAGTTTTGATGAATACTGGTAAGACCTCTTTTAATTCTCAGACATTGGCCAGGCATGGTGGCTCACACTTATAATTCTAGCACTTTGGGAGGCCGAGGTGGGTGGATTGCCTGAGCTCAGGAGTTTGAGACCAGCCTGGACAACATGGTGAAACCCCATCTCTACTAAAATACAAAAAATTGGCCAGGCGTGGCAGCGCACGCCTGTAGTCCCAGCTTCGGGAGGTTGAGGCAGGAGAATTGCTTGAACCTGGGAGGCAGAGGTTGCAGTGAGCCGAGACTGTGCCACTACACTCCAGCCTGGGCGACAGAGTGAGACTTCATCTCAAAAAATAAAGAAAAAGGAAAATAATTCTCAGACATTATAAGAACAAACCAAAGACAAGCATGTATTATGTTAGGAAATTTCTCAGCTTGTTTTTATAACTAGAATCCCTTTTAACTCATTTGGTTAATAGCAATGGGAGGTGAGAAGTTAGCAGTGAGACTCATACATATGAATACAAGATGTTGAGGTTACTATTACAATAATTATTCTGTTCTATAAACTTTAACATTTCTAGTATACCTATAAAATCCATTCCCCCAAGTGGCCAATAGAACTCCAATTACATGTTGGTAACTATTATACAATGTTGCCACTTGGCATTCTATGATCTTGAACTTCTCAATCAGTCTCAAGGTGATCAAATTGCCTATCTTTTAAAATAATGATGAATGTGATATAGAGTCATCGAATACAATTCCAAAATATTAAGAATCTTAGTCATTAGGAGAGAATTGACAGATAACACAAACTGAACTCTTATTTGTGCCAGACACTGTGCTCACAGATTTTCCTTCATTGTCCCATATAACCCTTACACGACACCATGAAGGTACTATTAACCTTACTTTACAAATGAAAAAAGTGAAGATAAGAAATATTAAACTGTCCTGTATTAGATAAGTGGCAGAACAGAGTTAGATCTTGCTCCCCGTCTTATTCTATTTTCTGTGCTGTAATTGAATACCCAAGACTGAGTAATTTAAAAACTTATAAAGAAAAGAAATTTATTTTTTACAGTTCTGGAGGCTGGGAAGTCCAAGAGCATAGTGCTGGCATCTGGTGAGGACCTTCTACTTGCATTATAACATGGCAGAGGACATCACAGGACAAGAGGGCAAGAGCATGTGTGTCAACTCAGGTCCCTCTTCTTCTTCTTATAAAGCCACTAGGTCCATAATGGGGAGCTCCACCCTGATGAACTTATTTAATCCTAATTACCTCCCAAAGGCCCTACCTTCAATCAGCATAAGAATTTGAGGGTTAAGTTTCCAATACATAAAATTTGGAGGACTCATTCAAACCATAGAGCTCCCCTGCCCACTGACATTCTGACAGTAAATGCTCTTAACAAGTACATGATTGTGTATAAAATGTCTAAGTGATTGATATGGTTTGGCCATGTCCCCACACAAATCTCATCTTGAATTGTAACTCCCACAGCTCCCATGTGTCATGGGAGGAACCTGGTGGGGGGTGATTAAATTATGGGCACAGGACTTTCTTGCACTGTTCTCATGATAGTGAATGAGTCTCACAAGATCTGATGGTGTTAAAAATGGTAGTTTCCCTGCATAAGCTCTCTCTTCTCTTGTCTGCTGCCATGTGAGACATGGCTTTCACCTTCTGCCATGATTGTGAGGCCTCCCCAGCCATGCAGAACTATAAGTCCAATAAATCTCTTTCTTTTGTAAATTGCCCAGTCTCAGGTACGTCTTTATCAGCAGTGTGAAAATGGACTAATACAGTAAATTGGTACCAGTAGAGTGGAACACTGCTAAAAGATACCTGAAAATGTGGAAGTGACTTTGAAACTGGGTAGCAGCCAGAGGTTGGAACAGTTTGGAGGGCTCAGAAGAAGACAGGAAAAGGTAGGAAAGTTTAGAACTCCCTAGAGACTTGTTGAATGGCTTTGACCAAAATGCTTATAATAATATAGACAATGAAATCCAGCCTGAGGTGGTCTCAGATGGAAATGCACAACTTGTTGGGAACTAGAGCAAAGGTGACTCTTGTTATGTTTTAGCAAAGAGACTGATGGCATTTTGCCCTTGCCCTAGAGATTTGTGGAACTTTGAACTTGAGAGAGATGATTTAGGGTATCTGGCGGAAGAAATTTCTAAGCAGCAAAGCATTCAAGATGTTACTTGGGTGCTGTTAAAGGCAATCACTTTTATACGGGAAGCAGAATATAAAAGTTCTGAAAATTTGCAGCCTAACAATGCAATAGAAAAGAAAATCCCATTTTCTGAGGAGAAATTCAAGCCTGCTATAGACATTTGGATAAGTAATGAGGAGTCAAATGTTAATACCCAAGACAATGGGGAAAATTTCTCCAGGGCATGTCATAGGTCTTCACGGCAGCCCCTCCCATCACAGGCCCAGAGACCTAGGAGAAAAAAATGGTTTCATGGTCTGGGCCCAGAGTCCCCATGCTGTGTGCAGCCTAGGGACTTGGTGCATCCCAGCTGCTCCAGCTGTGGCTGCAAGGGGTCAATGTAGCACTCGGACCATGGCTTCAGGGGGTGCAAGCCTCAAGCCTTGGCAGCTTCCATGTGGTGTTGAGCCTGCAAGTGCACAGAAGTCAAGAATTGAGGTTTGGGAACCTCTGCCTAGATTTCAGAAGATGTATGGACGTGCCTGCATGCCCAGGCAGAAGTTTGCTGCAGAGGCAGGGCCCTCATGGAGAACCTCTGCTAGGGCAATGCGGAAGGGAAATGTGGGGTCAGAACCTCCACACAGAGTCCCTACTAGGGCACCACCTAGTGGAGCTGTGAGAAGAGGGCCACTGTCCCCCAGACCCCAGAATGGTAGATCCACTGACAACCCACATTGAGCACCTGGAAAAGCCGCAGACACTCAATGCCAGCCTTTGAAAGCAGCTGGGAGGGAGGCTGTACCCTGCAAAGCCACAGGGGCCGAGCTGCCCAAGACTGTGGGAACATACCTCTTGCATCAGCATGACCTGGATGTGAGACCTGGAGTCAAAGGGGAACATTTGGGAGTTTTAAGATTTGACTGATCTGCTAGATTTCAGACATGCATGGGGCCTGTAGCCTTTTAATTTTGGCCAATTTGTCCCATTTGGAAGGGCTATATTTACCCAATGCCTGTACCGCACTGTATCTAGGAAGTAACTAACTTGCTTTTGATTTTATAGGCTCATAATTATGTGGAAGGGGTTTGCCTTGTCTCAGATGAGATGTCGGACTGTGAATTTTTGAGTTAATGTTGACACGAGTTAAGACTATCTCATCTTGAATTGTAACTCCCACAATTCCCATGTGTCACGGGAGGAACGCAGTGGGAGATTATTGAATTATGGGGCAGGTCTTTCCTGCACTGTTCTCATGATAGTGAATGAGTCTCATGAGATCTGATGGTTTTAAAAACATGAGTTTCCCTGCACAAGCTCTCTCTTTGCCTGCTGCCATCCAAGTAAGATGTGACTTGCCCTTCCTTTCCTTCCACCATGATTGTGAGGCCTCCCCAGCCATGTGGAACTGTAAGTCCATTAAACCTCTTTCTTTTGTAAGTTGCCCAGTCTGGGGTATGTCTTTATCAGCAGCATGAAAACAGACTAATACAGTGATCAAACTAAAATACATTATTTTGGGAGGAAATGGCAGAAGGAAATCATTTGTAAGCTGATTAAGTCTAATGTATGCCCTCAAAAAACTTGCAACTGACTTTTTTTTAATTTAGAAAAATTTTTTTTAAAAACTTACAAACCCTCGTGTTGAGGGCTGACTTTCAATAGGACGCAGCAAGAAAGCCGTTCTGCCACGTACAAAACCCCAACCCAGAAGTAGGTCATCTACGAATGGTTTAGTGCCAGGTTCCCCATGCAATCAACTTTTTATTTACTAAAATTTCTGAAAAAAATAGGCTTATTACTAAAAATTCCAACAGAACACAAACTATTTTTATTCTTCAGTCAGATCAGAACCAAGTGTTTACGTCAGGGACATTTGCCACCAATGAGCGTTGGGTAGTCTATAAACCCCCTAAAGTTAAAGTCAAATTTATGTGTACCTACCTGGATTTCTCTGGAATGAAAGTCCATAGCTTTTACCAGTTTTTCAAAGGGTTCCAGGACCACTACACCAGAAATAGACAATATTTGGATAGTGAACCAAGAAAAGGACTCCTAGAAATTTCATCTTCCCCAAGGTAATAGAGGTGCATATCAACAAAGTAGCAACATTTCAAGGGGAAAAAAGAAAGATTACATTAAAGGTGCGTGATTTTTAATTTACAACTGTCTACCTTTACTTATATAACAATATACCTCTTTCTTCTTGAGCCCACCAAGCAATGTTTGGGACTTAGCCTGTTTCAGAGAGTAAAGATTCTTCTGAATTGCTTTTGGCCTTGGGCAATTTTATGGGCACTGTGGTAACACATAGCTTTCCCGGACTCACACTTGTAATCTTCACCTCTTTGACACTACGTTAAGAATAGTAGTAAAATTGTGTAGTAAATTAAAACATATTTTTAAGTGAGAAAAGTAGAGTATTGAACAGTATACCTAATGTGTTTTCATTTGTATTTTTAAAAAAGAAATGAAAAAGAAGAGGTGAGAGAAAATGTACATATTTGCTTGTATTTATATAGAACATCTCCTAAAGCTCACACGAGAAACTGCTAACATTGGATGCTTCCAGGGAGGAGATAGGGTGGGCAAGAGATAACTGTTTACTTTTATTACTTTTGAAGCCATTCAAATGTACCATTTTTAGAAATGCTTTCAAGAAAATCAAAGAATAGCAAGATTGCATCTTCATTTCCTATTTGGTTAACTCATTATTTCTATTTTTCTTAACTGAAGTATATGCCACTGGAAGTTTACTAGCTTCTTTCTAAAGTCAACCCGAAGTTCAAGCACGTGAATTGTCATACCAGCCTCTCAGAATTGAGAAAACCCTATCAACTATTCTAAAACATTTAGAAAATTCTGCTGCCTTTAGTTGCAATGTATAGCAATTTATATATACAATAACTTTTGATTCAATCTTGCACAATAATATGAATTTCTGAAGACATTTAAACCAACAATGAGATATCCACATGCTATGGTATGAAGGTTCCCCCAAAATTCATGTGTTGAAACTTAATGGCTAAGAGGAGGGACCTTTTGAGAAGTGATTAATTATAAGGATTACTGCCTTATAAAAGAGGTGATACAAACTAGCTTTAGGCCCTTTTGCCCTTCTGTCCCTACCAGCATGTGAGGACACAATGTTTGTCCCTTTTGGAAGATTCAACAACAAAGGGCCAACTTGCAAGCAGAGACCAGGCTCTCATCAAACGCTGAACCTGCTGGCACCTTGATCTTGGACTCCCAGCCTCCAGAACTATGAGAAACAAACTTCCATTCTTTATAAATTACCCAGTCTGTGGTGTTTTCTTATAGCAGCACAAATGAACTAAGATATCATGTTTAATTTGCATTTATCTTAAATCATGCTACCAAACAAATCTCTCAGCCAAGGTGACAATCAATGAACAGATTCCTTCTATGAACTCCAAGTTTGATATGAACAAAGATAGCCTCTTATCTGTCACTACTCATTTCCTTGCCTAGTAAGTTTCTTTTGATATTAACTCCAGCTAGTAAGTTTCTTTTGATATTAACTCTAAAAAGCATCTCAACCTCAGAAGTGTTAAAATGGGGGCTGGAGAGGAAAAGAACACAACACACCCAACAGAGTGGCCAAATTTTAAAAGAGAGACAATATCAAGTTGTGGACAAGGATACAGAGTAATTTGAACTCTCACATATTTCTAGTGGGAATATCAAATAGCACAACCACGTTCAAAAACAGTGTGGCAGTTTCTAACGAAGTTAAATAGCACCTATTCTATGACTCAGAAATTTCACTCCTGAGTATGTTCCCAAGAGAACATACATGAATGTCTATAAAAGTATATATGAATGTCTATAGTATCATTGTTCACAATAGCCAAAGACGGAAATAATCCAAATATCAATTAGCAAGAAAATGAATGAACTGTGGTATACCTATATAATATAATACCTCTCAGCAATTTAAAAAACAAAGAACTACTACATGCAACAACTTGGATAACTATCAAATGCATTATGTTGAAAGAAGTTAGTCACCAAAAAAAGGAATGCATACCTTATGATTCCATTTACGTAAAATTCAAAACCAGACGAAATAATCTCCAGTGATAGCAAGCACATTATGATTGCCTCTGGCAGGAGGAAGGGGTTGACAGTAAAGGGAAATGAGGGAAGATTCTGGGGTGATAAGAAAGCTCTGTATTACAACTTGGGTGATCTTACATAGATGTTTATATTTGTTGAAATTTCTCAAGCTGTACATTTAAGATTCGTGTGTTTTACTCTATGTAAATTGTCTATCAATAAAATATTATTAGCATTTGAAAAATCCACATTACAATGAGCCAATGTGTTATGTAGTTGTTTGTGAATCTCTAATACCCAAAGAATGGGATAGAAACTGAGAGATCTAAGCGATTCTAAAAGCAATGAAACAGGAACTCCATCAAATGCAAATTCCACTTCAGTTCTGACTTTACTGCCTTGATCCTGGCAATTTACCTTCTTTTCTGTCTTTATAAAGCAGCTGCACTAGATCTGTGAATTTGTCTTTTAGTCGGCAGATCTTACTCTTTGAGAACCTATTTAAGCAGTGGACTCAACTCCAGAAAAATGAATATACATAAATCATTTTGCATAGGATCCCAGAGGGTCATAAATGATCTGAAGCCCATCAAAGATGCCAGGATAGGTGGCCCTGGAGAGATGTTTTCTCAGACTCTTCAAAGCTCAGAGGTTCCTTATTAAATTATAAGTTCTTGTTGTCTAAATCAAACCAATGGCCTCTAAAATGCAAATTGTCCATTGGAATGTGGAAGTATTTATTATTTTAATTAAAAAATAAGTATTATGCTTTACTAATATCTGATCCATATGAGGTTAGTAATAAACAACTTATAAATAAATATATATAAGCTAGGGATTCCTGCTCAAAAATTTTATATACAAAGATATATGACCTAAAAATGTTGACCTTGCTCTTCTATTTTAGACCTTTGAATTTCATGGAATTTACATAGAAATTTCATGGAATTCCCAAGGTTGGGAATTATTTTTATTTTTGCCTTTAAAAAAAGACCCCCTACCTTTATTATAATTTTAGAAAAGAAAAATAATAAGGTAGGAAAGACATAATCTCAGGATTAAAAAAAAAATCTTTAAAGCAATAAATTAAAACAATAAATTATACATAATACATTATCTTGATTTTTCAAATTTTACTATGGAAGGAAAAACTTCATTGCAAAGCATCTCTAGGGCACAGCCTTAAATGCTAATCTCATTGAATTTCAACCCTATTTTATTTGGCCTTCACCACGCTCAAATACGTGAAAAAGATAGAGCTCAGGAATTTTTTACTGTCATGTACCCATGCCCCTTTTCAGAATAAGAATTTTACTTTGGTTACATTTCAAAGTTAGACTATGAGTAGATCAAAAAGTTTTCACCTTCTTTCTGCCTTCTCTGTCTATACAGAAGACCCACTGGCAGGCAAAAAAAAAAAAAAAAAAAAAAACCTTGCTGATTGACTAACAAGTCTCTCAGGACTTACAAAGCAAAGGAATTCATAAATGTGTCCAATACAATAATCTGGGATGGCCACAAAACTGGATGTATACAAAACTGCTCAGTCACTTGGAACCCAGTATGTTTCACTATCCACCAAATCTTGAGCAATTGATCCTCACCAAATGCTCCAACAGACCGTGCTATTTCCCCCTTTCACAAGTAATACATGAGATAAATAGATGTGGTGATGGGAGGAAATGGGACTGGGAAGAAAAGTGTTTGTTTTTACCTTTAGACCAGGCATTGGCCAAATCCAGCCTGCTGCCTGTTTTTGTATAGCCTGCAAACTAAGAATGGCTATTATGTTTTTCACTAGTTAAAGAAAATGAAAAGAAGAATGTTTCATGACCCATGAAAATGATACGAAATTCATATCAGTGTCCATAAATAAAGTTTCATTGGAACACAGTCCTGCTCATTAGTCTACAAATTGTCTACGGCTGTTTTGCACTGCAATGATGTAGTTGACAGAGACCACATGACCCACAAAGCCTGAAACATTTACCATCTGGCCTTTTATAGAAAGAGTCCACCAGCCCCTGCTCTAGACTGCAAGTATCCAAAGGACAGAGACCATGCTCCTGTAGTCAACATTTTGTTACATTTGCTGCCCAGCATCTATCACCTTGAGAAGACCCACCATGATTCCTTTCAGGAAAAGCCCCTCCCTCCCTCTCTATCCAGTTCTTTGGGTAGAGCCCACCTCTGTAAGGCCAGTGGATGCACCAGTTCTCCTGGGCTTGGCAATGGAGGCGGGGACATTTGATTCGGCCATCCCAGAGCAAATCCTAGGACCTTTGAGAGTTCGCTCACATTTTCTCAGGACATGAAGCTGAGCAGGTAGAATGGGAACTACTGTCGTCTTGCTGCCCTGAGTGAGAGCTCATTGAAGAACTGAAGTTACACAGAGCAAAAGCAGCCAGAGGAGAAAGAGAAGTCAGGTGCTGACTACACTGTTTGAGCCTGGATCATGCAGAGTCTGAAGCCAAATCTGCTCTTGAACTTTTTATTACATATTCTCTAGCCTAAACTCAGGATCATTTTTGCTTAAATTTGTCTGAATTACATTTTCTATCACGTGCAATTGAAAGAAAAAACAGAGTCCTGACCGATGCAGTCCTCTTCCCACTGCATTTCTGGCTGTACCCAGCCCCACAGCATGAACACAGGAGGATACTATAAATGCCCACGAAAGAGGATGACAGCCTGGAGAACTTTGAGCTAGGAAGAGAAATCCTGCAGTACTTTAGAAACCCTAAAAGGCAAGATGAGTAAGAAAAAACAGCAATATCAACAATCATTGAGCATCAACAACCAATGATTGTCAACATGTGTCCCAGACTGTGCCATATATCGTTGCAAGCTTGTGTCTTATGAAAACTTGCTAAAATCCCCTGTAATGAACAGAAACTGACGCTCAAAGAGGTTGTCAGATGACATACAGGCAGAAGAGATTTGATACAAGGTCTGTCTGTCTAACTTCAAAGCCCATGCTAATGAATCTTTTGACTATTAAAGATTCTCTACCCCAAAATAGGTCCAGTGAGATAATGCAAACTGCCAAGGTCATGGGAGATAGCTCTGGGGTCAAAATTGGGTTTATGCCCTAGTTATTCCTCCCTCTGTAATCTTCAGCAACTGACCCTTCTGAATCCCAATTTCCTTACCTATAAGAAATGCGGTTGGAATGGGCGCAGTGGCTCATGCCTGTAATCCCAGCACTTTGGGAGGCTGAGGGGGGTGGATCACCTGAGGTCAGCAGTTCAAGACCAGTCTGGCCAACATGGCGAAACCCCATCTCTACTAAAAATACAAAAAAAAAAAAAATTAGCCGGGCATGGTGGCAGTCACCTGTAATCCTAGCTACTTGGGAGACTGAGGCAGGAGAATTGCTTGAACCTGGGAGGCGGAGGTTGCAGTGAGCCAAGATCGCGCCATTGCCCTCCAGCCTGGCTACAAGAGCGAAACTCTGTCTCGAAAAAAAAAAAAAAAAAAGGAAAAGAAAGAAATAGGCTATATCTGCCTATATCAAAAAATTTCCTTGAGAATTAAATGACTAACAAATATAAAGTTCCTAGTACAGTAATTGACACAACCCAGGAATTTGATATGTGCTAGTCTTTTGCTCCCATGCCTTGGTTGGGTCAGTGTGATCCTGTTTTCTCAGAAGTCTCCACTCAACCCCAGCCCCTCACAACCACAATTCTGCAAAATTCCTTCCAAAGGCAAAGGCACACACTCAACTGCTTTTGTGGGACCTGGAGCAGGCATTAGACACTACAAGTCAGTCCTTCATGGGCTCCTATTAATGAATTGAGCTTTTAACCAGTCTGATGCAGCCAGGCCTGGAGTTCCCAAGCTGAAGCCCATTAGCATACATAGCCCCATTTACTGATAAATGCATGCAACTCATCTCCAGCATGTCACTGTTTTATGGCTGCTTGCTGACTTGGGGCTCAAGTGATGAAGTTTAATGCAGTTATGGTTTCTTATTTTTAATTGGAGCTTTAGATTTCAAGAAACAAAAAAATGGTGTTTAATTAAAAATCACTCATGGTTCTTAGCTTGCTGGGCTGTAAAAATAAAATTTAAAACAATCACTCATGGGTTTGCAATCCTTTGGTTCATTAAAAGGAGGGAAAAGTGTTTCAAGAAAGGAAATCTAATAGATCCACCTGGGTAAAGAAAAATCAAGGCAGCTCTTATCTTGTTAAATGAAGAAAACAAAAACTAGTCATGTGTCTTTTCTGAAGACTAGGCTATCCTCTTGTCCTTCTCAGATGCTATAACCATGTCTGATGGACCAGGCACACAGAGCTAAGAGTCGACTAACTTGGCAGAGGCCAGTGGAAGAATCAGATTCTGGTATCTGACATCTGTGGGTTGAGTCCTAGCCCTGCAACATACTCATATGTGACCTTGGTCAAGTTACTTAATATATCTGAGTTTCAGTCTTCTCTCTTGTAAAACAGAGATAATGATAGTACCTGATTCACACATGTGATAACATACTTGGTTGCAAGCAACAGCATTCAAGTTAAAAAAAAAAAAAGGAACTTACTAGAATCTACAGAACCACAGATGTACATGCATGGAAAGCCAGCAGGAGCCACGAGTGCCTTGAAGGCTGGGCATTAAGAATATTTGTCCAGATACTGCTGCCAGCAGCACAGATGGACTCTACCACCCCTTGCCTCTGCCCTTTGTGTCTTGGCTCCTGCTCAAAAATCCAGCACAGGTGTCTGGGAGGCTAACCTGTCTGCTAGAGGTAGGAGAGGAAAGGCAGGGTACCCCTGGAGGTCTAGATTCCTTTTCAAAGGGAGATGCTCATAAAGATGCACACAAAGGCAACTCTCCCCACAATGAAAAATGTCTATGACAACAGGATTGTGGTGAAGGATAAATGAGATAATGCACGGAAAGCCCCTGGCAACTTACTAGAACATAGCAGATGGCCAACAAATGACAGCTATTATTATTGCTATAATTAGCATTATTTTTAACAACTATCATTCTGGCCACCAGGGATGATACAGGCAGATGATAAAAATAGACTCATTTTAGCTGAATTCATGATGAGGGGTCGTGGGAGAGGGTAGAACTGTAGACATTCAACATATAGCCCCAATGTCTCTGAAGAATGACACCCAAGAATATCAAGGCCAACTCATGAACTACCCTTAATACCAGTGTCAGCCTGGATACTGGGGCAGAGAAGGGGGAATCCCTGCTCTAGAGCAAAACTGGTGTTCTTATGCCAGCTCCTCCCTCTCATTTTCCAGATTCTACTGCACCACGAGCAGGCTCCTCAGCTCTGCACATGAGGGTTCTTCTGTTTTAATGACTTGCCTCAAGTCCCATGTGTAAGAAAGACGGATCCAAGGTCCTCCCGAGGCTAATGTGCAGGCTCAAACCTTGTAATTTAAAAAGGACACGGGTATGGCTGCACATTGTTTGCATCAAAAATATAGCTGAAGTCTAAATATTAGCTCAGTGTAACTATGCAGAAAATGAAGCCTGACATGTCAATTAATTCTTTGCATCTCTCTGCTGTGTACAAGGGGGATTTTTTTTAAAGAGTAGAAATCTCATCATAGGTTCAAGTCATATTAGTCAATGGCTTATAGCTAAAATTAAAAGTGAAATATAGTACCTTGGAAAACTGTAGTCCTAAAGTCATTGTTATCACAGAGGAAGAGAATTGTTCTTTTTTTTTTTTTTTTTTTTTTTGAGACAGGGTCTCTCTCTATCGTCCAGGCTGGAGGGCAGTGGCACAGTCTTGCCTCACTGCAACCTCTGCCTCTTGGGTTCAAGCAATTCTCCTGGCTAGTGAATGTTCTCTTTAAAACGTGTGATGGGAGTTGCCTCTGGCAGTCCTAAACTGTCTTTGTGTTGCATGGTCCTTCCTCATAGTCAAAGTATAGGATGGTGTGTAAATGATGAACCTGAGCTCTTGGAAGGCTCAGAAGGGCCTTCAGTCTTCCCCCAACCCCTGAAAATAAAGTCATATTTAGTATTGGGTAAAATTTAGTGAAATTAAGAAAAATTTAGTATCAAGTTAAAGGTTACTATAATGTAGAACATATAATTATTTAGAGATATCCTATTCCACACTCCCCATCTTGCTAAATATTTGATCTGTCCTAATATATTCAAGTTGTAATCCAAGTTGTAATAGTAATAATGCTAAATTATGGGAATTAATCAAAATTCATTTAAGGCTGGGCACAGTGGTGCATGCCTATAATCACAGCTACTCAAGAGGCTAAGGCAGGAGGATCAGTTGAGCCCAAGAGTTTGAGCTCATCCTGCGCAACATAGCAAGACCTTGTCTCTTTAAAAAAAAAAAAAATTTTGAAACGTGGTTTCACCCTGTCACCCAAGCTGGAGTGCAGTGATGTGATCACAGCTCACTGCAGCCTTGACCTCCCAGGCTCAGGCAATCTTCCTGCTTCAGCCTCCCAAGTAGCTGGGACCACAGGTGCACATCACCATGCCTGGCTAATTTTTAAGTTATTTGTAGAGATGGGTCTCACTATGGTGCCCAGGCTGGTCTCAAACTTTTGGGCTCAAGTGATCCTCCCACCTCTGCCTCCCAAAGTGCTGGGATTACAATCATGGGCTACCACTCCCAACTCAAAAAAAATTAATTTAGTTCAGAGTTAACGTACTAGATAGTCATTCCGTCATCCAAACAATAACTATTCAATGTCTGCTATATGCCAGGAACTGCAGTGAGTTCTGGGGATGCAAAAAAGAACAAAGGCAGCCAGGTACCTCAGGGAGTTTCCAGGCTAGAAAGAGAAAAGGATAGTCCAAAGAAATTCAAAGTAGTAAAAGTTATCATTGCTATTAGAGGGGAGCTAGAGCTACTTCTCTAAGTAGGTATGACAAACAGGCTGGGGACTGAAGAATGAGAACTGGTATCTAGGTGAAGAGTGGATAGGGTTAGGTGGAGAAAAGGATATTTTATCAGGCTGTGATCCAACTCTCCTTACCCTCCCTCCTTCCTAGGAAATTCAGTCTCTGAACATTATCATCAGTAATAGTCTGATAAGTATATATATTTCTAGAGCCACCCCTGGTGTGCCAACAACCTTCAGGGCAAAAATTCTCAAATGGAAATGGTATTATTGTTTAAGTCTCTATAGGCAAGACAATGAAGATTATACAAATGAATTTAAGGTCTGGTTCATCACTCCCCTCAATGGTGGCCAATCTAACTTTAAAGACAAAACAATCCACAAATAGTTAAGAAAAAATATCTAGGCTGTTTAAGGCAACAAAAGAAGTCATTTTTTTTTATTCATTAAACAAATATTTATGTAGCAACTATGAACTCAACATTGTGTGGGGAACAAAAATGGCTAAGATCCATGATAAATCAAGAAAGTTTTCAATGGGTCTTAAGGGGGAGTAGAAATTGGATTGGTGAGAAAGTGAAGAAATATAGCCCAGGTAGATGTAATGAAGGGAATAAAGTCAGATAAAGGAGAAAGATGTCTTTAAGAACAGCAAGGAATCCAGTTTGGTTGTAGCTGAAGACTTGATGAAGTTGGCCAACTTCCATCCAACTGTACTCATGGAAAACAATGACTGATCTCCACATTCCTCTTCTCAGGTCCCAGAAATCTTTCTCACAGTTCTCCTAGCAGCCATTCCCAATAAACTGATATATGCAGCCTGTCTAGCAAAATGGTGGCACCATTGAGAGTAACAGTAGAGGAGGGAGAACTGAGCTCTGAGAGAAAAGGAAGAGGTTAATTTGATTTATTGGTAAAGATCTGTGTTTAGGCACAAGCTAGTAAAATTCAGCAAGACCTATTAACCTGGGAATCAACACCAAAAGGTGCTTCTAGATCAATATTCACACAACTGAGCCCTCTTTGGTAGAGAAAACCACAAACCCAGGCTACTTTGAACAAATATAAATAAGCTTTTCATTGAAGAGACTATATAATTGCAGAGAGCAGGTAGCAAATTGAGTGGATGCAGAAGTCTGCTAATGCATGGGGATGAGGGTTTTTCAAGCTTTAGTCATTGATTTAATTCCTGTTTGCATAAACGAGGTGTTAAAAGATACTACAACTAACATAATCTAAAACAGTGTGTTAGCTAACACAAATTCAAGATAGCATATATAGTGTAGGTACAAGGTAATGTCTATTTACTGGTCAGAGTTTAGGCAAGAAACAAAACCACTCTAGATATCTTGAGAAGAATGGGGTTTGATTCAGAGATAGGTATTTGCGAAATCACTGGAAGAGTTAGTGAATGGAATTTAAAAGGCTGCCTCTACGCTTTCGTGGGAGTTATAAGTAGTCATCACCAAGTATTTCCAGCTCTCCACCTTCTGAGAACACTTCCTAGTCCCTTTGTGGTTGGATGGGACAAGTGACTTTTCTTGCCTTTTAGGGTTATACATTTCTTATGTTTATTTCCCTCTGTATGCATAAAATACTGCAAGGGCTTCCTTTTCCTAGCAATAAGATCTCCAAACCATCGTCCTAATTCATGGGCATTTATAGTACCCTCCTGAGTTCATGCTATGGTGCTGGGTGCTGGGTGCTGGGTGGTACTGGGTGCTGGGTGCTGCTGGGAGCATTGATCTTGGAGACAGGGTCTCACTCCATCATCCAGGCTGGAGTGCAGTGACGCTATCTCAGCTCACTGCAACCTCCACCTCCTGGGTTCAAGTGACTCTCCCACCTCAGCCTCCAGAGTGGCTGAGACTACAGGTGCGCACCACCACACCTGGCTAATTTTTGTATTTTTTGGCAGAGATGGGGTTTCGCCATGTTGGCCAGGCTGGTCTCAAATTCCTGACCTCAAGTCATCCACCCACCTCGGCCTCCCACAGTGCTGGGATTACAAGTGTGAGCCACCGCACCCAGCCAGGAACATTGATTTTTGAGAGTAGATGACATGTTTTGCTTTTAGGTCACACCATTTAGTTGTCAGCACAGTCTTTGTAGGCCTCTGCACCCCTCTAGCATGATAGACCAAGTTGATGGCTGCTCCATGAGTCCAGATCCTACAGTGAGGAGACACAAATCACAGCCCCAAGGCAATCCACAGTAGGCACACAGCACAAATGAGAAATAAGCCACCTAAAATTAGGAGGTTATTTATTACCACAGCAGAACTTTGCCTATGGTGACTGAAACAGGGTCTGACCTCCAGATTATAAACTACCACAGCCACCAACCAGAGGACAGGAGCAGTGACTGTCACTAGGAGGCCAGGCCATTGTGGCTTGTGTGGCTATTGCCACTGCTGAAGCCACAGCTTCCCCACACCATGAAGCTAAATAACACAGAATGAACCTGGAGCCCAGCTGCTGCCAGCACTCACACATATCAGCAGCACAAAATCTCAGGAAAAAAAAAAAAAAAAAAGGCCTTTGTCTTCCTTCTACCTTCAAAATCTCAAGGGCTCCTACTTGCCAGAATCTAAGTTGCATCTAGAATCCTAGTGGCCAAAGGGTCAGGGGAGTGTAGGTTTTCAGACTTCTGGTCCCTGTGATGGAGGAGTCTGGGGACACAGAGAGCGATGGAAACAGATGTTGAGTGCCAACAAGCAAAATCTAGCACAAATCCTCAAAGTGTGCTCCAGGCCCCTCTGCATCAGGGTCACTGGGGTGCCTACCACCAGATGCCAACCATACAGGCTCAGACTTGTGGGGACCTGGGATCTGCATTTTGACAATGGTCTTGTCTATAGAAGAAGGGATTTGCCCTTAAGAGAGGAAAAAAAATAAAAGATCCAAAGTATTTAATAAAACGGCTCCTACATAAAAATTGCTTTACCACTTTAATGTCCCCTGTAAGTTTTGTGTTTCTTGTATAGTTTTAAGTCCTATTAAAGTTGTAGATTAATAGTAAGCAAACAAAATCCAACTCTTTCATTTTAAAAATAAGGAAAATGAAGCACGGAAATGTTAAGAATTTTGCTTAACATTAATTTTTTTAGTAAGAGAGACAGTTGTCTAGACCAAAAAAAAAAAAAAAAAACAATGATTGAAAGCCAAATAAATTAGATTTGGCCTCAGAAGACATGTCTATTCACCAGCCACCTGAGTATTACCCACAGAGAAAACTTTTAATTTAGCAGCTGCAAATGGGCAGGCCTCAAGCCACAGGTGTATTTTGCTATTCTACACAGTATACTTTTACAATTTGAGCTAAGCCAGGCGTGGTGGCTCATACCCATTATCAGGCACTTTGGGAGACTGAGGCAAGAGGATTGCTTGAGCCCAGGAGTTAGAGACCAGCCTGGGCAACAAAACAAGATCCTGTATTTACAAAAAATAAATAAATAAATAAATAAATTAGGCGTCGTGGTCCACAACTGTAATCCCAGCTACTCAGGAGGCTGAGGCAGGAGGATCCCATGAGCCCAGAAGGTCAAGGTAAGCCATGATCATGCCACTACACTCCAACCTGGGTGACAGAGCAAGTCCCTATGTAAAAAAATAAATAAATAAAATTTGAGCTAATATCTAAAATTTAGGAAATTCCACATAAAAATCCATGTATTTGGTTTCCCTTGAAAAATTAAAGGGCCCCAGCTTCCCAGCTGACAACAACTGACTCCTCTAAGAGGCAGCTCCCAATCCTCATGTCCTTACCCCCCATCCTGACCCCAACTGACCCCCCAGACCCCCTTCCAACTGTGTGCTCTCCAGTTTGCTACTGTGCCCACCTATTTTCCTGTAAAAGGTAGATTTCTACTCCTGTAAAAAATAAACAGCTAACTGACTACAACCCAAACACCAAGAAGAAGGGAGTCATTTCATTTTACCAAGGGTGCCATAAGGTTGTACCAAGCGTTTATTGGAAGCATTTGGCTTGATGACACCACCCCCCACCCTACTCCACGCCTATATTTTTTATTTAGAGAACTATTTGCTCATGGATCTTTAAAGAATCCAACAGTGTCTTCTGGAAACTCAGGGTTAGGGACAATGATATTTATCATCATGCTTGAAATCGTCTTTCTTGCTGTAAAGAAAGATTCTTATAACTTTATGCTGATCAAAAGTAATAGAACAAAGATAGACCTGTGAGGCGGTGCAAGTTCTTTCACCTTCCCATTTCATTCATTTTTACGACTTTCCTGGCCCCTGGGGACAATTTGCCACTCTGGCCTTAAGATACTTTGTAGATAGATTTGTGCCCCACGGACCTGTTTGCAGCCTGCAGTCCGATCTCCGGTTGAGGTGAGCCCCCACCTGGTCACCTGCAGAACGGCACCCACGAGGGCCAGCTAGTTATTCTGGCACACAGGGCAGTTAGAGCGAGCGCTCCTCTATACAGGACACCACTGCGCTGTGTATTTGAGGTAATTAGTTTGGCTCTAAAATTAGCAGTTAAATAAATGTTAATGAACAGCTGTTCCCAATAAACAGGATAAATTGAAATTAATAATTGCCGTATTCATTTAACAAATGAATTACCCACTTTTTAAATACACCAACATAACACATGTGTGATCTCCTGCCAAGAGGGGCCGGCCTAGGAAAATGTACTTAGTGGCAAAACAGGGTAAGCCAGGAGCCAAGCAGGGCAGATGCCATGCCGCCCACTCTAAAGATACCAACAAAATGTGTGACTGCTTTCTTATTTTTATTCCTGTAAAAGGTTGAAATAAATATCAGATTAACTACAACCCAAACACCAAGAAGAAGGGAGTCATTTCATTTTACCAATGGTGGGGTAAGACTGCATCCAGGGTTTCTTGAAGGCATTTGGCTTGATAACACCACCCCCTACCTCACTCCACCCCTATATTTTTTATGTAGGGAACTATTTGCCCGTGGATCTTTAAAGAACCCGACTCTATCGCATCCCAGGAGTAGAAAATTGCTAGCAACACTGAATTCTAGGGCAGTGAGAAGGACAAGAGCTTTAGAGGGACAATCTAGGCTCAAGTTCTGACTACACTAATTACCTCAGTTTCTTCATCTGCACAATGGGAATTGTGAGCTTTGTGTAAGATCATATAGGTCAAGTAGCTAGCACAATGTTTAGCATTTAATAGTTCTTTATTATAATACATATTATTACTTTTCCTTTACAGTGTAAATGACAATCAGAGTTTAAGGAACAAACTTACAAGTAAACTAAGCCTTTATCTGCCGGAGCCCCACGCATTGATGCCAGGCTCTGTCCTGGGCAGGAACACCAACGTGAACAAGACAAGGGCTCTGCCTAGAGGAGCCCATGTGCTCGTGTCCTGGTGTAGCAGGCATGTGAAACATGGACATAACAAGCAAGAACGTTTAGGCGCGTGCTGTGAAGAGACTAAAAGGGGACAACAGAAGAGTGGCTGGGTGACTTTAGCTGCAATAACAGGAACATTTGAGGGACCACCACTCTGAGGGAAAAGTTAAGCCAGCACCTGCATGTGACTGGAAGGCTGCCATGAAGTCTCCAGGAAGAACATTCTGGAGAAAGAGCAAATGCAAAGACTCTAAAGTGGGAAAAAGTACCAGCATATTCCAGCGAGAGGGTGAGCGTCATTAGAACTTAGGGACATAGCCAGGCTCAGTGGCTCATGCCTGTAATCCCAGCACTTTGGGAGGCCAAGGCAAATGGATCACCTGAGGTCAGGAGTTCGAGACCAGCCTGGTCAACATGGTAAAACCCCGTCTCTACTAAAAATACAAAAATTAGCCAGGCATGGTGGCAGGTGCCTGTAATCCCAGCTACTCAGAGGCTGAGTCAGGACAATCACTTGAACCCAAAGAGATGGAGGTTGCAGTGAGCTGAGATTGCATCATTGCACTCCAGCCTGGGCAACAAGAGTGAGAGGCCATCTAAAAAAAAAAAAAAAATAAGAACTTAGGGACATTAGTTTCTGAAGATCACTCTGGCTGTCAAGTAGAACAAAAGTGAAAGGAGGGAGCTGAGTTAGAAGGCTTTTGCAGATGGTGGCTTCCCCATAAATTGACCCAACCTACTTCATTCCATGCAAGAGGATCCTTTCACCCCAGGAATTCCCATTACACATAGTTTTCATTACAACATGGAAGGTCATTATTGGTAGAAGATGTTACAGCCAGTACAGAGCGAGTCATGCACACTCTCTCACCAGAGAGGAGTTAGACCTGGAAGGCAATCACTGGGCCACGCTAAGATCTTCACCTCCTTTGTTTGTCCCTTTGTCCCCCTCCCTATTCTCAGCATACACACAGCTAGTCATTAGCATTCTTTGCATGTGGAGAGACTCAGTAATGGTTTGTGTGTCTCACATTGAAATACTATAGGCAGATACAGTATTTCAGAGTGGTAAAGAGACCTTGGTTAGCTGCGTCTGAATCCCAGCTCTACCATTTTCTGCCTGTGCAACCTGGACAATTTACTTAACCTCTCTCATGTGTCAGTTTCTGTCTCTGGGAATGGGGAAAATAGCACATAGTTATTAAGGAGATCAATAATAACAATGGAAAGAGCATAGCATGTAAGGGTGTTGGCCTACAGTAAGCCCTCAGTAAATATCAGTGCTTAGTCATAGGCCCGCAGCACACAGTTCTCTCTGATGGACACAAATCCTGTTCCAGTGATAATCAAGCTGTGACTGTAAAATAGACTGTTACATTTAAATTAGAAGCAAAGTTAATGATAAAGTTAATTCATAGACAGGATGTTTGAAGTTTTACGTTAAAAATGAACTTATGGGTCCGGTGGCAAACTCTTATGTCTCAGCAGGCGTTTCTTTGGAGCCAGTATAAAGTGTTTAAAACTTCATAGTAATGTAATATTAAGTACAGGCAAAGTTAGTAAGACAGACCTGTCATACACTGATGGGGAGAGAGCGGGTGTAAAACGCTATAGCCAGTTGAGAGGCTTTTTTTTTTTTTTCTTTTAAGGAGTCTCTGTCACCCAGGCTGGAGTGCAGTGGTGCAATCTTGGCTCACTGCAACCTCCGCCACCTGGGTTCAAGCAACTCTCCTGTCTCAGCCTCCCAAGTAGCTGGGACTACAGGTGCACGCCACTATGCCCGACTAATTTTTGTATTTTTAGTAGAGATGGGATTTCACCATATTGGTCAGGCTGGTCTCGAACTCCTGACCTCAGGTGATCTACCCGCCTCAGCCTCCGAAAGTGCTGGGATTACAGGCGTGAGCCACCTCACCCAGCCAAGAGGCATTTTTAATACATCTTTTAAACGTGCATCAACTTCAATCCACCAATTTCACTTCTTTTTTTTTTTTTTTTTTTTTCTGACACAGAGCCTCTCTCTGTCACCCAGGCTGGAGTGCAGTGGCATGATCTCAGCTCACTGCGACCTCCACCTCCAGGTTCAAACGATTCTCCTGCCTCAGCCTCCTGAGTAGCTGGGACTACAGGCATGTGCCACTATGCCCAGCTAATTTTTTGTATTTTTAGTAGAGACGGAGTTTCACCATGTTGGCCAGGATGGTCTCAATCTCCTGACCTCGTGATCCGCCTGCCTTGGCCTCCCAACGTGCTGGGATTACAGGCATGAGCCACCGTGCCTGGCCCAATTTCACTTAATATCTGTTCTGGAATATGACACCCATGTGTACACAAGAAATAATATTTAAGGGTGTTCATTACAGTACTGTTTTCTAACAGGGAAAAGCTGGAAATAAATGATTGCTCATGAGGAAATAGCTAAACAAATTATATTTTTATAATCGAAATACTATGCAACACTGAATGAAATGTAGAACTACGTGTATTAATAGTCCGAGACCTCTAAAACACATTGTGCTGGAAAGAACAAGCTACCAAATTATATGTGTGGTATAAAATTAATGCTATTACTTTTATACACACATTTGCATGGCAGAGATTGCTAGTTGCCTTCTCTCTGCTATTTAATAATAGAATTACAATTTTATTTGTTGTAGCAATGAATTCAGCTGAAAGACAACAGCTCACAGCATCTCTTGCAGCCACATGCGGCTGTATGACTGAACTCTGGTCAGTGAGATGTAGTTAGAAGTGAATGCAAATAAGGCTCCCTCCCTTCTTTCTATGTCTGCCCTGGGTTGCAGATAGAATGACTGGAGCTTTCATCACCATTTTGAACCAGGAGGTGACCTTGAGGGTGGAGACAGTGAACAAAGGCAGAGTGATGCCCAGATTGCTGGTAATATCGTGGAGTCACCGTATCAGCCCTGGACTGCCTGTCTCCAGACTTTATCTGAGAAAACTTCTGACTTCAGCTAGTGTTATTAGAGATTTTCCTATCATATGCAGCTGAACGTAATCCTAAATCATACAGTAGGCAAATCCAACAGTCTGCACATACGTGCACTAAACTAACATTAGTTGTTACCTTTGGGAACAAGAGGAGAGGACTGCAAGTATAGAGAGCAGTCCAAGGAAAATCAAGCTTTAGCTCCATCTCCATGTTTAAATTTTTAGAAGAATTCATTCATGTATTTGCACAACTAAAATTGATTTTAAAATAAAAGGGAAATATCCATTTAAATTAAAGAGACAGCTGGCAAAGCAGCCGCTGAAGGGGCTCAGGGCCTCAGGGACTCCAGCACTGCTCCTCACTGCACCTTGTAGAAGACACAAATGGCCAGATAGGTCATTTTAGCCACCACCTCCCCAGGGGACTCTTACCCTGTCAGCTGGGTACTCCCATCAGAGACGCTTCACCTGTGGACTGACCACCAAAACCATCCCACAAACAGTAAACTTGGTTCCTTCCTGATAAAAATGAACCTCAGCCAAGCTATGTGCAGGGCTTTGTAGTCATCGAATCATGAGGCCCCAGAAGGCAAAGGTGAGTGAGGTTCAATCACCTTCCCATCAGAGAACTAGTCTCTCTTTCATGATCAGTATTTCTAAGGTGGGAGGGAGAGGTACAGAAGTGACAGAGGTGAGCAGGATGCTCGGTAGCCCTGTGTGTCACAAGGGATGTGGTACAATTCCATCTTATGGCAGCCACGTGCCCAGGAAGAAAGCACACTTCACATTCTGCTGCTCGGGGTATTTCCTCAAATAACAGTGACATGGGAAGTGAATGGAGCAGTGGTAGAAGGACGTGGGGTGCATCACTAAAATTCTCACTCCATGCTCAACTCAAGTTCACCAACTTCAGATCAGGAAGAAGCCTCGGCTGTATCGACGATGGGACAAAAATGGGGAGGAAACTTTCCTGCTCTTAACATGTCTGTCCTCATTCGTTCCCAGATTTGGCAAAACCCCAACCCTGAATAGCCCAACTATCACCTTGCTTTAAGCCCACACCTGTAAAGCCACACCTTGCTAGATGCCCTACATGAGCAGGCAGGCTGGTGTCATTTTAAATCAGCATCCCCACTCTCAAAGGCCATTCTGCTGTTTTAGAGCAACCAGGTCTTAATCTGTCCCAATTCCTCAAACCTTCCACCCTCAACCCCCTTTTTAATTGAGGGCCTCACTGCCACCATCCCCCCACACCCCTGTTCCCCAACTCAATCAAGAAAACGGGAGCCAGACAGCAACTCCCACAGTCGCCACCTCCAAATGCAAAACCCTCCCCTGCACCTGCACCTTCTGCTGCCTCTGCTTTCTCATCACAAGAGAGGACTACCCTCCCCATTGAAGTCTTTTTCCCACCCATGCCATCTGGATCCCCTGCGCTCTGTACTTCCCGACTCCACTGCCACTCATGGGGGGCCAAGACCCTAGCATATCCATCTTTCCTTCTCCATTGCGTCATTCCCTCCAACATATGAATTTGCTCTAGTGAAGGAGATAGGCATGGTGTTGTTAATAGGAGATTTGATCTTACATGAAATATCAGGGAAAGTTTTCCAGAGGAATCAATGCCTGAACAAAGATCTGCAGGATAAGGAGAAGTTACTCTGAGGAAGAAGGGAAAAAATCATATTCCAGGCTGTGGGGCCTGCATGTACACACACCCTGTGATAAAATAAGGTGTTTTGAAACTAATCTGTTACAGTCCCCCCTGTATTTTGACTTGCAAACATAAATTCCAAAGAAGGAAAGTCTTTCAGATACTTTTTTTTTTTTTTTTTTTTTTGAGATGGAGTCTTGCTCTTTTGCCCAGGCTGGAGTGCAGTGGTACCATCTTGGCTCAGTGCAACCTCCACCTCCCAGGTTCAAGTGATTCTCATGCCTCAGCCTCCCAAGTAGCTGGGACTACAGGCAGGCATGGCCACACCCGGCTAATTTTTGTATTTTTAGTAGAGACGGGGTTTCACTGACCAGGCTGGTCTCGAACTCCTGACCTCAGGTGATCTGCCTGCCTCGGCCTCCCAAAGTGCTGGGATTAGGTGTGAGCCACCACGCCCAGCCTCAGATACTTTCTTAACAACCAGGCAATCTGTACCTGTACTATTTGATAGGGTAGCCAATAGCTTTAAAACAAAACTAAATAAAATTAAATATTCAGTTCCTCAGTTGCACTAGCCACACTTCAAATCAGACAGTGGAAATACAGGACACTTCCGCCATCACAGAAAGTAATCTAAGACAGTGTTCACCTAAACCACTAGGAGCAGGAAGGTGCATATGAGATTCATGAGAAGTTGGGGTTTTGTTCCAATTTGTTTTTGAATTTATTATTTGGATTATTACAGAAAGAATCAGTCAGCTAATACGTAAGATCTGTGATTAATATCACAAATTTAGCAATTTCCTTCAACAAACATGTTAACAAATGATGTTTTCCTTATATATTAGTAGTTTCAAAGTTGCAGGCCCACAATCCTTGGAAGGTAACTATCAAAACCAACCACTGAATATACAGGAAAGTGTTTTTGCTCTTTTTAAGAGAGCACTTAGAAATTTGACTTTAGGTTGGGCATGGTGGCTCATCTCTATAATCCCAACACTTTGGGAGGCCAAGGCATGATGATTGCTTGAGCCCAAGTGTTTGAAACCAGCCTGGGCAACACAGGGAGACCTCTGTCTCTACAAAAATATTAAAAAATTAGCCAGGCATGGTGGTGCATGCCTGTACTACCAGCTACTCAGAAGGCTGAAGTGGGAGGTTCACTTGAGCCCAGGAAGTCGAGGCTGCAGTGAGCCATGATTGCACCACTGCACTCCAGCTTGGGCAACAGAGCAAGAGCCTGTCTCAAAAAAAAAAAAAAAATTCAACTTTATGTTGATAAGATAATCAGCACAGATTTAACTCCAATTTTATAGTGCCTGGTTTGTCACTATTCTCTACCTTTTCCCTCATGGCTCTAAATAAATGATAAAGAATAATCCTAACTCAAAAACACCTTTGTCAACATCATCTTCACTCAATTTTCTCATCATGTACCTTGGAAGCTTTTTGCCTGTATAACCTTAATCAAAGCACTATTGGGAGGAGGAGGGCACCTAAAATAATTTTGCTCCAAAGCTCCCAGGTGGAAGAAAACATGGTAAACACAAGGCCAAGGTGGCTGGAGTGAAAGATGAAAAAATCAGGAGGAAGAGGCACGGGCCAAGCTATCTATCTTTTTATTTTTTGGAGACAGAGTCTCACTCTTGTCACCCCGGCTGGAGTGCAATGGTGCGATCTCGGCTCACTGCAACCTCCGCCTCCCGGGTTCAAGTGATTCTCCTGCCTCAACCTCCCGAGTAGCTGGGATTACAGGCACCCACCACCACACCCAGCTAATTTTTGTATTTTTAGTAGAGACACGGTTTCACTGTGTTGGCCAGGCTTGTCTCAAACTCCTGACCTCGTGATCCATCCACCACAGCCTCCCAGGCACTTTTTTTTTTTTTTTTTTTTTTTGAGACAGAGTCTCACTCTGGCACCAGGCTGCAGTGCAGTGGTGCAATCTCGGCTCACTACAACCTCTGCCTCCTGGGTTCAAGCAATTCTCCTGTCTCAGCCTCCCAAACAGCTGGGACTACAGGCATGCGCCACCACGCCCAACTAATTTTTGTATTTTTAGTAGATTCACCATGATGGCCAGGCTGGTTCTGATCTCTTGACCCCGTGATCCACCCACCTTGGCCTCCTAAAGTGCTGTGATTACAGGCGTGAGCCACCATGCCCAGCTCAAGCTATGTATCTTTAACCTAATGTGTGATAAGAAGCCACTGAAGGATTTTAAGAGTGAAAGGGAAGAACACTGAAGTAGGAAAGACTTGATCCAATCTGAGTTTTGAAAAAATGGCTGTGGTTTCTGTGTGGTGAGAAAGGACAATCTTGAGGGAGGCCAGTGTCCAGGCAGATAGGCCTATTAGGAGGCAGCTGCAGCAGGAATTGAAAGCAAACCCTGAGTATAGCCAGAGGGTCACTATAGTACCCAAATCAAAAGTCAAGAAACCATACTGACAAGTGTGGAAGTGGTTACAGGGAAACATGACAGAATATTTAAAAGTCAACCAATCCCACAAAACCTGGAGTGTGTGGTCCTGCCCACAGCAGTAGGAAAAGTGATGGTTTTATAATAAATGCTCAAAAAGTAATTTATTATTTGGAGGAAAATTCTTGTCTAACAGGTCAACTTCTATTATACTTCAGGATTCCAAACCAAAAATTTCTTAACACCTTGAAATTTTCCTCCCAGTGGAGACTGCATGAATTTCCCCTGAAATGTTAAAGCAGCTCTACCTTTGTTTTCTGTAGTATTCCCCTCTCCTCCCTTTTGAGGAAATGCTATGGAAATGTCCTTTTATATAAAGAGACAAAAAAGTCTGGGCTGTCAATCACATTCCTAGGATACTATAGGGCTGGGAAGACCATAGGTCAAATTCAACGCACTGGCAGCTTTTATTTTTCTTTTCCCCAAGCAATGCTTTAAAAGAAATTGAGCAACTTTTTTTAATAATCTATCTTCTTTAATGCATATATATTTTTCTTTTTTTTTTTTTTTCATTTTAAGTTCTGGGATACATGTGCAGAACGTGCAGGTTTGTTACATAGGTATACATGTGCCATGATGGTTTGCTGCACCTATCAACCTGTCATCTAGGTTTTAATCCCTGCGTGCATTAGGTATTTGTCCTAATGCTCTCCCTCCCTGAGCAACATTTTTAAATCAGAAAATTTCACTGAGAACTCTGGAATGTTTTCATCTCTTGAAAAATCATAAGCCCCGAGCCTGCAACACTAGGGTTTTCTCTCCACAGGCAACTATCAGCTAGAATCAAATGCAAGCCAGTCCTCTCAAGATCTGAGATCTCCTCTCCAGTTCACTAAGGTCTCCACCACCCACACCAGCTAAGCACGGAAGTCACACAGGTTACACAGCATTTGTGCTCTCAAGGTACTGGACTCTGCCGCCCTCTGTTGGCCAAATCTGTGCAACTGTAGAAAACTACCAAATTATTGAGGCCTGTTATCACCTGCAACTAGATCAGCCACTAAAAATCAAAGTTCTCTTTATCCATATTCCTGACCTTCCAGCATAAGATGATATGTATTCAAGAAATGTAAACTAGGCCGGGTATGGTGGCTCACGCCTGTAATCCCAGCACTTTGGGAGATGGAGGCAGGCGGATCACTTGAGGTCAGGAGTTGGAGACCAGCCTGGCCAACATGGCAAAACCCAGTCTCTACTAAAAATACAAAAGTTAGCCAGGCATGGTAGTGGATGCCTGTAAATCTAGCTACTCGGGAGGCTGAGGCAGGAATCACTTGAACCCGGGAAGCAGAGGATGCAGTGAGCCAAGATCATGCCACTGTACTCCAGCCTGGGTGACAGAGCAAGACTCTGTCAGAAAGAAAGAAAAGAAAGAGAGAGAGAGAGAGAGAGAGAGAGAGAAAGACTAAATTTGACCTTAACAGGCCATCACTTAAAAATGAATGGGGAGGCCAGGTGCAGTGGTCACGCCTGTAATCCCAGCACTTTGGGAGGCCGAGGCGGGCAGATCATAAGGTCAGGAGTTTGAGACCAGCAGGGCTAACATAGGGAAACCCCGTCTCTACTAAACACACACACACACACACACACACACACACACACACAATTAGCCAGGCCTGGTGGTGAGCACCTGTAATCCCAGCTACTTGAGAGGTTGAGGCAAAGAGAATCGCTTGAACCTGGGAGGTGGCAGTTGCAGTGAGCCAAGATCGCACTCCACAGTCCAGCCCAGGCAACAGTGTGAGACTCTATCTCAAAAAAAAAAAAAAAAAGTGAATGGGGATACCAAATATCAAATAAAAAATTCTCTGTTATTATACTTTGGATTTTCTGAGGGGGTTGGGACAGAGGGGGGGTCTCAATCTCTGTTGCCCGGGCTGGATTTCAGTGGCACGATCACAGTTCACTGCAGCCTGAAACTTCAGGGCTCGAACAATCCTCCCATCTCAGCTTCCCAAGTAGCTGGGAC
Organism: Homo sapiens; assembly: GCF_000001405.40. Classification (NCBI taxonomy): domain Eukaryota; kingdom Metazoa; phylum Chordata; class Mammalia; order Primates; family Hominidae; genus Homo; species Homo sapiens. The sequence goes on along the minus strand of NC_000005.10, from coordinate 146,532,392 downwards.
TACAAGCGTGCGCCATCACGCCAAGCTAATTTATATCTATATATATATACATAGATATAGACATATATAGATATATATATAATAGACGTAAATTTATGTATTTCTCTATATATATAAAAATAATTTTTTAAGATGGGGTCTCACTATATTGCCCAGGCCAGTCTCAAACTCCTGGCTTTAAATAATTTTCCTGCTTTGGCCTCCAGAGTAGCTGAGATTACAGGCACAAACCACCACCCCCAGGTTATACTTTAAATTTGTGAGAATTCAGGATTGCTTTATTTACATAACAAAGCTTTAATCTTTCCCAAAAATATTTTATGTATTAAATAATTTCCCAATACATATTTTCCAAATTAAAGCATATTAATTTGGTCCCAAAGTTTTCATGAGCTACACTGCATTTAGCCATCCCAAAGCTTGTGGTGTTAAACTTCTTGTCAGAGCATGGTGCTCACAATAGTCATTGCAGGGGCCAAAACAAAACAGGAGGCTCTTTGTCACTGAGTTACTGCGAAGTACAACTCTTCAAGCAGGGAGGAATCACCACCTCATAGGGCATTCCCAATCTGCATGCAAAGATTTTATAGCCCACTCCACCTTAATACTCTTTGAAAGCTGTATTTTGAGAGACAAATATTCAATGAGAGAGATTTCTGGTCTATTTTTCACTACCATCGTCTTCTCTCTAGAAGATAAAACATGACACGAAAGTTAATCAATGCTTTGATCATACCCTGCAAGCTAATCACCACATTCCCAACGAGCAGCAGGAATAGCCAAAGAAACCAAAAAGCCAAGCAAATTTTCTGTAGCTGAACTGGAAATCGAAAGGCAATTGTCAAGTGCACCCTAATCAAAGACTCCTGTGGTGGCATGGTAAACCCCACAGTGGATAAGAACAAGCTGAATTCACGAAAACTGAGAATTACCCTTCTTCCAGAAATTCTGTTTCACTCAAATACAACTTGGAATCCCAGCAGAGGTCTGTCCCAGTAAGCATTTAATTAATGTAAAAGAATAGATTGTTTGTCTTCAACTACACATATGTTTGCTTACAATGAGGGTGCTTTAATCTTTTAAACTCCTAGTTTTCTGGGAGTCCCTGAGACCATTTCAGGAGACCACAAGATCAAAACCATTTTCTTTTTTTTTTTTTTGAGGCAGAGTCTCGCTCTGTCTCCCAGCCTGGAGTGCAGTGGCACAATCTCGGCTCACTGCAACCTTCGCCTCCTGGGCTCAAGCAATCCTCCTGCCTCAGCCTCCTGAGTAGCTGGGATTACAGACACACATCACCATGCCCGGCTAATTTTTGTATTTTTTAGTAGAGATGGGATTCCACCATGTTGGCCAGGCTCATCTCAAACTCCTGACCTCAGGTGATCTGCCCACCTCAGCCTCCCAAAGTGCTGGGATTACAGACATGAGCCACCGTGCCTGGCCAAAACCATTTTCTAATAATACTAAAATGTTATTTGCCTTTTTCATTCTCATGAGCGTAGAGTAGAGTTTTCTAGAGGATACATGATATGTGATATTGCAACAGATTGAATGCAAAAGCAGATAAGAGAATCTAGCTCCATTCTGTCAAGCCAGATGTTAATGAGATCTGCAAAAACATAAAACAATTTCACTCTTCTTACTAAATGTTTTTGTTTTAGGAAGTGTAGTTCTTTCTAATGAAAGTATTACTTATATTAACATGTAATGGGTTGGATACTATTGTTTTAAAATCAGTTAATATTTTAAATTTTCCTCAGCTTTAGGTTCTAATAAGGTAAATATTAATACATATAACTCACATAAACAAAAGCTCTTTGGGATCCTCAATAATTTTTAAGAGTGTAAAGGGGTCCAAAGGCCAAAATATTTGAGAACCACAATTTTAAACAGTTTTTCTTGTTCTTTTCTAGATTATGCAAGCTCTCTGAAAATTGATTTCATTAGAAAGCATCCTTTCTGCGATAATCAATAATCCAAATAGTGGGTCCGGGGTTCAGAATTCAGCCCTCCAAACTACTACTCCCAGCAGGCCTCAATATCCTGCCTCCACTTGCCAAAGCCACAGTCTTTAGTTCTTCAGTTGAGATAGTCCATTCCAATATACTTGCTCAAACACCATGCTTTATAGTGATTATAATAACCAAAAGTGAAACAGGAGAACTCCCCAACCCCTCTTGCAGGACATGTGACAGGGGTGTGGCTTGTGGGCTCAAATCCCTTACAGGAGGGGAAGCACACAGATCGGCAGGTGCAGGAGCCAGAGTGAGTGCCCCTGGGCTCTGGCCCCATGGTAGCATCTAGGGGTGGGTGACTGCAACTCCCAAAGCCCAAGTGGGCCTGGCTTTTGTTACAGTTTAGCCTTGCCATCCATGGACGGCTTAAGTGTTAAACAGCTCAGTGCCTCTTGGTACCCAGGTCCTTGTCTGGCATCCAGGAAGAATCAGGTCGCACATGGACTTGCAGGATGAATGTGGAAGTTTTACTGAATGGTGAAGGTGGCTCTCATTGGGATGGATGGGGAACTGGAAGGGGGATGGAGTGGGAAGATGATCTTCCCCTGACGTTTGGCCATCCAGCGGCTGATCTCCTCTCTGACCGTCCCCGGCCAAACTCCTCTCAGTGTTCAGACATTCCTTCTCTTTTCTCTTGCACGCTGTTCTGCCATTCCCCTGTTCATCTCCTCATCTGCTTGTGGAGCCTGGAGTTTGGGGTTTATATGGGTACAGGATGGGGTGGGGTGTGGCAGGCCAAAAGGCAACTTTTGGGCACAAAATCAGGAATGCCTGTTCCCATTAAGGTTGCAGGTTTCCATGCTTGAGAGTGAGGTGTTTGCCAGGGAACTGCCCTCTTCTACCCAGTATTCGCCTGTCTCCTGTCTGTTTCAAAAATGTCAGTTTTTAACAGTTGATGAGCGCGTACCATTTGGCAGGTGTTTATCCTTCGTGATCTCACTAATGAATTCATGAACGGTGCTTCAGCATTGCCTGAAATGTGGTAAACCCTCATTAAACATTAGCAATGATGGTGATGGCAGTGGTGATGGTGGCCTTACAAGAATCCCATGAGAAATGTATTAATATCATTCCTCACTTGTAGCTGAGGAAACTGAGGCCCAAAAATGTAACTTCCCAAATAGAGTGTGTAAATTCCCACACTCTAGTCAGTGGCAGAGCTGGGATTCCAACCCAATAAGTCTAAGGTCCATGTGCCAAACACTTCCGCTCTGCTGTGCACCAGAGAATCTCACACTTTGCCAGGGAGATGAATCGGCTGAAGTTTTTGTGAAATTCAGATTCTGATTCAGGAGGTCTTGGGTGGGGCCTGGGATTCTGCATTTCTAACAAGTGTCCAAGCAGTGCGGACGCCACTGGTTCTGAAACCACAATTTAGGAGAGGGTTGTACACCTCCTCTCTCACAGACATCCTGAATCATTTTTTATCTATGTGTTCATTTTCCTCTGCCTATAATACTCAAATATGCTTATGCTAATTAAAAATATTTTCCATTTTTTTTTTTTTTTTGAGATGGAGTCTCGCTCTGCCGCCCAGGCTGGAGTGCAGTGGCGCTATCTTGGCTCACTCCCAGGTTCACACCATTCTCCTGCCTCAGCCTCCCGAGTAGCTGGGACTACAGGCACCCGCCACCATGCCTGACTAATTTTTTGTATTTTTAGTAGAGAAGGGGTTTGACCGTGTTAGCCAGGATGGTCTCGATCTCCTGATCTCATGATCCACCCACCTCAGCCTCCCAAAGTGCTGGGATTACAGGAAAAATATTTTTCAATAGCTCCATCCATGTCCCATTCAATTACAGTCCCTAGCTTTCTCTCAACCTCTACTTTTATATGCTACTCACTGTGACCACAAACTGCCCTCCGAACACCAAATTCAGTTTTTCTCCATCAGCTGAACAATCAGCATTTTCAGTTATCACAAGGGGGCAGTGCCCACTAATCAACGGTTCAGACTCGGCAGCAGCATCTCAGTAGAGCTGTGGAATTGTGCAATTACATGAACATATTATTTTAAATGACTAGAAATGAGGAAAATACAAATAAATGAGAATGCAAAGTTATACATACTGTATGAGCACTAATGAGGATTTGGGGCTGAATGGATCCCTCGTTTTATTCATGATAATTGTCATATTCCTTGCAAATGCACAAAACATTGGCAGTCATTAATTATGCATATGTCTGACACTTGAAAGTTTGCAGACATCTTCAACTACACTACCTCGTACAATCAATGGCTTCCTTTTACCTGTATAGATTATGAACTCTTCGTGAGCCATACCTCAGACTTCCATTGCTTCCACTGTGTTAATAATAGAAAAATCTAAAACCTTGATTTATCTGATTCATCAAATATCTTCCCTCTCTCCCTGCCTTGACTTGCCTTTTACAAGAAACAGGGACATCACCAAGTGACTCAGCTTCATTCTAAAACACAATGTTATAGATCAAATTATGTTCCCCTAAAAATTCCTATGTTGAAATCCTAACTCCCAATATCTCAGAACATGACCTTATTTGAAGATACGGTATTTACAGAGGTGATCAAGTTAAAATGAGGTCACTGGGTGGATCCTAGTCCCATATAATTGGTATTCTTATAAAAAGGGGAAATTTGGAAACAGTGAGAATGCCATGTAAAGTAAAATCTTGCTTTCATGTAAAGATGAAAGTGGAGATTGGGGTGATGCATCTACAAGCCAGGGAGCACCAAAGATTGCCAGCAACCCCCAGAAGCTAGACGAGAGGCATGGAGCAGGCACACCCCCGCAGCCCTCCGAGGGAACCAAACTTATGACACCTTCATCTTGGACTTTAGCCTCCAGAACTGTGAGACGATGTGTGTTTTCTAAGCCACCCAATTTGTGTCACTTTGTTACAGTAGCCATAGCTACTGTACACAAATTACACAACTACTACACACAAGTTACAGGCATGAACTGGCATCGAAGTTCCCCTGCATAACCTGTAAGGTGACAGTCACCTTCAGAATGATGACCCTACAGCAGAGGGTATTCAATAGGTTAAAGAAAGATAACTAAGTAAAGTGAACTAGGGCATTTTGAAGAGATTTTTTTATTAGATCAAGAGAAGCAAAATGCTTTTCACACTGCCCTATCTCTTTATATCTTAATTAAATTCAGATTTTGCTGTAATTCCACTATAAACAGTTGAAGAACTAAATACATAAAAATTTTAAAAGAAGCTTGAAAACCAAATATTTTCACTGAATCGCTTAAAATTTCATTAAAATAGCTTCCTTGGTCCATTTATTCCAAGCAAGGAAGGGTGGAACTTAATGAAAAGAAGGAAGGCTGTTTGTAGAAACAAATTTATAATGAAATGTAGTAGAATCTCATTCAAAAATTATAAACATGTGTATAATAATGTATTTATAAGCATGCAGAAAGATATCTAGGCCAGGTGTGGTAGCTCACCCTTGTAATCCCAGCACTTTGGGAAGCCAAAGAGGACACTTGAGCCCAGAGTTCGAGACCAGCCCGGCTAACATGCCAAAACCCTGTCTCTAATAAAAATACAAAAAGTAGCTGTGTGTGGTGGCACATGCCTATAATCCCTGCTACTTGGAGGCTGAGGCAGGAGAATCACTTGAACCCAAAAGGTGGAGATTGCAGTGAGCTGAGATGATGCCATTGCACTCCAGCCTGGGCAACAGAGTGAGACTCCGTCTCAAAAAAAATTTTTTTTAAAAGAGATCTATGGAAGATTATTTACCAAACTACTATTTTTGTTTTGTTTTTTTGTTTTTGAGACAGAGTCTTGCTCTGTCACCAGACTTGAGTGCAGTGGTGCGATCTTGGCTCAGTGCAACCTCCGACTCCCACGTTCAAGTGATTCTCCTGCCTCAGGCTCCCAAGTAGCTGGGCTTACAGGCATGTGCCACCACGCCCGACTAATTTTTATATTTTTAGTAGAGACAGGGTTTGACCATGTTGGCCAGGATGGTCTTGATCTCCTGACCTCATGATCTGCCTGCCTTGGCCTCCCAAAGTGCTGGAATTACAGGTGTGAGCCACCGCGCCTGGTCCCAAACTACTATTTTTACAGTAAATAAGGCTGCAGATGAGAGGAGACTCAAAGGAAATGTCTGGGTTGTAATCAGCACAACCAGTGAAATAACCACTCTATATGAGAAATGCAGACAGCATCCTATTATATACATTTCTGCCAGTCAGCAGCAGCTGATCTCATACCTCCCTTGGATAACTCATTCACTAGTATTACACTTATTAGAAAGAAATCCTATTTTGGAGACAAGTTAGTGCTTTAAATGCCAAAACTAGACTGCCTGGAATTAAATTCCAGGCCTATCACTTGCAGGCCATATGACCTGGAACCAGTTACTGCATTTACTTCTTTTCATCTAGAAAATGGACACAGTGAAAGTGTTTAAATCCTAGAGTTTGTGTGAATGGTATACAAAGGACCTGGTACTTAGTAAGCCCTCCTTAAGGGCAGGGTATTTATGATTACTATTTGAACTACATCAATAATAATTTTTAAATCTTTGCTTTCAGTTCTATGAAGGCATAATTGACAAAAATTGTATCTATTAAAAGTGTACAAAATAATGTTTTAATATACATCCATCCCTAAGTACCCGCTGGGGATTTGTTCCAGGACCTCCCTCAGACACCAAAATCTGAGGATGCTCAAGTCCCTGATATAAAATGGTATCTATTAGGTTGGTACAAAAGTGCCAACCTAATAGTATTTATATACAACTTATGCATATCCTCCTGTATACTTTAAATCATCTACAGATTACTTGTAATAACCAATGCAATGTAAATACTATGTAAATAGTTGTTATACTGTTTTAGGAAATACTGACAATAAGTCTGTACATGTTCAGTACAGACAGGTTTTTTTTTTATATTTTCAACCCATGGTTAGTTGAATCTACATATAAGGAACCCATGGATACAGAAACCAGACTATACATATATTATACATTGTGAAATGGTTACCACTATCAAACTAATTAACATATCAACTCACATAGTTACCTTTTTATATATATATATTCTAACACAAAGAAAAAAAGCCAGCAACAATAATTTTAAGAGACTGCTGAAGACCTACTGACGGTTCCTTGCCCAAGAGTACATGCTGTCATATTTATCACTTGCTTAAGACTGGGTAAGAAAAGAGCTTGAACTAGATTATGCAAATAATTCAAAGCCTGAACATGATTCAACTCTCCATGTAGCTCCTGTGCCCACATATGTAGAAAATGTAAAAGCTATAGCAAGTTTTAAAGCCAATTGAATGGTCTCCAGTGTCATTGGTGTTTACAGGCAAGGATAGCTCTTTTGACAAAATAATTGCTGAGGCTGGTTCTGAGTAGACATGAGATCCTAAAGCATGCCCCTTCTTCCCCAGCCTATACTCTGTCCCTTATAAAAGAGAATTCTCAACAGCCATTTGAAAGATGTAGATCTATATTGATAACACAGAAAGTTATTTATGACAAAATATGAAGAAGAAAATCAAATTTTCAATGGCATCTAATAGGATCTTTCCAAAATTATGTATGTATATAAATTGTACTTGAAAATATGCAGAGATATCTGAGAGGTATCACATCTCACCTTTCCCATGTAGCCTTCCCTGACCAATTCATAAACTCCTGCTTCTGAGCTTTTAAACCTCCTTCTAGACTCTATCAGTGATTCATATACCATTAATATGTTAATATTAATTCATTTCAGGGAGGTTCCTCAAGGGCCACAACAGTAAGTGAGGGAGCTTTGGAAAATGGGATCATGATTCCACTCCAACGCTTGCTTCAAACCATATAGCTCTCCTTTTATATATTGCAGACACTGGACTTTTGCCTGAGATGTGGTCTGAAAAAAATTTTTCACAATTAAAGAAAGAACACCTCTGGCCCATGACATGAATTTGGTACTTGCTTTACAACATTTCTAATCATATCCTCCTATGTAACATGACAGATGACAATTTCACCAAAGCCCATCCTGTCTCCCCAGAGTGGGTTTGAAGACTTGACAGGACCTTAGTCCCACATCTTTGATTTTTCCATAACTTCTAGAATGGCTTCATAGATTCTTGTTGAATGATTGAAGAGTCTTCAGTTTGGACATTTATCTTTAGAGGAGACTGTCAGACTAACCAACACTCCAGATATTTCTACCAAAGACTAAGACTCGCTGGTCTACAAATTCTCATCAGCTTCTCACATGACAGCTAAAATCCTGTTTTACTATTACTCCCCTTCACAGAGACGCTCTCTTTTCAGAAGCATTTTTGCACTTAAGGCAGGCAAAGTTTGGGGCCCAAGGAAGGCAATGGAGCTCCTTTCTTAACATGCCGCCAAGCTATGAAGTTAGAGTTGGAACTGGAATACTGTGTATTCCTTCCCCAGCTCATCTGGTCCTAGGATGTCTGCAACATGTGTGAAGATGCCATTCCACCTGCTGGATTCTGTAGTCATGGAAACCACTCTCGTTGGTGCTGAAGAGAGCATCACAATCACACCGGCCCCACAGGGTGGGCAAGGTATGAAAATAGTAGTATACCAAAAACCTTGAATTGTACACTTTAAATGGGTAAACTGTGTGGTATATTAATTATATCACAATAAAGCTGTTTTTCAAACAAAAGAACATGACAAAATTCACTGTACAAGGTTGTCATGACAATGGAATTTTTATTGTTTTTTAACAACTAGGTTTTTCCCTAAATAAAAGAACATGTCATTTAGTAAGAACTTAAAGCAGGCAATACGCTACAAAAACAAAACACCTGTAGCCAGGAACGGGCTTATGATGTCTAAAGTAGATTTTAACCATCCTGGGCCCGTATCTTAGCACTTTACTTGCTGAAAAGTCTCTGTTCTTTTAAAACAATATACTCCTTTTTAGGGAACCATGTCATCTTCTTGGTGGAGGAAATCAATCCCCACTAGCTCTCTAGGGTCTTTTTGGCTGACTAGGGCCCTTCATTGCATAGTAACAAAAATCATAGCTGCAATTATTATTTTATTACAACAACTTTAAAAAAAACAAACTCTTGGGATGAAAAGGGGGAGTTAAAAGAATGCAGTGCATCAAAATATCAACCACAGTTGTGTTTGGATATGACTATGAAGGATTTTTTCAAGAAAAGAAAGTTCTACCTAAGCTGACACAATACAGTCATCTCCTTATGTTCCTACCATCCTTTTGCTTTCCGAAGAGCCATCGCATCTATGTCCAAATTTTGTTCTCCATGAAGTCTAAATGAGCAGTTATTAACATAGACCCCCCACCACCACCACCAAAAAAAAACACACCTGGCAGAAAAAAGTGCAGGACAGGGTAGAGAGGAAGATGCATCCACCTGGCAGCTGAGATTCCTGGACACCAGCCTGTGCCTTGCTGACATGGGACAAGTCACGCACACATTCAGAGCATCTGTCTCCACATGTGGAAAAGAAAAGTTTGGCCCAGATCATTCAAAAGAGCCTCTTTCTGATATAACAGTCTCATTTCTTGGAAATAGGGTTCAGATCTCCCAATTCCCAGCACCTGGCTCTCACAAACCCAGTTCTGTGGGATTTAGAATATACAGGGTGGGCCTGGCGCGGTGGCTCACGCCTGTAATCCCAGCACTTTGGGAGGCCGAGGCGGGTGGATCATGAGGTCAGGAGATCGAGACCATCCTGGCTAACAAGGTGAAACCCCGTCTCTACTAAAAATACAAAAAAATTAGCCGGGCGCGGTGGCGGGCGCCTGTAGTCCCAGCTACTCGGGAGGCTGAGGCAGGAGAATGGCGTGAACCCGGGAAGCGGAGCTTGCAGTGAGCCGAGATTGCGCCTCTGCAGTCCGCAGTCCGGCCTGGGCGACAGAGCGAGACTCCGTCTCAAAAAAAAAAAAAAAAAAAAAAAAGAATATACAGGGTGACCATCAAGTCTGAAAACATAAGCATATCAATAATAAATGGCTTATCAATTAAATAACATGATAAAATTATAATCTACATCTCCAGAGTTGATGACCACTGTGTAACTAACGGCACAATCAATCTTCTTCCATCATCTTTCCTACAGCAGGACTTCAGGGCTACATAACCAACAGCAAAAGTAGGAGGGAGGTCTCTTGTAGGAGTAGCCACTCAGACCCCGCCACACCTATGCAGACACTTACCTTAGAGATGAAGATCACTTGGCTTGCACCTGTATTCTGGAACAACACTCCAGGACACCAGACACTAAATCCTGGACATGTCACTCAGGAAGGTCCCACAGCCAAAGATATTCCACAAAAACAAAATAACTGTAGTCCAAAAAGGAGCACAACCTGGGGACTAGAGAAAGGAAGCCTCAGCAAAGCAAAGCAGTCTGAAAAGAAAGCAACACTGACTGTGTATTATGGCCTTTCCAACATTGCGTGTAGGAGTGAAACTGGTGCAGAACTGCAAAGCTGAGGGCTCACTCGTGCAGCGTCCACAGAGGGAGCTGAGGCACGCTCTTCAAACACTTCAACCTGCTAGCCAACTGCAGCTGGTTGGCAAAGCCCAGCTGAATCCACTCTGTTTCACCAGGAGCTTCACCTGCAATGTTCAGAGCCTGAAAACTTATAGGTAGACAAAGAGGTTAACTCTCAAAGCCCTGAAATAAACAACGCTAACTCCTCTGATAAGCAATAGCTGTTTTCTGGTGCGTCTAATACAGGGGTACTGAGTACACAACAATGATAAGCTTCAAAAGGCTCTGGCAGAGATGAGTAAGCGGGTGCATGACTAAGGCCTCAGCTTAGATATCTTTTCTAACAGGGAGCCCTTGCCTGACCCTTCCACCAGACCCAGCTCCTGGTTTGGACCAGGCGTCCCTCTTCCAGGCATCCACAGCAGCCAGTACTCTTCAATGACAATCTAGCTGTCATTGAAATGTCTTATTTGTTTATTCATCTCTCCCACTAGATTGTAGCTCCTCAAATAAAGGGACCCTTTATGATCCTGGGCTCCCAGAGTCTAGCATCGTGCCTGGCACAGAGAAAATAGCTCAGTAAGCATTCACGTTAGGAAAGGAGGTACATGCACTTTATATTCTCAGTGTCAAAGGCTCAATAAATGCTTATTGAACTAAACTATACTAATTTGAGAACTGCATTGCTTAAAGAACAGTACTTCCCACAGCTTCTTTGGTGGGGTGGGATCATGGAAGAGATCACACAGGTAGTAAATGACAGAGTTGGGATGGAAACCCCTGGGAGAACAGCTCTGGGGTCAGACTTCCAGAGGTTTCCATCCCAACTCTGTCATCTACTACCTATATGATCTACAGACCCACAGGCAAGATACTGCATTTCTTTATGCTTCCATGTCATCATCTGTAAATTGGGGTCGTCGTACCCATCTCCAGGAGTTGTCATGAAGGTCCAAGTGCCTGGAATGCTTAGCTCAGTAGGTGGAGCTTATGACTCACTCAGTAAATGACTGCCATTGTTATTACCCCTTCTCTGGAAATAAGCTACAGGGTAAACTTTGCCCAGCCCCAGTAAGAGGTCACTCTTAGCCCTGTTTTGACCAGAAGCCACTTAAAAGTCTGGCCACAAACTTGCTTTTTCTGGGTTCTTTTGAAGATTAAGCTGAATGAGGTCCCCTGTAACTTACATATAAAGCAGAATTGTGTGTGTGTGTGTGTGTGTGTGTGTGTGTGTGTACATATATATATATATATATATATATATATATATATATATATATATATATGCCTACAGCTCAGATGTTCAGTTGTTTGATGACTGCTTCTCAATGTCCAGAGCCAACCTCCTGGCAACATCACTATGAGTGGTGTGTGTGTCAGGAAAGTGACACAGCTGACGCATTTGGGGTTGGCAGCTGCTCTGTGGCTACAGCCTTAGCTTAAGTGTGGAATTAGAGAAGGCTTTTCTGAAAGACCATTTAAAGCCAGGGACACTAGGCATCAGAGGGACCCAGCAAATTTTGTGTCTCTACGTTCTGAGTCTCCCTTTCTCCCTGCTCCCCTCATATCCTTTCTCACCCAGCACTGTCCTTTCGCTTGGTCCCTCTAGGCCACAGTCTCTTTCTTCATAAACTATTTTTTTAAATCAGTCAGAATAGGCTGTTGTGGCTCATGCCTGTAATCCCAGCACTTTGGGAGGCCGAGGTGGGTGGATTGCTTTTGGTCAGAGTTTGAGACCAGCCTGGTCAACATGGCGAAACCCCATCTCTACTAAAAATACAAAAAAATTAGCCAGGCATGGTGGCGGGCACCTGTAGACCCAGCTACTCAAGAGGCTGAGGTTGCAGTGAGCTGAGATCGTGCCACTGCACTCCAGCCTGGGCGACAGAGCCCTCAGAAAAAATAAAAATAAAAATAAATTTAAAAGTCTCAGAATAGAATATCCATTCTGCTGGAGGCTACTCAGCATTTCAAGAGCAGGGAAATCTGCTCTTTACCTTTTCTCCATCCCAAATAACTCCTTTCTTGAAAAGAGCTTTTATTGAGGTATAATTTGCATACCATAAAATGCAATCATAGAACATTTTCATCACCCCAAACATATCCTCTGTGCCTATTTGCGGTCACTCCCCTTTCACACCTCGGGACCCAGGGAACCACTATTCTACTTCCTGTTTCTATAGATTTGCCTTTTCTGGACATTTCCTATTAATGGAATCTTACTGTAGGTATTTTTTTTTTTGGTCTGGATGTTTTTATTTAGCATAGTGCTTTTTTTCATCCATATTGTTGAATTTATCATTCATTTTTATTGCTGAATAATGTTCCATGGCATGAAGGTAGCCACTTGTTTATCTATTGACCAGCTGATAAACATTTGGGTTGTTTCCAGCATTTTGTGGGGATGAGGTTGTTTCCAGTTTCCATCTCAAATAATTCTCAATTGTTTTTAATTGTTCTGCTCTATCCACCCCATCCATATCATTTTTCCCCAGAATCCCTTCTATCCAACAGGAGAGGTTCATATACTAGGCACCTCCCCAAAATAAATAAAAATAAGGAAACCTGACAAATGTTCACCACATCTACAACTGAATTCTATGTTTTAAGTGAATATGCTATAAACAAAGATTCAAATAACTTCCACTTATAATGCAAATAAAGACTTCTTTTATGTTTGCTAATTACATTTATCCTTTATACGGAAATAATTTTAAAATGAAGAAAATGTAGATACAAGCCACATATAACATCCATCAGATACTCAGATATACAAGGGCTAATATTCAAAGTAAAATGTGAAACTTGGGTAGTATGGTCTGAATCTTTATGTGCCCTCCAAAATCACATGTTGAAATTTTCAGCCGGGCGCAGTGGCTCAAGCCAGTAATTCCAGCACTTTGGGAGGCCGAGGCGGGCGGATCACGAGATCAGGAGATCGAGACCATCCCGGCTAACACGGTGAAACCCCGTCTCTACTAAAAATATAAAAAAAAATTTAGCCAGGCATGGTGGCGGGCACCTGTAGTCCCAGCTACTCAGGAGGCTGAGGCAGGAGAATGGCATGAACCCAGGAGGCAGAGCTTGCAGTGAGCCAAGAGTGCGCTACTGCACTCCAGCCTGGGGTGACAAAGTGAGACTGTGTCTCAATAAATAATTAATCGGTGAACTCAGATGAAGTATATAGGGCAATTCTTTGTGCTCTTCTTGCATTTTTTCTCTATACATTTGCAATTATTTTTATTTTTTTATTTTTTAAGACAGAGTCTCTCTTTGTCACCCAGGCTGGAATGCAGTGGGACCATCTCGGCTCACTGCAACCTCAGCCTCCCAGATTCAAGCAATTCTCCCGCCTCAGCCTCCCGAGTAGCTGAGACTACAGGCATGTGCCACCACACCTGGCTAATTTTTGTATTTTTTAGTAGCGACGGGGTTTCACTATGTTGGCCAGGCTTGTCTTGAACTCCTGACCTCGGGTGATCCACCTGCCTTGGCCTCCCAAAGTGCTGGGATTACAGGTGTGAGCTACCGTGCCCAGAAGCAATTATTTTTAAATAAAAAGTTAAAATAAATTTCCCCCAAAAGAGCGGAGAAAGTTCATTATCCTTCAGTCCAAAGACTTTATCTCTAGCTGGAGCACCAGGAGATGCTTCCCTGAGTCAGTACCAATAGACTTGGGAAGTACCACATGACAGTCTTTAGTTTCCCTCAATTGTCTATTAAGAATCAAATTTCCATGGTATTAAAGGTGGCTTGAACCCATTTAGCTTTTTATCTTATACAGCTTCAGGAGGCTTGAATATCATAATCTTGAATATATAAGCCACAGTGTGAAGCAGTATATTTGTTTCTTGGTTCTGAATGAATCTCTTCCACATACATCAAGTGAACTACCTTCCTTGTAGTCTACAATCTGCAAAACATCACTCTGCTCCCTCCCCCATTTTCTTCCCTGTAAGACGTTGCGGGCCTCTTCACACCCAAAAGTGATGCTTGTTGAGACTCAAGGATATTTCATCCTTAAGTAGTTACTGGGAGTTACTGTGCCTTGCTGGAATAAGGTGTTGCCCCAATTTACTGTTCTATAGGAACAACTACTTCCCAGAGGTAAAAGGAAGGAAAGCAAAAGGAAATAGAAATGGAAACAAAGGAACCCAGCACCACTGACCACTGTCCCAATAGCTATACTGATCACTACTTATTTATTTTCTAGGACACTGAAGAATTTTAAAACGTCAGACCCTTCTTTACTTGCGAAAAACGTGAAAGCACAGTACCAGAATCCAGAGATCTGAATGCAGCAGCATACTCTCCTGTATATCATGCTTTAGCTTTTCTGACTAGCCACACTCAATGTAGCATGTATCTTCATATCAACCCCACAAACCCCATTCTCTGAACATTTTGAGCTCCTCTAATCCCCCCAGAGTATCCATTGCTTATTTTAAAATTTCAGGGCTAGTTCTACCAAATCATCTTATCTGAGAATTTTTTTATTTCTAGAGACAGAGGATCACTCTGTCACTCAGGTTGGAGTGCAGCAGCACAGTCATAGCTCACTGCAACCTCGAACTCCTGGGCTTAAGCAACCCTCTCACCTCAGTCTCTTAAGTAGCTAGGACTACAGGTGTACACCATCATGGCTGACTTTTTTTTTTTTCTTTTTTTTTTTTTTCTTGTTTGTTTGGTAGAGGTGGGGGCAGGGGTCTCACTTTGTTGCCCAGGCTGGTCTCGAACTTCTGGCCTTAAGCAATCCTCCCGCCTCCACCTCCCCAAATTCTGGGATTACAGGCATGAGCCAGTGTGCCCAGCACAAAATCTTTACCAACTTTAAAATATAATTTAAAAAAATCTCTTAAATGCCTTCCACATAGATATTGATTTTTCTTTCATTTCTCTTGTCTTGGTAAATCCTCTAGGAATGCTCTCTGAAAAGCAGCTTAATTCATCATGCAGTTGCCTTCATCACCATCACTTGTTGAAAAGTCTTATTAGTATGTAAAGCAGTTCTAATTTGGAGCTGTAAAATTGCTTCTAAAAACTCGTAATAGAATAAACTGAGAGTCATCCATAATTAGATTTTTTTAATAGGACTTCTAACTTGTTTTCATTATCCAGCTGTGTTTGAACTCAGCCAGCTGTTGATGGAACTGAGGTGGTTGTAAGGGTTGGGGAAAAGAAGAGGAAGCTCATCTCTGCAGAGTGGGTAGGGGAAGCTTTAGTTCTCAGTTTAAAACAGTGGTTCTCAAAGTGTGGTCTCCCAACCTGCAGCATCAGAGTCTCATGGGAACTTGTTAGAAATGATTTCTTGGGCCCTACTCCAGACCCACTGGATCCGGCCATCAGGTGAAGTTCAAAGAACTTGGTTCAGATGTAGTGTTCACTAAATTACAGACAGCAGTCAAGATTTTAGGAAGAGCTGGTTGAAAATAATTGCCTTGACTGGCTCTAGTGACCCCCCAAGGAACACATGCCACTTACATGTATGTTCTCTTCATTCATCATTTATGGGTATATTTGTATTACTCCACAGGGCTGACGATTTGGTATTAGACTTGCTAATGAGCAGCAGCCATGTGCTCCTGCTATCTGACAGTCGGTACAGTCACAAGTATATTGTATGCAGCAGAGAAGAGCTTAACAGCCAGCCTCCTTCCACATTCTGCTCTCAGGAAATAAGCAAGGGGAGGATCCAGAAGTGTCATTTGACACTGACGACAGAGTACTTATTTCCTATGCAAAAGAGCCCAGGCAGAAAGACAAACCTAAATAAGAATCTAACTTCTGTAAGAAGCTGTGAAGAGTGATGCTGGCAGCTGCCTTTGCAGACTCTAACTCCAGCAGCATGAATGTGTCCTTTGCTCACCTCCACTTTGCCGGAGGGTACCTGCCCTCTGATTCCCAGGACTGGAGAACCATCATCCCGGCTCTCTTGGTGGCTGTCTGCCTGGTGGGCTTCGTGGGAAACCTGTGTGTGATTGGCATCCTCCTTCACAATGCTTGGAAAGGAAAGCCATCCATGATCCACTCCCTGATTCTGAATCTCAGCCTGGCTGATCTCTCCCTCCTGCTGTTTTCTGCACCTATCCGAGCTACGGCGTACTCCAAAAGTGTTTGGGATCTAGGCTGGTTTGTCTGCAAGTCCTCTGACTGGTTTATCCACACATGCATGGCAGCCAAGAGCCTGACAATCGTTGTGGTGGCCAAAGTATGCTTCATGTATGCAAGTGACCCAGCCAAGCAAGTGAGTATCCACAACTACACCATCTGGTCAGTGCTGGTGGCCATCTGGACTGTGGCTAGCCTGTTACCCCTGCCGGAATGGTTCTTTAGCACCATCAGGCATCATGAAGGTGTGGAAATGTGCCTCGTGGATGTACCAGCTGTGGCTGAAGAGTTTATGTCGATGTTTGGTAAGCTCTACCCACTCCTGGCATTTGGCCTTCCATTATTTTTTGCCAGCTTTTATTTCTGGAGAGCTTATGACCAATGTAAAAAACGAGGAACTAAGACTCAAAATCTTAGAAACCAGATACGCTCAAAGCAAGTCACAGTGATGCTGCTGAGCATTGCCATCATCTCTGCTCTCTTGTGGCTCCCCGAATGGGTAGCTTGGCTGTGGGTATGGCATCTGAAGGCTGCAGGCCCGGCCCCACCACAAGGTTTCATAGCCCTGTCTCAAGTCTTGATGTTTTCCATCTCTTCAGCAAATCCTCTCATTTTTCTTGTGATGTCGGAAGAGTTCAGGGAAGGCTTGAAAGGTGTATGGAAATGGATGATAACCAAAAAACCTCCAACTGTCTCAGAGTCTCAGGAAACACCAGCTGGCAACTCAGAGGGTCTTCCTGACAAGGTTCCATCTCCAGAATCCCCAGCATCCATACCAGAAAAAGAGAAACCCAGCTCTCCCTCCTCTGGCAAAGGGAAAACTGAGAAGGCAGAGATTCCCATCCTTCCTGACGTAGAGCAGTTTTGGCATGAGAGGGACACAGTCCCTTCTGTACAGGACAATGACCCTATCCCCTGGGAACATGAAGATCAAGAGACAGGGGAAGGTGTTAAATAGATTTAAGTTTCAAAGCAAAACAAACTGTGATTATTGTATTTACTTGTACTGCTGCTTATCAATATTGCTGACTTTACAAACTGATATAATTATTACCATTAGGAATTATAAAAATATTTCACAATCTACACTTTCCAAATGTGCAATGTGGTAAGTAGAGAACCATGTTAGAAGTAATAATTGTTTCAGAATTAGAACTTGGCTTCCCAAACAATTTAAGTGTTGTGTAAAGATGTTGCTGTCAAAGTGATTAGACAGCCTGGCTATTCTGTCATTTGTTCACAGTGGTTTTACTGGGTACCCCCTAGGACCAGCCCTGTAGTGGACCGGCTGGAGCCTGCAGTAGAGGTTCTGTCAAAGCTGAGCCCCTTTACCTTCAGTTTCACCCAGGACCTGCTAGTCCTAATTTTACCTACTAAATTGTATTTCACATAACCAAAGCTCAAAATCTACTTTCACTTGAGATTTTTAACACATTAATGATAAATTTTAATGCGTTCTTCATTTACTTAATAAGTGTTAATTTACTTGATGAAAAGTCCGTATCATAATGTTCATGACTGAAGGTCAAAGAAAAAGAAACAGCACCTTATTCCAATTCTGGACTCATTTCAAGCCATGGCTGGTTCTGGCCAAGTTTAAATAAATTCAAACTTAAACTAAAGCCTGCTTCAGTGAACTTTTTAAAGCTACCTGAATGAGTCTTCAGTTTCTAAGTCTAAGAATTGTAGCAGCTTTCCAATGACATTCAGTAGTCTGATATGGGGGAAAAAATACTTAAAAAAATGTCCTCTCTTCACTTCCAAAATGTGGGAAAGTTATTTTTCTATAAGCAGAAATGTGTTCCTCCTAATATCTCCTTTCTCCCAAGATAAACCATGGTTAATGATATAGGTATAGATTACTCCTCAAATACAAATAGAAGATGGAGATGGTGATCTTTCTTGTTAATGGTACTAAACTTACCCTTACTCAGAACATTGAACTTGAACCCTACTCAACTTTTAAAATACTATAGGCTAAGTTATAAAAATAATCTAGCAACCTGAGAAAGAGATTAATATCAAAAAGAGAAAATTCAACAAACCAAGACAGAATTTGGTTAAGAATACAAAATAAAAAGCATAAGGGCAATGCAGAAAGCAGTAAAACTGTGTACCCAGACATACGGTAAAATCTGAGTAACAGGCAATAACCATTCATTTTATAGCAAGGTAAAACATACCCAATAAAACATGATTATGATATATTTCTGCCCCTTTTAAGTATAATGACATTCACCCATGATTCTTGATTACTTTGTTATGGAACTCGGGTATTTTCACTGAAAGTTTCCCTCAGAATAGAAATGCCTTTAGGGCAAACCAAGCCATGGAGAATCTGAAATATAAAGGATATGTTATGGAAAAAAAAAGATTTTGCTTTTTGTCTATGGGTTTCCGGATTCTTTGCTTTTTCATAAGTGGTCATAGTTTGCTTTTTAACACAGGAGGTAGGGCTGTATTCTTTTTACATCCTTCATTACAAATTTTATTTGAAGCTCATGTATTCAAATAAAGTAAAATTTAACCCAAGAATCCAAAATATTGTCTTGTGATATGGTAGTTATAAAAAGGATTATCATTGTCTGTGATTATTTGAATAAATAATTTTTATGTTCATTATATGTAGTAAATTTAGGATGTAAGCTTCCAGGGTTTGACACTTTAAACTTGTAAAGAAATAAAAATAATTACGCTTTACTTCCGATAGTTTTTGGAGATTTAAAGCTGTCTTTGTCTTGAATTATCATTCCAAAATCATTATTAGGAACAATGGAGCTTTATGGGGCTGTTTGACCTTAACACTGGAACAGGTCTCAAGGTGAACTGATTTTCAGAGTTTGCTAACAAGCACCAAATCAAGATGCAGACACTGGAACAAAGAGTAATTACAATGAACCTTTCATTAAGAACCTGATACACAAAGTTAAGTCCCGACTTGATCCCTTAAAAAATCTGCTTAGAGAAGTTTGATTTGTATCTTATCTGATCAAACCCAGATACTTTAAGACAAAAGTAGGAAATTAGAACAGATATCACCAAACTGTTTTCTTCTCACTTCTCTACTGTGAGAAACAACGTAGTAAGTGGGCAAACAATATTATGTGGAATTCAGAATAACAAAATAAGGCATTCTGGAAACTTTACCCTTGTGAGACAGTCGTATTTCTACATACTACATAATAGTTGTGCTCCTTTTGGCAAGCACTTCAATTTCATTCCTCACAGTACTTAAAAATCACTCAATGAACTTATAAAATGAACTTCAAAGAAAGAAAAAAAAGGAAACAGAAGGCGGCCAGGTGTGGCGGTTGACGCCTGTAATCCTAGCACTTTGGGTGGCCGAGGTGGGAGAATGGCTTGAGGCTAGGAGTTTGAGGCCAGCCTGGGCAACAGAGTGAAACCATTTCCAAAAAAATTTTAAAAAGAAAAAAAAAAAAGCCAGACATGGTAATGCATGCCTGCAGTCTCAGCTACTCAGAAGGATCACTGAAACCAGGAGTTCAAAGTTACAGTGAGCTATGATGGCACCACTGCACCCCAGCCTAGGAGACAGAGTAAGATCCTTTGTACGCATAAAAAGAAAAAACATATCCTGTTTATCAACTTTACAGCTGAAGACCTTAGTCTGATCAATGCCAGGTTCCTACATAAAGAGTTCACAAAATTTCCATGGCACTTAATAGATTTAAGCTATGAACTATATAACATGGATGTGAATGTGTGTGTCTGTGACTGTATGCACACAACATACAAATACAGATCTGTTGGTATTCCTTCTTTCTAGGATTTGTTACAATCATAGTCGGTATGAGATAATGGAAAATAAATTATTCTATTAACATATATATTTTGTTAAACATTTTATTTATGTGGCACTCTGAAACGAGCAACCTATGAAGGCATAAAATAAAAAGATTTTTTTTTAACTCGGGAGGTAAAGCTAGATATATCAATTAGGAACTGATTCATGGTGTGATGTACACGACATGTTGAAAGAATGCCAAAAAGGCGCAAACCATCATACATTAATACAAAGGACAAAAACAAAAAAAACCCCAGCATCTTCTTGCTATGAGGCAATAAGGCACTGCTAAGAGACTTGAGCACCAAAATGATTCTCTACAAATTCCTTCCTTTTTATACTGCAAATACTGCATTATTATATTCAAACCTTTAAAAACTAGGTAATACTTAAGATTTAGAGTCAACTTACTTTGTGGGAAATTCTATTTGCTGCTTTTAAAAACAGGTTAAAATAAGCTCTTAAAAATTAAGTAACAATAATCATATACAATACAGATATATAAAAAGGGTTGGTTTATTGTAGTTCAAATACATAAACTGAACATTCAAACATCTTAAAATTAAACTTTAGCAACAAAGTTTAACATTCAAACAGGAGTATAGTTTACAAGAAACACCCAGAAAGGTAATTTGTTGTCTAATCCAGAATATTGATAAAGATCACTTAATGGTGAATAAAATATGTTTAACCAGTGGTTCTATTCTGGCCAACATGTTAGTTATGACCGTGGTTCCATACCTGAGAAGAAATTACTACATAAATCTTCTCTTAGGCTAAACAACAAGACTCGGTCTATAATTCAGAGGGGATAATCAAAGCACGTAAGTGAACAAATAAAACTAATCTGATCTTTAGAGACAAAGGTAAAAGTATTGTCCATTATAATAATTGTAGCCTCTGGAAGATAAGAATTCAATTTTCAGTGTTTTCTCTTTTACCCGCTTTAAAAAAAAAAAATCAAAACAAAACAAACCCCAACTCGGGTTTTCTTGGAGTCTGTGGTATTTGCATCTGGCAAGTTCAAGCCACAAATGCTCTTACTTCTTGCATGTATTAACACTGCTAGGAAGAACGTCACCAAGTCACTGACTTCCACACCTCATAAAAGGATGAATTTTAGCTTCAAGATTTTAAGATTTACTAGAGACAGCCTATATTTGAGTATGTATGTCAGTCATGCCACACAAAGAAAAGCATAAATATTTCCAAAGTGTTCTGTTCAGAAACTGTTCACAAATGCTTCTCCTTCTGTTTGTCAGATGGTTTCGCAATAGGTTGACTAATGCACATATATGTAAAAACCTGAAAATTGGCTCATGCAAGCATTTTGAATAGATGCCCCTATGGAAGAGTATTTAGAATTATTTTGTTGATCGTCTCGTGGGCTCCGATGCTGTGGGAGGTGGGGGTGGACCCCGGCGATCCAGGTCATCAACATATGCCACAATCAGTTTACGCCTCTCCTCTGGCACACAGTCCAGTACTAGATACCGTTTGTCATTCTGTAAAATTTTTTCTACATCTTTCAGGTGCTGATCTGATTCTTGGATTAATTTTTTGGATCTGAAATAAGAAAAAGAAGTCCAAGAATTACTGACTGCTGTTCACAGGTCTTTCAGAAATGAGCTGGAAATGTCCATCTAGTTCCTAATTGTGTTTCCATTTTTTTTTTTTTTTTTTTTTTTAAGAAAAATTTCACGGCAGTGGTCACCTTTGTAAGTCGCCTCAGCAAAGACTCCAAGGAGTGAAAGGGCCTCAGAAGCTGAATTACCCTCCCACCCCTAGTGGTGGTCCCTCCAGATCAGGGCTGAGGGTGGGTGGGTAAATCTTGCCCGTGCTGTACCTGTTCTGTGGATGAACAGAGGACTTCAGTCTGCGGGGCTGCCAATCCCAGCATCTTTCACAAGCTTTCACTTTCACATCTTTCACTAAATTAACTATAAAAATGTAGAAAGAAGTCTTACTTCACATCTAATTTAAAAGCCCAAGCTGATGCAAAACATTAAGGATCCTGACCAAAAAATCCAAATGACAAAATATCTAAAAACCACACCCTCAGCACTATCTAGCCTCCCGTGCACATACCCTTTATTAAGATGTTTCAAATTTCTCTCTTAAAGAAGAAAAGCTGGAGCATGAAACAAAAATGGTTTCCTGCATACTGACTGGTAAGCAATGCGAAATTGTTTTCCTGATGATAAATTGTTAGGGGTGAAGAACTGTTGGGTTTGCTACAGAGAAATCTTGTTTAAAGGCTCTGATTTCATAATTTACAATTTTTATTTAAATGTACCCAGCAAAATGCTTTCCTCTGAGGGAAAAAAAAATGTTTATGCTGAGCTTAAATAGATGATTTCATGCTTTAGAATGATCTAACCACACTGAATAGTCTTCAGAGGAGGCAAAGATAACTGATAGTGAAAGATTATTTTAAAAGTCTCTTCATGAAATACAATTCTTATATAGTTGAGGGTATTCCTAAAAAAAGCGGTGAAGTAAAAAAAAAAAAAAGGTATGTATTCAAAACTGGATGGGTGGGTAACACAAAATAAGAATTGACATCTGGGCCCTTTCTTTAAAAAAAAAAAAAAGTATGGTAGATATGGGCTGTATTTGACTTTGGACAGAAGTTGGTATCTTCTTATCCCTAAAAATTAATAATGTCAACATGTGTGTGAATGCAAAGAATGCTCTGACCATTAGAGTAAAGACTAGTAAAGAGAATGACTGCCAATATGAAACATTTCATTGCACACACCTATATGTTATAAATTTGGTCTCTTTCAAAAGCGTCCTGAAGTCAGCTTTGGCTGTGATATATTTGTCTCTGATATATTCTTCAAATTCTCTTTGTTTTTTCTGTTAATAAAAAAAAAAAAGTTGAGATTATGGAAATAAAACCCACTAATTCCAAAATAAACATCAATTATTTATTAAACAGTAATGTGTAAGTCACATAATAAAATTTAAAATTCAAAAGAAAAAGGCAACAGGGTACATTTTGTTCATATATAAAATTCATTAAATCACAATTTGCAAGGCTCATTTTTGCGGCAAATAGAAAGAATGAGGAATCATAAATTAGTAGTGGCTAAAACTTGAGAACTTGCTATGTGCTACACTGCTGAGCATTTTATGAGGATCATCTACTTCAATCTTCACAACAACCTCATGAGGTGGACACTTAAAAATAAGGATATTAAGGATTAAGTGTTCACTTCCTGCACACTGTATTTTTAACTTCAAGAACAAAAAGAGTAATTTGTGGATACAGCAACTGTAGGTTAACACTCAATACTTAACTTACACAGTAATGAGCATTTAGCTTTCTGGCAAGCCAAAAGTAATAAGATGAATAAACTCTTTGGACTTAAAAAAGACTTTATTATCAATTCTAAACAGTCAGAAAAGTTAGAAACTGAGACTGGGTCTACCCCTCTTTCCCAGTCATGCATATTTTATGGTCCAAACATCTACAATCCAATAGACTTTGAGGGGGAAGAATATTAGATTTATGAGTTTTTATAAAAGATGCCCAGACCTACAGAAACCAACCAGGAAAGGGGAATGATGTAAAAGAAAACAAATAAAAGGCCTAGGGATAAAATGGACTGTAGTAAACAACACTTTTCTTGACATCATTCACTGTTTCAGACCTTGAAGCATATGAGAACTAGCGATCTCATTACAGGGCTCTGTTTGGCTTAAGAGTCAAGTGCTTTGATAGTTTGGTACCAATTGCCAGCCTAAATATGTCTGTCTAGTGGTACCTGACTAAAATAAAACTGCAGCTTCATTAAATTTCTAAGATCCTAAAATACAAGCTTCACCCCAAGTACTAAAATTTTAAACTTTCTATTGTGCTGTCTTGCTAATTTATCATGCAAGAAACAATACATAAACTTAAAATTCAGATTTACTTCTCATACACTTAAAAGTAATTCACTTAAAACAATCAACTTCATTTTGGTTAAGATAGTAGTGCTGTTAGGCCCCGATTTAAGTATTTATAGACTGACAGTAAATCTCGACACAAAATCCTCTTACCCTGTCACTGGAGGAGAACTTAATACATCGAGGATCTTCCTTAATGATTTTTTTTACTTCTTTCCACGTGGATGTTAAGGTAATCTTTGAAAAGACATGAATAAAAAACATAAATACAACTCACTTTTACTTAGGGAGTCAAACTGCAGCACATAGGTACATAATATTACACACTGACCTGCGATCTCTTGTAATGCCCAAGCGTAACTGGACTAGTTAGGGACAGGGAAGCAGCGTTAATGCAATTTCTTTTTGTTGGCTTGCCACAAGAGTTATTTTCATGGCCATACTTTCAAGGTGGCCTAAGACAATCACCTGCAAACCCTGTATTTACATGGGCAAACATCATAACTTCTGAAGAAACCATCACCAAAAAGAGAGCAAATAAAAAGGAACAAAACCTGGATAACAAAGCGTACAAACTGCCGAACAAGAGGCCATAGTACCAAATTGAAAATGGATCAAAAGAAGAAATTTGCTAAATCTATTATTAGGAGGGATCACTGACCACATGGCTAAGGACATTTTGAATTACTATGGGAGCAGTTATGAATGTGAAAACTGCAAAGAATAGGCATTTCTAAATAAATAAGAATACCATAATTTTTTAAAATCAGAGAATTGTCATAAGATGCATTCCAGTAATGAATCTAAAGACCATGACACTAAAAATCATATCAATGCTTTGCTTTAAGAAATTACTAACAAGATTCATCCAGATTAAAATGAGAAAAATAAGAGATTCTTACTGCAGAAGTTTCATCCAGAAGTTGCCTAAAGTGCTCTCTCTTTTTTTTGGTAAGTGCTTCAATGTGTTCATTAAAAAGCTTCTCTTTCTCCTCTCTTTCCAATAAGGATCCAGATTCCCAGCGGTGATCTTTTCGGAGGGTCCTACGAGTATCAGACCATGACACATCTGAAGAACGTACCTGAAGAGAAAAAATTATATATATATCACCAAAGAGACTTATCTGAATGTCCATTTGCACTTCCATGTCCACTGCAGCATTATTCACAATAGCCAAGATATGGAATCAACCTAAGTGTCTATCAACAGATACATGGATAAAGAAAATGTAATAAATATACACAATGGAGTACCACTCAGCCTTAAAAAAAGAGGAAAATTCTATTCATTTATGGCATGGATAAACCTAGAGGACAACATAAGTGAAATAAGTCAAGCACAGAAACACAAATACTGCATAGTCTCACATTTGTGGAATCCAAAAAAGTTGAACTCATAGAAATAGAGAGTAGATGGTCACCAAAGTCTAGGGGGTAGGAGACAGGACAAGGGAGAGAATGAGGAGTTACTTGTCAAAGATAATGAAGTTTCAGAGACAGCAGAAATAAGTTTTGAGACCTACTGCACACCAGGGTTAACTAAAGCCAATAATGTATTCTACATTCAAAATAACTGAGAGTAAATTCCAAGTGTCTCACCACAAAAAATTATAAGCAAACAAAGTGATGAATATGTTAAACAGCTTTGGTTTAATCATTCCATATTATCTACCTATATCAAAACAGCAACTGTACCCCGTAAGTATATACAATTATGACTTCTCAAAACAATTTTTAAGAAGAAGACAGTATAATAGAAGGCATAACAGGTCTGGCTGGCTCACCAACCAGCAAAAAGATATGCTTCATTGGTGATAATGGCATTAAAAGTTAAGCCACACTACTGCCAATGTGAAGAAACACAGACTAAAATAACAGAAAGGTAAGAAAACAAAAATACAAAAACATTTATTTAACCAACACTTACCAAGCATCTAAATACAAGTCAGATATATACCGTGCTTTGCAATAAGATTACAAAATAAGACGTTATCCCTTCCTTCAAAGAGCTCACTTAGAAGGAAAAAAAAGGATAAAAAGGCCGGGTGCGGTGGCTCATGCCTGTAATCCCAG
This sequence comes from Homo sapiens, assembly GCF_000001405.40. Taxonomy (NCBI): domain Eukaryota; kingdom Metazoa; phylum Chordata; class Mammalia; order Primates; family Hominidae; genus Homo; species Homo sapiens. Next base: position 146,506,036 of record NC_000005.10, on the reverse strand, counting down.
CCCTTTGGGAGGTGGGTGGATCACCTGAGGTCAGGAGTTCGAGACCAGCCTGGCCAACATGGCGAAACCCCATTTCTACTAAAAATACAAAAATGAGCTGTGTGTGGTGGCGCATGCCTGTAGTCCCAGCTACTCAGGAGACTGAGGCAGGAGAATCACTTGAACCCAGGAGGCAAAGGTTGCAGTGAGCCAAGATCATGCCACTGCACTCCAGCTGGGTGACAGAGTGAGACTCCATCTCAAAAAAATAAAAAATAAAAAAACAAAAAGGATAAACATGTAAGCAAATAACTGCAAATACAGGTAATAAGTGCTGCAGTCATATGCTGAGCACAAGGGTGGTCTAAGGAACAGTGAGATCGAATCTGCCTAGATAGGTCAGGAGTAGCCTCACAGAAGAGATACTTGAGCGTACCCCTGAAGAACGAGAAAGTCTGTCACTGCAACAGGAACACTTCCAAATCATATCAGGTAGAGGGACTGCCGTGAGCAATGGAAGGATGGTATGGTTCATTAAGCATGTTCAGCAAGGCTACAGTTCAAGGAACAATGAAGAAAGCAAAGGTGTTAAGGAAATATGAAGGTGGGAGGTAAGAAATGAACAATCTTTTATATTATGCTAAGGAGGCTAAATGTGACCTGTAGGAAACTGCTGGGAGTAAAGAGAACCTTCATCCCCTGCAAGTAACCAGGGGAGTGACAAAATTTGATTAGCTTTTTATGAAGACTTCTGTGACTGCAACAGAACGGATAAATTTGAGGGAATGTTAGAGGTAGGGAGAGAAATTAGGAAACTACTGTAATTGTCCAGGGTGTAGGACAAGGTTTTCCAACCCGTGGCCCACAGGCCACATGCAACTCAGGATGGCTCTGAATGTACCCCAACACAAATTCATAAACTTTCTTAAAACATTATGAGATGTTTTTGTCCTTTTTTTTTTTTTTTTTTAGCTCATTGGCTATCATTAGTGTTAATGTACATTTTTCTTTTTGAGACAGAGTCTCACTCTGTCGCCAGGCTGGAGTGCAGTGGCGCGATCTCGGCTCACGGCAGCCTCCGCCTCCCAGGTACAAGTGATGCTCCTGCCTCAGCCTCCCAAGTAGCTGGGACTACAGGCACGCACCACCACACCCGGCTAATTTTGTATTTTTATTAGAGACGGGGTTTCGCCATGTTGGCCAGCCTAGTCTTGAACTCCTGACCCCAAGTGATCTGCCCGCCTTGGCCTCCCAAAGTGCTGGGATTACAGGCATGAGCCACCGTGCCCAGCCATGTTAGTGAACTTTATGTGTGGCCCAAGACAATTCTCCTTCCAATGTGGCCCAGGGAAGCCAAAAGATTGGATACTCCTGGGTAGAGTAAGAAACAGATGCAAGGGAAGAAATCAGAAGTGACAAGAGTAGCAAGCTCCACTGAAAAAGAGAAAAGAAATAGCATAGGAGAGATATGACAAAGAGAAGCCACCCCCAACTCCAAAATATATTAGCAAGTAGGACGGTAGTCTAGGGTCATTCACTGTAGGGACAAAAAACCCTACATACCTCAACAACTCTGAGGGGTAAGGGAGAAAGATTTTCAACAAAGTTTCAGGGTATCTCCTGCAGTCAGTTACACCTCCAGTCCTACAATCTCATACCATCTGCAAGTATAACTGATCATCACAATGATGGCCCTAAATCATCAACGAAAAGGTTAAATTGTGTTCAGCACGTTTTGTTTATCACTATGGCAGGTAAGTGTGTAATAGTTTACAATGACTTTCATCAAGAACAATAAATAATAAAGTTGTGAGACTAAATGATTATGACTTTCCATATATGCAAAATGCCTAACTTCTGAATTTGTTGAATAACTTGGGTTTTTTCCTATACTAACAGTACTAATACCAAGTATTCAATTTTTAAATGCTTTCTAATTTAGCAAATTATCTCCCTCAGAATTAAAGAACATTAAAATATTCATAACAGTAACATAATAAATTTCCAATATCCAGTACTTTAGAGAAAAAAAGTAAAAGATTAACGTATACCATGTCAGACAGAAGAGCTTTGAAATTCTGGATAGCTTCTTCTCGTTTGTGCTGCTCTCTCTCTCGATCTATTTCTTTTGTTTGTTCTGAACGGGCCTTTTGAACCTCCCTTTCTCGTTCTCGAAGGCTTGCCTCAATGCGGGCTTGCCTTTCAAGCTCCTTTTCTTTTTCTGAGTCTAAATTCTGTAAAAGCAAAAACTACATTATCCTTCTTACCAACTCCATCAAAATATGTTTTTACAGAATAACTAGCTTGCCAAATAAAAAATTCCAAATCTAGTTTTTGCCCAGAATATACCTAAACACTGTGTACCTCTCATCTCCAAATCAACTAGACTCTTATGTTAAGAATACTAACAAGAAAAAATCCAAACCCCCAATAGAAAAATCCCCAACAACAACATATACCCTTAAACACAAGAATTGTATTATTCAATGAAAGCAATACAAGTAAACACAACAGTTACCTTGGCTATTTTTTCAATGTACTGTTTGAAAAGGTCTTCTCTCATTGATGAACTATCTACTGCTTTGTAACGTGGATCACTTTCTACTTTGTCTTTTACTTTGCTCCATCGAGACTGACTGTCCAAGTGATGATTAGATAATAGTTCAAAGAAATCCGATTTAATCTGTATTTTAAAACAGGTAGTGGGATGGGAGGGAAAATAATGTACCATGAGAAATTCATCATATCTTAAATATTTACAACTAGAAAAAAAGTTCACCTACCTTAAATATGAGAATAATAACTTTTAAAATATAGGCATTTAGAGTAGAATTACAGTAAAAGATCAGAAGTGTTCTTTTACTAGAAATGTAAACATCGACAAGCATATAGGCTTTCATCTAAAATTTGCCAAATTCAAGATAAATAATATTTTATAAAGAAATTATTAAAATATAGAAAAAGGCTTTTTCAGATTGTTGATAACTTTAGATCTCAGAACTGCCATGTATTCATAGGGAATATAAATTTACATCGAGCTGCATTTCTTTTTAGCTAAGAGTCAGGCTTATGAAGCTGACAATTCTTTAATATCAACAAGGTAAAAATGATTTATTTAAAAACTAGATGGATAAAAATTTTGGCCATTGAAATTAATAGGACATTTAAAAATCACTGCAAGTCATTACAAACTTATACTGTCAAATGTCTGAAATCAAAATAGGGTAAAAATTTATATTTTGGTGAAAAAAAGGCAGCTGTACACCTTGATATGTGAGAAAGTTACAGAATTTCTATGTTCATAATTAATCATTACTAAAAAATTGCATTCAGATCTTCTACACTTTTTAGCATTAAACATGTATGTAATGTTTATAACATTATAAACTCAGAATGTTAAGTGTTTATCCAGTATTATACTCAACAACTGAAATACCAAGTTAAAAACATTATACCAAAGGTATTAAACATTAATCCTTCAGTATCAACATATACAACTACTTAAAACCCCTCTCCAAAACTGTATTTCTTATTTATTTAAATAGGTGAGGAAAGGAGTAAATGAGATAGTTATTTTTATGTATGTCTGAGGGCCTAATTGTTTTAAAATTTAATCCCATGTATACTACTTTGTACTCCTACCATAGAAGATACCCAAGGTAACCAAGGTCATTTCAACAAAGGATTCTGACCATATTAAGAACCCCTCCCTTCCAGTAGGAATTGAAAATGGTACCTTCCCACCTGATCATGGGAATCAGGATTTAAAATGTGTATGCACAAAAATATATGAATCATTCCTTCTGCCTAGTCTAACACTATCATTTCCCCTTACAACTTCATTTCTCCTACTGGAGGATTAAAAGTGAGATGGTGGCTCATGCCTGTAATCCCAGCAGTTTGGGAGGCTGAGGTGGGTGGATCACCTGAGGTCACGAGTTCGAGACCAGCCTGACCAACATGGTGAAACCCCGTTTCTACTAAAAATACAAAAAGTTAGCTGGGTGTGGTGGCAGGTGCCTGTAAACCCAGCTACTTGGGAGGCTGAAGCAGGAGAATTGCCTGAACCCAGGAGGCAGAGGTGGCAGTGAGCTGAGACTGCACCATTGCACTCCAGCCTGGGCAACAAGCAAAACTCCATCTCAAAAAAAAAAAAAAAAAAAAAAAAAAGTGAAGTTGATGTTCTTTCTGGAAAATACTTTTAAGGTTATAAGAAACAGAATATCTGCATCAGAAATGTTTCTAAAGACAACAGCTAATTGGCTGTGGATTTCTCCACTACTAAACTTGGCCTTTCACTTTGAACTAATAAGAAATACTCATAAACCCAGTATTTCCAGACACTGATTAAGAAACCACCTGATGTAGTGATGTAACTTAAATTTTTCTGTTCATCTTGTCTACTTTGTATCTGACATGATGAACACCAAATTCCTAGATGCATTTGACAACTGGAAGGCAAAATTTACAAAATTTATGTTAAATAAAACATGCAAGTTATATCAAATAGGAATCTTTCTAAGCCACAGGAATTTGTATTAGCTTAAAACAATTTTCATATATTAGACACGAAACCTATAAAGTAAGGATTATCATATAGGTTTTTAAATGTGTGATGTATAAACAAGTGAACTTTAAATAAAATTAAACTTTAACTTCCTTTCATTGTGGATATTACCATGACAGGTTATAAATGGCTTACTAAGGCTATCAGTATGAGAACAATTGCCTGACAGCTGCATAAATGTCAAAAAAATGTCATTTACCATTAGCTGCAATTCAAGGCCTTATTATTCTCCCCATTCCTTACTATAACAAAAATAATTTATGCACAGGAAATTTAAAAGAGAGGGAAGAGAAAAATATGTCAATTTTGTAACAGTGTATTAACTCCAATTACATACAACCTCAAATGTGCTATTTCAAAAGGTAAAGTATTTGAACCACAATTTTATAAAAATTGGTTATAATAATATATTACAATAAAATAGCTTAAGAATAGTTACTTTGGCAAACAAAATAAGTAGACTTTTTTTTCTTTTTTTTTTTTTTTGAAAGAATCCCATCTGTTGTCCAGGCTGGAGTGCAGTGGAACCATCAAAACTCACTGCAACCTTGACTGTTTGGGCTCAAGCGATCCTCCCATTTCAGATTCCAGAGTAACTGGAACTACAGAAGCACATCACTACAACCAGCTATTTTTTTGTTTTGTTGTAGAGATGGGGGTCTTGCTATATTGCCTAGGCTGGTCTCGAGCAATCCTCGTGCCTCAGCCTCCCAAAGTGCTGGGATTACAGGCATGAGCCACCACTCCTGGTCAATAAGTAGACTTTTACAGGCACTTTTTAATAAAATGGAAAACTAGTGGTAAAAACTACATGAAAATGATGCTCTTACTGTGAGAATGACTTTACCGTCAAAATGCTACTTAAGAAAAACAAGAATTTCACCAGAAGTCAATGTTCTTCACAGGTTTTCAAAATTAGTTTTAAAATTAGTTTTAAACCTTTAGTGTTCAGCTATTGATTCAACTATCACAATGCTACAAAGACCAGCTGGAGAATTACAAGAACAAGGAAATAAACTCTCGTACCATGCTACTGGTACTGCTCTTGCTATCTAATTACTCAGTTACAATGTGATTTTTTTTTTTTAAGTATACACAATATACTTAAGAACAGTATACACAATACAGTGGAAGTCATGAAAGAAAAATGATAAAGCCCCTTAACCAAATGTGCTCAAAATGTGAATATAAAATCCACTATATTTAAACCCTTACTTTAAAGATTTCTGCTTTGATGGCCTAGTCACTCACTGATTTTGCATTCTTTAAATTGGCTGAGAAAGCTTCACTTTAGCAATTTCCTGCCTTTTTTTTTTAATCTAGTAATGGTATAAAGCCAACCCTGTAATTTAAAGAATTAAGATTTTTATAGCCAAAATAAAATAAAGCTGAATATATTAAATATTAGATTTATTTAATTTAGATGTCATATCTATTTAATTTCTTTTTTAAAATTAACACATTCTGGGCACAATTCTCATCACTTCATAAGGAAAAAGACTAAAAAAATGTAAAGTACCGGAACTCGGGAGGCTAAAGTCACCACACAGAGATACCAATTCTTTCCTCACTAGGGAATCCCATAACACTTTGCGTGTCAGTGATTGACAGCTGTCACTGAACTGATTGACAGGCCGCACAGCACAAAACTGTAAAGTCTATCCACTTGTTATAAAACAGAATACATAAAATAGTTATAAAAAAAGTGTTTAGAAAAAGAAAATCAGTTACAAATGCAAATATAAATACATTTAATTTCTATAAAAGCAATCATACAAAATCAAACAATCACTTATTTACTTGGTTTTCTTAAATAGGTTATTCTAAAATCAAAAGTAGCAAATAATTCATTAACATGATTCTAATTCAACATATAAAATTATGTAGTAGAATTTGATTTTACACATTTCCTCTGAGAAGCATAATCATTTTTTAAGTAAACAGTGAAACAATTCTGGAAAACTCACTTGGAAGCCCAATAAATCGGATAATTAGGAGGTTTCAGGTATTTCTGATAAAAGCTGTTTTAGCTAATACTGTTACTATTTTGAATGAAAGAGACTTCTTCCCAGGAGTAGCATTACTTTCAAACAACATTTCTTAATAGAACTTGTAATATTATAACTTTCTGGAATAAGAGGCAATTTTAAATGTCAAGAATGATTAGGCTCCAGAGGTTATTTTTCTACATTCACAAAGCATACCAGGACACTAAGGAGAGTGGCTGCATGTTTTGATGGTTCACACACCACTGGGGTCATCTCCCTACTAGTTTTCCTCCCCAGTGGTAAGCTCCTCTCCACTCCTGACACTGCTATCAAATGACATTTGGAATTCATTAATCTTTAATAGCTGACCTTTAATTCTGATAAGCAATAATTTATATGTAAGATATGTTTACTGAAAGAATAGAAAGTCACTAAAATGCTATCTTTTAGAGGGCAAAAAAGATAAAGAAGCTTTTTGAAATTCAAATATTACAACCTATAAAGAATCTTGAAATCTTAGAAGGCACCACTGAGCAGGCAGTCCTAACAACCTGTTCTGAGTTTACCAGGCATCTTAATATTAACACAATTTAAAGCAAAAGTATATAGTTTAGTGAAGCTACTAAAATAAGCATTATGTAAGTAAAGTGATAGAATACATACATACATAAATAATTATAAAAGTTAACTTAAAAGAACAGTCCATGTACGTCCTATTATTTATGCCAATGAATAAGGTTAGAAACATAACACCAGCATAGACCTTTCCCATTCACACTCCCATCAATCACACCACTGGAACTAAAACCATCTTACCTTCTCACCTCTGGTCTTCGAATCTTCTTTCTCTTTCTTCCTAGCAGCGGCCACAAACTCATTAAACAAGGCTTCTCGGTCTTTCATCTTTTCAATTGCTTTGAATCTTGAATCTTTAGCATGCTTGGCTGCAAATTCACTAAAAGTTGCTCTGTAACAAAATTACAAGTGTGCTAACTTTGGCAGTTACTTCTGCTTGTATAAAGGCATAGCAGAAGATACCATTTTTCCAACAAGAGTATATGACAAAGAGACACTGGGACTCAACATCTACCTAACAGTGAACAGTAAGTTTCAGAAAGGAGTAAAAAGAGGTAATGAGCAAAAATGTGGTTAAGGGATTTGTATGCTATCAGCATAGAATTAGGAGAATAAATATTATTATTAAAAAAAAAAAGAAAGAGATCACAGAGTAAAGAATTTGCATGCCTCAAGAGACAAGAGCTCATCAATTTCCACTCTGCGATGAAGCTAAGTCCTTCCTCCAGCCATAATAGAAAAATTCTTATTGGATTAGCTCTCCATACACAACTATAAAACTGGACAAAAGTATATGAGGCAACCGATTTCAAGGAGTAGACAACAGAAAGAGTAAGACTGAAATGCCTGAAAGAAGGGAAATTTATGAGGTGCAGAGAGAGCTCAAGTCCAACTAGAGTACCATAGTCTTAATGAACTGGAGGAAGCAAAGATTAGAGCTTGGGTGAAGAGGAATCTACAAAGAGAGGGTACCCAAGAAAAATCTGACTTAGCGATTACCCATGAGTCCACAGCTAAGGCCAAGTTGTGTAACAGCAGGGAAAGATCACTCTATATATCAAGCTACTACAGGGTTAAGAGCATAGAAGAGATAACAGAGAGTCAGTAGTATTAAAGGGAGAATAGGATCAGGCCAACAAAGTCCACAAAAGATCCACAAGGAAAACAGAGCTGGAAGGCTAAAAGAAACATATTACACTTTCAGAGATTCACATTAACAAAACATAAAGTCAAGCCTAAAATTAAGGTGGCAACCAGTAAATAAACTGCCTACTAAAACAAAAATATCCACTTTTCAATGAAAGGTAACAGACTCCAGAGTCTCTATATATTAGCCACAAAGTCCAATATTCAATCAAAAATCACTAAATATACAAAGAAACGTGATCCATAGAAAAAATTTTTTGAAGTCAATAGAAACCAAACCCAAGATGTCCAGATGTCGTTCTAAGTAGACAATAACTTTAAAACAACTATTACTGGCCAGGTGCAGTGGCTCATGCATGCAATCCCAGCACGTCAGGAGGGCAAGGTAGGAGGATCATTTGAGGCCAGGAGTTCGAGACAAGCCTAAGCAACACAGTGAGACTCCAGCCAGGCACAGTAGCTGACGCCTGTAATCCCAGCTACTTGAGAAGCTGAGGCAAAATAATCTTTTGAACCTGGGAGGCAAAGGCTGTAGAGCCGAGATCGTGCCACTGCACTCCAGCCTGGACAACAGAGCAAGGCCTTGAATCAAAAAAACAAAAACAAAAAAACATAGTGTGGTGGCTCATGGCTGTAATCTCACCACTTTGGGAGGCCAAGGCAGGTGGATCAGTTGAGGTCAGGAGTTCCAAGACCAGCATGGCCAACAAGGTGTAACCCTGTCTCTATTAAAAATACAAAAAAAATTAGCTGGGAGTAGTGGCAGGCACCTGTAATCCCAGCTACTCAGGAGGCTGAGGCAAGAGAAAAACCCAGGAGGCAGAGGTTCCAGTGAGCTGAGATCACGCCACTGCACTCCAGCCTGGGTGACAGAGCAAGACTCTGTCTCAAAAAAAAAAAAAAAAAAAAAACACATAGTGAGGCTCTGTCCCTACAAAAAATTTAAAAATTGGTTGGGCATGGTGGCACACGCATATATTCTCAGCTACTCAGGATGACTGCTTAAGCCCAGGAATCTGAGGCTGCAGTGAGCTGTGACTGAGCCACTGCACCCCAGCCTTAACAACTGAGCAAGACTCTGCCTCTTAAAAAAATAACTAAACAAAACTGTTATTATTACACTGAAAGAATCAAAGAAAAACAGGTTCAAAGAATTGAAAACATGGTCTAAAAATGAATGAACAAATAAGGAGTTTTGGCAGAGATGCAGAAAATATTAAAAAGAACCTAAAACTAATGAAAAAAAATTAACTGGATAGGATTAACATGAGAGTTGACAATTGAATAAGGAGTCAATTATATGAAGTTAGATCACTAACAATTATCTAATCCAAAGAGGAGATAGAAAAAAGACTGAGGTAGGGGAAACAGTCTCAGGGACATGTAAGATAATATCAAACACTAATATATGTGTGATTAGAATCCCAAAAGAGAAAAGAATGAATTAGGGCAGAAAAAATACTAGCCAAAAACTTCCCAAATTTGATGGAAAACATCAATTTATAAATTCAAAAAGCTCAGCAAACTCCAAACAGGTTAAATAAAAGGATGAGGCTTATGAGGGCTAATGAGCCTAAGTTTTAAAAAAGAAGTTTCTCCATAAATAAAAGGCATTATAAAGCTTTCATATATTTGGTATATAGTTTAAATATTTGAAGCTTTAACCAGTGGCGCGATCTTGGCTCACTGCAACCTCCGCCTCCAGGTTCAAGCAATTCTTCTGCCTCAGCCTCCCAAGTAGCTGGGACTACAGGCGCCCACCACCACACCTGGCTAATTTTTGTATTTTTAGTAGAGATGGAGTTTCACCATACTGGCCAGGCTGGTCTCAAACTCCTGACCTCGTGATCCACCTGCCTCGGCCTCCCAAAGTGCTGGGATTACAGGCGCGAGCCACTGCGCCTGGCCAAGAATTTACTCTTATAATTAACAATCCTATATTTAGCATGGTTTTAGAAGAAAAAAAATAAAGATTAGCCCACTTAAAAGCTATTTAGTTATTTAAATGCAAAAATAAAACATTCTCTTGTGTTAAAACAAAGATTATGTTATAGTTTTAATTATAAACAAAAAACTGGCCAGTTAATCTCAATTTAGAACTTAAAACATCAACTGAAGGTTAAGAGTATCACTCACAGCTAACATTTATTATTTTTAAGCTTTGCTGGCCAAGGCTAGATTCTAATAATCTTTTGTATGCAACCAATACTAATCAATATCCAACATTAATTCAACATTTTTAACAATGAATATATTGCAAACCTGGTTTGAACAACAGATACATAACAATAATAAAATGGCATGGTAAAATAAAAATGTATATTCCAGAAAAGGGATCATATGTAGTCCATTAAATGTTTTATTTTCATGATAAATTAAGCCCTTCAGTTTATAATTTTAAGATAGAAAAAGCAACTACAGGTTGGGCATCCCAAATTTGAAATCCAAATGCTCCAAAACCCAAAACTTACTTAGTGCCAACAAGACATTCAATTCAGATTTTTGAATTTGGGATGCTCACGTAGTAAGTATAATACAAATATTCCAAAATTTTTTTTAAAAAATCTGAAATCCAAAAGACTTCTGGTCTCAAGCATTTGGGATAAGGGATAATAAACTTGCATTGTTATGATTAAAGCATAAACTATGATTAAAGAAAAAACCTTTTAAAAAGTGGAAAATCAACGTGTAAAGTGATAACTGATTTATTTTAGACTTATTTCTATTACTTATAGGTAAAATATCTGACACTTTTTATGAGAAAAGACAGAAGTGAACTTTTAGCATTAGATTCCCATGGAGATGTTTTCATATGACTTATTTCTTAACTGTGAAAAAACTACTTTAAAACAAACAGGATAAAAAATATTTTGGAAGGAAGTAGGTAATGGCTGGTGGTGAGTGACAGGGAGATAGTAGTGACCAGAAACTGACTGTGGGAGGTATGACTTAAATTTTCATTAAAAAGAAAAACGACATACAAGAGACAGGCACAGTTCAGTAATTTCCCCCTTTCTTTCCCGTTGGAACAAACTCTGGTGCTCTATATTTACTAGCTCTACTAAAAGGTTCTGCAATATTTTTTCCCACTTTAAAAAAAAAATTAGGCCAACAGACAACATTTTCTCATTTTAAAGTTTTTCCTCCTTGCATTCTTCTAGAACTAAAAATGGTCTTAATTTCTATGCCAGAGTTGGATGTATCAATATAACAATACAGGACAATGCCCTTAGTGCCTGATCGTTTCATTTTATGAAGTAACCTGCATAATACAGATCACTTCAACAATTCTACCTGCCTGAAAAGAACACCAGTAGAGTACTACGATATGGTAAGACTTAGTCATATCTACCAAGGGAAATCTCTTTGGAGTTTCAATTATTCACAGACCCATATGGAGTTTTAATAAATATATTCTGCTGAATGCTTTGGAAATAAGCTGCAGACATCTTAAGACTTCACTTAGAAATATTTCAACATGCAACTCCTGAGAGTAAAGCCTTTTTCCTCCATAACCACAATACCCAAGAAAATTACTAATTCTCTAACATCTAATATCCAATTCTTACCAAGTGACCTCAACTGCCCCCCAAAATGTCTTTTATAACAGAGACTCAACTATTTTGACTCATGATCTCACTCTTTTGACTCAGAAAAAACTCAGGACTCCCTGGAAAGTCTGAACCTCTACTACCCCTGAAGAATATTAAATTCTTCATATCACAAATACTCTATTAGCTTTATTTTCTAAAACTTTTAATACCATATTTCAAATATAAAACTATATTAAACATTCTTCTTAAACAACATCACTCTTTCCTACCTCCACAGACAAAATTAACTATTTATATAAGATGAACGTTTATAATAAGTGCCATTTAACCCAGAGACTCCATGATGCTACCCGACAGTTTTAGAATACTGAGGTATTCCCAGTAACCTAATACCACTACTCTTACATCTAAGTCATAAATAAGAATAATTCCCCCTACCTATACAATTCTGTGCAACACTGAAATCTAATTGAAATCCCAGCTTCACTGGGGCAAGCTACCTAATTTGCTTATCTCATATAAAACAGGTATCACGTAAGTACCTAAATCAAACTACCTGTTCTGAAGACTGAATATCTGTATGCATATATATAAAATTATATGCTTTCAGTCATGTTTACATGTAAATGTATAAATGCATACATATATGTTTTAAAGTGCAAATAAGCACATAAAATACCCAGTAACTGTTATTACTATAAAACTAGGCAAATAAATTTAAAATGTCTCATTTTCTTCAGCCCATTACATGTATTTAATACATATTACCAATCAATTCAAAATGTCAGACATGACCATTAACTAGACACTTAGAAAATTTTGAAATTGAAGTGGTAAAAGGTCCTTCACCACTTCAATTTAATCAAAATAATGTTCCTCCTCTGCAACTCATTATGTATAAAACTTTACAAAGATGAGGCACAGATTTTCTATCATATACTAGTTTCTAAAGAACTTATTCCCATAGGGAAGCACTTAAATCAAAGGTACCCTTCTTAGAGCACTTAGGATTCCTCTAAAGGAAACATAGTAAAAAATAAAGATTAGAAATTTTGGCAAAAACCGATAATCAAATAAGGAGCTTTTAGTGCCCAAATAGTCAAAAAATATCTATTTTTTTAATTTTTAAAAACTGATCTTAGGAGAAAATAAATACACTTTGATATTTAAGAGAAACAAACCACATACCTTGGATTAAATTTTGCTTCTTCCATCATTTTTTTGAAATCTTCCTTGGCTTGCATTATTTTATTTTTCTTTTCCCTGCGTTCTTCCTCTGCCCTGGTCTTTACATACTGATCAAACACCTATTATAAAAATCAACAAATTTGACAAGTCAATCTTTCATATAGGTAATTTAACTACCAAATTATTGGACAATGTCTTTGTCCAAACTATACCAGGAAAAATATATTAACTGTAGATAATTATACACAGATAATCTATACCAAGTTTCACTTTAAAGCTTCACTGAGATATTACACAAGCACACAGCTCTCTACTTAGGCTTCAAGAACAAAAGAAAACAGCAAAAAGCCTCTTTAATTTTTTTCCCGATTATAAATACATGATTATTATAAACATGTCAAGAAATTTAGAAATGCGGAAGAGAAATCACAGTCTTCCCAAATCCCTTTTAGAAAGAAATATCAATGGTATGGAATCTGTAGTATATTTTATTTCCGTGCTTCTCTTAAGACATAAGTATTTTCACTAAAATGTAATCATGCTTTACATCTATTCTATATTTCCCCCACTTAATAATACAGTCAAGATAATGAACTGATCATCTATTTACCACCTACTTCACACCCTACAAAATGACAGAAGAACTTCTTTTTTAAGTCATAACCCAACAATGATTGAGAAAAAAAGAACCAGCAACTTGCAAAGCTGATGGGACAAGTGGAAAAGGATGTGACAGATATGAGAGCACTCAACATAACCTAGCAGTCAAGAAAAACAAAGAGGCAACTCAAGTTTTTTTTTCTGAAACCAGAATCTCCTCAAACAACTCAAGAATAGACAGCATCAGATACCTATGGAGGTGAGGATGGGGCATAGCTAAAATAAGTAGTATTTTAAGGATGAAAAGCTATTTAATAAGTTGTTAAATTGCCAGATGCCCCCACCAACTTAATGTTTCTGGGCACTGCCACTTCTGAATGTAAAAGGCAAGTGACTATTCCAAAGCAAATAATTGGCAAACTATGGCCTACGGGTTGTTTTTATACAGCTCAAGGATAGTTTCTACATTTTTTAAAGGTTGAGGGGAAAAACAAAGTTTCATGACACATGAAAACTAAATAAAATTCAAATGACAGTATTTCCATAAATAAAGCTTTAACTGAACAGCCATGCTTATACCCTTACGTATGTCTACAGGTACTTGACACTTAAAACAGCAGTTGCAAAGTTACAATAGAGACCATATGGCCCACAAAGCCTAAAATACAAATTATCTGACTCTTAAAAATTTGCTGACTGCCTGCTCTAGAAAGTAAAAGAGAGTGTCTTTGAACTAAGGGAATCTGAATTGGGAATAAGGCAAACCAAACTAAAAACATGGAGATTAACCAAACACATACCAAATACTAAGACACAGTTAGTTCTCTCAGATCCGAAGCAGAGAGATCTGTGCCCTCCAGCCAGATTAGAAGTCTTTATTGGGAATCTGACCAGCCTAAAACATTGGCTCCAGGGGTTCTCAACAAACCAGCCTAACTCACCCTACAGCATGTTTCTCAACCTTGGCACAGTGATGTTTTGAGCAAGATGTATACCAGCATCCCTGGCCTCTACCCACTAGATCCCAGCAGCACTCACTTCAATGGTGACAAAAATGTCTCCTGGGGGCAAAACTACTCGTGGTTGAGAACCACCACTCTGCAGTACAGCCCCAAAGCACGAGGGCCCACCTAAATGCTAAGAATACCCAAATAGGCCGGGCAGTGGCTCACACCTGTAATCCCAGCACTCTGGGAGGGCAAGGCAGGAGGATCATTTGAGCTCAGGAGTTCAAGACCAGCCTGGGCAACGTGGCAAAATCCCATCTCTACATGCAAAAAAAAAAAAGAGTACCCAAACAGCATTTTAGTGCTTCACTTAAGTAGTCAGGGTCTACAAGACATCTAAGGAAACTCTCCAACATGAAAAATAGAGCCCTAAAGAGAACAAACTTAGTGGAATCAGAAACTATACAGAAAAATAAAAATATAAAAGAAAAAAATGTTCCTAAACAACCTCACAGAGCTAAGATAATGCACCCATAAGGCAAGAAAAACCTCAAAAAACATAAAAGAACTCTTAGGAATTAAAAGACACAATAAATTTTAAAAATCTAAATAGTTGGTTAATAAAGGCAAGGAAATTATCCAAAAAGTTAAATAAAAAGACAAAGGTAATTAACAGGAAAGAGAAAAAGTTGAAGAACCAATCCATGAAGGCAAATTCAAATTCTGTCCCAGAATGAAAAAACAGAGAAAACTGGAAACAAATTTTTTAAAGTAACACAAGAGAATTTCCCGTAACTAAAAGAGCTGAGTTTCCACACTGAAAAGGTCAGCCAAGTACTGAGCACAATAGACCCTTCCTCTAGGAAAAATACCACTATGGCATTTCAGAATACTAGGGACTAAGAGAGCTACATACTTATAGAGAAAGAAAAACAGATTCACATATAAAGGAATAGGAATGGCTTCAAAAACAACGAACACTAGAAGCAGAGCAATGCCTTTAGCTAGCCAAACAATTCCAAATAAGGGTACAATAAGGGTTTTTCCAAGTATGTTAGGCCTCAAATAAACTTTCCCTGCACATTCTCTCAAGAAGCTACAAAAAGGAAAAGACTTACTATGTAGGGAACAGCTCTATGAACATCTTTATAACAAGTACAACAAAATGTTCCAAAATACCTTCGACATCTTCCCAAGTCAATCCACATATGTCTACCAATCTTCATCCACTGGGTGTCTTGGAACATATCCTCCACAGATAAGGAGGGACTACCATATCTGTGATTACCTGACCAGTCCCCTGCTAGACATGTAAGTCATCTTCAATTTCCTCTAAGTATAGCATTGCAGAAAACCTTTTGAAAGTATTTGCATGCTGAAGAGAGGGAGAAAGTTGTTTCCAACTCCCTTCTCAGTATATACTTACTTATAAATAAAATATTAAATGATACCTAAAATTCAAGGGAATTTGTATTAACTTTCCTTTGAGAATCTAGAAAGAACTTCGTATTCCCTCTGCTGGGCTACCCCAGACCAAGGTTAGGAATCACTCTCTAAGATTAATATCTCATAGAAAATTAGGGGTTGTGTTATGCTTCCAAGTTGCTCCTAATTTGTGTCATGCTTTCCAATACGCTTGGCTTTATGTTCCCTATGTTAAGTGGTTATTTTCTGATAACTTCAACTCATGAACAAAATTTCATAATACAATGAAAATGAGTAAATTTTAAAAATAATTCTGTTAAGTTCACTTTTATAGGCATGAACAAAAATGTATATTAAGGGGCTATACCCTTTAAGCCTTCAAGGCAGCTCTGGAGTGCTTGGAATGTTCCATTTTTTGGATCATGATATATTCATTTTGTGAAATTTCACTTATGATTTTATCTTTTCTGTTTCAAAATACATTTACTAAAAGTAAGTCTCCATTATTTGATTCTCATATTTTTAATTTCACACTGATTCAATGACAAATTATTCAGTAACAGTGGCCCAGATGGTTGACAATTCCGAGTAATCATGTTGGTAACATATTACCATACTGTAATACTGTCAATATTAAAAAGCTCTGAATAACAAATGAGATATTTAAAAGTTTATTTTGGTGTTTTCTCTTAGAGTTCAAGGGCAGGGATTTTTTTAATTGACAAATAATAATTGTACATATTCATGGGGTTACTGTGTTTCAATACATGTGCAATCGAAATGTGTTTAAATACATATCATGTAGTGATGAGATCAAGGTAATTAGCATATCAATCTCAAACATTTATCATTTGTGTTGGAAAAACGTTTAATATCCTCCTTCTGGCTACTCGAAACTACTTACTATTGTTAACCAGTCATCCTACAGGGCTACACAACGCCAGGACTTAATCTTCCTATCCAGTTTTAATTATGTATCCTTTAACAAATCTCTTCCTATCCTCCCAAGTTCTCCCTACCCCTCTCAGCCTTCAGTAGCCTCTGTTCTACTTTTGACTTCTATGACATCAACTTTCTTTTGCTTCCACATGTGTGAAAACATAAGATGTTTATCTTTCTGTTCTTGGCTTATTTCACTTAACATGACTTCCAGTTCCATCGATGTTGCTGCAAATGACAGGATTTCATTCTTTTTTATGGCTAACCACATTTTCTTTATCCAGTCATCTGTTGTTGGACACCTAGGTTGATTCTGTATCTTGGTTACTGTGAACAGTGCTACAGTAAACATTAGGGTACAGATATCTCTTCAATATAATGATGTCTTTTCCTTTCAATACATACCTGATAGGGGGATTGCTGGATCATATCGTTGTTCTGTTTTTAGTTTTTCGAGGAACCTCCATACTGTTTTCCATAGTGGATATACTAGTTTAAATTCTAACCAACAGTATATAAAGAGTTCCCTTTTCTGAGTATCCTTGCCAGTATTCGTTATTTCTTCCTCTTTTATGTAAGTCATCCTAACTGAGTGAGACACCTCACTGCTGTTTTGATTTGCATTTCCCCAATGATTAGTGATGTTGAGCATTTTTTCATATATTTATTGGCCATTTGTATGTTTTGAGAAATGTCTGTTCAGATCATCTGCCCATTTGTTAGTAAGATCTGTTTTTTTCTGTTGGGATGACTGAGTTCCTTGTACATTTTGGACATTTAATTCCCTATCAAATAAGTAGTTAGCAAATATTTTCTCCCATTCTGTAGGATGTCTTCACTGTTGTTTCCCTTGCTATGGAGAACTGTTTTAATTTGATGTAACCCCATTTGTTTATTCTTGCTTGTGCTTTTGAGGTCTTATTTGTAAAATCTTTTCCCAGTCAATGTCTGGAATTATTTCCTCTATGGTTTTTTTCTAGTAGTTTTATCATTTCAGGTCATATATGTAGGTCTTTGATCTATTTTGAGTTGATTTTCAGATAGGCTAAGAGGTGGGGTTCTAATTTCATTTCTTCTGCATATAGATTTCCAGTTTTCCCAGCATCATTTATTGAAGAGACTGTTCTTGCCACAGTGAGTGTTCTTGGCACCTTTGTCAAAATAAGTTGCCTATAGATATATGGATTAATTTCTGAGTTCCCTATTCTGTTCCTTTGGTCTATGTGTCTGTTTTTATGCCAGTACCGTACTGTTTTAGTTACTACAGCTCTCTAGCATATTTTGAAGTCTGGTACTACGATACGTCCAGCTTTGTTCTTTTTGCTTAGGATTGCTTTGGCTATTTTAAGTCTTTTTTGGTTTCACAAAAATTTTAGGATTTTTTTTTTTTTTTTTTGAAACAGGGTCTTGTTCTGTTGCCTGGGCTGGAGTGCAGTAGCGGTCATAGCTCACTGTAACCTCAAACTCCTGGATCAAGTGATCCCCACACCTTAGTCTCCCAAGTAGCTTGGACTATAGGTGCACGACACCACACCTGGCTAGTTCTTGCATTTTTTTGTAGAGAGATCTCACTATGACAGTCTCAAACTCCTGGCCTCAAGTGATCTCCTGCCTTGGTTTTCTAAAGTGGTGGGATTACAGGCGTGAGCCACCTTGCCTATCCAGATTTTTTTCTTCCAGTGACATTCTGTTTTGAATGTCACTCGTATTTTGATACAGATTGCACTGAATCTGTAGATTGCTTTGGAGAGTACTGCCACTTTAACAATATTAATTATTCTGATCCATGAGCTTGGGATGTCTTTCCCTTTGTATCCTGTTCAGTTTCTTTCATCAGTATCTTATAATCTTCCTTATGGGGGTCTTTCACTTGTTTGGTTAAATTTAATTCTTAGTTATCTTATTTATTTGGCACTATTGTAAATGGGATTGCTTTCTTGATTTCTTTTTCAGCTAGTTCACTGTGTACAGAAACACTATTGTTTTGGATATTTAATATCCTGTAATTTTCCTGAATCAGTTTAGCAGTTCTTTTTTTTTGAGACAGAGTCTTGCTGTCACCCAGGGTGGAGTGCGATGGCACAATCTCGGTTCACTGCAACCTCCACTTCCTGGATTCAAGCAATTCTTGTGCCTCAGCCACCTAACTAGCTGGGATGAAAGGCATGCACCACCACCCCTGGCTAATTTTTGTATTTTTAGTAGAGATATTTTTAGTAGAGATGAGGTTTCGCCATGTTGGCCAGGCTGGTCTCGAACTCCTGACCTCATGTGATCCGCCTGCCTTGGCCTCATAAAGTGCTGGGATTACAGGCATGAGCCACCACGCCCACCCTGAATTTATCAGTTCTAAGAGATTTTTAGTAGCATCTTTAGGTTTTTCCATATGTAAGATCCTGTCATCTGCAAAAAGAAACAAGTTGACTTCTTCCTTTCCAATCTGGATACCCTCTATTTCTTTCTCTTGCCTAATTGCTCTGGCTAAGACTTCCAGCACTATGTTGACTAAGAGTGGTGAAAGTGGGTATCCTTGTCTTCTTCCAGTTCTTAGAGGAAAAGCTTTTAAAATGTTTATTTTGAAATAAGATAAGAGAGAACTTATTTTAAAGTGTTAATAGCATAACGACTATCTATGTCAGAACCTAGTAGCATCCTTTATGCAAATGGTCTAGTTTTTATGGAAAATGTTATTCAATTAAAATTTGTCATAACAAATAAAACAAAAACATTTCAGACCCCTTAAGTAAACTTTATCAAAAGAAAATTCTAAGTTAAAATTTATGGTTACAATTATATAAAATACATCTTTTATAATGATACAGAATGTACACGAATCTACAAATAACTAGAAAAGGACAACTGAAATATAATTTTGTATTACAAGGCATTTCCAATGAAGTTATTAGTGTTTTCTAAATCAAAGCACAAACTGCAAATATGAAATTACAAAGTGCAAATGTGTAATGTGCAACCTAGCACCTTTCTGGTTGTTCATTTTATACTCCTATGCAAATAATAAAACCAAGTATTCAAAAAACGTGTTTATTTTTAAATGCCAAATGTTAACTACTACTTCTTCTCAGTTCTTACATTCTGATTGTTGAGAGAAGAATTCTATTTAAAAGCCATGAAAGGCCAGGCGTGGTGGCTCACGCCTGTAATCCCAACACTTTGTGAGGCCAAGGCAGGCGGATTACTTGAGGTCCGGTGTTCAAGACCAGCCTGGCCAGCATGGTGAAACTCTGTCTCTACTAAAGATAGAAAAATTAGCCGGGCATGGTGGTGCACGCTTGTAATCCCAGCTACTTGGGAGGCTAAGGTGGGAGGATCACTTGAACCCTGAGAGGCAGAGGCTGCAGTAAGATGAGATGGCGCCACTGCACTCCAGTCTGGGCAACAGAGCAAGACTCCATCTCTAAATAAATAGATGCATAAAATAAATAAATAAATAAATGGCATGAGAACTTTTAACTAGAGATTTTATTGAAAACAGAACACTAGAATAATATTTTCTCTTTTCAAACGTAATTCTATTAAGGAGATACCACCATCAGCTTATAGAATGCTTCAAAAATTGGGAAAGAACTATAGTTCTCAATATGTTACTTCTAATTTCACTATAACACTCAGTACCAGGAGGAATACGTCATAAAAGTTTTAAAGCCTTCAGAGATATTTAGATTAGGCAATGTTCCAGGCACTACAAATAAAGCAATGAAGACAAAGTTTCTAGCCTCATACAATTTATATTTTGCAGGAGGAGGAGACAAATAATAAAAACATAATTTTATACAATTAGAGCCATGAGCACCATAAAGAAATTAGAAAAGGCAAAGAGACAATACTTAGATTGATTAGAAGGCACTGGGACAAGTACCTTAATGAAATGAAGCTGGCTGTACTAACACCTGGAGGAAAAACAGTCCAGGCAGAAGGAATAGCAAACACCAGAATGACTGGCTTGTTCAAGTAATATCAGGGCCAGTGTGGCTGTAATCAACAGACATTAAAAAAGACCATCAAGAGGTATACAGGGGTAAGTCTATGTAGAATATTAGAGACCATGAAAAGAGCTTCAATTTTATTCTCAATGAAATGGAAAGCACTAAACAGTTTTAAGCAAGGGAACAGTGACTTAATTTAGTATCACTTAAACTTTAAAATTAGCCTGGCTGCTGTGTGGAAAAAGAACTTGACTAAAGAGGAACAAGAACAGATGGAATGAAGGAGATCAACAATAGGCTACACAGATGATAAGGGTTGTTTATGGTGGCTTGGATTAGGGTGTTAATGGGGGAAATGATTAATAAAAGGTGAGATTTTGAAAATTTTTTGAAGGTAGATTATAGATTTGCTGATAAGACTGTAAAGGGGAAGTGGGAAAAGTAAGGAATCAAGGCTAATTTATAAATTTTGATAGAGCCATAAACTGAAATGAGAATAAAAAACTCACACAGAGTTTGTTTTTTAAAAAAGATACAAAGCTTAAAATGAAGATGCAAATACATTAAGGAAGTTATGTCTTTCTATTCCAAGTACTAAAATACATATCTGGCACATTGTAAATTTTCTCCCTTCATTCAAGTCCATGATTAGACCTACATGCATAATGGTACACACCATGTGAAGAATTATTTCAATTGTTACATTAAAAATATCAAAGATGGGCACTACTGTTACCAAATGAAATCTTACAGCTTAACAGCACTATAGCAAGTGGTTCCACATACTCACCATTTTATGGAGATCAGTGTCAGGATAGTTCAGGTAATTCAGAAATTAAGTAAGTTGGAAGTGTGCAATGCTTTAGAAGAGGCAATCACGAAATGATATGTGTCACTGAATCATCATGGGAATAAAAAGCAACACTAATTCAACAGGGACCCTTAAGTATCCACTGTTTTTCTGAGTTTATGATGGAAACAGATATTTTAACAGATGCTACTTAGATGTGAACTTTGTATATGCAGTTGTGTATAAGACATAAACCTATGTTCAAGTACTATCTACAGGACACACACACACATATATATGTACATACTGACACATAATGGTCAAGAAGGCTGTTCAGTATTCAATAATAAACCAGTGTTCAACGGTAGTCATATCTATTAGTTGGGATTACAGTAGCTTTTTTATCCTTTTTACTCATCTGTATTTTGCTATTTTTCTACTCTAAATTTGCATCATTGGCCCAAACAAGCAAATTAGTAAATGCATTTGAAATCAATTTTAAAACCATACTACACATAACCTAGGTATATGAGGCATAAGGACAAAATGTTTACAAGACAACAGCCATGCTCATAAGGGCAAAAATATCCAAGAATTTTGAAGTAGAAATGTCCACACACAGACACATAATATGTTCTAAGATGCAAGACTATATTTTTGAAATGCTGTATCAGAAAAAAAAGGGATGGTACTTTATTCCTTATAATTTAAAAACTATGTTGGCAAGAGATATACATTCTTAGTTAATGCCATTTTCCTTTTACCTGTTTTCTCTCTTTAGGATTGAGAAGTAAGTACCGGGGATCAAAAACTATCTTGTGCAACTCCTTCTCCCACGTTGAAAAAGCAGACACCTTTAAAATAAAAACGTATTGCCTCATAATTAAGTCTCCTCTAAAAATATAAAGGTCATAATTTTGCTTGAAATCTACAGGATATCTGTTTATAAAGGAGACATAAAACCATACTGAAGTTTCCATCACTAATAAATGACAAGCAGTGGGAGGCTAGCAATAGCAAATTTCCACACTAATTGGCTCTGAACATTCCTATATTATATAGAAATAACAGACACTTAATTACTCATTAAAATAACTACTACTGTGTGACATTTTAAAAATCAGTACATCAGAAAAAGCCTTGAAGATTTATATTTTGATTTCTCATGCTTGCTCCAATCTTGTGAACAATGTTGTGATTTAAAATTGAACAATTTTACTTATTCAAATGAATCTGTGAATATAACCAAATAGTTGAAATCCCTTCTCAATTAAATTGCAAATAATAATATCACAAAGTATCAGTTCTCCTTTAACAAAAGCCATTCTCAAGATATTAAAGGAAGAATAATCATATATACCTTACCTATCCCAAGCAGTCCGCCATTCTGTAATGTTAATACTCGTCTTATATTACTCACCACAATTTAATGACCCAATAAATGTTAAGTGTTATTTGTACTTAAAAGGACAGTAAAATGGCATTTAGTTAAATATGATAAGATTAGCCAAGAAAAAGGCTGTTGCAAAAAATGTACAGTAATTTTAAAAATCCCCTTATCCCCCCCCATAACATGAGCACTAACCTTAGATTTGACCTTTTAGCAAGACATATTTATATTACTTATACAAAACAGAAATATCTCCCCCAAAGATTGTTTTCTGACCCCTCTCTCTAGCAGCATGTCCTTGAACTGCTTCATTCGAGCCTCCAGAGGGACAATGGCCCTTTCTCGGGCAGCTTTAATTTCAGCTTCCATGGCAGCTTCTTTCTCTGAGTCAATGTCTTTATTATCGTCTCTCCTATAAAAAATAAAATATAAGACATCAACTGACAAAATATTAATTCTCAGATCTTATTAGAAATCTTAAAATCAAAGGAATTTTCAAGACTCACTACTGAGCAGCATATTTTTGGCAAAAACAAATTATATTGAGGGTTTCAAATGAACTCTAAGGGATAAATAACTTTCATAATAACAAAATTAAAATGGGCTTCTAATGATTTACAATGGCTACATTATTAGGAAAAAAATACACCTTTAATGGGCTGTCTCTCCCTGACACTGGTTAATAACATAAAAAGGGAGCAACCTTACTTAAAAAAAAAAAAGTTTAACACTGCAGTAAACCTCTATGTGTCAGAATCAAACAGCACAAAATATAATTTTTTTAGTTCTTGAAATATAGAAAAAACAGTATTTTCCAAAATGTTTTACATTATAAACACATAAAATATTTTGTAAAATCTAATAAAAATTGGTATTAAGTGGTATAATGTTTTAGTAATCTCAAACATTCATTTTAAAAATAAAACTAAAATATCTGCAATCTTGGCCAAGTGAATATGTAAGATATATACCTTACCTACCTGACTTTTTATTACTCACTTTCTGGGTGATAAGTTGAGATTTAAGTTGAAGGACAGGTCCCAGAGAGCAACATGGGCCCAGGAGTAGTTAGGTGGAATTAGAACTGTTCATCAATGACTAAACTACTTCTTGTTCCTCCAAAAATGCACCTCAGGTGTAAGGGCAACCCTGTTTCTGTGTGGTACTCAAGTGAAATTGTAAACATGGAATCACGGCACCTCTCAAATATATGCACTATGAAAAAGGCCCATTCACGTAAATAATCCAAAAAAGTATGTAATTCAATAATATCTGGGTGTATTTTAGCAGATCTTCCTTCTTAAATATGATCTGCTAAGTATATTTTAAAAATTGGCTCTTATTCCCTATACAAACTTAAGGGAATTAGGAAAACAGAACATGTGGAAATTCAAAAGCATGCTATACAGGAAACTGTAGGTAGCCCCAGAGATTTAAATGGAACTAAGGCTAACCCACAAATGCAAGTGAGAGGTACTTAGCAACTTAGGCAATGAATCAAAAGAAATAGAAGACATAGTCCGTGACCTGCAGGAACTTAGCGAGATAGTCTGTGACCTAAGATATGCACAAAACAAACAGGTAAAAGCAATTTGCCAAACAATATACCCTCTTATAATAATAATTTTAAAACTATTTAAATAGTTAGAGTTAAAAGACATCCAAGAAGTAACTAATAAAAACAAATAACCTTTATAGAACTATACTAAATGAAAATGTCACAATACAAACTATCACTATCTATCTCAATAAAGGAAATAAAAGAAAAACTAAGCCAGGAAAAACAGGCTTTTAGCTTTGTACCTAAATAGAGAAGCTCGGGCAATCCACATAAAGGACTTCTTTGACATTCTCCTGATAAAAGCAGTTAAAAACCTTACAGAGTTGTCTATAAGAACAAACAATTAAAAACAACCTAAAAGTTTAACATCGTAGGAACATCCAAAATTATGGTACATAAACAGAATGAATACAGTCATTTATAATAATTAACAAAACAAATGTCTTATTCTAGGTTTTTTTTTTTTAAAAAAAAAGCACAAAATCAGTTAATCACAACTAATAAAAATTACATTTGGTCAAGAACTAAAAAGTCAATTGCAAAAATGAGAATAGCTATGTTACGCTGATAAATTATGAGTGATTCTTTCATATCTTTTATGTTGTTGCCAATAAAGAAATTTTTTTTAAAAGAACTACCCTTTATAGGGGTTGTCCTACTGATTTCTTTGCCATAATTTGGCTGCATTCAATCTGTCCTTTTCAGATAAGGACTACAATTAACCAGTTCCTGTTAATGTCTTCAAACTTTCCTTTTTGCTGCTAAATAATGGTCCCATTCCCCATACATGCATACCCTCTACCCCATCCTTCCCCCCGCCATAACATTTACATTTTACCCAACTCTAGAGCACTGGCCAAGCTAATGCCTCTACTTCTTAGCAGTCTCTTTCTCGCAGAGCACTTCCTAAGCTTATGGGTTCTCTCCTCACCAAGGAGTTAATGACCAGACTCAAGGACTAGGTAAGTCGTAAGATAACCATATAAAGAGGGAGAAGTCTGTGTCTGTTTTTATGAGATCTCTGGAATGGTATCCATTGGGGTCTAAATGAGGGAGGAAACTAACTTTTCATAAAATTGAGACCTAATAAATTTCCAAAAAGAATTAATTCCAAAACTATCATTTGGAGTCATAATACATATATGAATACCCAAATCTTCTACAAATCTAGCAAAAGAAGGGACACATTTTCTACAATGAAAAACAAAGCTATTTATTATCAGGCCTAAGAGAGCAATCATGCCTCCTAACAACATTCACATTACCTGTCCCTTCCAATCACAAATTATTACCAAATCGACTTTTAAAAGATATAATCTACCTCAATCAAATCGTATGTATTACTTACTTCCGTTTTTTTGCTTTAACAGGCTCATCTTCATTAATTTCTTCCATTAATTCTTGTTCCTCTTTAACTATAAGACAAAATTTAATTAAAATATTTAGGAATGAATCCTTCTGCTAATCACTACCAGAACACTTGCTTTAATAGTATTAAAAAGAAGCTGCAATTTATGGTTAGTTCACTCACTTGCACTCATAGAGAATTGCCACTTTTGGATCGACAGCATTGTCGGAGTTGGGTGCCCTGGCAAAAACATTTCAAATATTGTTACAAAGTCATTTGCATATATTTCACAAACTTTTCTTTTTAAAAATTACTGTTTACATAATATATTCACCTCTTAATATTCATCCCTTTATAAAACATTAAACAAAGCATAATTCTACACTTCCTCTATTTATCCTCCCTTTACATTAAATTTAATTCATTTTGAAATGTTTCTTGCCCAAACCTTAAATTTACAAATATATAAAATAAAGCTTTCTTGATTCAGGATTTACAGTACCTTTTAACAATGCACGTTAATGTATTTATCAAATGAATGAATCAAATATTTAAAAACAAATTCACGAAAAACAAAAGAAAATCACATATTGTTTCAACATCATTCAATACCATAGTTATAAAGTATTATTATCATACCTATAAAACAAGTATTGCTGAAGGTGAGCCTAGTACCTTCAGCACTAGATAGGCAAAGCGGCACTGACTCAGAAATTACTTATAATTCAGCATATATATAATGCATGAAAATGTCTCAATGACTATAAATGATACACACTAGGATTTATTTCATTAGAAGCATTAAATAATTCATTTATCTTGCTTCTATACCACTTGCGGGCCACAGTTCTATAAAAACACAATCATATCAACACAAGGGCAAATTACCAATAAGAAATACACAACAAAAATTACGTACAAATATCTGTACTCAATATATTAGTATGCCCTCTGAATATGAGATAGATTAAAAGATAATCTCTTAGTAAGGTTTAGGTGTCTAGTCTCAGGAATATAAGGAGCTTACCATCTAATTCAAAAGATTGAGATTTTGTATTTTTAAAAAATTTGTAATGTATTATTTCAAGAAATATATTACTAGTCACAAAAGGTGCTAAAAGGCCCACCGAGGAGCATTTTAGTAGTATTGATAAGCACTAAGCAAGCAGCAACACTACCAACCATATCTTGGACTAACTGAAAATCTTGAGTAGGACAATAAATTAAAGACACACATATTTTACAAAGCACAATCTTATCCAAATTCTCTCCATATTTTTAATCTCTATTATTTCATTCAAACTAGGATAGCAGTCTATTTTTTTCGAATGCTTCTTATATTCTTTGAAAAATAAAGGGTTTCTAAATGCCTTCCACATTTTCTATCAAAATATGAAAAGAATGTTAAAATCAGTGGATAAATTCCTAATTTAAAACTTACTTAGTTTCTTCAATTCCTCCATTCCTTTTTTATGAGGGGGCTCCTGAATAATTTTGTCAACATCTGCCCTGCCAATCAGATCATCAGGTCGGTCCCACATAGAAAGACGAGTGGTGGGATTATAAAAGAAGACCCGCTCATCACCAGTCCAAACGACACACCTAAGAATTGATGCAAAATATCATTCTCTTATGTTACAGAACATATTTTACAGCTAGGACTTCTTTCAGCCTGTTACAAGTAGGGAGATGAGGGTACTGAAGAACGACATGTTCTTATTACCAATAGTTATTTACAGAGAACCAAACATGGTTTTTACAAGATAACTGAATGACTCAAGCAAAAATAACAGATCAACATATTAACTGAGAAAACCAAGAAATGCAAAGCAATTTGTGATCAGAGATTAAAATGCTTAGGAATTTGGTTTGGCACACTCAATTTGAGAGTACTAAATTTTAAACTATCAGAAAGAATGAGTTTAATGGCAACAATAATGCTATTAAGCAGTTCTAAAGCTAAAGAACAGACATAGCATCCTAGCTACTATAGTTCTTAATATTTCTTAACAAACCAAAACTACATACTGAAATGCAACCTTCTATGAAGACTTTAAGATCTAATTATATCTAAAATAAAAAGTAAAGGGAAGGCCCAGCACGGTGGCTCAGGCCTGTAATTCTAACACTTTGGGAGGCCAAAGCAGGAGGATCACTTGAGCTCAGGAGTTTGAGACCAGCCTGGGCAACATGGTGAAAGGCCATCTCTACAAAAAATATTAATTAAAAAAATTAGCTGGATGTGATTGCACGAGCTTGTAGACCCAGCTACTCAGGGCTGAGGTGGGAGGATCACCTGAGCCCGGGAGGTCAAGGCTGCAGTAAGTTGTGATCGCACCACTGCACTCCAGCCTGAGCAATAAAGTGAGACCCAGTCTCAAAAAAAAAAAAAAAAAAAAAAAGTAAAGTACCAATTGCACTAGGGCATCATACACTGCAGCCCACTACAAGCACTACAAGCCATTGGTCCTGTTAATTACAGTTAGAAAACTCAAAGGAAAAAAAAAACCACAACTACATTCAGACTCTGTATAGTATAGTCTTAATGAATAAACAGAAAGCAATACGGAGGACAGCCAAAATTTAGAGAAACAACTGCAAGGGAGTAAATCTCCCATTTCACCCACCTCGTAGCTCTGCCCTGAGGGTGATCTCTGGTTGCAGAGTGGCATGGTTGCAGTAGCATGGCAGCTAAAACCCCAACAGAAACTAAGTCTATATGACCTGATCATCAAATTAATCAACAGTTGTCAAGTCCAAGGTAACTTACAAGTTGAAATGATCAGACTAAGCCTCCTATGTTAAGATAGTAAAAAACTTTGAAGCAACAATAACTATACCTCCCTGAGATAAAGAAAAACAC
The DNA here is from genome assembly GCF_000001405.40 of Homo sapiens. Lineage (NCBI taxonomy): Eukaryota > Metazoa > Chordata > Mammalia > Primates > Hominidae > Homo > Homo sapiens. The sequence continues at coordinate 146,477,231 of NC_000005.10, read as the reverse complement.
ACTTAAAATAAATGAAAAGAGTTCAGTAATGAAATATAAACTACAAAAAAAAAACCAAAAGGAAAATTTAGAAATTAAAAATAACTGAAATTAAATTTCACTGGATTGGCTCAAGACAGAATGGAGACGCCAGGAAACAATCAGTGAATTAGAAGATGGATCAGCTGGGCATGGTGGCTCACGCCCGTACTTCTCACACCTGCACTTTGAGATGCTGAGGTGCGAGGATCACTCGAAGCCAGCAGTTTGAAACCTGCCTGGGAAACAAAGTGAGACCCTCCATCTCTACAAAAAATAAAAAATTTTAAATTATCCAGGCGTGATGGCATGCACCTGTAGTCCCACCTACCCAGGAGGCAGGAGGCTGGGGCAGTGAGCTATGATCGTGCCACTGTACTCCAGCCTGGGTGACAGAGCAAGACCCTGTCACAAAAAAATAAAATAAAAAATCAATAATTAACTATCTCATCTGAAGAACAGAGGAGGTGGGGACGGACCCCCAAGTCCGAAAATTAATGAGGACCACGAAGCTCCAAATTGAGGGGGTTTGGAGTTGGTTACTAGCTTTTCATGTACAATACTCAAACAGAGAAACCACAACCCAGGAATATATTCTTGGAATACAGACTGTTTTTATAACTTTGAAACCAAGTAAATATTTTCCATAATTATTTTTTTTAAATGAGCCTGTGTAACAGTCAGTGGAATAATTATATAGAAATTATACAGAAAACAACTATTCCAAGTGCCTTTAAAACACAGTAATTTGATTATACATTCCTAGAGCAACAACAAAAACTATCTTCAGTAATTATATTGTTAGTGATAGTTTTGGTATTGTTACTCAGTGACATGTCTGAGAAAAGCAAATGAGTAATTAGGTCACTATCATTGAGAAACAGTATTTTCAGCAAGAAATGAGATACTGAAGATAGATGATGAGGTTCAATAAAAATCTTCAGGTAGATCTAAATGGCAAGTAATGGTATCAACTCATGCTGTATCTTTGAATGTGTATATCTTCCAGCTGGGTCTGCCAAAGAAGTCTAAAAATAATGACTAATTCAGTTGCAAACTATCCACTTCCCACAAAAGTGCCAAGAGCCCCCTGCAGAAATGGCTCAGTCTAGGTCTGAGACAGGAAATATATACAAGATAAGCCTAGAACATCTTGTCACAGCAGAAAGCAGGGAAGCTACAGAGGATTTTAACAAAAAAAAACCTAAAAAGTTAGCGCAAGAGGCTTCTCCTGACCAAAGATGAGACAATTTTAAACATCAATAAGGATAAAAACTGCAATAGATTAAAAACATAGAAAATATATTTAAACCTATGAATAATACTCAAACCAACTCACTATTCTGAAAACTGCTAAGCCCTTCCCTTCCTATACAATTTGTACCTCTAAGTGACCAATGGTGATAAGGGGAAGTATCTCTCTATAAGCATCCCAGTTAATGAAAAGGGAATAAAAGAAATACATTACCACTACTTTCAACCCTTAACACAGTTATGCCTAGTGTTCCATTATTGGAACGCTAAGCTTGTGGGATTTATATCCTACTGCTCAAGGTCATTGCCAAGGTCTGATTTTTCACAAAAAAAATTTGCAACCTTCAGCATAAATGGGTTAATGATTTAATCGGGTTAATGATTTAATCAATCTTGGCCAGAGTTTTTCAATCTTACACTGCTGACATATTGGGCTAGGTAAGTAATTCTTGTTGGGAGCAGTCCAGTGCATAATAGGATGTTTAGAGCATCCCTAGCATCTATCTGCTAGATGCCACTAACACCCTCCAAGTTTTGACAACCAAAAATTGTCTCCAGGCATTGCCAAACGTCCACTAGGGGCAAAATTACTCCTAGTTGAAAACATCTGATCTACACAATAATAATCATCACTTATGAACTAGGCTTGCCAAAAAGATTAAATCCGAATCTGATCACACTTCTAGACCTGCTTGCCTGTCTGTAGGAAATTCAGGAATGGAGGATCCTATTAGACAGTACCATGGGGACAAATCCAGACTTGGGAACACTATAGGAAAAACATTTATTTCTTCAATAACAAAAACAAGGAAAAGAAGTCAGAAGGGAACCTATAGATTACAAGACTTCAGAAACAAGCCAAATCATTGCAATGTGTGGATTGTATATAGATTAAATAAGTTGGAGCAGGAACAGGAAATGAAGCACAGATGTGGCAAAAGGAAGAAAAGGGAAAAACAAGATAAGAGAAAAAAAGAAGTAGACAGGCGTACCTCGGATATTGTGGGTTCAGCTCCAGACCAACAAAATACAGCAAATATTGCAATAAAGTAAATCTCAAAATTTTTGTATCCCACCATATACAAAAGTTATATTTACATCATGCTGTAGTCTATTTAGTGTGCAACATTATGTCCAAAAGAACCAATGTACATACTATAATTTAAAAATACTTTATTGCTAAAAAAATGCTATCATCTGAGCTTTCAGGGCATCATAATGTTTTTGCTGGTGGAGGGTCTTGCCTCAATCTCTTGATGGCTGAACACTCATGAGGCTGGTGGTTGCTGATGACTGGGGTAGCTGTGGCAATTTCTTAAAATAAGACAAATATGAAGTTTTCTATATCAATTGACTCCCCCTTTCGCAAAAGATTTCTCTGTAGCATGCAATGCTGTTTGATAGCATTTTACCTACAGTACAGCTTCCTTAAAGTTTGGCATCAATCAAAATGGAAGCCCTGCTGCTGCTTTATCCACCAAGTTTATGTAATATTCTAAATCCCTTATTATTTCAACAATGTTCATGGCATCTTCACCAGTAGATTCTATCTGAAGAATTCACTTTCTTTGCTCATACATAAGAAGCAACTCCTGACCCATTACAGTTTTCTCATAAAATTGCAGCAATTCTGGCTCATCTTCAGGCTCATTTCTAATACTAGTTCTCTTGCTATTTCCATCACATCTGCAGTGACTTCCTTCACTGAAGTCTTCAGTTCCTCAAAATCATCCATGAGAGTTGGTATCAACTTCCTCCAAACTCCTGTTAATGTTAATATCTGGACCTCCTCCCATGAATCACCAGTGTTCTTAATGGCATCTACAATGGTGAATTGTTTACAGAAGGTGTTCTATTGACTTTGCCCAGATCCACCAGAGGAATCACAATCTACGGCAGCTATAGCCTGATGAAATCACAATCTATGGCAGCTATAGCCAGATCCACCAGAGGAATCACAATCTATGGCAGCTATAGCCTTATTACTTTCAGTAATAAGACTTGAAAGTCAAAATGACTCCTTGATCCATGGGCTGCAGACTGGATGTTGTTAGCGGCATGAAAACACCATTCATCTCCTTGTACATTTCCATCACAGCTCTTGGGTGAAGAGGTGCTTTGTCAATGAACAGCAATATTTTGAGGAAAAAAACAAACTTCTTTCTGAGCAGTAAGTCTCAACAGTGGGCTTAACTCAGTAAACCATGCTATCAACAGATATGCTGTTATCCAGGCTCTGCTGTTCCATTTATAAAGCACAAGCAGAGTAGATTTAACGTCATTCTCAAGGGCCCTAGGATTTTCAAAATGGTAAATGAGCAGTGGCTTCAACTTAAAGTCACCAGAGAGATGGTGAGAGTCAGCCCATCCTTTGAAGCCAAGCGGTGACTTCTCTCTAGCTATCAAAGTCCTGGGATGGCATGTTCTCCCAATAGAAGGCTGTTTCGTCTACACTGAAAATCTCTTGTTTAGTGTAATTGCCCTCATCGATAACCTTAACTTGATCTTCTGGATAACTTGCTACAGCTTCTACATCAGCACGTGCTGCTTCCTCTTGCACTTATGTTATGGAGATGGCTTCTTACTTAAATCTCATGTACCAACCTCTACTAGCTTCCAACTCTTCTTCTGCAGCTTTCTCACCACTCTCAGCCTTCACAGAACTGAGGGCAGGTAGGGCATCTCTTGTGGATTAGGTTTTGGCTTAATGAAATGTTGTAGCTGGTTTGATCATCTATCCAGACCACTCAAACTTTCTCCATTATCAGGAATAAGGTTCTTATCATTCTTATGTTCACATGAATAGCACTTTTCATTTCCTTCTTTTGCATTCACAACTTGGCTATTTAGCCCAAAAGGCCTAGCTTTCAGCCTATCTCGGCTTTTGACATGCCTTCCTTACTAAGCTTAATCATGTTTAGTTTTTGACTTAAAGTGAGAGGTATGTAGCTGGGCATGGTGGCTCATGCCTGTAATCCCAGCACTTTGGGAGGCCAAGGTGGGCGGATCACGAGGTCAGGAGATCGAGACCATCCTGGCTAATACGGTGAAACCCCATCTCTACTAAAAATGCAAAAAATTAGCCAGGCGTGGTGGCGTGTAACTATAATCCCAGCTATTTGGGAAGCTGAGACAGAAGAATCGCTTGAACCCAGGAGGCGGAAGTTGCAGTGAACCAAGATCGCACCACTGCACTCCAGCCTGGGCGACAGAGCAAGACTCCGTCTCAAAACACACACACACACACACACACACACAAAGTGAGAGGTATGTGACTCTTCCTTTCACTTGAACACTTTGAGGGCATTATAGGGCTACTAATTGGCCTAATTTCAATATTGTTGTGTCTCAGGGAAAATGGACACCCGAGGAGAGGAAGAGAGATGGGGAACAGCCGGTCGGTGGAACAGTTAGATCACACACGTTTATCAATTAGGTTCACCATCTTACATGGGTGTGGTTTGTGGCACCCCAAAACAATTACAACAGTAACATAAAAGATCACTGATCGCAGATCACTGTAACAGATATAAAAATAATGAAAAAGTTTGAAATATCCCAAGAATTACCAAAATGTAACACCGAAACACAAAATGAGCACATGCTGTTGAAAAAATGAAACCAAGAGGCATGTTAGATACAGGGTTGCCACAAAACTTTCAATTTTTAAAAACACAGTATCTATGAAGCACAAGATAGTGGAGCACTATAAAATGAGGTATGCCATACTTAGATTGAAAGACATAATTTTACACAATTCTATAAATGTAATCGCATAGTGAGTAAACATGCAAAAACAAATTTAAAATATTTTAAACAAAAAGTAGATTCAGGATCTCACAGTGGTCATGTCTATAATTATGAAGAATACACATTAATGGAGAGTAGTACTAGGAAGACACTTGTAGTAATTGAACTTCAGTTTTGAATAACTCAAATACAACAAAGGCCAAAATATTCAGTAGATAAAAACATATTTGACATACACTTTTTAAAGTACTTTTTCTTTCTACAAAATAAACCATGTAACAATCAAGTATGATTTTTAAAAATTACTACTTGAGGCCGGGCACGGTGGCTCACACCTGTAATCCCAGCACTTTGGGAGGCCGAGGCGGGCGGATCACGAGGTCAAGAGATCAAGACCATCCTGGCCAACATGGTGAAACCCCGTCTCTACTAAAAATACAAAAATCAGCTGGGCATGGTGGCGTGTGCCTGTAGTCCCAGCTATTCGGGAAGCTGAGGCAGGAGAATCGCTTGAACTAGGGAGGTGGAGGTTGCAGTGAGCCCAGATCGTGCCACTGCACTCCAGCCCTGGTGACAGAGTGAGACTCCGTCTCAAAAAAAAAAAAAAAATTACTACTTGAGCCAAATACATACCATGGAGTACCAGGAATAGGAGCAGTAGCAACTGGCTTTGCCTTCTGGGCAGCCTTTTCTTCTTCAGTCATCTCCTCTTCTTTGGGCTCCTACAAGAAATGATATTACTCTAATTAGTATCACATTAACAATACCTGAATGTTCCACAAAAACATGAAGGCAAACAGCTCAAAGTGCAATCAACACAAAATCTGCTGCTAGAATAAGAGGAGACTCTGAGTAGGAAGAAAGTTCTAAATCCTCATCCCCCAGAAAGAGCTGAATTTCACAATAGCAGAACCCAGCAGCAGCAGCTTGTCCTATCTTATAGACTCACTAACCATGTGCTTAGGAGCAGATATGGAGAACTACAGTACATACCTCTTCATTTAAGGTTGTTTCTTATTTCTGCTAGCTTTCCTGCTACTGAAACACGACTACCACTGATCCTTCACTGAATAAAAAACTCTTTTAGTGCTATACATGGATCATGCTATGCAAGAACACAACAGCAGAAAGGACAGATAAAATATATCTAACATTCCCCAAGTAAGAAGTTACACTTATAATTTTAACAAATACCACTCAGTTTATAAGTCAGAAGGTTAGAGATCAGGTCCAAGCTCTGGTCCAAGGCCCTGTCTTTCTATGGATCTCAGTTTAGTACAAGAAGTAATTTAATGACACTTTCAAAGAAAAAACTGAATTAAGAACTTGCAAGAATCCTAAAATTTCAGAGATCAAATTTATAACAATTATTTTTAAATCTATCCAATAGATACTCAGATACAAGTAAGCTGTAGGAAACAATTAATGTGGCTCCCAGGTTAACAGGTCATGGCCCTTTACCTCCTTTATCTCCTTTATAGGCTCTTCTTTAGGATCCTCCTCCTCCGTCTCCATTGGCAGAGGCTCTTCAGAGGGTTCTTTAATTGGCTCTTTAATCTTCTCTTCTAACTTTTCTATGAAAAAAATTAAGATAATGTCACTCAAAGGTTTTGACGTAATTTTCTAAGAACTTTCAGAGAATAAGCCATTAAGATATTCCATTCCCAAGTATTAACCATGAAGATAAAATGTCTTTCCTTATATCTTTGATTTGAATCTTATGTAATGCACAACTTCAAATACCTTGCTATACCAATCAGGTAACTATCTGATTTGAAGATGACCTACTGACTTCGAAGGCACATTAAATCTTTCAGGTCATTCATATATCATTTGTAGCAATCATTCATTTTGCTAAAAGGGATAAGATACTAAGATACTTAGGAATAGAAAAGGGGGTTTGGTGAGCTGGGCACAATGACACATACCTATAATCCTCAGCTACCTGGGAAGCTGAGGCAGAAGGATTGCTTAAGCCCAGGAGTTCAAGACCAGCCTGGGCAACACAGTGAGGCTCTGTCTCAAATTTTAAAAACAACAATAATAATAGCAGCTTGTGATATAGAAAATTATGAATCTTCTACATCTAAGACCCTAAGGGCCTAAATTTTTTTCTTCAGAACACATATAAAAAACACATTCCTTCCTGATCTGTATTATCAATCTCAATGATGATTACAATAATTATGCAATATAATTAGAAAATTCCTAACAGTAAAAATATGTACATACATATGTACGTACATATAACCATTTCTCCAGATGGAAAAAAATGATGACAAACATGTAAGTAGAACTAGTTTTTAAAATAAATATTTATCAATTCAGTAAAAATAAACAATCCAATGACTGTGTAATTAGAAAATCCCTCAAATATGTTAAAAAGAAATTAACTCAGAATTTCAAATACCATTCTACTTATTACAGTTTATACTACTTTCCAAGTCATTAAAACCACTATATACCTTTTTCCTTTAGTTCTTGGGGTTTTTCCCAGGTTGATTCTAATGTTCTATTATTATAATAATATGTCTTCCCATCTGCTGTTTTATATTCAGTCCATTCAGAAACTGCTGTTGCTCCAGCTAAGGTAGCAGGTGAAGCTGCAATAGCAACCTGGGGATGTATCATGGGTACGATAGGAGGGGCCATTCCTGGCAATACACCTAAAAAAAGAATAATAAAAAATTAGATCCAAGTATCAAACCGCAATACAAAATAAAACTCTAAAATATGAGCTAAATCTTTCTATTAAATATTAATAAATGAATGGACCAGTTGGAACAAAACAAAAATCATATAAAAAGGTGACATAAAAATACCACTTAATTCTATTTCCCTGGATTTTTAGTTCTAATGCCTAAACTCAATTAGACACAGAAATTCAACCCTTAAAAACAGTCAGAAATTTGGATCTCACCTATGACAAAGTCTTAACATAATAAATATTTAAAAACATGGTATATTCTCTACTTATGAATAGAAATCTATTTTTATGAAGATAATTTATCAAATTCTAATGAAGACAACAAACATATTTACTACACATATTTCCTTAGGCAAAATTATTTTTAATTTTAAGGTAACTAAAAGGGTATGAATATTCTCAGTTTTATAGCAAATGACTGAGTTTATCGACTCTAAATGATTAACTCAAATATCCTTATACCCTTTGTTTACTCTTTTCCTAAGAGAAAGCAAAGCTCGTCTACTTTTTAGAAGACAAACCAAGATTTATATTTTTTACAAGACAGCTAAATAAGCTGGTAATATATAAATAAAATACTATTAAAATAAGGATATGTGAATCAAAACTGGAAAAAAAAAAAGTCCTCAAATCCTATACTGAATTTTAAGTTTCAGGTAGTTATCTTACTTCAATAACTTTAAAATGTAAATGTATACTATACACATGTATTCACACACATATACTCACTAGCATGCAAGCATAATCACATCACTTTACACATGGAAATGTTTTTTTATATTTAACTTAAAAACACACATCAAAAATAAAATTAAATGTTATGAATATGAGAATGAAGTTGTTTACACTTATTACATAAATTAAGATATAAAGTGATCTGACCTTATTTGTTTTTGTGAACCAAAGAAGCTAATACTACAGGCAATTGGGAAAATTAAGTGTTGGCCAAATATGACAACTGCATTTATACTGCTCATTAAAAAGAAAAATATAAAAATATCCACTCACTTGGGCAAAAAATAAATAAAAGGATAAACAACAACATTCACTACCATGCCAACTTACAGACAAAACAAACTAAGATGGTTTTAAAAATTACCGGTCTTGGTGGTAGCGACTGTCTTTACATACGGGCAGCTGACTATTTGCATCATTGCTACACCTGTAAAATGGATAAGCAAGCATACGTTGGAAAGCTGCCATTGTATGTCGGCTACCACTGGGATTCAGGGAAATAATTTACCACTACAATTTAGAATGCTATTTCCAATGAAAAAGACCAAGAATGGAGTAAAATTTCTTTCTGTTTGACATTTTGTGGGAAGTGCTGCCAAATCCAATGACACTAATTCTAAATGATACCATCAATTACCTTTTTATCAAACCAGCTCTGAACATATTGAAGGAGTCTTAAGAGTTTAAATTCAACAAAAGAAAGCCCCTTCATTACACATACATAACAAATTCTCATGTGGGACATTTTCCCACAGGACATCAAACCCATGCTGCTGTTGCTTAGATACCAGTAAAAGGCAGATGCAGCATGACACTGACAAGACACTTTCTCTATGCTGCCGCTAAGTTGAAACTACATGCAGGAGCTGAGGCATGGAGTACAACCATGCAGAAGTAAAAAAGGAATAAGCTAGGGGTGGTGAGGAGAGGAAGAAAGTAAGGTATGAGATGGATCCAAATATTCCACTGCAAATAATACTTTAAATAAAAGAAAGGCAAAGATGAAGAGGAAGGTAGCATTTCACTAATGCCAAAATATCCATGTTTAGTGCCTGCTCTATGGAACCCCATGGCCTTAGAACACTGTGGAAGCAGGCTAAAACATTAAGAAACATACAGCCCCTTTAATACCACTAATGACTACTTGGGCTGATGGCTGCAGAAACTTCTATCATTTAAGCTAACTAAAGAAGTAGTACTTGTATTAAAGAATGAAAATTATGTACAGTTCTTAGAAGAATGAAGACTCATCATGATGCATTACAATGGTGATTTTTAAAAAGGGAATGAAAAGAAAAGCTGCAAAACTAAGACTGATTAACTGAGAAAATTAAAAACTTTTAGAGGAAAAGGCCAAAGTCTGAAGAAAAGTATAGGGGCAATAATTTTTACTTTTTTATTTTTTTCAGCTGAAAAAACTAAGCTTAGTTGGTACTCTATAAAAATTAAAAATAGTAACAATAAACTATTTTCCCCACTAAAGGACAGGAAAAAAATTTCTCCTACCTCTGAGACTAAAAGTAAAATTAAACTCCTGGGTTTGTATACAATTTAACTATGTTCACACAAGCAAACAAAAATAGTGTCAATTATTGAAAAGTACCTTTATTTCTTAATTACTATTTTATATAAAGAATAAAGTAAACTTTCTATTAACTTTTAAACTAAAATAAAAACATTGGATCATGAAAGCATGTTGAATAAAGTTATATGTATAATTTTATTTTCCCTAATGTTGAAAGAAAGCAATGGAAAAATTCATTTGGTTAAGGAAGTTACAGCATGGATTAAGTTTAATCAGTATAAATACTGCCATCTGCAGGAGCACTGAACCTACTAAACTCAGCACAGGAAATTCAATTCTTATGAATATACGAACTTTACTCTCAAAGACTGTTCTCCAAAACCATCTTCCAATAAATAATTTTAACTATACAACTTATGCAGAAGAAAATCAAATCTATTCATACATAGGCTTAACCACCATTATTAAAAATCAGTTGGGCTCGCAGAACTCTTCTATTTGACTATCAACATACAGACCATATAGAAAGGTCCTGTGTTTCTTCTCATGCTAAAAAGATACACTGAAGTTTCTCTCAAAGTGATTACATGCAGATTGTGAATACTCGCAAAATAAAAATCTAAATTTTTAACCTTTTTTTTTAGAGGGAGCTTTTGTTCAATTTTCCTACAACTCTGTCCTCAAATTATTATCTAAGAAATAAGAAAATTCCACTCAGCATTTTGGATGATTCCAATGTCACAGACAGTTAAGTTTCTTAAAATTCCAGATAAGATTTTATAGTTTTAGAAGTAGAACTCCTATAATCCTAGACCCATTTATCCAAACTCCACCCCCTACTCTTGTATTTTACCTAATTCTTCCACTCCTTCCCTTTATCTTGTTTGACCATCCGTTCCTCAATCATCCTCATTAGACCCATACAATACTATTTCAAAGAGAAATTAAGCCTCCAAGACAAATTACATACAAATCCTTCCCATTCACCTTATTGCTGAATTGAATTAAAAGGCAAAAACCAGGAGACACAAATCTCATTGTTTGTAAAACCAAAGATTTGGGGAAGAAAAAAACAAGTCTTCTTTGTCCTTGTTTTTTACTAAACACCTTGTAGGACTGAGTTAAAAGGGAAAATGAGAAAAGTGAACAAATATCAATACCAAAAAGTCTTAATAAACAAACTAATATTTGATGCTAATATATCTTTTTTTTTTTTTTTTTTGAGACAGAGTTTCGCTCTTGTTGCCCAGGCTGCAGTGCAATGGCGCGATCTCGGCTCACTGCAACCTCCACCTCCCAGGTTCAAGAAATTCTCCTGCCTCAGCCTCCCGAGTAGCTGGGCATGCACCACCACGCCCGGCTAATTTTGTATTTTTAGTAGAGATGGGGTTTCTCCATGTTGAGGCTAGTCTCGAACTCCTGACCTCAGCTGATCCACCCACCTCGGCCTCCCAAAGTGCTGGGATTACAGGCGTAAGCCACCGTGCCCAGCCTAATATATCACTTTGTATGACACTCACTCTCTCCAAAGAAATCTTAGACTATCCAATTCAAGTTCTCTTCCAACTGACCCCCAAAATGTCACTAATGGCTACTGTTTATTGAATGACTTCTACTGCCAAACTTCACAGGTACTGCTTCATTTGGTGACTCAAATGGTCACCACCACCTGTCCAAATCTTTTTAATGATGGAGCAAGGATATGCTTGCTCCATATGACATCAAAATATGTCATCATATTTTGGGGAAAATATGACATCAAAATGAAGCTAGAGCCAGAGGGATTTTATTGTGAGAAACTTCTACTTTCTATAGAAATACATTTTGCTATTGTGTACCTTTCATCCATTAGTCCTAATAAGAACCTCTAAAGAAAAGCAAAAGTTGTTCAAATGACAGCCTTTCAAAATACTTCAACAACATTATCATGCTACCTCTCAATCTTCCCTCTACAAAATGAGCAACCCCAACTCCTTGAGATCACTCAGAATCCACGATCTGGTCTTAATACTGTCCTTAACCCTAAAGCAGACCAAAATTACAAAAAGAGGTTGTGACAAATATCAGGCTATTCTCCATCTATGATTTAGTTTTCCCAGAAAAATTACACATAGAGAAAAGTATCCAGCTGCTTGTCTTAAATTTAATCTAGAAAAGGGATAATCCCTAATAGTAGGGAAAACATCTTTTGTTTTCTTTTTAAATGATTTGAATTTCTTAAACACCACATAATGGGCATTTAATTATCTAACACTACATCAACAATGTATACAAGGTTTTCCAAATTAAAAAAAAAACCTGAAATTTTTGGTTTCTTTCTTGACAAGGTATATCTGAAGGTGTCCTTTTCAGAGTGGTCACAAAGAAAAAGACAACCAGTGCAATAGTGATAATTAAGATGTGTGCAAATCTAAGAAATAGCTGTATCACAACTGTATTCTTACACAGAAAGGAGTATAAGAAAGTAGCAATAAGTGGATGGAATGTGAACTTGAGAGACAAGAGGCCTAAGTTCTATTCATCTTTGCTACAAACTAGCCCTGTGAACCTGACCTCTCTAAGGTACCAATACTTTCAACTATAACACAAGGAGAATGAACCATGGATCAAGGATTAAATGTGTTTGACAAAAACTAATGCATTCAAATTTGGAATGCCCAACACTATCATTTTTAAACCCTATGGTAAGAATTCCACTCCACAATATTTCTTAATTCTTTCTCTAGTTTTAATGACTTCTCTTAAGACAATATAACACATTAATTCACCATAACAATTTAAACTTTTAAATGATGCACATTATGCTTTACTTCATAATTGTTACAAGGGAACCTTCTAGTTCCTGTTTTATATGAATTGTTTTATAGTTAAATCACTCACATTTTCTTCCCAGTATTAACATAGTTATTAAAAGCTTACTATCTGGATGTGGAGGGCACAGGCTCAAATCTCAACATCATCACTTATTAGCTATGTGACCTTGGGCAAGTAATTTAACCTGTCTGTGTACCTATCTCGTAACATGGGTTGTAAAAATTAAAGGAGTTAATGCATGTAACATGCTTACAACAGTGCACTGTATATAAATCATCCAACTTGTGTTAGCTATTGTGACGTGATTTCTCAACTTCATAAACTCAACCCTTCAAAAATATTGCATTTAGAACATTATTTACATGAAAAGATAATCATTTTTAACTCATTGAGGGCATTATCCAAAATAAGTGTAGCTTTAAATGTGGCTCTAATTTTAGGACATGTAAACAACAACAAAAAAAGGACATTTACCAAAACTTAAGAGAAAATATTGCAGTTAGCCATGAATCTTTCAAAAACGTTTCAAACAGGTGAGATTCAAGGCAAATTTCAAACGCAACAGACACATGAGAACAAACTAACTGACAATATGAAAACATAGCTGGAAAGACCATTATAATCTGTTGGTTTACCTGGAAGTGGAATTGGCATGCCAGGAAGGGGAACACGAAACGGAGGTACCATTACTGGTGGAAAAGCAGGTATTGCTGTTGTTGGCTGAGGTACTGAATGAGGAACAGCAGGAGGTAACGTCTGAGGGTGCGGCTGGGGAACGGTTTGCACAGGTGTGGCTGTAGGAGCAGGAGTTGAAACACTAACTGTAGGCGTGGCAACTGAAACAGCAGAACTTGGGGTCTGATCTTGTGTTGTGGGTGCTGATAAAAGATAAAACAAAAACATGTATCACTCCTTCATAAATCATTTTACTATATTCATTCATCATTTACACATTCAGTAATTTAAGTATTTAAGGGACCATTCTATGCACTGCAAGAAATTTGTCAAAAGGTCTTATCTTCAAGAAGCTTGAAAATACTTAAATGAAATACAAAAATGAATACAAAGTAAAATGGGATAAACATATAGGAGTAAAAATCAAGACCCAAAGAACATTTCTAACTGTGAGAGGGTATAGAAAAGTTTATATTGGGATGCTGCGCCTTGAAAAATTAAGATTTCAACAAGAAAAACAGCAGGAAGGGGTAGAAGAAAAAAATAAACCAGTGAGAAAAGTATGAATAAGGCAAAGAGTAAAGAACCAAAAGGAATTGTTTAGAAAATTGAAGGCAAGCAATTAATGAGTGAAACAGTAGGCATACCAACAAAACTAGTGAGTTGTGTGGCTGGAAAGGTAGGCCAGAAGCAGAAATTAGAAAGCCTTGAACAAAAGGCTAAGGAGTATGCCCTTAAATGGATAGGAAAAGGGCAGAACTTAGGTAAATATAGAGAAAATTATCTAGTAGAATACAAGACAAAATACATTAATGGTAGTTACCCTCTGTGAATGCCTCTTTCACATTTTACTATTAATATATACGTTTTGTTAGACTTTGAACTTTTTATAAGAATGCATTCACATTATTTATGTGATTTCATGAAGGTAAATGGGTATATAGCAAACTAAAGGTTCCTGTATGGAAGAGTAATAAACAGGTTTCATTTGATGAATTAACCTCACAGATGCATAGGAAGAAAAGAACAGAAAAAGATAAGCAAATAACTAATGACTAACTGGATATGAATGAATGGAATCAAAAACAACTCAGGTTTCTCTCATTATTTTAAAAAAATAAAATTTTTTTAAACTGAGGTTTCCATTGTGAGAGACCAGGAAAATGTGAAATTCAGGATCATTTGGGTTCTGCTAACACATTATTTTTAAATATCGAAAATAAAACATCCCATTCCTAGTAATTGCATTTAAAATCAAACTAAAAACTAAAATCCTTATTTCATACTTTTCAGTTTCAATTCTCACATGTTACAAAACAATTTTGTTATTTATTCATAACCCATCTAGTTCCAAAATAAAATTCATTTTGGTAATTCATTGGTAACAAATACTTCATCTTTTTTTGATGTAAAGAAAAAAATGTCTACCTGTATCGGACTAAGAATGAATTTGTCAAATGAAATAAAATGAAAACAGTGCTTTCCCAATCTTTATGCCAACTTTGTTCTAAACAAAAGCACACTATTTAATACAAATCACCCAATAATCCAACTGACAACAAAATCTGTCAGTATCTTTTTCTAGCTTCTAATAATGAAAAACTCACTTAGGCTGGGAAGATGTGAGCAATTTCGTACTTGTTAATGAGGGACTCACCTTGGCTAAATAGACAGCAGGGCCAAACAAGTATCTTCAGGGGCCCAGGAATGAATTGTTGGTCTAGCATAGACCTAGCCTTAGGGTACAGTATCATATTAATATAATTTTATAACAGTGTGAAAAATACAAAGTACATGCAACATTTGCCCAGTCCCATACATATACCATTTAGCATTTGTAATCTACTATACTGGCTGAAAATGTATCTGGTCATTGTTCCCAACTTCCCTGAGAAGTAGGATTTCTTCATCATTTTTCACAAACTTGCACAAAATGAGTTTATGCTCAACTGGGATTAAAATATATTCTTAATTTTTAGTCCCATTTACCCCACAGATCTATACTGTAGCTCAGAAAATTAAAATTTAAATATTATTATAGTATTCAGATAATTGCTAAAATTGTGATCCAAAGTACTATAGTCAGGAAAATAAATAAGGGCATCAAATTTCAAGTGGAAAAGAACACCAATGGAGATGACAAAAAATATTTACAACCCATTCCTCTTACTTTCCAGCACAGCATTTTCTGAATTTGATTAGCAGCCATGAGTCACGACAGGAAAAGAACAAAAGCAATAAAATAATGGGAAACTGGGAGAATGGTATCTAAGACTTCAGTGGGTAAATTCCCACTAACTTCATTTGCTAAAGTAGCTAGTGAAGCACTAGGCCTCAAAATATACTAACCCAGCCTCAGATCTTAACTAAAAAAGACAAGTGACTATATATAATAGATGGAGAAATATTAAGATTGCAGTAAGACAACACTTTATGATACTAAATCAAGTAAAATAAAAACACACACTGGAATACGTAGACAACATCAAAATTGATGTTTAAAAGCAGTAAAAAGAATATGATTTTGCTATATTATATTTCTGGGAATAAAGTCCTCCCAATCACTGAAGAGTAAAGCAAAACTGACAAACAGGACACAAGACAGCTATGAGCTTACTGACACACTACTCTGAAAACAGACATGGACTATATATAGTATGGTTAAATTATCTAGCTCATCACCTTTCCTAAAACAAAACGAAGCACTACTATTTCTCCTTTCTAAGAACGCAGGAAAGAAAATGTAAGCAACACAGAGCCTCCACATAAAACTACATTGCTTTTATTAATCCCCTTCTCCCATTACTACCACAGGTCTCCCATAAAAACTGGTAGTCTCCTGCCTTGCCACAGAGGTTTGGGAAGCACTAAACCTATAAAAAGGTAACAACCCTTAACAGACTAGCTAGTATGACTGTTATACTTTCATATCAAAATTCACCTTCACTACAAAAGCAAACAGATTTGTAAAACACTATTCATATTTTCCTGTTCAGTACATTCCCCCGCTACAAAATGTCTAAAAACCATTAAGAGGATCTTTAAAGGCTATCCCCATATTATATGTACCTTACTTGACTGCTTCAGTTGCTTTTTATCAATAAAATAAATTCAAATTTGAAGCCAATGTGAATTAATTTCTCTCTTATACGTATTTCTTACACACTAATAATTCCCAAGTCCCTGAAGTAATCACAAAAAAACCCCACATTTTTTCTTTATTCTTATCAATTATCCTGGTAGTAAAATAATACAAATTATAATCACACTGTAGGGACAGCTGTGTATCTTGAGACAAGTGCCATAACAAATAATCAAATAAAAAAATCATTATTTAAGTACTTTCGGGCTTAGTCTCAACCTGCAGAGTAAGGAGCAACATCCATATATTGATACAAAAAAAAAAAGAAAAAAGAAAAAAAGAAAGAAACCCCCCAAAAAGAAAGCAATATTGTCACATTAATAACAATCTTTTAAGCAAATTAATAGCTGTGTCCCTCTCTTAATCTCTGAAATCTGCTATTAATCGACTCTCACCTTTTCAGAAAAGATCTACTCTTTGGGCCTCTGTGAGTTTACACCTGAAAATTCTCCTGCCTTTCTGACTGCTCCCTTCTATGGCAACTCCTCAATTCACCTACTCGCATCCCAGTCTAGAAACTATTCTAAAAGAGATTACTGAGAAGCTCCTAATAAACCTCCCTTATTTCATCACCACCCAAAAAACCAACACCAAAAAAAATCCTCCAAAATACTGCATTTATACAGGCCCCCAGTGCCTGTCTCACCTATTTGCCTAGTTCTTAAGACCCTTCAAAAAAAACACCCTCTCACCTCAGAAGTTTCCTAAAAACCCATAAACTACATTTATCATTTTCCTGACCTTTATTCATGTTGCTTCTCCTACCTGAAAATCCTTTCCTTACCTGTGAACCTGCTTAAACCCTACTCCGTTTCCTTCATGATAAATACCCATGTAGTCCACCCACTCATTTATCCACTTCTCAAATTCTTACATCTTTCTCACTGTATAGTTTTGCACACCAATATCTAATTGTTTAACACGTGTTATTCTTGCCTCCTCGATTAGGAATACTGGAAACTGTAAGGTAGGGACCAAGACTTACACTTATTTTGCAAACCCACAATGCCCGGCATTACTGTTGGCCAAGTGGAACAGCTAACTTTGCACTTTCTCAATTTAGCTTCATAAACTGCAACTGGGCAAATAATTTCTCCTGTTAATATAAATTCCTGTTTTCCTCTAACCCAAAAGTTTTAGTGTCAAAAATGTATTTTAAATAATTCTGGTATTAAAGGATAATACCAGAAACACTGGGATCAATATGAAATGTAGTCCCCTACTTGTTCATGTCTCTAGCCCCTATATAAAAACACATGCTGAGTGGTACTCACTTGATACTGTCTGCGCAACTGAAGTAGCAGTTGTTGTGGTAGAAGTGGTAGAGGAAGGGGTGGATGATGATGTTGAAGTGGATACTGCAGGTGCTGGGCTACTGGTCGTAGGGGTGGAAGCTCCAACTGCTTGTGCTTGCACTTGTGCCTGGACCTGGGCCTGGACCTGAGCCTGGGCCTGGGCCTGAGCTTGTGCCTGAGCCTGAGCCTGGGCCTGGGCTTGGGCTTGGGCCTGGGCCTGGGCCTGGGCCTGGGCCTGGGCCTGAGCCTGAGCCTGGGCCTGAGCTTGTGCCTGGGCCTGAGCCTGCGCCTGGGCCTGAGCCTGCGCCTGGGCCTGAGCCTGAACCTGTGCCTGGGCTGCAAGCATAGGTGTCAGTTCTGATTGCTGAATAACCTTAACTCCATCTGGCTTGGTCCATGCAGATTCACGTGTCCGAGCATTATAATAATAAACCTGCAGCGGAAGCAAAAATCAATGGTATCATAAAATCTGTCAGTTATTATTAAAAACAAGAATGGAACCATATTTTATCTTTAAAGCTATTTAAAAATAACGTAGGGCCAGGCGTGGTGGCTCATTCCTGTAATCCCAGCACTTTGGGAGGCAGAGGCAGGTGGATCACTTAAAGTCAGGAGTTCAAGACCAACCAGCCTGGCCAAAATGGTGAAACCCCATCTCTACTAAAAATATAAAAAAATTAGCCAGGTGTGGTGGCCGGCATCTGTAATCCCAGCTACTCGGGAGGCTGAGGCAAAACAATCACTTGAACCCAGGAAGTGGAGGCTGCAGTGCGCCGAGATCATACCACTGCACTCCAGCCTGGGTGACAGAGGGAGACTCCATCTCAAAAATAAAAAATAGCTGGGCGCGGTGGCTCACACCTGTAATCCCAGCACTTTGGGAGGCTGAAGTGAGCAGATCACCTGAGGTCAGGAGTTTGAGACCAACCTGGCCAACATGGTAAAACCCTGTCTCTACTAAAAATACAAAAATTTAGCTAGACGTGATGGCAGGCGCCTGTAATCCCAGCTACTTGGGAGGCTGAGGAAGGAGAATCACTTGAACCCGGGAGGCGGAGGTTGCAGTGAACCAAAGATCGCACCACTGCACTCCAGGCTGGGTGACAGCACGAGACTCCATCTCAAAAATAAAAAAATAAAAAATAAAATAAAATAAAATAACTTAGGGCCAGGCACAGTGGCTCACGCCTGTAATCCCAGCACTATGGGAGGCCAAGGCGGGTGGGATTACCTGAGGTCAAGAGTTCGAGACCAGCCTGGCCAACATGGTGAAACCCTGTCTCTATTAAAAATACAAAAATTAGCCGAGCATGATGGCAGGTGCCTGTAACTCCAGCTACTCAGGAGGCTGAGGCAGGAGAATTGCTTGAATCCAGGAGGCAGAGGTTGCAGTGAACCAACATTGCACTACTGCTCTCTAGCCTGGGCGACAGGGTGAAACTTCCATCTCAAAAAACAAAAACAAAACAACAAAAATAGGTAATTCCACCCCACAGCCCAATTTTCTATAATGAGCACAAAGGAAAACCCATGTTATGTTTTATGCAGAAATTCAACATAACAGACCTGAGACAGCTATCTGTAGAAAGCCCTGCTGACCCTTATCTGGAGTCCAAGAACTTGGATTTCAGGAGGGTTGACATTCCCTTACTGATAAGAATGGCTCGATGTGCCTAAACCAGCTACGCTGAACACCTGCTTTCCTTCTAGGAGCCTGGAATTTGGTATGTGCTAGGCAGATGGTACCAATGTGACCAGAAGCTTCCAGAATCACAGGTAAATGTGTGTTAGCACTCCAGGCAACCTTATATCTGCTGCACAAAAACTAAATCCAGTCAGCTTCTCCTGAAGTCTTACCCCATTCCCTGCTCACCCAGGGCTCATTCTTAAATGACAGTATCACTGACCTCAATCTGCCAGAACTCTTTAAGTTTTACTCCTCTGTCAACAAATGACAACTTAAATATATTTTATTATTTACCTTCCCATCTGGAGTTTTATTTTCAACCCATATCTCCTCCGTAGGAGGTAGTGCTGGAGTACCAGGAGCAGTCACAGGAGGCATTCCTGGTGGAAACATCATACCCGGAGGAGGAGGCATGGAACTCATGGGAGGAGGCATGAAAGGTGGTCTCTGTTAATTCACAAAAACAGTAATGGTCACTTTAATTACTTTTCCTCCAAATTATTACTGAATTCTATTCAAAAGTAAAACACTGTAAGAGAAACTAGTTTTATAGTCTATTCAAACACATTCACCTGTCATAGAAGCAAAATGTCTGCAACAAAAATTACCAAACAAACTAGAAAGAAACACATCAAACTACTAATAGTGGTCAACTCTGGGTTATAACACTGTCAGTGAATTCTGCTTTCTCCTTTCTACATGATCTGATTTTCACACACAGGGCGCTGGATTACTTTTTTTAAAAAATTGATTTTTATATCCTGTTTTAATACCAGGCACATCACTGTCTCCACAGCTTCTTGAAGAATCCTTCAAGAAAAAGTTTTCACTGTGCATAAAAATGAGTTTCAAAATTAAAAATTTGACATTATGACATTATAAAAACATTTTGAGCAGGGATTTAAAAGATTTCCTCTATAAGCTGTAAGTAACATTAAAATTCAATTATCAAAAGCAGCTTAATCTGGATAATGGAACTCAAACTATGCTAATAGTGTGAAGTTGTACTTTATTTTCCTAAAAATGTCTTTCCCATACTCCAATCTTTGCTGGATTCAGTTGAGTATCTTTCAAGCGTCAGCACACCAGATCTAGGTTATATAAAATATCTATCCCAAATACGTTTCATGAGCCCTTGGCTGAAAATCACTTGGACTTAATATAAAGCCAAACAATTATCCAAGACCAAGAAAGGCATGACAACATTAGAAAGTATCTTAGCACAACATTTGATATATTTCAATGAGAGGGTTACATTAGTCCATTACATTTTATAATACTCCAAAGTAGGTTTAACTCTTAAAGTCACAAATTAGAACAAATTCACGTTAAAGATTATACCAGAATAAGTTAAAAAAACTATTTCTTATTCTAACCTTGAAGCAAATATAAAACCATTTAACAGTGTGTTTAAAGGAAGGAGAGGCTATTCGTTATTAGGAAGGCCATAAAATTATTAAGCAAAGTATTAAAACCTGTCTCTTCCATAACCACA
This sequence comes from Homo sapiens, assembly GCF_000001405.40. Taxonomy (NCBI): domain Eukaryota; kingdom Metazoa; phylum Chordata; class Mammalia; order Primates; family Hominidae; genus Homo; species Homo sapiens. The sequence goes on along the minus strand of NC_000005.10, from coordinate 146,456,134 downwards.
ACCCTACCTAAACAGAATTAACATCACTTAAATGGCACATCATTGTCTTCTTCCATTTTTAGTATAATTCATTCTTCACTGTCTAAGCTAATGGAAGGCAGATGATACCACTATATTTATTTGGTTTCAGAATTATACAGACTAAACTAAGAAAACATAGATACATACTCAAAAAGAATACAATCCCAAAATGAGACATTTGAGAGTTCATACCTTCATGACCTCACCTCAGACAGTAAGTCTGGATACACTGGAGAAGGATCTATGCCCCAGGTTAAAATACCATAAATGTTTTTATTTAAAGAAATCCCATAATAAATCGTTTTCAAAAAGAGTAAGATAACCCTATTTTCCCCCCAGGGGAGAAAAAAAATTCAACTATGTGCTTATAAAATGTGTTTGCTGTCACTTTCCAGATTCTATCCTAGGCACCATTTCCAGGAGGAAGACTTACTCAGGAACATATACACATATATTTTTAGACTTGCTGGCAACATATATCATTGAAAATAAATTTTCTCCACTCAAAAATATCTTAAAATTTCAAACTTCATTTCCCATAAAGAAGATGCATTACTAAAGCCAATTCACAGAGCTAAAGGTAGGTAAAAACTATTGAATCCTGGTTTTATACACATACTTCTCTATCACCATCTAAAGTCCTATTCTGAATTTCCATAGTAATTACTGCTACCACTAATTCAGAAGAAACATATTAATATATGGATCTTCTCTTTAGCTCCCATTTTCCTATAAACTGAAACTATTTAAGAATGTAAGTTTTTAACTCAAAACCCATATATAATATTGATAATGATGCCAACAAAGAAATGGCAACCTCTACATTCTTTACCTGGAGGTGTGGAGGGCCCATAGGTGGAGGTATCCCTCCTGGAGGAGGCATTGGCGGCATATTAGGATCAAAAGGAGGACGTCCAAAGGGCGGCCGTGGTGGTGGAGGAGGGCCTCGCATCATACCAAAAGGTGGAGGAGGTCGCATCAGAGGTGGTGGGCCTCGCATCACTGCATTTGGTGGGGGAGCCGGACCTCGGAACCTCAAGGCCTGCTGTTGGGCCATCCTGCATGGGAAAGCAAGGAATAAATTTTTCTTTCTTAAAATTACAAAAATGTAGCTACTGATCTCTAATTACATCCATCAAATTTAAAAGGTTCTTAAGTCTAAGTGGAGTTGGAAAGTCATCATTTTGCAACCGTCATGATAAAAACTACATCAATGGGCCGGGTGCAGTGGCTCACATCTGTAATCCCAGCACTTTGGGAGGTCAAGGCAGGTGGATCACCTGAGGTCAGGAGTTTGAGACCAACCTCGACAACATGGTGAAACCCCATCTCTACTAAAAATACAAAAATCAGCCAGGTATGGAGGCGCACGCCTGTAAGTCCTGCTATTGGGGAGGCTGAGGCAGGAGAATCACTTGAACCCGCAAGGCAGAGGTTGCAATGAGCCAAGATCAAGCCACTGCACTCCTGCCTGGGCAACAGAGCAAGGCTCCATCTCAAAAAACAAACAAACAAACAAACAACCAAAAAAACAAAAAAAAAAACTTACATCAATGGATGATCTAGTTTTGGATGAATGATCAATGGATGCCGAGTCTAGGCAAAAATTTAGACAAGAGGGTTATCTGATGGTCTTAAAGTATTTACCCACATGCTGCTTAAAGTTGCAAGAAAGGATGAAAAAAAAAACACTCTACATAATCTACGTAATAAGGAAATTAGGCAATACCTTGACCCCGTGATCAAAACTAATTATCATCTAAGAAGGACAGATAGATAATGTGTGACTGAGAGAGACACGACATCACCTATTCCGACCAAAAATGTATAACCTCAATCTAACAACGAGGAAAGTATCAGACAAACTCAGAATAAGGAAGGAATGTTCTTTCTTTTCTTTTCTTTTTTTTTTTTGAGACCAAGTCTCACTCTCTTGCCAGGCTGGAGTACAGTGGCATGATCTCGGCTCACTGCAACCTCCGCCTCCCGGGTTCAGGCGATTCTTCTCCCAAGTAGCTGGGACTACAGGCATGCGCCACCATGCCCGGCTAATTTTTTTTTTTTTTTTTTTTTTTTGTATTTGAGTAGAGATGGGGTTTCACCATGTTGGCAATGGTCTTGATCTCCTGACCGCATGATCTGCCCTCCTCGGCCTCCCAAAGTGCTAGGATTATAGGCATGAGCCACAGCGCCTGGCCGGAAGGAATGTTCTATTAAAAGGGGGATGTGTATTCTTCAGATATGTCAATGTTATCCATAAAAGACAAAGAAATGTTGTGGAAATGCTCCAGATTAAAAAAGGTTAAAGAGTCATAACAACACAATTTTTTTTTTTTTTTTTAGAGACAGGGTTTTGCCATGTTGGCAAGGCTGGTCTTGAACTCCTGACCTCAGGCGATCTGCACACCTCAGCCTCCCAAAGTACTGGGATTACATGCGTGAGCCACCACGCTCGGCCAATAACAACACAATTTTAACTCTAGATTGGATTCTGTACTAACAGGAGGAAATGCCATACAGGGCATTGCCAGATCAACTGACAACACTGGAATATGCACAACAGATTAAAGTATTATATCATTACAAATTTATGAAGTTGATAATTAGGCTGTAGTTAAGTAAAATAATATCTCTATTCTTAGAAAATACTGAAGTATTGAAGGGTAAAAAGCCATAGGTATACCTTACCCTCACAGTTCAGAATAACAAAGAGGATGCACGTGTGCACGCAAATAGTAAAGCAGAAGAGGTAAAATATTAACATTGAATAACACCCTAGCTTTATTTTTGCGACATTTTGTAAATTTGAAATTACTTCCAAAGTTTTTAAAGGGGGCAGGGGGGTCACTTGGCAGATCATTAGTAGTCTCTACCTAAAGGGAAAGCCTTTCCCTGTAGGGCACACTGCCCCACCACCCCTCACTCTCAACACCCTAATGTATTTTCTCCACAGCATTTAAGCAAATAAGTAATATCACATGAGATAGTATTATCTATCTCTTCCCCCAAGTGCTTTTGTAAAGAGAATTATTAACTCCTAAAAGTGCTTACTATGAGCCAGGCAGTGCTTGCTCTAAGCTCTTTTCAAAAATTAAGTCTTTTAATCATCAAAACAACCCAATGAGATGGATACTATTAATCTCAGTTTATAGATAAAGAACTAAAGCAAAGAAGTCACTTGTCCAAGGCCACACAACTGGTTCAGTACTAAAGCCAGGATTCAGGTGGCCCACGGTGGCTCGCGCCTGTAATCCCAGCACTTTGGTGGCCAAGGCAGGCAGATCATTTGAAGTCAGGAGTTCAACATCAACCTGGACAACATGGTGAAACCCCATCTCTACTAAAAATACAAAAAAATTAGCCGGGCATGGTGGTGCACGCCTGTAATCTCAGCTACTTGGGAGGCGGAAGCAGAAGAATTGCTTGAGCCTGGGAAGTGGAGGTTGCAGTGAGCCGAGATTGTGCCACTGCACTCCAGCCTGGGCAATAGAGCAAAACTCTGTCTCAATAATAAATAAATAAAGAAAATAAAGAGAGGATTCAAACACAGGCAAATGCTCCTTCAGAGTAGGAATTGTGTTCACTCTTGTATCCCTAGCACATAGATCTGTACATAGTAGGGCTCAATAAATATTAGTATTAGTATTTGTTGCATGAACCACTGAATACCTAGGTGATACAGTACCCAAACTACCTTACAAGTAGCGTATGCAGGATCTTAAAAAAATTATTTTTACAATTCCACCCATTTACTGAGTACCTATCATGGTATTCCCAGTAGCTACTATACATCTACATTATACATAAAAAACCTACATTTCTGTCCTCAAGAGAGGAATTAACAATTATATTCTTTATATATTTGAAAATAATCATTCTTATAGTCTCTCGTTACCAGGCTCTTTCAACTTTCTGACATTTTTCAACCCTCTGCTTATAGATTACCCTTTGAACTTTCTCTAAATTTACCACATCATCGTTCAATTCTGACACACACCAAAAAAATCCTAATAAAGAACCAATTTAGGCCAGGAGCAGTGGCTCATGCCTGTAATCTCAGCACTTTGGGAGGCAGAGGTGGGCAGATCACTTGAAGCCAGGAGTTCGAGACCAGCCTGGCCAACATAGCAAAACCCTGAGTCTATTAAAAATACAAAAATCAGCCAAGCATGGTGGTGCATGCCTGTAGCCCCAGCTACTTGAGAGGTTGAGGCATGACAATCACTCAAACCCAGGAGGCAGAGGTTGCAGTGAGCCGATATTGCACCACCGCATTCCAGCCTGGGCAAGAGAGCGAGACTCAAGTCTCAAAAAAATTAAAAAATTAAAAAAAAAAAAAACTAATTTGCCTTCTGGACTTGTTTACAGTCCTGGTATAACCAGGACTGTAAACAAGTCCAGAACTACTACACCAAGTATATTTAATCAAATTTGCAAATGATCCTACAATCCAAAGGTTAGAAAATATGAGTTAAAAAGGAATATGGGCCGGACGCCCCCCGGTGGCTCACGCCTGTAATCCTAGCACTTTGGGAAGCCAAGGCAGGTGGATCACCTGAGGTCAGAAATTCGAGACCATCCTGGCCAACATAGTGAAACCCCCACTCTACTAAAAATACAGAAATTAGCCGGGTGTGGTGGTGCTTCCCTGTAATCCCAGCTACTCAAGAGGCTGAGGCAGGAGAACAGGAGGAACCTGACAGGTGGAGGCTGCAGTAAGCCAAGATCACACCACTGCACTTCAGCCTGGGAGACAGAGCAAGACATTGTCTTAAAAGAAAAAAAAAAAAAAAAGGAATATGGATCGCATCAAAATAATCAGAAGGTCTTTTTCAAATTATATGCATCCCCAAAAGACACAGGCCACTGTTACTGAAGGAATGTCCAAACTTTTAGGGCAAAAAAAAGATAATCACCAAGGAAAGACACTCTGTTTCAGGCTTGAGTTAATAATGTACCCTACTCTTAGATTTTCTTTCCATCTGCCTCTCCTTTTTTCAAAAAGTCTACAGTATTCATTTCTGTACAATTTCATACTTCCTGGTTACAGCTTGAAGTTAAGCATTTAAGATCCAGAACCATAAAAAAGCCCTGTTAGGACTCCGTCTTTTGTTGTCAGGCTAGTTACATAATTTCTGAGCCTTGAGTTTCCTCAGATGTGAATGAGTAAGGAACAGAAAAGGTATCTGATATCACTGTTCAATGAGATAATCCCGGTGAAACATTTAGGGTGGTAGCTGGTACACAGTAAACTACTTCAACTATCATTACTTTCATTCCCCCACAAAACCTAGCAGTGTTTATCTGTAAAAGGCATTTCATTATTAATTTGTTATGGTTTTCAAAAGTCTGCCACTAAAATGGTGACAAAATTCACATAATTTCCTTTTTTGAATAGCCTGAAGTTGCCATTTTCTGATGTTAATTACGCACAGAACATGGGCTGGGCTCTTTATATTATACTGCTTCATCACAACAACCTCACCAGAACCTGCAATGAGGATTAAATGAGCTAATAAAGTACTTGGAATAGTGCTTAGTATGTAAGTGCTATCTAAGTTATTAGCTATCATTACTGTTTCTGTAACATTAGGACAGTAATAGTACTGGTAAGTGTTAAATAATATTAATATTAGTAATGTTAGCTATTATTACTATAATTATTATATCAGGCCCTGTATAACCTGGCCCACATTAACCTTTCCACAAATTCTAGTCTTTTCCTTTAAATATTTCAAGTTTATTACTTTGAAGCCTCTGCACCTGTTCTCTTTGCCGAGCATGTTCTTCCCCAGATTTTCACATAACTAGCTCCTTCTCATTACTCAGCCTCTAGTTCAAATGTCACCTCAAACTGTTTTCCCACTTCTGGCCTCTACAGGCCCTCTCAGGATCATTATTCCTAATTTGAGTTTTCGATTATGATAAATGCTATGAAGAAATCTCCCATTTACTTCTGTATTATCTTTAGCCACTAGTATATAGTTCCCTTTAGTATACTGTTGCAACACATTAAAACACATTATTGTTTTAATAATGATAGTAAAGTTCCTATATACCAGCATGGTTATACAGACATTATCCGTATTAACTCTTAATCCTCACTACAGCCCAATAAGGTAAGTTTGACACCATTTTTACAGAGGAAATGATAGCACAGAAAAATATTTTCTTAAGGCAGCTAGTCAGTGATAACACCAGAATATTCTTATTCTCATTTTATAGATAAGGAAATTTAGATTGCAAGTATCTTAAGTATTGATAGGTAAACAAAGGCTCTAGGGAAAGGATCTATACAAATGACTCTGGAAGTTACTTTAATGGTATTTGGAACGTCTATAAATTTTCCATCTATTGTGATTTGCATTCCTACCACTTACAACCTTTCTGAAAAACAAAAGCCTACTTGCATGAATAGAAGGAACAAAAATATTTCACAAGAACATCATGGAAATACAAACATAAGGTATTTTTCTACAATAGAAGTTCTCTATCCAGATATGCAATCTCCCCAATGCTAAAGACAATACTTTAACTGGAGGGGCAAGAAATAAAAAGATGCTACCGATATATGGGGGCAAATTGTATAAACTATGATTGAGGAGACCTGAGGTTTAGTCCAGACCCTGCCAACTACCCAGTGACCTTGTGTAAGTCACTTCACACTTACAGGCAGATTTAATCATTTGATGTGGTTGATTTCATTTACAATTTAGATGGCTCTTACTTAAGCTGGAAGCTCCTGCAGGACAAACCTCTTTTTTCGGTCTGGTTCAGGGCACTATTACCAGCACCTAGGTCAGCAACTGTCATGTAGCACACAATAAATGTCGGCCCAATAAGTGAAGTATCTTTAAATCTCCTATCTTCATTTATTTACAACATAACTACAGAACATCTCATTTGCCAGGCGGTTATGACAGACACACCATGAAGTACATTCAGGTTACAAATATAATGCAAAAATTAAGCCCCAACTTCTGCCATCAAAGAGGCCACATACACACCTAATTTCATGAGAAATGCTAAAATAAAGATCTGTACAGTATGCTCTGCAAGCAACTTCCAATCCAAGAGGCTACGGTATAAAATATTTGCAACAGGGCAAATTCATTTGCAAATTAAAGCTCTATTCAAATCAGTTGTGCAACAGTGTCTAGACTATTAATAAAGCCATTTGGATTTTTTTAAAGCTTTAGAAAGATACTTTCTAAAATGCAAAAGAATGTTCCCTAATAAATCCATCTGAAACTAGCTAAGTAACCTCCCTTTAAGATCGAAATCAGGAATAAACTTGGCATCGCTAATATTTAAAGATGCTGACAATTCACCTTGATCACTCATTAATACTGTATACATATGGAGTTTAAAGGATTTCAGATTCATCTCTGAAATAAAACAAAATTTCATTTCTGCCAAAGTGGAGATTTGTGTGTGCGACCATACAGAATCTGAAAGGCATTTTCCTCTTCTAAAACCTTGAATAACAATACCCATTTCCTTACACAATTTCATCTTAAGTTCAAGACAGTATCAACAGAGTCTTCATAATCTACCCTGCTCTTTTTCATTTTCAAACGTTGACAACAGCACAATTCAGAATGGGAGCTGAACATCTGAAATGCCATTTCTCCCATACAGAAAAAAACCAAAGTACCAAATACACATAAAGCATAATACCTCTTTTCCTCAAAAACCACTGACCAAAAGATTTCTCCAGGTCACTCTCATTTTACCAAATTTTAATTACAAACTCATAGACACTGAGGTTCCAGGGGAAAAAAAGGTCACTGCACTGTTCAAGGAAATGGCATGAGTAGTAGACGAATAGAACGCCAATTGGGATTGCAGGCTCTGAAACCTGACTGCCTGAGTTCAAGCCACTTCCTGGAGCCACAAATCCGCCTATGCAATCTTATTCTACTGACTCAACCTCCACGAGGCTGTTATCTCACCTGTAAGATGGGCGAGTAACAACTGAAGACCCCTCTGGTCTGTGGCCTGCAAAATGTTAATAGCAACTACTCCAAAGGGTGGTTGTGAGGATTAAATGAGACAAACCTAAGTAAAGGGTTTACTGGCACACGGTAAGTGCCTAATAAGGGGTTGCTACTGTTGTTGTTACTCACAACTACAGGATAATAAGGAATAAAGGGATGAAAAAAGGAAGAAAAGCCACAGAAGTTAAGAAAGGCAAGCAATGAGGGGGATGAAATGAAAGGGCAAACGTGGGGAGCCCAAAGAGCCGCGGAGGGCGTGGAGAAGGCTTAGCCAGAAGTGGCGAGGGGTACAGGGAAAGTAACTGCGGAGTGCAGAGACGTCGATGAGGAAAATCAGGCCCGCAGCGGAGCGCGGCCTGGGGACAGACTCAGGTCGGCCGAGACGGAGGCGACACGCGGCTGAGGCGGGGCCCAAAGGCGGGAGCACCGCGCCCGGCCAGAGGGCTGCAGGCCGCGAGAGGCGGCGAGGCCCCAAGAAAGCACTAGGAAGCAGCCAGGGAACGCGCAGGAGGCCCTGGCCCAGCCCGGGCCCGGCTCTCATTCAAGCCACCTTCCCCTTCCCCCTTCTTAAACCCCATGCGGTCCCGGCCCGGGCCGCCCGGCTCCGCTACCCACCGTCCGCCCCGGATCTCCACATGGCAGGTCTAGCGTCTAGCCTCTGGGGCTCTCGTGAGCAGAGATGTGAAGGAGGGCAGCGTTCCTTACCTGAGCTCCCCCGGGTTGAATCGTTCACTCTCGCCCCCGTCCCCGCCACGCTCCGCCATTACAGAGGGCCGCGTTCATCCACCCGCCGACCCGACGTCTCCTATTGGCTAGAAAAATCGTCAATCCCCAACGAGAGAGGCGGAGACAGCAGAAGTCTGAGATGCGGTTGGTCAAACTTTCCATCAATCTTCGAAATGGGGGCGATATGTTCTTTGCTATTGGGCAAGGCGCCCGCCGACTTTGAAAGCGGTATGAAGACAGCCAGTTGATTGGTGACTCGGGGGCTTTATGGGAAATGAGATTTTAGCAGTGAGGAACCGCCGGCGCCCTCTCGCGGTAAGCAGAACTAAGTCCTCCCAAGTTCGGCTCAGCCTGCGGTAGCCACGTGTCTGTCGGCTTCCAGGAGAGCCAATTGTGGAGCCATATTGGCCAGTAGTAGCTCAGGCGGAGAGCATTTCCACTGGGCAAGCCAATCAAAATCGACCTGGGCCGCGCCTAAACCGATTGCACAGTTGCTGTGGAAAGCCGCTATTTCCTAGCTTTACAGTAGCAGGAGTCTTAAGTCACCACTCAGCTCTATATCCATGTTATTAAATAATATATTATTAATTACAAGAATACCTCCCAAATTATACTAAACCGTTGCAAGCCAATAGGTGTTATAAGTTGCTGCATTAAGAAAGGTAAATTGGCGAAGGCAAGCCTCTTTGCAATTTACAGCTTAACCACGTCTCCCTCGATCTCAAAATGTGCTTGTCTGAAATTAGCACACCCAGAATACCAGACAATTCTGAATATTTATTTAGTTTTTCTAATTAACAAAAAAAAAAGTTTTGGATTTGGGGTTTCAAAGGCACAATGAAGATGAGCCCTTTTATTAAAGTCGTAAAAATATTAAAATAATACTAATAGATAAATTTTACTTGGACCTAACCATGTAGCAAACCCGGATCTAAGTATGTCAGGTACGTTAACTCTTTTAAGATTCAAAAATTGCTAGGAGGTGGGTAACATAGTCACTGTTTGTAGATGAGCTTGAGGCACAGAGAAGTTAAGTAACTTGCCCAAGGTCACACATCTACTAAATAGCAGAGCCTGGTCTTAACCCCAGTCAGCGTAGTAGCAAAGCAGCACTCTTAAATACTGTAAGCCTAAATAATTGGATCCACATAAAAACATGTGCACAAATGTTCACAGCAGCAATATTCATAATAGCCAAAAAGTATTGTAACAACCCAATGACCATCAGCTGATGCATGGTTAAGAAGCATGGTATAGGCCGGGCGCGGTGGCCCAAACCTGTAATCCCAGCACTTTGGGAGGCCTAGACGGGCGGATCACGAGGTCAGGAGATCAAGACCATCCTGGCTCACACGGTGAAACCCTGTCTCTACTAAAAACAAATAGCCCGGCGTGGTGGCGGGCGCCTGTAGTCCCAGCTACTCGGGAGGCTGTGGCAGGAGAATGGCGTGAACCCCGGAGGCAGAGCTTGCAGTGAGCAGAGATCGCGCCACTGCACTCCAGCCTGGGCAACAGAGCGAGACTCCGTCTCAAAAAAAAAAGAAACATGGTATAACTGTACAATGAAATATTGTTCAGACATAAAAAGCCACATACAAAAAGGCCGCCTGTTGTATGATTCCATTTACATGAAATATGATGAAATTGCATTGCATTTCAGGCAAATACATACAGACAGAAAGTAGAACAGTGGTTTCCAGGAGGTAGAGGGGAATGAGGAATTGGAAGTGACTGCTGATGGATATGGAATGTCTTTTTGGATGATAAAAATGTTCTGGAATTGGCGCTGATGGTTGCACAACTTTGTGAATATACTAAAACCCATTGAATTCTATACTATTTATTTATTTATTTACTTATTTTGAGAGGGAGTGTCACTCTGTCACCCAGGCTGGAGTGCAGTGGCATGATATCAGCTCACTGCAACCTCCGCCTCCCAGGCTCAAGCGATCCTCACACTTCAGCCTCCCAAGTAGCTCCCACAGGCCTCCGCCACCACATCCAGCTAATTTTTTATATTTTTGGTAAAGACGGGGTTTTGCCATGTTGGCCAGGCTGGTCTTGAACTCCTGAGCTGAAGTGATCTGCCCACCTTGGCCTCCCAAAGTGCTGGGATTACAGGTGTGAGCCACTGCATACAGCCAACTCGTATACTTTAAAAGGTGAATTTTATTGTATGTGAATTATATTTTAATTCAAAAACACCATTCTACACTGAATTCCAGTTAAATATTCAAAATCAATTAAATATGATAAATTGTGATAAAGGCTTCACACAGTTCTGAGCATGAGTAATTGGAGGAGAGCATGGTGAAAATTTTGTTAAAGATGTGACATTTGAGGCTGGGTGTGGTGCCACAGGCCTGTAATCCCAGCACTTTGGGAGGCCAAGGCGGGAGGACTGCTTGAGTTTAGGAGTTTGAAACCAGCCTGAGCAAAATGGTGAGACCTCACCACTACAAAAAATCAAAAATATTAGCCAGGCATTGTGGTGCATGACTGTGGTCCCAGCTACTTGACAGGCAGAGGTGGGAGGGCCGCTTGAGCCCACTTGAGTCGAGGCTACTGTGAGCTGTAATTGCAGCACCGCACTCCAGCGTGGGATACAGAGTGAGACACTGTCTTAAAAAAGAAAAAAAAAAAGGTGTGGCATTTGAACAAACTATAGTTTGACTAAAAGTTGGGAGTTAGATCCCTTTTTCAACATCAGTGTGTATCCCCAAGTTCTGGTCAATATTCTGAAAATAATACTGGTATAGATGGCTCATTACAAACTAATTCCTACTAAAAAAAGATTCAAAATAGAAAGCTTATAGAAAATAAGTCACTAGCATATATAAAAGATGAAAACAGGCCGGGCGCTGTGGCTCACGCCTGTAATTCCAGCACTTTGGGAGGCCGAGGCAGGTGGATCACCTGAGGATTTCGAGACCAGCGTGGCCAACATGGCAAAACCCCGTCTCTACTGAAAAAATACAAAAATTAGCTAGGCATGGTGGCACGTGCCTATAGTCCCAGCTACTTGGGAAGCTGAGGCAGGAGAATCGCTTAAACCTGGGAGGCAGAGGTTGCAGTGAGCTGAGATCTCGCCATTGCACTCCAGCCTGTGTGACAGAGTGAGACTTCATCTCAAATAAAAAATGAAAACAAACTGTCAGTTGAAGAAACTCCTTGCAGGTATTAAAAATTTTATTATCTGATAGTTTTTATTATGTTATTTTTATCTAAATATACTTTAAGATATTTATATTATAGTATAATCTTTTAAATAGATTAAGTATATACATATGTATATCTATCACATGTAATGATAATCATATGTGTATATATGTATATATTTCATTATTTCATTGCTATAGTGTATCCCCATAAAAATGTCCTTCAAATTCAGGTAGTTTGGCTCAATAGTTATTTATAACATATTGCAAATTTCTGACTTGAACTATGTCTACACAGCTTTTCTAGAGTGAACCATTTTATTGAATCAAAATGAAAAAGGAATTGAAGAGATTCAGTGCATCTTTTAAGAGACCAAATGGACTTTCCGATAGTCAAAGCTTGATAACTATTTGGATACTGATAATGTACACAACTATATAGAACAGAATAGCAAATACCATCCTTGCTTAATTGGTAACCATTGAATTATTGACCCCCCAAAATTAGCATATCAAGATGAAATGAAGAGAAAATGTTGGTTTCAGACAAATTAATTCATCAGGGCTTAGGTCCTGCTGTGAAGACACTCATCAGAATTGGCTCTTGAGAACTGGTTCCAATGCAGAATCAGGCTTTAAAAAAATAACTGCCATTTTTGAGCACCTATCTTAAATCCATAGGAGGTACATTACATACACTATTTCCAGTCCTTTCAACAGCCCTGCAAGGTGGATGTATTGTCCCCAATTTACAAATGAGGAAACTGAGGCTCAGACAGATGATAGGACTGATGCAAGGCGACATTCAGATAGCTGAAAAGAGGGGAAGCCAGAATTCAAACACGTGTGTGTCTAACACCAAAGCCAGTTAGAGACCACTCAATCCTGTGTCTCACCCAAATCACAATGTATCATTTCTTCCTCTTCCCTCTAGACTGTAAATGCTTTAAAAAGACTGTTTTCCTGGCTGAAGCCCCCAGCTCCTAATAACACACTTATTAACCCATAAACTGTGCAGCTATGTTATTCCTAACTGGAAATACTGGTCTTTGAAATATTTAAAGAGATCTCAGAAATAGAGAATCCCAGGCTGGATGCATCTGCTAGCTCCCTCACAGGCAGTATGGATAGAGGTTGCTAATGAGCTTCGGGGTAAATTAGGTCAGGATTCTAGTCCTGGCTCTATCAACTACTGGCTGTACAATCTTGAGCAAGTCACTTCTCACAGCTTCGACCTTTTTATTTGGAAAACAAAGAGTTGCCCTGAGATTTCATAAATGAACTATTTACCATGGCATAGGCAGCAACTAAAAATCATCAATAAGTAATATTTGTTTACAGAGTTTCTCTAGGGCTGCTATGGTCTGGATTCCTATGTTGAAATTCTTACCCACAAGGTGATTGTATTAGGATGCGAGGCCTTTGGGAGGTGACTAGGTCATGGGGGCAGAACCCTATGAATGTTACTAGAGCGCTTGTAAAAGAGGCCCAGGAGCAACCTCTCGCCCTCTTCTGCCACATGAGGTTAGAGTGAGAAGGTCGTCTGAGGAAGCTAGTTCTCACCTGACACCAAATCTGCTGGCACCTTGACCTTGGACTCTCCAGTCTCTAGAATGTGAGAAATAAATCTCTATTGTTTATGAACCACCCAGTCTATGGTATTTTGTTACAGCAGCCAGAATGGACTGAAAAACGGCATTTTGCTAGCCCGTGCTTTACTGACAAGGTCAAAATCAAGATAGGGTCCACCTTTTTGCATATATATAAGTGAGGACAATGAGATAGCCAAGAAACTAGAACTAAATAAACAATATTACTCCATGAATAGGAAGTGTCATACTAAATCAACATACAGGATTATAGCAGAAAATAATAATAGTAGCTTACATTTCCTAAGCTTGTAGTATGCTGAGCATTTTACATAAGCATCTCATTTAATAAGTAATATTTATCAATCATTTCCTACATGCAAGGCACTGTTTTAAGCGCTTTAAATGTATTAACACATTTGAAACTTTACAAAAACCCTATGAGGTAAGCATTGCTATTATTTCTATTTTACAGATAACAAAGGCACAGAGAGATTAAATAATGCATCCTGAGTCACACAGCTAGTGAATGACACAATTGGAATTCAAGTCTAGGCCTCCAGGCTACAGAGTCCACATTCATAACCAATCTGCTCTACTGCCAATCGGCAATTAGACCATAAAGTGTCCCTGGGCTCCTTCCATTCTGTATGGATGTCTGAGGGCAGCAGGTAAAACTTCTCCAGATGACATCTCCATTGCATCTACCTTCAAACTGTCACTTCATCAGTTTGTAACTTACTTATGGAATTTAGAACAAGTTCTAACCTCTCATCCCCTAATCTCCTTTGGATCTAGGATGTAAGAAAACTCAGAAATCATTGTTATATGTTCAGCTATTAAGTAGTATCAGCATATAGGCTGCTTGGATGGGGCTCAGAATTCCCGAACTGAAGTAAATAATTGCATCTTTGTGAATATATTGAGTCAGTAATTATGCAAGTGTTAAGAATATCATTCTATTCACCCTCCCAATCCATACCTTTTTTTTTAATCTATAGAGGTCAAATGATCTATTCAATCATGGTGCAGAAATTTATTCTAGTCAGGAAAATGTTTGGGTTGCAAGGAAAAGAAGCCAAATTAGCATGAGTGAAATTAGTATTGGTGAGAAAACAGAACTAATCAATTCTGTGGACAAGAGCTCTAGTTGCCCTGACCTTTATAGGGGCTGGAAAGCTTTGAGGAGCTATAGAGTTTCCCACTCTCTTCCTTTCCTTCTCAGGGGCCACATGGCTCCTCCTCTCTGGTTATCTTGGCCTGTTTGCTCTAGTCTCCTCTTTCTGTAAACTCACTTTCTCCTCTCACTCATCCTATTCAATGCAGATGTAACGGCAGCACCTGACTCACCTCACAGTCTAGTGTCCACACATCACTGCCAAATCTCTGGATATCTGTAGGTAAGAAGTCTTCCAAGAAGAAATCTAACTGGTCATTGGGTAGCCAGCGTATTAACTGGTGTTGATTTGTATGGCCATCCTTGTGCCAATTTTGTGTAATCAGAGTAAGGCCCAGAGCAGTGTTGACCTTTTCAGAGTCTGAGTTGAGAAAGGCGATGCCATCTGTTTTCCATACCCAGCCCCAGATGATTCAGCGCTTCTCCCAGATTAGCTTCCACCCTTGCTCCCTCTATTCTCTTCTCTGCAAAACATCCAGTTAAGCTTCTAAAACAGCCTCTGCTTAAATCCTTTCCATGGCTTCTTATTTCCCAATAGGAAAAAGAACAGACTTTTGACATGGTCTTTGTAGCCCTATATCATGCCCATCGCTACAGCTTCATCTTTCCTCATTGCTTGTAAGTTCTAATCAGACTTGGTTTCTTTCCATTTTTCAAAGACACTCATGCTTCTTACCTTAAATACTTATCTCATGGGTTTTTCTCTCTGCCTATGATGTTCTTCTTGCCCTCTTTCACCCAAATAACTCTTTTCCTATCTGTATTAGTTACCTATTGCTGCATAACAAATTATCTCAAAACTTAGCAGTTTAAAGCAACAAAACATTACTTCACAGCTTCCACGGGTCAGGAATCCAGGCACAGTCTAAGTGCCTCTGGCTCAAGACCTCTCATGAGGTTGCTGTCAGATTGCCAGCCAAGACTGAAGACTCACCTGATGTTGAAGGATCTTCTTCCAAGTTCACTCACCTGGCTTTTAATGCATGTCAGTTCCTCATAGGTTGCTAGACAGAAGACATGCCACACATGGGCATGTCCACAGAGCTGATCACAACATGACAGTGTCCTTCTCCCAGCACAAGCAATCTCAGGATGGAAGCCACAGACTTGTAACCTTTTGTAACCTCCAATATTTCAATAATATTGGGAGTGAAATTCCATCACTTCTGCCCATATCCATTCATTAGAAGCAAGGTGAGGCTGTGTGCGGTGGCTCACGCCTGTAATTCCAGCACTTTGGGAGGCCAAGGCGGGTGGATCACCTGAAGTAGGAGCAAGACCAGCCTGGCCAACACAGTGAAAACCGATCTCTGCTAAAAATACAAAAATTAATCAGGCGTGGTGGTGCACGCCTGTAGTCCCAGCAGTGAGCCGGGATTGCACCACTGCACTCCAGAGTGAGACTCTGTCTCAATTAAAAAAAAAAAAGGGGGGGAAGAAGAAACAAGTTGAAAAGTGTAGACCACACTCAAGGAGGGGCTGAATATCAGAAGGTGGGATCATTGGGGGCTGCCTTACCTATGACACTGTCTTTCAGGTGTAAGTTTATGAAACGTTTTATATATTTTATCTTATTTCTTTTCCTGCCAACTCCATTTATTGTAGTTAATGCTGAAGGGTTTTTTTGCTTTTTGTGTTTTTTGGTTTTTTTTTAGTTTAGTTTCATGTTTTTGTTTTTCTTTTTGTTTTTGTTTTTAGAGCCAGTGTTTCACATTGTTGCCCAGGCTGGTCTCAAACTCCTGGGCTCAAGAGATCCTCCCACCTTGGCCTCACAAAATGTTGGGATTACAAGCATGATCCTCCACGCCCAGCCCTGAAGTATTTTAAAGTAAATTATAGACATCATAATATTCCACCCCTAATGTTTGGAATGCATCTATTTTTTTTAATGCCCAGTTTTCTACATAGCAAAAATTATATTTTCACACCTAACATAATTAACAGTAATAGCAAATCCATATTCAGATTTCCTCACCTGTCCCCAAGATGTCCTTCCAGCTGGTTTGGCCAGATAAGTATCGAAT
This sequence comes from Homo sapiens, assembly GCF_000001405.40. NCBI lineage: Eukaryota > Metazoa > Chordata > Mammalia > Primates > Hominidae > Homo > Homo sapiens. Next base: position 146,439,439 of record NC_000005.10, on the reverse strand, counting down.
TCAGAACCAAGCAGTACATCTGGTTGCTATGCCTCAAGCTTTTAATCTAGAACAGTTCCTTTTATCATAATATGGACTTGCTGAAGACCAGGACTGTTTCCCCTCTGGATCTGTCTGATTGCTTCCTCTAACCCTTGTGTTTCCTATAAGCAGGAAGATAGATCTGAATATTTGACCAGATTTAAATTGAACATTTTTGTCAAGGGAACTTCTTAGGTAATGCTGTATATTCCAATTTCAGTCACAACAGGAGACACATCTGGTTGTCCCCTCCTAAGTGATGCTAAGTTAAAGGTGATGACAGCTCAATCTTATTATAATCAGAATATTATCTGCATGATATTATTTTGGTTTCATACAAATGTTGGTACCCTGTCAGGAGGGTGACCCTATCACTTATAATCCAAACTGCCACATTTGAGACTAAAAGGGGCACTACTAATAATTACACTTGGACAATAGTCATAAACTAGGACCATCTCTGGCAAAATGGGATGAATGGTCAACGTACCTGTCAACCATTAACCTAACGATTTAATGATTTTATCCTTTCCTGAATCAATACTTTCCTTACGGGTGGCAAACTGATGATTTTCCAATTATATGTTACCTTCCACACTTGCTCACTGACAGTCTTCCTTAAATTAGAGATTTCCTTTGACAACAGAGGCGATTTAGTTACCTGAAAATAGTTTCTGTTTTAAAAGTGAGTAAATGCTTAATTCTTTTTCTTTACTTACTAACTTTCAAAATAAAAAGATTGAGGCCAAGGCAGGCAGATCACCTGAGGCTGGGAATTCAAGACCAGCCTGACACACATGGTGAAACCCTGTCTCTACTAAAATTAAGATTAAAAAAGAAATTAATATCATCAGTGATAGTGTACATCCCTGACATGATGTGGTGAGAAGGCCGCTTCGCCTCTATGGTATTCTTCTCCAAGATCCACAACCTCAGTCTAAAGTTGTGGAAATATTAAACAAATCTGAATTGAGGGACGTTCTACACAATACCTGATCAATACTCTTAAAAGTGTCAAGATCATGAAAGACAGATAAAGAGTGAGAAACAGTCACAGTTTGAGGCAACAAAGGAGGCATGATGACTAAAATGTACAGTGGTGTCCTGGATCACATCCTGGCACAGAAAAGGGGCACTGGTGGGGAAAACTGAGGAAATCCAAATAAAGTTCATTGTTTAATTAATATTGTAAGGGCCAGGCACAGTGGCTCACACTGGTAATCACAGCACTTTGGGAGTCTGAGGTGGGAGGATTGCCTGAGCCCAGGAGTTCAAGACCAGCCTGGGCAACACAGTGAGACCCTATCTCTATTAAAATATATATTTTATATATATATATATAATATATATATTTTTATATATATATTATATATATATTATATATATTATATATATATTTTATATATATATATTTTATATATATATATATATATATAACCTTTGTGGTTTGATCAATGAACCATGATTATATAATATGTTAATGTTGCATGGTGGCTCATGCCTGTAATCCCAGCACTTTGGGAAGCCAAGATAGGGGGATCACTTGAGGTCGGGAGTTCAAGCCTGACCAACATGGTGAAACCCCATCTCTACTAAAAAAGTATAAAATTAGCCAGGCGTGGTGGCGCACGCCTGTAATCCCAGCTACTTGGGAGGCTGAGGCAGGAGGATCACTTCAACCCAGGAGATGGAGGTTGCAGTGAGCCAAGACTGTGCCATTGCACTCCAGCCTGGGCAACAAGAGTGAAACTCTGTTTCAAAAAATAAAAATGAAAATAAATGTTAACGTTAAGAGAAGCCGAATGTGGACTATGTCTGTACTAACTTTGCAACTCTTCTGTAAATCCAAAATTATTTCAAAATAAAAGGTTTATTTTTTTTTTTTGATTTTTGTTTTTTTTGAGACAGGGTCATGCTCTGTTGCCCAGGCTGAAGTGCAGTGGTGCAATCACGGCTCATGGCAGCCTCAACCTCCTGGGCTCAAGCAAACCTTCCTCCTCAGCCTCCTGAGTAGCTGGGACCACAGGTGTGCACCACCACACCTAGCTAATTTTTGTATTTCTTGTACAGACAGGGTCTCACTATGTTGCCTAGGCTGGTCTTCAACTCCTGGGCTCAAACTATCTTCTCTCCTTGGCCTCCCAAAGTGCTGGGATTACAGGCATGAACCACTGTGCCCAGCCCAAAAGAAAAAGTTTTCTAAAATCCATTTTAAGTGTTCAGATAGCTAGTTCTCAAAGGTGCTAAGTACCTTTGAGAAAGGTGAAAACCATAGGTATACTATGATGCCTCAATTTGTCCATCTACAAAATAAGAGGATCAGACAAGATGCTCATCTAATGGTAAGCGCAAGCAGTACCCAGTGAGACGTCCCCAGAAAAGACTCAGCTAGCAGTATGAGTGCCAAGAGAGCTCGCGAGGTACGCTTGACCTCGAGAAACACATGCAGTTAAGGATTGCACTCCTAGCCTTCCAATCCCCGCAAATAGATTTTTTTTTTTTGGGCAAAATGAGCCTGGAAACAAAGTCAATAACACACACATTAAACTGAACACACAGCAGGGCATGGTGGCTCACACCTGTAATCCTAGCACTTTGGGAGGCCGAGGCAGGAGGATCCCTTGAACCCAGGAGTTCGAAACCAGCCTGGACAACATAAGGAGACCTGGTCTCAAAAAAAAAATTATAAACTGAACACTTAAAAAAATTATCTTCATAAACCAGAATACCAACGTATTAATTTATGAAAAAAATTACAACTGTCAGGTGGACCAGCTGCTCCTGTCCTCCCTGTGGGCAAACATACATAGCAAGCAAAATAATCAGAAGGCAGTTCAATGAGATTAGAAGCAGAACAAGGGAAGAATGTTATTTAATTTTAATTTTTAATAGCTTTGGGCCATGAAAGCCTGATAATTCATATTCCAAATAAAGATACACCTTCTACTTGGACCAACTGTGCCTGCCCTTGCATTGGGGAACTCTCTGTCCTATCCAAGAACCTCTTCCTTACACAGATAGCTTAGCCTACTTCTCCAGTGAGGAGGATTAAAAAAAAAAAAAAAAGGAGGTGTGTTCTTTTCTATTGTGGTTTATAGGAAACAAAGAGAGGGAATCATTTTGATCATTAACACCATTGGCTGGTTCAGCCAACAGACAGCGAATGGTTAGTAAACTCATAAATTTGCAGATCCTTAAAGCAATTTCATGGACCACCTGGAATCTGAGAGCCATAGATTAGAGTACCCTGCTTTAGGTTGACCATCTATGTTTGTTTCCACAATTTTTTCCCTATAAAATACCATATGATTATTTAGGTTTCCACTTATTAAACAATGATCATATTCTCTAAGATTACCCTAGTTTGTGTTTTTCCTAGAATAATTAACCACACATTTGCAATCTCTTCATTTACTAACATAGATGACTATATCTAAGTACATTGTGTATGCATTTTACTAGTTTAACTCTCAGAAACTTTGAATTTGTCCCATAATTATTAATGATACATATATAGTCTCCTTGCTTATTAACATAAACAGTTAATCATATCCACTGTATAAAGCCAATGCTAGTTCTTTTACTGAACATGGCCAGGTCGGGGGCAGTAAGTGGGGATTCTCTCTTATCCTCTTGTATCAACAACAATTATCTCTTTTATGGTTCATTCCAATTATAAATTCTTACCATTAAAATTTTTCTGTTTCTCAAAGTTAAAAACAACAACAATAACAACAAAATCTCAGGAACATTAAATAGCAGCAGTAGTTAAGACTATTATAATGCAATTATTTCATATACTTTCGTATACAATTTCCCCAAATTGAAAGTGTAATTTATCACCTTGAGAAGTTACAAAAGCAGTTGATTGCCAAAGTGAAAGGATCTTCGAGATAATCTTGTGCATCGTTTGTCTACAGATGAGGAAATAAAGACTGAGAGTTCAATTTTTAACTTTTTCATGGTCACACATCCCGTTAGTGACAGAGACAGGACCAGAACCCAGGTCTTTACAATATTATGCTTCCCCAGTTAAATTTGACTGAAAGTGTTGTTTGTCTCTTACAATTTTCTAAACTCAACACCTGCAGTGTGTCATTAACCACACCAATCTCAGGACATGCGGTAGGGTAATAATTTTTTCATCGCTATAGCAATAACTCACTATTTTAGAAGTTATTTAAACTCTTCTCCATTACTCAAACATGTGAGATCAAGTGTTCCAATTTGGGGTGTAGAAGATAATCATCCATTCATTTGTCCATTTGGCAAACATTTAAGGAATACTTATTTTGTGCCCGTTACTATCATAGTTGCTAAAGACACAAGAGTCTTTATCCTTGAAGCACACAGTCTAGCAGAAGTAAACAAACTAAATATTAGCCAAGACAAATGGCTAGTAATTACTAAGTGATTAGCACACGCAAGGACTTTACCTGGAATTTCTCATTTAATTCCCCATGACAATCTACATATCACAGCTACTAACTAGCCCCACTTCACAGATGAGGTAATTGAGGCTTAGAAAGCTTACGCGAGTTGCCTAAACTCATACAACTTAGGTGGGGTAGTCTGGCAACCACATACTACTGCATTTGCTCTGAATCTTTATGTCATACTCTTTGTAGTTAGGCAGAAACACAGAAGCAGGGACTGTGTTTGGAGGGAGACTCCGTTGTGAAGGTGGAAACTGAGGAAGTAAACAAGAACCAAGAAAGGATGCATCAGGGACAGCATTTTGGAAGTAATTTTAGGAACTTACAAGGACGTTATCAAGACTAATGCACTAGTGTACAGGGGAGCAGCAGGAAATGGACCTAGAAAGGAGGATGGGAGTCATATTTTATTCTGCAGATGATATGAAGTTATTATTTAAGGGTTTCAAGTATGGGAGTGACGATTAGATTTGCTTCTTAGAGAGAACACTCTGACTATAGTGAGAATAATGAATTGGAGCAAGCTTGCAGCTGGGGAGACAGTAGAACATTGCTGCGATTAACCATGATGAGACGTTGACTGAAGGCAATGATAGCAAAGATGGAGAAAAGGAGACAGATTCAGGAACTATTTAAAAGGTAAAATCAACAAAACTGGTTGATGGATTGGATTTGAGTAGGGAAGGCAGGGAGCTTTAGACAACCTTAAGATTTCTGACTTCAGCAGCCTGGGTTAATACATTAGGATAACTTAACTACTTCATAGATCAAGTCTGTAGTTATTAATGGCGAAAACCATAATTACTTTTGCACCAATCAGGACATATTCTATATAGACTTATTCTGATTTTAGATTTTAGCTTATGCTGTATCATATCCAAACTCCCTTGCTGGTGAACTCTGTTATCACCAGATACTATGGGATTGTTAGAACAAAATAGAAAGTGGACGAATGTAGAAATTAAATGTTTATCCATAACCCAGTCACTTGCATCAGAACATCAAAACTTCATGAGCTTTGAATAAGTTCCCAGAACTGTCATGAAAGATCACAAGTTCTTTAATGCAGAAGAACATGTTAAGCCAAAACAATCATACTTGACAGTAAATAATAAAGCAAGTAACTATTAGTAGAATACCTTGTTAGTGAAATTGCACATTTGTTTATGCAAAATTATTATTCAATAATTTTCACTTGATCTTAGCCAAAAGGCCAAGGAGCATTTATTTGATAATTTTCATAACCTTTTTAATTTGTACCAGTCCTATAGTAGGAAATGGAAACACTGGCAATAAGAGCCAACTCCTTTTCTTAAGAATCTTAGGCTTGTAAAAAGTAAAGTAGAGGTTCCTCTTCAAAGACTTTCCTCCCTGTCTAATTAGAAATAAATAGTAACTTCTCTTAAAAAGCAAAATTTATCCTTCGCCCACTTTTTGATGGGGTTGTTTGTTTTTTTTCTTGTACATTTGTTTGAGTTCATTGTAGATTCTGGATATTAGCCCTTTGTCAGATGAGTAGGTTGCAAAAATTTTCTCCCACTCTGTAGGTTGCCTGTACACTCTGATGGTGGTTTCTTTTGCTGTGCAGAAGCTCTTTAGTTTGTTGTGGGGTGGGGGAAGGGGGGAGGGATAGCATTAGGAGATATACCTGATGCTAAATGACGAGTTAATGGGTGCAGCACACCAACATGGCACATGTATACATATGTAACAAACCTGCACGTTGTGCACATGTACCCTAAAACTTAAAGTATAATAATAATAATAAATTTATTCAAAAACCTGTGCTAACATTCTTAAATATCTGCTAGCCGTAATAAAAAAATCAATGTACTTTATGTTCTTAGTTCCCACATTTAGCCTAAATATTTGCCCTGGCATGCTTATACTGGTCCAAGCAAGCATTAGGTCATTGCCTGTTCCTCTTCCTTATTTAAAGGTATTTTTACCTTTCTCAGCATTCCACAAGTTACTTCCTCCTTCCTTTGTTCTCCTCTGCCTTTGCCTCTTTTAAAAAGTTCTAAGTTGCTAGCCACTCGGGACAAATATAGAATGTGAGGTCCCGTTCCAGCCAGTGGAAACCGGACACAGCAGTAGGGTAGACACGTCAGGTTGTAAATGACCTGGTCTCCTTTGTTCAGTGTACTCTCATGGCAAAACTGCTGGCGAGTGTACCCTTTCTGCAGAAAGTATAAAAATGGCCTTACTAAAAAAATTAAATTTATGTTTAAGTGCTATTTCTTTATGGTACCGGAAAACAAGCATTTCAAGCAAGCTCTATTGAGAGAGACTAAGAAGCAAAGGGAATTGCAGCACAGATGATAAGCATTCAAACAGCAGTTAGCTCAGATGCTGGGAGTCCCAGTAGAGGGTCAGGAGACCCAGCTTTGTGGGCAATGGTCCCCTCCTTCTCAAGGTCAGTCTGACTCCCATAAGGAAGCATATAATGGTGTTAGGCACAGAAGGTGTAGGAGGGTATTTCAGGTGGCAGAAAAGCATAGAATGAAAGAACATTTTGACTCACTCCAACATTTTGTTCCAGGGGACATTTGGATGCTGCAGTACCAAGAAGTAAGCAATCAATATACAAGCACAGCTGCATTTTCTCAGTCACAGGCTGCCTGGGTGTGAATCCCCGATCTGCCTCTTACTAGCTGTATAATTTGAGACAATTTATTTCCAGTCTTTGTGCCTCGGTTTCCCCATCTTAAAATAGAAATGATAATTACATCTCTGCAAAGAGTTGTTGTGCAAATTTACAAAAACAACAGCAAAAACAAAAAACATAAAAAGTGGGCACAGAATATGAACAGACACTTTTTTTTTTTTTTTTGAGACAGAGTTTTGCTCTTGTTGCCCAGGCTGGAGTGCAATGGTGTGATCTCTGCTCACTGCAACCTCCACCTCCTGAGTTCAAGCGATTCTCCTGCCTCAGCCTCCTGAGTAGCTGGGATTACAAGCATGCACCACCATGCCTGGCTAATTTTGTATTTTTTTTAGTAGAAACGGGGTTTCTCCATGTTGGTCAGGCTGGTCTCGAATTCCCAACCTCAGGTGATCTGCCTGCCTCGGCCTCCCAAAACGCTGGGATTACAGGCGTGAGCCACCATGCCCGGCCTATGAACAGACACTTTTTGAAAGAAGACATACATGCGGCCAACAATCATATGAAGAAAAGCTCAACATCACTGATCATTAAAGAAATGCAAATCAAAACCATAATGAGATACCATCTAACAGCAGTCAGAATGGCTATTACTAAAAGGTGAAAACAAAACAAAACAAAAACAGATGCTGGCAAGGTTGTAGAGAAAAAGAAATGCTTACACACTGTTGATGAGAGTGTAAATTAGTTCAGCCATTGTGGAAGACAGTGTGGCGACTCCTCAAAGACCTAGAGACAGAAATATTATTCAACCAAGCAATCTCATTATTGGGTATACACCCAAAGGAATATAAAGCATTCTATTATAAAGATACATGCACACGTATGTTCATTGAAGTACTATTCACAATAGCAAAGACATGGAATCCACCTAAATGCCCATTGATGATAGACTGGATAAAGAAAATGTGGTACATATATGCCATGGAATACTATGCAGCCATAAAAAAAGAAGGAGATGATGTCCTTTGTAGGGACATGGACAGAGCTGGAGGCCCTTATCCTTAGCAAACTAACACAGGAACAGAAAACCAAATACTGCATGTTCTCACAAGTGGGAGCTAAATGATGAGAACACATGGACACATAGAGGGGAACAACACACACTGGGGCTGTTCAGAAGGTAGAGAGTGGGAATAGGGAAAGGATCAGGAAAAATAATTAATGGGTACTAGGCTTAATACCTGGGTGATGAAATAATCTGAACAACAAACCCCCATGACACAAGTTTACCTATGTAACAAATCTGCACATGTATCCTGGACTTAAAATCGACGTTAAAAAAAAAGAGTTGTTGTGAAGATTAAATGAATATAAGCCCATTTAAGGTGTTTAGAACAGGGCTCATAAGAAGTACACAATAAATATTAGCTATTACCATTACCATAAATATAATTTTTACTCTTAAAATTTGATTTCCTATTGCTATCTTTATCTCTGAGTCTTTGTCTCTGTTTTGCCTAGCTCTCTCTGTTGCCTAATGTTGTTCAATGTTCTCATCCCGTTGAATAAGAAATGAGTAAATAAACCATTAATCTGCTGTTCAATTTATAAGGGATATTTCTGGCAAAAATAACCAACACAAATTAAAACTGAAAATGGCTATGACTGATTGTATGTGGTAAAAATGTGATATTGACTAAAAATGGAGCAAATCTTGAAATGCAGATCTGCAAAATTTGACCCAGGAAAATTGGATCTGGTAAAAATAAGTCACTGAAGAAACCTCACACAAATAATACCTAAAATTGGTACAATTTGATGCAGACAGAACTCTTGATGATTAAATTTTCACTCTAAAATTTACATAAAGAACTGCCAGACATAACTTTAGGGCAAGCACAGTGGTTCATGCCTGTAATCCCAGCACTTTGGGAGGCCGAGGTGGGTGAATCACTTGAGCCCAGGAGTTTCAGACCAGCCGGGACAACATGGTGAAACCCCATCGCTACAAAAAATACAAAAATTAGCCTGGCATGTGGCACGCGCCTGGGGTCCCAGCTATTTCTTGGGAGGCTGAGTTGGGAGGATCAATTAAGCCTAGGAGGTTGAGGCTGCAGTGAGTCGTGATCATGCCACTGTACTCCAGCATGGGCGACAGAGTGAGACCCTGTTTCAAAAAAAAAGAAAAGAAACCACTTTAGGAAACCAAAAAGAATTAATCCCCAAAATTAAAACAACGTTATGTAATATAAAAATTGATTCAAAAATATATTGGTGTTTATTATTTATTAAGGCTAATTATTATGTTGAGTTTATTGGAATTTATTGGGGTTATTGGTGTTTGTTCCTGAAATTGCTCTCTCAATGAGCAGGCAATAATTTTGCATAATTTTTATTCAATGTCAAAATGTCATTAGGATCCAAAGGATAGGGGTCAGGATGGGATTATGGATCAAGATGTGTGTGTGTGCACATGTATGTGTGGTGTGTGTGGAAGAAAAGTTAAGAGCGAGCAAAAGGCAGAGTGGCCCCAGAAGTGGAGCAGCATGCAGGATATGCCCATACTATTAGGAGCCTCAGTTTATCCTGGTTGATGTGCCAGAGCCGAGCGGCATACAGGCTTCAGGATCATGCCAACCTGCATTTAAAAAGGTCACAGGCTATGTCGCCCTGCAAAGGTCCCCACCTCCCCAGCCTCAGCCTCTTGATCTCAACATGAGAATCATAGTAGTACTCACCTCAACAGGTTATCAGGAGGACCACAAGAGCTAATGCCCTTGGCAGGTACCTGGCATGCAATCAGCCTTCAATATTGATATTGGCCACAATTATTTACTATTGTTTTACTTTTTAAGTGTGGATGTGCTCTCAGAAGAAGTTACTCACCTAGCTGCCTGTCCTAGATGTGTAACTTCTTCTGGATGGGGTCTTCATATCATGTTTCTTTGCCCCCAGCCTGGTTTCCAGAATCCCAGCACAATGTCATGTTTATTATAGGATACCAGCGATTTTTAGCTGAATGTTGACTGGACATGAAAGAGAGAGAAAAAAAATAAAGGGAGAGAAAGAAAGAGGTTGGGGGGTCAGGGCTGTGAGACATATGGGGTGCATCAAAGGATTGCTAGACAGATGGTAAGCAGGGGAGCAGCTCAAGGCAGAGAGAACACCTGGGCTATGTACTAATTAGCTGACAGGTGGGTCAAGGATTGGAAAAAGTAGGAAACAGTATGTTGTTTATTCCCCGGAATCAGAGGCTGCCTGAGGCCAGGTTCACTAATGCCCCTACTCCTCCTGGCTAAGTTCTACAAGTTCAGAATACATTCCACTTCACCTTGAAGAAGCCCTGGGCCACGGGACGGAAGCTTTGCTGACAGGTTTCATAACTGGGCCTTTCACTTAAGGTTCTGAGCCACTTTGGCCTCAGCCAGCACTGCACTTCCTCCAGTCATATCTTCCCCGAAACTAAAATACAGCTTGGAAAGACAGTCTGGTGCCCTCACCGTCGCTGTGGCTTCCTCAAGCCATGACATGCTCTTTTATGAGCCTGCGGGGCTGTAATTCTCATCACCTGACATTTATGGGAGGCTTCGTATTAGCAAACGGCTTTATGGCCATTTTTATGAGGGATGCCTCTCTGAACCCTGTCAGGTGTAATCACCCAGACTAGGCAGGAGGAGAGAGCATGGTGGGCAGGCAAATGGCCCTGGCCCACTGGCCAGCAAAGAGCCAGGGATGGAGCCTGCAGGTGCCACTGCTCTTCAAACGTGTGTCATAGCTGATTTTCTTGTCCTCACAGCCTTGGCAGCTCTCTCCGTGTCACTGTCCTCCACATCCAACCCACCAGAGGGTCCTGAAGGTGAGACCACCAAAGCCACCTCATATCCATTCATTTCTGTCCATCTTCCCAGCTTGACTCCCACACAGCACCACCTGGCTCTGTCTCCTCCTCTTGCCCCGCTGCCCTACTGTCCATCATCCACACAGAAGACAAAATAATCCTCTAGATGATTTTTGTTTTGTTTTGAGATGGAGTCTCGCTCTGTCAGTCAGCTTGGAGTGCAGTGGTGCGATCTTGGCTCACTGCAACCTCCGCCTCCGAGGTGCAAGCAATCTTCGTGTTTCAGCCTCTGGATCAACTGAGACTACAGGTGCGTGGCACCACGCTCAGCTAGTTTTTGTATTTTTAGTAAAGACAGGGTTTCACCATGTTGTCCGGGCAGGTCTTGAACTCCTGACCCCAAGTGATCCACGCACCTCGGCCTCCCAAAATGCTGGGATTACAGGCGTGAGCCACTGCGCCCGGCTTCTCTAGATGTTAATATAGTTATTTAATGTATGCACTTTTTAAACTTTCTGATATTTCTGGGAAAAAAAAATCTTTATTGATACCCTGTAGCGAGTATGTACTATTAAAAAAAATAGTCCTTGAAAGACAAAAATAGCAAATGCTCAATAGCTTCCTCTTCTGAATAAAATGTATCCCAAACAAAATCCCAGCTCCTGGGCAAAATACTGGGACCCTCTGTGAACTGGTACTTGCCCACTTCTCTGGCCTCTCCACACAGCCCTCTGCTCCTGCACGGAGTTCAAGGACCCAGGGAGCACTTTTCTGTCTCTGGAGTTTACACCCACTTCTCTCTCTGCATGAAAAGCTCTTGGCCTCTCCTGGCACAGCTGGCGTTGTCACAACCTTCCATTCTTAAATTGCCTGCCATCCCCCTGTACCCCGTCTCCCCCACCCACACATCTCCACATTAGCCTGTTAACGTTCAGAGCACTTTCAACAACCTTAAAATGTTTCCTGTTTGTTGACATACAAAATTGGTTTCCTTTGGCAGATTGTAAGTTTCATGAGAACAAGCACCTGCTCTGTAATTTTTGCTACTGTACTCAATGCTTTGCACATCACCTGCACCAAGTATAAGCTGAGTAAATAGGTGTTGAAAAAGTAAATGAAAAAATGGAATGGTAATTGAAAAACCTCTCTCCTCTCAAACCACACGTTAGTCTTCATTTTCATCAGTAGAGGGCAGCAAAGACTTTGCATTATCTAACTTTTCTGGCGTTTCTGCCAGAAAACTTATTCTCCTTTGCCCAGTAGTAGACTCTGGTTGTCAGGAGTTTTAGGAAAATACTCAGCCTTACAAACTCTTCCCTCTCCTTATTTCTGGAGTTGTCTTCACTCTGAATTATTTACAGGTGTTTTTGTTTTTCTAAGATTTCAGGCTGACAATGTTCCTTAAGAAATGAAAGCACATGTATCTACTAAACCAAAAAAGAAACCCCAGTGGCCTGGAGCCTGTACCTGCCTGCCCGACGAATTACTGGGGGGAAAGATGCTTATATCATATCCTACAGCTGTTTAGGACTTAAGGCTCGGCAGCTCTCCCTTATGGTGTGTAGGAGGGGCAGGTACCAGAGAAGCAGCTGCTACTTGTGTTGTGAGCACTTGCAAGAGCAAGTTGTGCGTGGGTTTATGGTTCTGTCTTCTATTTGCATCTGTTTCTGCTTATTCCATCTTCTGTTCTACACACCCCTACCTTCCACTCCCCAAGGCAAGAATTTCACCATTCCCTGCCTTTGTGCGCTCCCATGGTGGCTTCACCCAGAGTACACCCTGAACCTGGGTAATCAGAAGTAGAATCAGTGTCCACCCTGTTTTAGAATGGTATTTTCACTCACCTTCTGTCCAGCAAATATTTAAGAGTCCTCCTACATATTAGGCATGGGTTTGTGCTCTGTGAATACCGATGCTCCATTTGGTGGAAAGGCCCATTACAGGATCAAAAGGGGAGCATGATTTCTCAACCTCAGTACTATTGAGATTTTGGACAAAGTAATTTTCTGTCATAGGAGCATTCTAGGATGTTTCGCAACACCCCGGCCTCTACCCATTAGATGGAAGTAGCATCCACCCCCCAAGCTGTAATAACCAAAAATGCCTCCAGACATTGCCAAAAGTGGGGGTGGGGAGGAATTCCTACCCCCAACCTTGAGAACCAGTACTTTAAGGGGATCATAGTGGATGCCGTTGGGATATCTTTGCGGCCTTACATCAGTGACCCCTTTCTCCTAATACTCCTCCTCCTTACCCACTATTTATCTGTTGTGACCTGAAGCCCATGGACTTGACAGATTGGACATCTGACCCAACTTAGGCTTCTCAGCTTCTCTCCTCTGGGAATTTGAAAGTAGGACCGAGGGACTGTCTACCACATGGGCTCTCAGCAGCGTCAAAACTTTAATGAGAATTCAGGAGATGTGGGTGGATGTATGATAATAACATTGGAGACCAGATGCGAAGATATTTGCTTATCTACTGCAGAGATAAGAATAAAATGCTCAGTAGAGAAACACAGAGACAAGAGTCAAAGAGAAGCCACCTGGTGCTAGCACTTTCTAAGGCCTGGCTACACTTCCTACAATTCTTGCCTTAGATAGTAAGACATTCCTGAACATTTTAAACTAATTCCTCTTTGATGCCAGGGCAGTATTTTGTTCTGTTACTGGCCAATAAGGAGTTCTGACTAGTCCATTCTATGTGGCCTGGAACTGAAATCTTAACCAGAAAACATCAGGGATCCAGGCAGCTGGGGGAGCCATTTCTAACCCTAAGGGCAGCTTCACTGACTCAGACCATGTGCTCTATTTCACTTTCCCTACCAAATGGCTTTCTCACCCTCTATCACTACAGGGATAGAGATGGTGTTTTCTTTTGTCTTAACCTTGGCTTATCCATGGCTCATGTCCTCAACTTCTTGTCCATTCACCATCAGCTGGACTGCTAACAGCACACACAAGTTGCGTTTCTAGGCTTAGTTTCCTGAGCGGGGGGAGTCTGGTTGGCTCCTGTGGCCAACACCGCTGGCTGCCCACTCAGCAACCACCCTCCTCATCAGGTTTGTTCAGGTGAACAACCTCAGGTGGTGAATACATCATTGGTTTGTAAGAGCGCTGAGAGGTAAGGGAACTTTTGCGGGGCTGGGGGGCGGATTATGGGAAAGAGTGTTATCCCTGATACGAGACGGGGAGGCCTGAGAGGGAGCTGGCCCACCCGCTTCCTGCCTGCTTTGGATGTCACATGAGGACATGATGCATGACGCGGTTGTACCTATCATGCACCCATGAGGCAAAGCCAAGAGAACGACAGAGAAACTGACAGAAGAGGGCGTCAACATCCTTGAGCTGACAAACTGACCAGCCCTCGAGCCACTTACCTTCAGACTTCTTGTTACATGAGGTATCCTTAAGGTTTAAGCTACTTTGACTCGGGTGTCCTGTTACTTGAAGCCAAGAGGATCCTGACCAATATAGAATAGCTCATCTTTTCAGGCCATGTGGCTTAGGTCCTAGGTCTCTAGCTGTGAATCTGTAGGTTGACTGCCTTGGGGCCAGGCATCCACCGGCAGCCCACATGTTTATGCCTCCCTAACTCCCAACCTTTTATTTTGAAAATGTTTAAACCTACAGAAAAGTTTAAAAAGAAAATACAATGAACTCTCAAATATCCTTCACCTGCAATCACCCATTGTTAACATTTCACTACTCTTGTTTATTGTACATAACTCCATATACGTATATGGGTGTTTTTCATAGACAGATAGATAGATAGTGGGGTTTGGGGGCTGAAAATTGGAAAGTACATTAAAAACTTTATGAAGCTTCACTCCATAGTACTTTGGCATTTACCTCCAAAGAAACAAGGACATTTTCCTGTATAACCAAATTGTCAATCTAATAGATTCAACATTGAGGTATTATCTAATATTTTAAAAGTCTTATTAAATATATATAGCTTTTCCCCCAGTACCACCCTTTGAAGCTTTACTTGTTTTGTTTTGTCTTAGTTTTGCCTTTGTTTTTGTTTTTATCCGGGATTCATCAAGAATCACATGCTGTTTTAGCTGTCACGTCTCTATAGTCTATTTTAGAACAGTTCTCTTGACATTTGCGGGGAAATGGGGAGAGGGCCTTCAGGTCAGTTCTTTTATAGAATGTCCCACAATTTGGATTATCTGGATATTTCTTCAGAATTAGATTTAGTTAAAGACTTTTAGCAAAAACTTCTACAGAAGTGATGTTGGGTCCCTCTCAGTGTTCATAACAAGAGGCATATGATATCACTGTGCCCTGTTATAGGTGATGCTAAATTTAATCCTCTGATTAAGGTGTTGCCTGCTAGAATTCTTCACTGTAAAGGTATATTTCCCCACTTTATAATTAATAAGTAATCTCTGGGATGGTACATGGAGGATATGAAAATATCTTGTTCCTCCACAACTTTTACCATGTTCTAGCATTCATTAATAAACTTTGACTGAATCAATTATAATGTTGGTGATTGCAAAAATCACAATTTTTCTAATCCTATCATTTCTTCCACATTTACAAGCTGGCATTCTGCTGTTTAAGCAAATGCTCTCCTCTCATACTCACCTTTTAATGTTCTTGAGTATCACTGTCAACTAGGAAAAATCATTACCATCGGTTTTCTTTTCAATTCTCAATTTGTCCCAAATTAGGCCAACGGGAGCCCCTTCCAGTTGGTCTCTGTGTCCTTCTGACATATGCCTGTTGGTTTTGAGTGCTTCTTTACTTATTTCACGATTCTGTAGCAGAGGAGGTCCCAGGCTCATCTTGCACTTTCTTTGCTCCAGACATTGAATCAGCCATTTCTCCAAGGAGATTCAGTTTCTTTTAGTGGAAACCTTCAGTTCTTAGAAAAAAAAATGAGTAGGAAGAGTGCTCTTGCTATTGGAGTCTCATTGCCTCTAGGCCCTTTCAGTAGACAGAGCCAGAAAGTATATTTTATTTAAAATCATTAATTTATCTGAATCCCCCAACTCCAATCCAATACCAGCAGTTCTTCCTCTTGTCCTCCCAGTCCATATTTTTATCTTTTTCATTTTTTTGAGACAAGGTCTTGCTCTGTTGCCTGGGTTGGAGTCCCATGGCAATATCATAACTCACTGCAGTCTCAACCTCCCAGACTCCAGCAATCCTCCTGCCTCAGCCTCCCAAGTAGCTGGGACTACAGGTACATACCACCTTACCCAGCTAATTTTTTTTTTTTTTATAGATGGGGTCTTGCTTTGTTGCCCAGGCTGGTCTCGAATCCCTGGACTCAAGTGATCCCACCTTGACCTCCCAAAGGGCTGGGGTTACAGGCGTGAGCCACTGCGCCCAGCCCATATTTTTACCTCTCTTTTCTCAAAGGAAGAATGCTGGTTTTCATGAACATCACTATATTTACTCTTCTGCTCTCTTCTATAATACTCAATAATATTAGACTTACTACATCAACACCACTACCAACAACAAACCTAACAAAGTTCAAGATTACAGTTTTAAAAAATGTCCTTAGAATGTAGCCCACTTAAAAGTAGAAGTCTGTTTAAAAGCCTTTAAACCTTGAAATAGGTTCGTTTGTTTCTTTTTAAATTCAACATTAGGGTTTTCCTATCCTTATTGATTATATATATATACTTTTTTTTTCTTTGAGACAGAGTTTAACTCTTTCATCCAGGCTAGAGTGCAATGGTGTGATCTCTGCTCACTGCAACCTCCGCCCCCTGGGTTCAAGTGATTCTCCTGCCTCAGCCTCCCGAGTAGCTGGGATTACAGTCCAAGTCTGAAGATCTAAGAACTAGGGAAGCCAGTTGTGAAAATCCCAGTCCGAGGGCAGAAGACAGATGTTCCAGCTCAAGCAGGCAGGCAGGAAGCAAAAAAGGGCCAAATTCCTTCTTTTAGACAGTCTCGCTCTGTCACTCAGGCTGGGGTGCAATGGCGCAATCTTGGCTCACTGCTACCTCCACCTCCTGGATTCAAGCGATTCTCCTGCCTCAGCCTCCTGAGTAGTTGGGATTAGAGGCACCTGCTACCATGCCCAGCTAATTTTTTGTATTTTTTTTTTTTTTTTTTGCTTTTAGTAGAAACGGGGTTTCACCATGTTGGCCAGGTTGGTCTCATACTCCCGACCTTAGGTGATCTGCCAGCCTTGGCCTCCCACAGTGCTGGGATTAGAGGCGTGAGCCATGGCGCTTAGCCTCCCTGTCTTTTTGTTCTAGTCAGGCCCTCAATGAATTGGATGATGCCTACCCACATTGGGGAGGGCCATCTATTTAACTGAGTCCATTGATTCAAATGTTAGTCTCACCCCAAAACACCCTTACAGAGACATTCACAGAAATGATGTTTAATCTGGGTACCCCATGGCACGGTCAAGTTGACATAAAATTAACCATCACATACACACACATATATTGTTATTTAGCCTTTTTAAAAGCAAATATCTATGTCTATTTCTTTGCACATTACTTTTTTCACTTCATATTGTTTTATGTTATAAATATGCAAGCCTTTTATCGCACTAGTTTTTCATTATGTGATTTAGATTTCATTATGTCATTATGTGATATATTGTTCTCTCAATATATTTGGTATTTGGAAGGGTTTTGTTTTTAATGGTTACTTTTACATTTACGCTAAAATAACTTTAGTTCCCCCATCTTATTTTTATTACTATCTGTTGGTTCTCCAGCAATATAGAAATTAGTTAATTTCTTTTTTATTCTCTCATCCCTATCCATCAATATCTCATTTGAATAAACATCCTTTCATTATTATCTATTGGTTCTCCAGCAATATGAAAATTAGTTCATTTCTTGTTTACTCTCTCATCCCTACCCATCAATATCTCATTTGAATAAACACCCTTTTACCACATCAGTAACTATAAAACAATCAACAAGAATATTTTATTTTTTCTCTCTCTCACCATTCTCTGCTTTTAATTATTGTACAGTATCTACTTTGCCTGGATGTTTGCTGTTTTTATAACCATCATAGTTTTATGGGTAAAAGTACATCTAACATTCACCCTTCGTTCTTATGCCAATATCTTTCCATTTTGGTTGTCTAAAAAAATCTTTCTTTAGTACATTCCTCAGGTAAGGTACATGGGAGCAGTATTCTCTGGTTCTTTTATGTACATAAAAACTTGTTGCATTTAGCTACCTATTAAATCTCTGGCTCATGTTTACTTTCCTTGAGTATGTTCAAGGAATGTTACTTCATTTCTTCTGGAATGATGTCTAATGACAATCTTATTTCCTTTCCTATGTCAGTGACTTGAGATTTTGACTAGTTGCCCAAATATTTTTTCCTTTTTCTATAAAGCCCAGAAGTTGTTTTAGGATATATCTTGACCTTGATCATTCTAGATTGATTTTGCTAGGTACTCATGTCAGTCTCACTCTCTTTTTTTTTTTTTTTTTTTTTTTTGAGATGGGGTATCTCTCTGTCACCCAGGTTGGAGTGCAGCAGCTTAATCTCAGCTCACTGCAGCCTTGACCTCCTCAGCTCAAGCGATCCTCCCACCTCAACCTCCCAAGTAGCTGGGACTACAGGCGTGTGCCATCAGGCTCAGATTTTTTTTTTTTTTTTTTTGTATTTTTTGTAGAGATGGCATTTTGCCATGTTACCCAGGCTGTTCTCAAATTCCGGGTCTCAAGCAGTCCTCCCACCTCGGCCTCCCAAAATGCTGGGATTATAGGTATGAGCCACAGCACCCAGCCTCCGTCTCTTTTTTATTTTAGGAACGTTTTCTTGAGTGTTAGCTTTTTGAATTTAAATTACTTTTAAATTTCCATTTTTATTTTTTATTTGTGACTTTTCTATCATACATATGTTGAATATTCTTTGCTTACTTTCTATATTGACCACTTCCTTTGGAATCCTTCATTTCTCTTTAATGTATTGAAACTTTTATTTTTACCTTCTATGTAAGGCATTATCTGTTGAATTTATTCACTGTTTTGTACCTTCTATTTTAGTTTCTATTTCTGAAATAATTCTAATTCTGAATTCTCCTACATCATTTCTAAGATTTTCTAATTCTGACTTGTATAGTTCTTTTCTACCTAATGTTATTTCGTTAGCCTTTTAGCACATTTTGAAATAGTAAGTCATACTTTTCAACAGTTTCAAAAGCATGTCTTTCTGATATGCTTTGTTATTCTGCCTTTTTTTCTTAGAACTTAGTGTTGATTTTGAACACAATCTTACATATATGCAAAAATATATATATAATATATATGTTAAAAAATATATATAATTTTTTTTTTTTTTTTTGAGACAGGGACTCACTCTGTTGCCCAGGCGGAAATACAGTGGTGCAGTCATGGCTCACTGCAGCCTCAACCTCCCAGGCTCAAGTGATCCTCCCCTCTTGGCCTAAGTAGCTGGGACTACAGTTGCATGCCACCACGCCCAGTTAATTTTTCTATTTTTTTGTACAGATGGGGTTTTGCCTTGTTGGCCAGGCTGGTCTCAAACTCCTGGCCTCAAGTGATCTGCCCACCTCTGCCTCCCAAAGTGCTGAAATTACAGCCATGAGCCACTACACCCAGCCAAAAAATGTATTTTTATGGCCTTATGTATTTTGACATATGGTTCCTCTGCTCTTTTATCTAGGCCTTCTTTTCTCTTTATCTCTGTCACCCCATGCTTCCCCATTTGGATTCTGCTCTCAGAAGTCTACTCTGGGTGTGAGGCTTTCTTCTCTAATAGAGTTTTGTAATTATAAAGGTCCACAAGGCCAAGCTTCAGCACCTTTAGACCTTACCTTGGGCCCTATACACCCACATCTTCATTGGAGTGTGCAAAAACCCTTCCCAATTTTGGTAACTGTTCCCAAATTAGTCTAACTCTGCTTTTTAGTGAGTACCTACTACCAGTTTTAGAATTCTGGTCTCAGGTCTGTCAGATGCCTCATTCCTCTCTCCTGCATAGACAATATGGATCTTTAATTATTATTGGTGGTTTTTCTCCACCTGCTCATATTTTGGGGTTCATGAGAATATCTTGTTCATCTAGATTTTATTAAGATGTTGACATTGGGCCTTGGATTTTGCTATTAGAGTTGATCTGTTCTTTTTTATGGGGACAGGGGATTGGGGATGATTTTAAAACCTCGCTGCCACTGCTCTCATCTTTTCATAATTTCCTCCATTGATTCATTTGCTCATTCATCTATTTAACAAATACTTTTGAGCCCTGAATTGGAACATCATATGCCTCTTCAGATTCTCTTATCGCCATTAACTTTGAGAACCTAGTTGATTATTCTGCCTCAACTGCCACTGTAATTAACTGATTCCATTTATACCTGTATGATTCTACCATCTAGAGCTGATCATTCAATGTTTGCGGCGGTGGGTTTGAAGAATCCTCCTCTCAGCTATCTCCGTGCAGCCATACCAAATAGCTACATGCCCTGCATTTAACCTATAATTATGTAATGTAATAACAGTGTACATATATAATAAAATTAGGTAGAAAAAACTATATAATATATAGTTATATAATAGTAGTAATACAAGCTATAATTTATGACAAGCTATAATTAATCCCTTTTAGATATAGAGTTTAGTGAGTTTTAACAAATATCTACAGTTGGCCTGGTGCAGTGGCTCATGCCTGTAATCTCAGCACTTTGGGAGGCTGAGGTGGGTGAATCACCTGAGGTCAGGAGTTCGAAACCAGCCTGGCCAACATGAAAAAACCCCGTCTCTACTAAAAATACAAAAATTAGCTGGGTGTGGTGGCAGCTGCCTGTAATCCCAGCTACTCGGGAGGCTGAGGCACGAGAATCACTTGAACCCAGGAGGTGGAGGTTGCAGTGAGCCGAGATTGTGCCACTGCACTCCAGCCTGGGTGACAAAGTAAGACTCCATCTCAAAAAAAAAAAAAAAAAAGTTGTCTACAGTTGTGTAACTACAATAAAGATGTAGAATATTTCTATCACTCCAAAAAGATCTCTAGTGCCATTTTATAGTCAATGGTCTCTTCCAACCCCAGCAATCACTGATCTGATTTCTATCCCTTTAGCTTTCCCTTTTAGTGAATATCATATACATAGAATCATACATGTAATCTTTTGTGTTAGACTTAGCATAATGCTGTTTTGATTCAGCCATGTTGTTGCACATATCAGCAGTTTGTTACATTTTATTGCTGAGTTACACTCCATTGTACAGATGTACCCCCGACTTCTTTATCAAATCATCTATTGATGGTCACATGGATTGTTCCCAGTTTTTAGTGATTATGAATAAAACTGTTTTAAATATTTGTGTACACATCTTTTTGCAGGCTATGCTTTCATTTTTCTTGGGTAAATAGCTAAGAATTTCATTGCTGGGTCATATGGTAACTTATGCTGGGTCATATGGGTTCTTTAACTTTATAAAGAACTTCCAAACTGTTTTCAAACGTGTCTGAATCATTTGCCGTTGACACCAACTATGTACAAGATTATTTTTCATTAATTATTAAAATTTGACAATACAACGCAAACTGATTCTCATTATTTTAAAAAGTCAAGCGATACACAAATGCAAAATTGTCTTTTCTCTTCTCCTCAACCCCTCTCCGCTCCTTAAAAATGTGACTACTGTGATAAGTTTGGTGTTTATAAACATTCTTGCTTATATTGAAAAAAACTAGATGCTCTTTGAATTCACCCCCACCCTCCACCACCAAGTTCTAATACCTACTACAAAGCATAATATGGTGGCAAGACTACTGGCGTGGTAGGTTGACAAGACCTACCAGCCACACCCACATTTGAATCCTGGATCCGCTGCTTTCTAGCTCCAAACAAAGCTTGTATACACACACACACACACACACGGATACAAAGATATGTATGTATCTATCTTAATTGTACGTGTAGATCATATATATGACAATAGGAGGGATTGACATCTCATAATACATTAAAATAAATATAAAAGAAGGTATTTTATATTTATTTTAAATGAAAAATAATTAAATATATAAATATATATACTTAAGTTTCCATTTGCCATTCCTAATTAACATAGATTTCTAATTTTTCTGTCATTTCTGAGCATGAAAGCTTAACACACTAATGTATCAAACTGCCTTGGATCGCAGACAAGACACATTAGTATAAAATTTTCATCTAGAACTTTTTCTAGATTGTCCAGAAAAATGTTTAAGAAAGCTTTCAGAATATGAAAAATAGGAGCAGGGACTAAGTGATCCTATAGAAGATGTGTGTAGTTAATTTCTAACACTTATAAATTACCTATATTAAAAAAATAAATAAATAAATTAGCTGTATTGACCAAATGCAGTCATGAATTTAGACATAGTGAAAACCAAGTAACCTATCCAAGGATATTTGCTGTAGGATTTTTATGACAAAAATTTAAAGAAAAAAAATAACCAAATGCCAATCAGAAAGGAATTGGCTTAAAAAATAGTGTAATCAGACCTGGCGCAATGGCTCATGCCTGTAACCCTGGCACTTTGGGAGGCCCAGGTGGGCAGATCACCTGAGGTCAGGAGTTCAAGGCCAGTCTTGCCAACATGGCAAAACCCCATCTCTACTAAAAATACAAAAATTAACCAGGCATGATGGCGCACGCCTATAATCCCAGCTACTCGGGAGGCTGAGGCGGGAAAATCACTTGAACCCTGGAGACAGAGGTTGCAGTGAACTGAGATCACACCACTGCACTCCAGCCTGGGCAACAGAGTGAGACTCCATCTCAGAAAAAAAAAAAAAAGTGTAATCTATAGTTATGAATAAGATAAAGTTAATAAATTGTGTGTAACAACACTGGAAACAGTGCATAATATACCATTAAATGGAGAAAGAAGCTTCCCAAAGTTTTCATATTATGATCTCATTTATATATAAATTTTATATAAAATATGTGTGTGTCCAGCCTGGCCAATATGGTGAATCCCTGTGTTTACTAAAATTAGCCAGGTGTGGTGACACACACCTGTAATCCCAGCTACTCGGGAGGCTGAGCCACAAGAATCGATTGAACCCGGGATGGGGAGGTTGCAGTGAGCCAAGATTGCACCACTGCGCTCCAGCCTGGGTGATAGAGTGAGACTCTGTCTCAAAAAAAAAAAAAAAATGTGTGTGTGTGTGTGTGTGTGTATGTGTGTTAGTATTTTTTAAAGTCTAGAAAAATAAACAACAAACTGGTTACATGGTAATTTACTCAAGTACTTGTAGGGAGAACCTATTTCTATTTTATACGTGTGGGTTGTATATATAAGTAGTGTTGGATTATTTTTACTGTACTCAGGACAGCCCTAGATCTGGTAAGGAGGAACCCCTACCTCAGATCTCATGTTTAGAAAAGACACATAAAAAGACAAATGTATTAAAGAATATATGAAATCAGGTGACCATTGCAGATACCCTAAACAATCACTTTGGTGACTAACACCATTCAGGCCATGGAAAATGCTCCTCGGTCCTGGAAACACAAGCTGACCACCCAAATGTTGTGAAGAATCACAGGTTGTGCTGCTGCCAGCATCACAAAAGGACACTGCTGAGGAATGTGTGTGCAAGGAGAATTTAAGCTGTGGAAGCATTTAGGTAAAAGACAAATTAATATACTTGTCAAATCTTTCTTCTCAGGTGTCATGAATGCTATAGATTCTTAGAAAATAACACAGCATATCCCGGGGTAACAAGCATCCATTTTCTTGCTTTCTTCAAGTTCCAGTTTGTGGGTAAGTACTCACAAATTACTGCAGTGTTTGCAGCAGTTACACATAGCAGCTAAAGAATCTTTTGCAATTTAAAAAATACTACTTTTAATTTTTTATACATTGTCTAGACATAGCATGCTTGAAGCATGAAACATTGAATATAAAAATTGCGGATAACTTAATGTTTATGAAAATATGTAATGAGTAAACTAAATTTAAAACTAAGTAAAAATTAAGCTTCATTTGAAATTTTTATTTAAATATTAGTATTCATTAATTACCATTTGTATTTTACCCTTAAGCTTCAATCAATAATTTTGGATATTTTAGCAGAAGAAAAATAACTTTTTTGACAAAATAGGAAATGTTTTTAATTTTTTAGTATTTTAGCATTTACTTTAATTACATTTTTGATGAAATATATTCGAATTTGGAACCCTTTGAATATGATTACATTTTATCTTAAATCTTTTTTTTTTTTAATTATACTTTAAGTTTTAGGGCACATGTGCACAACGTGCAGGTTTGTTACCTATGTATACATGTGCCATGTTGGTGTGCTGCACCCATTAACTCATCATTTAACATTAGGTATATCTCCTAATGCTATCCCTCCCCACTCCCCCCACCCCACAACAGACCCCGGTGTGTGATGTTCCCCTTCCTGTGTCCATGTGTTCTCATTGTTCAATTCCCACCTACGAGTGAGAACATGCGGTGTTTGGTTTTTTGTCCTTGTGATAGTTTGCTGAGAATGATGGTTTCCAGCTTCATCCATGTCCCTACAAAGGACATGAACTCATCATTTTTTATGGCTGCTTATCTTAATTCTTTAGCTGACCAAGAATGAGAACAAGTTAAGATTGTGCTAGACCTACAAAATATGAAAGTGAAGCTCAGAAAAATAAGGATAGAAAAGAAAAACAAACATATTCACCAAGGTGGTCAGCTGTAATTTGTTTAAATTGCGAACTCCTGAGCATGGCCCACATACAATTCATAAACAAACATTACAAATTCCCTGTTCAGTGAAGATTTAGTTACTGAGCAAAACAATGAAAATAAGAAAAGTATTCTGAGTAAGTCCACAACTTGAATAGATCAGATCAAACACCTGTAACTTCATGTTCTTTACATGAAGTTTCTTTCATGATTAAAATAAGACAATGAAAAAGATATTTTTATATCAAATTCACAACTCAAAAGAAACGAGTGCAAGTGGGTCTGCCCATTAGATGATAAAGAAATTATGGGGAAATTGGCAAATTTGACAAGAAAGATTAAAAACTTTTTGCTTCTTTACTGTTTATTGGAAGGTGATCCTAGAAAAGTTTGTCACAGCTTTCTGAAATCTGAGAACATTTCCAGAAAAATGTAAGTTGATTTAAATTATTGGTTATAAATTTTTCCTTGAATAAACTTGGCAGAAAAGTTAATATTTTGTATTATTGTAAGTTTTTTTCCCAATGGAGAAACTGTAGAAACTTTTTTAATATTCTAAGTCAAAAGACAAAATATTTTGTTACTATTATTACATATTTCAGTCTGTCTTCACAGTCAGCTTTGTCCAGTGAAAGAATCTGTGACTGGAAATACTTAGGTTCTCAATTAAAAGAATACAAAATGTTATTTGACCCCGACCCCAAAAAATGCACACGCAAATACTAGAATGGAAAAAAAAAAGCCTGAAACAACACAAATGATTAACAGTATTCAACAAATAAACAAGCAAATACAAATATACAATATCGCTGTGATATTCTTAAGAAAACAGTATTAGATGTGCCATACTTAGGCAAGCTTGTGTGGAACAGCAACAGTGCGATATTCATAGAAAACAATGGAAATGTTCTAGTCTAGTAGAAAAAATAACTTTCAAATGTGATGCCAAAATAGCCAAGCATATAACATAGATAAAAATGAATTTTAGGCCCAGCGCAGTGGCTCAGGCCTGTAATCCCAGCACTTTGGGAGGCCATGGCGAGCGGAAGACCTGAGGTCAGGAGCTCGAGACCAGCCTGGCCAACATGGCAAAACCCCGTCTCCACTAAAAATACAAAAAAATTAGCTGGGCATGGTGGCATGCACCTGTAGTCCCAGCTACTAGGGAGGCTGAGGCAGGAGGATTGCTTGAACCTGGGAAGCAGAGGTTGCAGTGAGCCGAGACTGAGCCACTGCACTACAACCTGGGCAACAGAGCTCTCGAGACCCTGTCTCAAAAAAAAACAAAATTGAATTTTAAAAGATCATATTTCTTTAAATGGAGAATTCAAAATACTATTAAATGTGATAAAAGATATTAGAGATACAATTTTTAAATTAATAGTAACTAATTTACGTAAATTATGTTAGGACAAAATCATATTGAGCAACTAATATTTATCTTCTGATGTACCATCATCTGATGATGGTGGGCAGGCCACACTTGCATCTGATAGTTCATCAGATGATAAAAATTGAAGTCAAAATTGTGTATGTTATTGATTTTATACCTATTGTAAAAAGTAGAATTGAAAATACAATTTTGAATTTTAGACATTGATTTAAAAGAATAATGATGGCAAGCTAATGATAATGGCAGTTGGTAAGGAACAAGCATTTATTATGAGGCATGTGTGATACATAGTTTGAATTTCTTATTAAGGGACATGTTCTCAGCTGTGTCAAATGGGTGATTGCATCTTCAGAACAATTAAACAACTACATAGGATATTTTCTGTATCTGTCCAAAGATGAAACAACTTGAAAAAGCTGTTATATGTTTGTCACTAAAACACTTTTGGACACACAAAGGGAATGCTGACTAAAAGCTATTAAAACAACAAAATTTTATTTACACCAGATAACAAGATGCACTGGAAGAGTATGAGAAATAAAAGATAATCCTTAAATAAAAAGAATCATGGCCGGGTACGGTGGCTCACACCTGTAATCCCAGCACTTTGGGAGGCCGAGGCGGGCGGATCACGAGGTCAGGAGTTTGAGACCAGCCTGGCCAGTATGGTGACACCCCGTCGCTACTAAAAATACAAAAATTAGCCGGGTGTGGTGGTGGGCGCCTGTAGTTCCAGCTACTCGGAAGCCTGAAGCAGGCGACTCGCTTGAACCTGGGAGGCAGAGGTTGCAGTGAGCCGAGATCGTGCCACTGCACTCCAGCCTGGGTGACACGGCAAGACTCCATCTCAAAAAAAAAAAAAAAAAAAAAAAAAAAAAGGATCATGATCTTTTTTTAGAATTTTAATTTTAGGTTTGAGCATACATGTGAAGGTTTGTTACATAGATAAACGTGTCACAGGGGTTGGTTGTACATATTACTACATCACCCAGATATTAAGCTCGGCACCCAACAGTTATCTTTTCTGCCCCTTCCCCTCCCCACTCCCCCCACCCCCAAGTAGACCCCAGTGCCTGTTGTTTCCTTCTTTGTGTTCATGAGTTCTCATCATTTAGTTCCGACTTATAAGTGAGAACATGTGGTATTTGGTTTTCTGTTCCTGCATTACTTTGCTAAGGAAGGAATCATGATCTTTGGCAGAAAATTATTTCTGAATCTGCACTATCTATGGTTATTTGGTAGAAACTGTTGTTTTTAATGATGTTAGCAAAAGCTTGCAGAAATTCTAAAAACTGGAACCAAATAATGAGTTTGGCTGTTTTGCCTTTTTACGATTAAATTTTTTTATAGAGAGAAAATAGTTACTCTAAATTGAAATAAACTGCATGTAAAATATGTAACAAATGTGACATTTCTATAAAATATG
Source organism: Homo sapiens (assembly GCF_000001405.40). Classification (NCBI taxonomy): domain Eukaryota; kingdom Metazoa; phylum Chordata; class Mammalia; order Primates; family Hominidae; genus Homo; species Homo sapiens. The sequence continues at coordinate 146,412,062 of NC_000005.10, read as the reverse complement.
AGAAAATCAGAACAAGTAAACAAAAATGTTTGCATCACTATAAAAGAGAATATGCACATACAAATAATCCCCAAACTAATATCTGTTGAGATCACTTTAGGTTTATTAAAAATAAAAAAAAACTTACCAAAATATTTTCTGGATCTGGATATTGTTTTTAGAGAAGGTAAAAATTGCAATGTAAGTGATAGATTTATATTATGAAATTAAAATTTTTTGTAGTATTTTCTATCGTAACAACAATTTAAGACCCCATGATAGTATTTGAACTTTATATGTAAAATCCATTGCCAATTTCTGAATGTAAATGTTACAATAACTTTGACAATTTCAGTTGCTATTGACTTAACAGCAAGTTTTCTCCATGATGAAATTAATTTAAAAATAAGAATACAATGGCTAAGAAAGGGTGTTGAATTTGGCATTACTATCTTTGAACATAAATTATGTAAAAATCCTGATTGGAAGAACGTAACTGTAATTTTGCTAAAATGAAGACAAGAAAAAATAATTTTTATATAGCAAATATATAGTCATGTATGAATTATGTATGCCTTTGTTATTACGCATCCAAACATCAGCCAAACAACAGAACTGCCAGTTATGTACAGAAAATTAAAGATCAGTCAACTTTAAAATTTGCTGATATTCAGTCATATGAAAAATAGTTCTCAACTTTGTTTCAAAAGTAGAAGGATACACCACATTTTTTTTTAACAGTCTGTTGGCTTGTTTGTTAACAAAAAAGTTAACAAACTCTAGGCCCACAAATTTAGGGGTAGGTCTGACTGAGCATATGTTAATTTTATAATTAGTGCTTGTAAGAACTGCTGTTTAGTTAATGTTTATTATATGTTGGGCACTGAGCAAAGTACTTTTTATACAGTAGCTCACGGCACCTGTATGAGTTAATTTCTCATACTGAGCTAAGGAAACTGAGGCATAGAAGGGCAAAGTTACTTGCACAAACATTGTCAAAGCAGAATCAAGTGGACATTTACTATACCTACTCGGAAATGGGACTGCCTGTTAAAGGCTGACAGATCACTAGGAAATGTTCTTTATAAATGCAATGCCTCTGCTGGATAATATCTGTCCCTCTACCCCAATTCATGCAGCCTGAAACTCCACCATTATGCATTGATTCCTCTTGGCTTTAAAGCCTTTTCAGTCTCCAAAAGAAACCAGTGGAAATGCAAATGCCCCCAGGGGATATAAGACGACAGCATATTAAGCCAGTGTTACTTCTCCTGTATTTTCCACCAAAGTAACCCATCAAACCAAGAGTGAATTCTTAACCCCCAGGAGTCTGAGGACTCAGCCCAAAAGATTTTGATCAATTTCTTTTGAGTCTTGTGCTGTCTATTTAAAATCATGCCTATATGCTTTTCCATACTACATATATTTTTAACATACAAATGTTAGCTCTTCAAATAAAAACGATGCTTCACAATAGACTCCATGTTCATCTTGGAGTTCAAGGACTCCATGGCATACACACTCCTGGTTTGTGAAGCAGAGCCTTAAACTACTGTCAGTGGCTACCACTGTGGAGTTTCCTTAACCCTCAGCTGAGAGCAAGGCCCAGCAGAAAATGGGGAAGAGAATAAAGGCCTCAAGAAGTTGCAATAATGATGAGAGGGGAGGAACTAGAAGTGACAAGGCGCCTGGGTTACCTGCTTCCCAGTTTGGTAGAGGACCTGTCCTGTTGGTCTTTTATTTTACTCAACTTTCTTAGTCATTTCAAAGTCTACCTTTGACTGTTTTAAAGGGAGGTAAACTGTCTGTCATTAGAAATGTGCAAGCAGACTAGACAGCTGCTTGCTTTGACGGCTATGGGTCGGGAACAGGGACAGTGGGCTTCAATCAATGAAAAGAGGAAACTTTCAAATTTGATGCCCTATAGTCCTGAAATTTTGTTACTCTTCTGAAGCATGAGTTTCAGGAAAAATGTACTCAATTCAATAAATATTTATTCAGCACTTTTATAAGTGCCAGATGCCTGGCAGTGGTGGAGAGGACAGTCTTCCCAAAACTCATAGTTTGCTGGGGAGAGACATAAACAAGCAGGTAGTTCGAGTACAGCTTACAGGCTCTCACAGAAGTACAGAAGTTATGGAAGCTCAGTGGAGGGGCACCAGGCTTGGATCTTGGTAGCCTTCTAGGAAGAGGTGATATTTAAATCAAGATTTGAAAAATGAGTAGGAGTTTACTCAGGTCCTCCTGAAAACCACTGTAGCTAGCTTCAGGATTAATTTCAGCTGGTTTCACCAGAGCCCTTCTCTGCCCTGCTACACGTTGTTCATTCATTCTACTTGTCAATTCAGGATATTTAGGGACAAAAGGCTGACTTTTAATTATCAATTATAGTCTTTGAAGATGCAGAGAGGACAAGTGGCCCATCCCCATTGTACAAAACTACACAACCTACGGGGACCAGACTCCAGGTTTTTGGCATTAAAGTTACCAGGCAGATCCTAAACTCACTTAAGACATTCACAGCTGTTTAACCAAAGGGACGACAGGAGGGTGATTCATGGTGCGTTTGCCTCCCGGGCTGTGAACACAAAGGAAAGAAAATGTTGTTAAGGGAAGAAGCAGGCTCCTCCTTGCAGTAGTATGTTTTTTGGTCGTCATGCGGTAGACAGCGGGGCCAATAATACAGCCTGCAAAATTTCCAGCTGAAAAAAAACAAACCCTTTGAAGTGGCTAATGAATACACTCTTTTTAACTTACTCCGATCTCATTGCTGAGAGCTGTGCAGTTGCTCCTGGGCAGAAGTTTCACTAATGTAGGGATGTTGACTGGCCACTGCATCAAATATTTATCAAGTCACAGATGGGAATCTACAAAGAGTTTGCAGAGAGGTTTCGTGTCTCCCTTCGGTTCTAGGGGAAGCACGTCAGCACTGCAAAATGCAAGTCCACAAATACACACTTTTAAGCTTATGCATAGGGTTGCTGACCCATTTTAATCAGGTTAAATGGGGCCAATTTAAAGGGAATCTCTTTTTTTCTTAAAGTAAAAGTAGCATGTTTTCATTGCAGACATAAAAAAAGCCTTACACAAAAAGAGGGAAATGGAACTCACTTATAATTTTACCACCCAGACCTATTGTGTATTATGCCTTTTTTATTTTATTTTTTATTTTTTGCTGTTTATAAAAGACTCACTTTTTTAACCTTTTATTTTAAGTTCAGGGGTACAAGTGAAGGTTTATTACATAGGTAAACTTGTGTCATAGAGGTTTGTTGTACAGATTATTCCATCACCCAGGTAATAAACCTAGTATCCATTAGTTATTTTTCCTTATCATCTCCCTCCTCCCATCCTCCATCCAACATCTTTTAAATAAAAATTAAATCATACTGTATCCAATATTCTGTATGTATTTTATTCTTTTGCTTTTTTATACTTGTCTCATTTAACAATACGTTCTTACCATTTTGCATAATATTGAGTATTTTTCTACAATATATTTTCATATATTTACACAGTATTCCAGTGTATCAATGTGCTATGATTTACCTGGCCAACCCCTTGCCATTCGATATTTGTGTCTAGCTTTTCTATGCAGTAAATGATTATTTTAATGGAGATCCTTATAACCAAATAATTATTTGTGCCCAACTATGATATTTTCTCTGACAAATTAGTGAAAAAGGAATTGCTAGGTCAAAGAGTTAGCCTGATATACCAGTTTACATTTCCATCATCAGAGAATAAGAGGAGTGGGGCTGGCATTCTTAATGGGCTGTCAGTTTGCTCATCTCAGCTAAGATGGTCCAAGGTCACTGAGAGATAGATATTGGTCTAGGAGTTTGGGGGTTGGTTGGTTTATATGCTTATTTGTTTTTGTAACAGCCTCCTTGAAACTTGAACGTTTTTCCTCTTTAATTTAACAGCTATCTTATTTCTCTGGTCTCCCATCTTTATTTAGTTACACTGGAGAGAAAAGAAAGATCTCTTCAATGGCAAACAGCAGTGCCTGAGTTCAATAAGGATTTATGGCTTGCTGTTTTGCATTGCTAGTAACCACAGTTATAAGGCTGGGCCTATCAATATCTTTTTCCTCTAGCAATAGAAGGCAAGCTGTTTCCTGCAATTGAAGTCTCCTAGAACAGAAGTTCACTGATAGAAAAAAATAGGGAGGAGGGGGGTTTGGTAGGATAAGGTCACTAGCTATTTGTTTTTCCAAGTAAAGCTATTGGAACAATCACAATCAGCAATGGCCATCTATTATCATAAACCAATTACTAAAGAATGGGCATTATAACACACTTGCACTCATACAAAAATAAATGAATAATAAGAGAGTTTCAGAATAAAATACCTTCTTACCTAAGAAAGAATAGTTGGCCTTCTTACACTGACATATACACGGTCCTTATTTTTTCTTCTCACAAATGATTTGAAAATATCACTTTGGATTGGCATCAGTCTCTGGGCCTTGGCCTGAAAAGCACCATCTTAGAGGATTGTGACCATGTCTTTTATTTGGAGCAGGGCCTAAACCAGTCCTTTTTCCTCCCTAGACAGGAAAGGAGAGGAATCTGCATTTTCCCTTCCAGGAGCCTCTTCCTACTTGCTTGGTCTATGAGGTGTTCCCAGATTGCAGTAATTTGGGTACCGTTTTCATGACTTGCACATACCCACAAGCTACTTATTATTTATTTAGTATTTGTTTTCAATCAACACTGTTTTAACTTCAAAAATACATTTATTTCAAAGGGAAACTTAATATCTCTACCATAAATGGAAAACCAATATTGCTTGTCATAAATAAAGCAAAACAATGATATTAGATTCTAGCTTCTCAGTTGTGCCTGCCAACAGTTCTGAGCCAGAGTCCTGTGCTTTCTTGATTTCTAAGGAGAGAAAGAGAGACAGGGTAGCAAGTGAAAAAGTGTTAAAGATATATTAGCACAAATATGAGACTTTGCCCTTGACAGAGCTGAAATGATTGAGGGAGATATGAAATAGAGATACATTTCTCACTAATTGAGGTCACTATTTTGATGCTCTGTGAGCCACTGGCAGGGGTCCCACAATTGAAAATACTAATAAAGTGGAAAAAGAACTGGACTTGGTTTTGAGCCCTGCTTGGCCCCTGCTGATAGTAAATCTTTGGGCAAGTCACTTCACTTCTTAAAGCCTCAGCTTCTCCAGCAGTAAAATGAGATGATAATAATCTATATCTAACAAGAATTGTGAAGAGTAAATGAGAATACTTAAAGCACCTTGTAATCTCTAAAATGCCATACAAGTCATGAAAAAATCATCCTCATTTGTGGAGCATTTTTATTTATGAGCATCAGATCTTTTCTCCAAAGGCCCAGAATATACTGACAGGCCCAACAATCACTATAGCCTAAAACAAGTAGATGAACTAAAGCCTTTAAAAATGAATTACTGGATCCCGCATCATTTGGAATAGGTCCTTGAGAATTATAATTATTAGGCCGGGTGCAGTGGCTTACTCCTGTAATCCCAACACTTTGGGAGGCCAAGGTGGGAGGACAGCTTGAGTCCAGGAGTTGGAGACCAGCCTGGGCAACATAGCAAGACCCAGTCTCCACAAAAAATTTAAAAATCAGTTGGATGTGGTGGTGTGCGCCTGTGGTCCCAGCTATTCAGAAGGCTGAGGCAGGAGGATCACTTGAACCTTGGAGGTTGAGGCTGCAGTGAGCTATGTTCATGCCACTGCACTCTAGCTGGGGCAACAGAAAAAAAACATCGATAGATAGATAGGTAGGTAGATAGATAGAGATATATATATGTATAATTATTTGATTGATGGCTCTAATTAGCAGGAACCAGGTCTGGCTTGTTCACTTCTACGTTCCTTGCACCTACTTCAGTGTCTAGCACATGGGAGATTTTTAATAAATGGTGAATGATGCACTCCTAAAAAAATGTTGAATGAAAAAATGAATGAGTGAATGAACTAGTGAATGGCTAAATGAATGAGATTGCTTCTTTATACTAATACTAGACCTTAGTCTTTGTAATAGATATCCGTTGTTTTTTGCCACCCAGCACTGTATTAATCATATTTTTTATTTTCTGTGTTTTATGATGCTTCAACATCTTGGGGTCTGGTGGACCTGGAGAGGGACTGCCCATGCCGGGGGTAGCTAATTCCTAGAGACAGCAAACTTGCCTTGGAGCACCCCTGTGATACGCAAACCAACCAATCCCCACCCACCACCTTTTATTAGGCTCTTGCAGTCCAGGACACTATCCCTGTGCCCTAAATCACCCAAGGGCCAGGTACTAGGCAACAAGGGACTATCCTTTCACCCAGAGGCCACCCAAATGATTCAAACCATGCAATCCTAATTCTGCCCAACTGCTTACACTACCTTGCCCATTCTTTCTCTTAAAACCCAAGGCTAAAGGTTTCACATGAGCTTTCCCCTCACTCCCACCTCCTGCCCAACCCTGGTGCTTCCCCATGTGGTCCTGCATGACATGGCATGCAACATGGTCCCTCCTCTTGGGAACTATGAATAACAAAACTCTTGACAATGGCAATTGCCCCCTGATCTGCTGGCCCCACACCATAACAGGGTAAAAACAAAATCCCTAGTACATTTTAAAATAAGTACTAACCTTGAGGGCTCACCCCAATCTAATCTCAATTTATTATTAAAGGGGAGTGGCTCTCACCTTCATTCAGTGGAAAAGTATACAACTCAATCAACACATGACATCGTGATTGTCTCAGAAATTGACACATGACCACACTAAAGTTGCAGTGAGCCTTTTTCTGGGACAAAATCTCATGTGTTTTTTTTTCCCTGTTAGATTGGAAATTGGGAAGATGTTAGGTCTACAGCTATGCAGTAATTTTGCTAGCTAGAGGCAAAAAGCCTGTTTGAAATGGAGCCAACCAGTAAAAGCAATGCCAAGAGACAGAGGGAGAGAAATCAAGTTCTGATGGCATCATTTGAGTCAACACTACTCCTGGACTTTTCAGTTATCTGTGTTGAAGCCCATTTATATTGTGTTTATTGTACTTACAAGTAAAAGAATACTGGCCAGGCACGGTGACTCACACCTGTAATCCCAGCACTTTTGGAGGCCTAGGTGGGTGGATCACAAGGTCAGGAGTTCAAGACCAGCCTGGCCAACATGGTGAAACCCTGTGTCTTCTAAAAAATACAAAAATTAGCCGGGTGCGGTGGCGGGCACCTGTAATCCCAGCTACTTGGGAGGCTGAGGCAGGAGAATCGCTTGAACCCAGGAGGCGGAGGTTGCAGTGAGCTGAGATCATGCCACTGCACTCTAGCCTGGGTGACAGCGCAAGACTCTGTGGCAAAATAAAAAAAGAAAAAAAAAAGAATCCTAACTTATGGGGTCTTCTTTTTCTCTTTTCATGATGCCCAAAGCCACACCTGGAGATATTTAAAACTGTGCTTTGAACTAAGTCAGTTCCATACTTAGTGTATGCCAGGCACTGGGCAGGATCCTAGGGATACAGCATCTAATAAGACCCTTAGGGACCTGCAGTCTGTATGGGAAAATAGCCATGCAAACAAGGGGAGAGTGCAATAAGAGCATAGAGACTCAAGCAAAGGCAGTGGAGTTAGCAAAGGAGTAGTCAGATCTGCCTGGAGGTCCCCCTCCTCTTCAATCCTATCTTTGTCCCAGCCTTGTCTGAGGAGGTTCCAATGAGTGTGTCTCCCAGTTCAAGGAGGATCAACCAAAACATTTAGTGAGTGCTGCCTGTGCCACTAGGCCCATGCTCATTTCATTCTTTCAACTCCTTTACAGGGAGCTAGAAGAATTATCCCCACATTCCTCTATTCAGAGGCTTAGCAGGGACAAACAACCCTACCCAGCTCAGTGGTAGAACCTGAACTCAAATGAAGGCTGTATGACTCCAGAGCCCATGCACTGCACTGCTATGCCACTCCCCAGTGTTTGCTGAGTGCTCACCATGTGCCAGACTCCAATTCCAGATCCCACTCCCAAATTATAAAAGAGAAAGTAGAATTCCAGAACTATGTATGTATGTATGTATGTATGTATGTATTTAGAGACGGAGTTTCGCTCTTCTTGCCCAGGCTGGAGTGCAATGGCGTGATCTCGGCTCAGTGCAACCTCTGCCTCCCAGGTTCAAGCAATTCTCTTGTCTCAGACTCCCAAGAAGCTGGGATTACAGGTGCCTGCCAACATGCCCAGCTAATTTTTGTATTTTTAGTAGAAACGGGGTTTTGCCATGTTGGCCAGGCTGGTCTCGAAGTCCTGACTTCAGGTGATCCACCCGCCTCGGCCTCCGAAAGTGCTGGGATTGCAGACATGAGCCACCGTGCCCAGCAGCGTTCCTTTAAAAAAAAAAGGTTTTTTTCAGATGGTTCTTACTCTGCCGCCCAGCAGGAGTGCAGTGGCACAATCATGGCTTGCTGCAGCTTGAACTACTGGGCTCAAATAATTCTTCCCAGTAACTGGAACTACAGGTGTGCACCACTGTGGCCCAGCTAATTTTTTAAATTTTGTATAGAGACAGGGACTATCATTGTTGCCCAGGATGGCCAAAATCATTCCTTATTGTACAACAGAATTTGCTATTGGATTCTCTCACACTATCTTCCCCTGTGTGTGGAAAACAATAGGCAACTTAGAAGAATCTTCTTTGACACACAAATTATTTTGAAGACCACACCTAGTAAGCACAAGGTAGGGCACCTGTGTATGGGCATGCCCTTGCTCAGGACCCCAAACTATTATCTGAGACGTCTTCCCCTGGCGATCCTCTGAGAGATGGAGCAGCCAGATGCAGCATTAAGTGGAGAAGAACCTCCTGAGCCCCAAGATCAGGATTGCCTGCGGTTGAATGGGGCTAGGCAAGATCTCTGACTGACACCAGTCAGCGAATTGTGCCTTTGCTTCCAGCAGAGCATGTGGGGCTTCTGAGCATTTCAATGTGCCTGGTGGGGGCACCAGAGGCAGCCTGAGCCCCAGGCATACTGGCCACCTTGGCAGATTTCCTTTTTAAGCTTCATGTTGGCTTGTCAACCTCATCATCCCAAACCCATTAAACAAACAATTTATTAGACTGGCAGCCCCTCTGGATGCTGCAACTTTTATTTAAGGGACTGTTGGCTTTTCCATTTTCAACTATGCTGTAATTATTTTCTTTCCAGAGGAAAAAGGGTGCATCTTTCAGCTTGGGTAAGAAGTGTATTACTATATGTATGTGGACATGTAGTTCATATGCTGGCTATGAATATTCATAGACTCTCTTAGACATATCACATCAAATCTGTGTGAGGGAATAAGTATTTCACTTCAGAATCAAAGCTGAGTAGGATGCTTTTAAATCAGCATTAGGTTTTTATTATAAATGAATATACTTATATTAAATTTGGATTTGAATTAGATGTAATTCACACAATACATAATTACATAACTTGCTTTCTTCCCTTAATGGTATTTCTTGAAGACCTTTTTATGATCATTTAATTTTCATCTTTTGAAATAGATGTGAATAGACACAGTGGATTTTGTAACACATTACTGCTTCCTTTATTTCGAAATTGCTACTTTAGGTTTCTTGACAACTGAGAATGGTCTTTTTTGGGGGGGAGGGGGGCACTTTTTCAATGATTGGTCAGGAAAATTGGGATTTCACTGCTCTGTTTTAGTTCCTGGAACTCAGTTTTTATTCCTGTAGAATTCTGTTTTTAGTGTTCATTTGTCATAAGAAATATACAAGGCTTAACCATAAGAGCAACTGCCATTTGGCAGTGCTTACTCTGTGCTATGGACATCAGAGCTTGTTCAAGACTCACCACAAACCTAGAAGGCAGATACTATTTTTCCCCTCACTTTATAGATGAGTAAACTGAAACTCAGAAAGATCAAGAAATCTTTGAAAGGCCGAGGCAGGCAGATCACCTGAGGTCAGGGGTTCGAGACCAGCCTGGCCAATATGGTGAAACCCCCATCTCTACTAAAAATACAAAAATTAGCTGGGCATGGTGGCACACACCTATAATCCCAGCTACTTGGGAGGGTGAGGCATAAGAATTGCTTGAACCCAGGAGGCGGAGGTTGCAGTGAGCTGAGATGATCATGCCATTACACTCCAGCCTGGGTGACAGAGTGAGACTCTGTCCCCCTCTCCAAAAAAAAAAAAAAAAACTTACCCAAGAAACCTTGCTAGTGAGAAAAGGAATTGGGTTATAAATTTGAGTCCAAAGTCATGCATTTAATCTTGGCTGAAATATTCCTTAATTCCACCGACATCTACTGAGCCCCTTGAGGTGCTGCCAGGTGCTGCTCCCCACAGTGGGAGTACCATGGGGAACGAGACAGACCAAGCTCCCAGCTCTCACGGAGCTTATCACTTACCCTGCATCCCTATCAAACCTGAACTGCAAACCTGGACTTTCACCCACAGATGTGGTGGGAGGGCCACATCTTGGATATAACTGGATTCCCCGACTGGTTTAAAACCAGTGCTGAGCATTTCTGAGTTGAGGGCTGGGATTTATTTCAATGCCTAGTGTGGTGACTGAATCACTGTAAGTCCGTTAAAGGTATTTGGAGTTGTTGTTTGACAGTTAAGCCTTCAAAAAAGAAAGGGGGAAAAGTTGCTTCCGATGAAAACACTTTCTTTAAATAGCCCTTTAATGGCATTTCAGCTTTGGTTTTCCTCTTGATCTGCATTTGCTCTTCTTCTCCCTGCACTTGCAAGTGCCTGACATAATACAGGATGGTTCAGAAGGGACTGCCATCTCACAGACTGCCTCGTACACATTTCCATCCTTCCCTGCGGTAGTCAAGGACCAGGGCCAGACTCCCTCAGCCCTGGCCCCTCCCATTCTGGAGGCTGTCACCTTCTAGACTCGCTTCCCACTCCTCCGCGTCCCCAAAATAAAACAACAGGGGAGATAAGAGGGTTGCTACCATCTCAGGCCTTGCCGTCATTTTACAGCACTGCCTCTTCATCAGCAAAGGGGGGAGATGAAAAAGACCCATCAGCCCCGCCCGCGCTTTCCTGTCTTTGTCAGGGCAGCTTCTTCAGCCTCCAAAGCATTTGGAGCTTTCTCACAGCAGGAAACTAAAATGCTTTTTTCCCAGACATGATAGCTTAGGTCCTCCCCAAGCAGTGGGACCAGTCTGTCTTCCATTGGAATCTTTCATCTTCACTTACATTCCCTTCTTTTGGAACTTCTTCAATAATTGATGGCATTCTAAGTGGCACATCCATGGCATCTGCACAGTAGAATCAGGGTGGGAAGGATGGGGCAAAGTAAGGCGACATGGTTGTGGTCCCTGTCCTAGCTTCAGCCCTGTTCTCTTCTTTTCTGGATGCCCTCCTCCATCTCCCATGCCCAGCACACTGTCCATGAAAGGGGCTTGTCTTAGGTTCTCTAGACTCAGAGGCTGAGATGGAATTCTTGTGCAAATGATTAATTGAGGGAAAGCCCTGAGAAGAAACCTATAGTGAGGGGGTGGGGATGAGGAGAGAAGCAGTGTGGGGCAGAAGGGGCTGGGCAAAGATGGGGTTTAGGAATAGTCTAGCCTAGACCCGGTCCCACTGGGAGGTCTGCAGCATCTGCTGCATCTCAGAGGTTGTCCTGCCCAGCTAAAGGGGCTGAGCTGTTACACTCTCCCATCTGTCAACCAAATGCCATGCACTGCCCCAGGGTAGGGTAAAATGTCCCAGGCATCATCCACCAAGAGGCTCTTTGTAACCAAGGATAGTGCTTTCAATAAATGAACAAGCATGTGAGCCGCTAGCAGCCAGCATCTGGGGCATGGGTGCTCTGTGCTGGAATGATTAAGCAGTTCCATTCATGCTAGTGACATCCCTTAATGAGACCCCCTACCTCCCTCCCTCTCTTCCCCTCTTCTTTCCTTCAACAGATATTTATTAGTAAACCAATCCTCTTGGAGTTTAGAGTCTAAGTAAGGGGATAGGCAGTAAACATGTAAATGAATGAGCACAAAATAATTCCAAATTGTGACCATTGTGAAGTACAGTACCACAGGGGAGGATAACAGATGATGGGGAAAGAGATTTATTTTAGGTCATCAAGGAAGGCTTCTCTGAGCAGGTGACTTTCAAGCTAGGACCTGAAGTGAAGAGAGAGGAAAATTCAGTGGTGAGAATCTAGGGTGAAGAGGATTCCAGGGAGTACAGGCAGCAAATTCAGGTCCTAGGAAAGAGGTTTGTATGTTCTGAGGACTGATGCAAGATCAGAGATGAGTTGAGGGCATTTGGCTGGGCCCAGATAATGCTAAGCCTTATAGGCTGTGGGAAGATGCTTAGATTTAATTCATCTGTCACTGGAAACCTTAGAAGACTTTTAAGCAGGGCAGTGATGTCAGCTGGATGTTATACAGTTGGATTGAAATTTTACTCAACCACATTCATATGTGCAAAAAAAAAATGTGGTTTCTTGACTTCCTCACATGGATCCAGTCTTAGGCATTTCCTAATTTAAACAGAAACTTGACTTTTCAAGATTCATATCTCAGTCTCTTCTGGTCTAAACAGTCACCTTTCCAGAACATGCCAGGATTTCATCTATTTCCTCCCCAAGATGGCCCCTGGGATATGCGGAGCTTACACACAAGTGCTCGTGGTGGCCAGGGGAGGGCCTTAGACCTATGTGTAGGTCCTTGTGGGGGTCTCAGAGTCCTGTCTAGCCTCTGCCCTTGCCCTCCTGAAGCAGGATATTTCCCTGACCCCTTCGCAGATGGGAACTAGAGTGTGGGCACTGGAACTAGCCAGCTGCTTCGGCACCGACAGGGGTGACTTGAACTGCTGTGTTCAACCCCTCATGGGAGGGCACACACAGGTGAGCAGGTGCAGGAGCCTGGGTGAGCACTTATGGGGGCTGGCCAGAGTGAACTTTGTGTGGGGCCCTGCAGCAGTGTCTAGGGGGCTGCCTGTGAACCCTGAAGACCCAGAGGGAGTGTTACAGTCAGCGGTCTTTTAGCTTTGCTGTCTGCAGATGGCTTAAGTGTTAACAGCTCAGTGGAGGATCAGTGTGACAGCCTTTTGCACTGTACTCATGGCACTCAAGTTCTTGTCTGGTGTCCAGGAGGAATGAGATCACACAAATGAACTGAAGATGGTAAATGCAGGGGATTTTATTGCCCATGAAAGTGGCTCTCAGTGGGATGCAGAGTTGAAAAGGGGACGGAGCAAGAAAGTCATCTTCCCCTGAAGTCGGGCCGGATTCCTCTCCAAAGCTAAACCATCAAGCTATCCGTCTGAAATCAGACCACTTCTCTCCAACATCCAACCATAGTCTCTGCTTCTCTTCCTTCTGCTTCTGGCTGCTTCTCCTCCCTCTGCTGCTTCTTCTCCCTCTGCTTCTGGCTGATCCTGGGGTTTTTATGGGCAAAGGATTGGAGGTGGGGTGAGCCATCAGTGGTTCTGGGAAAGGCAACATTCAAGCAGGAAAACAGGGATGCTTCTCCTCCCTCTGCTTCTCCTCCTCTGCTTCTGGCTGATCCTGGGGTTTTTATGGGCACAGGATTGGAGGTAGGGTGAGCCATTATTGATTTTGGGAAAAGCAACATTCTACCAGGAAAACAAGGATGCAAGTTCTCCCTTGGGCTGCAATTCCAAGCTTGGGATGGCGCCATTTCCAGGAACTCACCCTTTTCTGCCCCAAATTTCCCTGCCTCCTGTCCCTATCACTCTTTCATTGCTTCTCTACTGCAGAAAGCTGTAGCTATTGAGCCTGCCTGTTTAGCCCTGGTAGTGTTCCACAACCTCCAGCACCCCAGCCCCATGAACTTGCCACAACCTTGCTCTTGCCAGTACTGCAAAGCTCTCTGCAGTCTGCCCTTGGCTGTCATTCAACCCTTGACTTGAGGGTCAGCCTTGCAACCCACAGCTTTCCATGATCAGTAAGTTTTCCAAATAGCTCCACTACATCCCTCTGAGCACATGGGAACTTCTGGACACTTTCCGTGCTGTAAGGGAGCCAAGGGTAGACGTTTTGTGATTTAACTCTACCTACTCTTGCCATGCCACCACTTTTATGCTGATGTGGCTGTTCCACATTTATCTGGATGGCACACTGCAAGGCAATCTCCTTTCAGAGTCCAAATCAGAAGATTGACTAATCTACCTAACAGGGGAGATGGGGCACATATGCTTCACCGTCTACGTCCCCTAATTCTAACCCCAGTCCCTGGAGTGAAACAAGTTGATTTCCCTATTCTTCAGCCTCTGGTATGGACTCCCTGCATCACTTTTTCCCTCCTCCAGAAGTAACATCGCCGTTCACTCTTAACAGAGGCTACAGGGGCAGATTGGCTGTTTGAGAACCTCCTTTATGGGGTAAAGAATGATACACTGGTTTAATATTTTAAAATTATTATTCCTGTTATAAATAATATAAAAATATCACTCCTATTGCAATGCAAAAATGGAAGGGGATAGAAGCAAAGATACCAGTTGGAAGCTGGTTTGCAGTTCTCCAGGGAAAAGGTGTTAGCAGTTTGCACTGGAGCTGCAGTGGAGCTAGAGAGAAGTGACCAGACTCGATACATATTTTGGGAGTAGATCTGACCAACAGTGTATTTAACAGGGCTTCATTGAGTGCACACTCTGAGCAAGGCCCTGGAAAGACACAAAGATGACGGCATGTTCCCTGTACTAAAAATGCTTACGAAATGATAGGTAAGAAAAGACATATAAACAATTAACATCATGCTAAGTTAGCTCTAGCTAGAATTATGTATAAAGGAGATAAGAAGTGGGAATCACCAAGGGTAGACTTCCTAGGCCCAGTAATAGTTAGTGGATTTCAATACCACCATCCTTGTAACACTTGTGTGACCATGGTTAAGTTACTTAACCTCTCTAAGCCTCAATTTCCTCAAGCAAAAAAAAAAAAAAAGATGCAATAATAAAGTCCACTTTATAGGGTAGCATGACGACTCAATGAGATGATATATAAACCACTTAAAGTATGCACTGGCTCATAACATATTTTTTATCTATCATCAAACAACTTAATTAAGCACTGATATTAGCCATGTGCCCTTACTTTACTTCCCTATAATGTACTTCCCCCTGATTGTATACTTTTTTACATCCACAGGAGAGACTTCAGACCATGCAGTCTTCCATGACAAAGATAATGTCAATCAGTAGCTAGTATCCATCCAGCACTGCCTGGCTAACGCTTGTACAGAGGCTAAGAGCTGACCCATGTCATTATGAAGCCCCGGATCTGATTGGAAATGAGGCTTTATGTGTATGAATAAGAAACAACATAAAAGATAATTCAACTTAGTGATGCATTCAACAAATAATTCTTGAAGGTATACAGGGTGATAGTGGGCTTATTCAGTCCACCCAGCTGCCCTCCTGGGGAGACGTTATCAACCCATATTTCACAGATGAAGAAACAGACTGAAAGGGTAAAGTAATGTACTCAAGACCGCACAGCTAATAAGTAGTGGATATTGGTGTGACTCCAAAGCTCACATTTTTATGTAAGTGTCATCAGCCAGTCAATAGCTACTTATTGACTGTCACCTGTATACCAAGGTAGTGTACTGAGCTCAGGGTACTCAATTAGAGCTGATCAGACTTTGTGAGATAGACATGAAGAGGAGAGAAAAATCACATATGAGTTGTGACTGGAAGGAGCACTGGGCATTAAAGGGGGCACAGACCAGATTGTGTGATTCTGAAACAGCGGACACAGCATGGCTTAGAAGCAAGGCTTTGGAGGTGGGAAAACCTGAGTTTAATTCTAGCTTTACTTACTAGTTGTGTCCTACTGGCAATTTATTTTCCTCTCTCTGCCTCAGTTTCTTCATCTAGAAAATTGGAGAAAATAGCTACTTCTTAGGGTAACTGAGAGCATTAAATGAGATGGTGTATGTGAAGTGCTTTGTCAGTGCCCAACATAGTCATTGCTCAAAAACTGTAGCTGAGCAGGGCACAGTGGCTCATGCCTGTAATCCCAACACTTTGGGAAGCTGAGGCAGAATCATCACTTGAGCCCTGGGGTTTGAGACCAGCCTGGGCAACATATGGAGACCCCCATCTCTAGAAAACATTTAAAAAATTAGCTGGCTGTGGTGCACACACCTGTAGACCCAGCTACTGAGGAGGCTGAGGTGGGAGAATCGCTTGAGCCTGAGAGGTCGAGGCTGCAGTGAGCTGTGATTGCGCCACTGCACTCCAGCCTGGGTGACAGAGTGAGACCCTGTCTCAAAAAAACAAAAACAAAAAACCACCAAAAAACGTAGCTGCTATTGTGACAGCAGATAAAATTGGGTATAAAAGACAGTGAGCAACACAGGTTTACATTTCAGTGTATCGTGGCACAACCCAGCCCCCTGAAAACTTGTATAAGTTGAATGAACATGTCTCATAAATGTACAGTTTAATTCTTGCCTCCTCTATCCATTTAAATTTGCCCTGTGGAGAGAGTTTGGCTTCTGGATGACAATTTAGACAGGGCTTATGTTCACCTCCCTGCCCCCATTTAGGCCTGGATTTGGGGAAAGGGTTGTGCTAGGCTTCTTTAAGTACTTCTAATTCCCCACCCCCATCCCTGACTCCTCAGGGTAAGGGAGCAGTAGAGTTCTCCCAGTAGTAGTGCTAAGTGCTCCCTAGAGAGGGCAGAAGCATGAAGCTGACTGTTTCTCTTCAGGGGCTTTCATGGGTTCTTGGGAGGCCCCCATCAATGCAGATTGCTCGCTTCAGTTTCCTTGACACGAATGAATGCATTCCTATTCTGGCTGATTGCTCGTGGCTCCACCCATAGCCCCCGGGCATCTCAGATTCCACTTCCAGCTTCTGTCTATCAAGGTCCCGTTGCCTCTTCAGGTGGTCCTCTTGGGTAGCATCTAAGATGGCTCCATACTGGCGTTCTTTTGCGCTTGGTCCATATTTGGTCATGGGAAACACTCATGCATTCTTTACTCCATCAAACTCCAGGAGAGGAATTATTTTCCAAGTCGCGGCCAGCTGGTCAGGGGCCAGAGGCCACTCTAGCCAACCTCATTTCCCATCCTTAAATTTCTCAGACACAACTCACACCTGTCCACCGTATACCACAAACAGCAAAGGACTCATTTTAAGCTCTTTGAGAGATCTGCTTAAAGTCATTTGCCTTAGGCTTGAGATAAAGTGCAGCTGCCACCCCTCTCCTTGGGGGTGAAGAAATCTTCTTCAAAAACCCTCTGAGTGCCAACTCCTGGCTCTTTTACACCCTTGAGATAGGTGGGGGATTTCTCAGTACCTACTTTGAAAATGTTTGTATTTTGTTCCAGCACCTCCCTTTAGAAGGTACCTCTGCCAAATTTTCCCTTTTAATGTCTTATTACACTTAGAACTCAGAGAATGAGCTAATGACTCATCCTCCCTGGTGGTGGATGGGAAGGCGCCCTTAAACAGCCATTACGAGACCTTGATTCTTGTCCTAACCTCAGCCCAGTTTCTCCAGGTGACCTTGGGGCAGCCCTTTCATTGCTGTGGGTCTCTGCTTCTCCTCTCAGTGAAATGGAAATCAAATCTCTGTTCTTGCCCTCTCTCCAGGGAGGTATTGTGAGGAATAATAAGGCAATGCCTATAAAGTGCTTTAAGTACTTCGGGGAAAGACGTTGGCTAAATACCAAATGATAATAATAACACCGTCATCATCATTCACATTATTATTCATGGGTTGAGAGGAGAAAGCGGTTGCTGATGGTGTCTTTGCTCTGTGGGAAGGAGGACTTCAGGCCCCAGGATGTTCTATCAATAAGTCAAAGCCAATAAATACCGAGCACTGGAAGTGGAAGTTATCTAGCCATAAAGGCTGAATGTACATGCCCATTTGTATTTGAAATGACAACAACCGATTCTATTTCTCATTTTTTATTTTTATAGCTAGTGCTCAGAGCAGCTAGAAATGAGGGGAAATTGCGTTTCTTTTCAGGAGGATGGGGGAGCAAAGGGCTCTTTTATATATATATAAGATTTTACTACCCACCACTCTCTTCTTAGAATGCTTTTTTTTTTTCTACTCCTCCCAAATCCTCACCTCTATTATCCATTCCACTTATTTCTGAGTCAAAGTTCTAATCAGCAGACAGGTTTTGTCAGTGGTAGAAGATGAGCAGAGAGGATCAAAAGTGAGCCATAGGGAGAACCAGACTCAGAGCTTAGAGAAGAGAAGGAAGATGCTCCCTCTCCTAAACCTCTGATCCAAACTCATTTGTTCATCAAAAAAGAGAGTCACAATGCTTCAAGCACTGTGCTAGGCACCAGAGCTAGGTTGGTGAACAAGAAACAGACCCTGCCAGAATTTCAGCCCCTTAAAATCCTGCAAAATCAACTTTGGTGGCCAGGTAAGATGGCACCATTCAGTGAACAGCAAGGCCTTTATCTGGCAATGTCACTCTCAGGGGTGATAATGTAGTATTACCTTGAGATGCATCAGCCCTGAATGAGTCCCAAGTTTACATTTCTGGTTCTAGAGAAAAGTTTTTTCACCACCACCCGAATGAGCAGTGTATGGTCAGGAATCCACAAGATCGTTCCCCAATGCATACACATCTTAAAGCATGTGGCAGTAAACGCTGTAGACTTCAAGAAGACAAGGTTTCCATTCAAATGCACTGCTTTCCTCTTAAATTTCTCTGACACCCAGTTTCTTTATCTGCAAGTTGAGACTAAAAAGAGTGGCTCCATATACTTTCCAGACGTGCTGTGGGTGTGAAAGGAAATGATGAAAGCAAGGGTAGCTGTGAAGTTCTACTCAGATGGAAGTTGGGAGCTGTGGCAGAACTGCTGCTCACGTTGTGCCAGGTACCTTTTTGGATGAACAAGCCCCTGGAACTGTATCTGGAGATTTAAGCACTCAGCCAAGCTGCCTGGGCAATGGTGGACTTGCTACGTTCTGTTCCAGGAGCCTGTGGGTACTGAGGGAATAGGAACTCAGCTTTGTTATCTTTTTTATTTTCAAATTTTATACAAACCGTATTTTTTTCTCGTTCTAAAAGTAATATATAGGATCTTTGTAAACAAAAAGTTCAGACAATAAAGATATAAGAAGAGATTTTAAATATTACAGAGTATTGCCTTCCAAACTTCTTGGTGTGCATTCACACACATATTTTTTCCCCCAAAAGATGGGACCTTTATTGTTTTACAATCTGCCTTTTTGACTTAAGAATGTGTCCTGGCCAGCTTGCCACCTGACTTATTTAAAAGGCTCTCTGACCAGGTCTGGAGCTCTCTTCTTGAGACATAGCATCCCCTTTGAGCTCTTTCAGCATCCTTTAAGGTCTCTTTGATGGGGTTCAGTCACTCCCAGTGGCTACAAAAAATGAGAAACTTCCCCCAGCTCAAAGAAATCCAAATCGGGTATATTTACAAGCCCCACTTGCTAGGTTCTGAGACATTGACATCTTGTCATTTTTCCCCCACTTTTTCAAATTTCAAGTTGCAGTTTGATGTTGAATTAAAAATGTTGCCAGGGGCTGCCTGCAGGGCCCTCAGGCTAAAACAGTGGCAGCATCTGCCAGGGGAGACCCACAGGTCCTTCTTCAGACCATGGCAACGTACAGCTGGCATCTGAGCCCAGCAAAGGAGGGGAGAAACATGCATGTGAAAGGAAATTCAACGATCACTACTTTTTTTTTTTTAAGCCGACATCGTCAAGTCTTACCCATTTTATTTGGATTTTATGACTTAATGCCCATGGGGCATTTTGTGATCAGATTTTTGCAAAAGGGTGAAGAGATTGCAGCAACTTGCAAGAGAAAGGTCAGACCTTGTTAAACAATGCAATTGAGAATGAAAATAGGGGCTCCACGTACTTTCCAGAGGTTAAATGCCAGTCCTCATCTTAGGACCCTGGATGAATCACATGAAGGGGACAAGCATGGAGTTTATCAACAAATTTCTTTCATGCATTTGGGGTGTTTGCTGAGAAGTTCAGATGAGAAAATGCATGTGGACATGCTCTGGAAACAGGGAAGCTTTCTACAGATGAAGCCCTGAAGTCCTCTATATGCTTCTTTAAGCACTGGCCTGCGAGGACTCATGTGGAACTGGAGACAAGAATTGCCTCTAGAAAGAGGAGCTGGGTTGCTGGGAGGCAGCAGAGGAGGGGACACTTATTCTTCACTCTAGATCATTTCCTTTCTTCTGCATTTTGTACCATGTATCTGATGTACCTTTCAGCATAAAAAACAATGAATCAACAAATAAGTACTTTAGCTTAAAGGACTCTTGGGCCCTGGAAACATTCTTTAGGAAAAATACTCTTTGGCAGTGACAGCCTTTCCTTATGTGTGAAATCATGCTAAAGTCCACTAAGTCTTTTCACTGAACAGCACTAATGGCTTCATTCTTTCCTATAGAGTACTTTTTGTTTAAAAATAAAAAAGAGCATTCAAATCAAAGAACCAGCAAAAGTCTTCCATTATTATTGTCTTTATAATAATGTGCTATGTATTTTCTGACCGTGGAAAAGAAGTGATAGCCTCAGATGGCATACGTGGCTATTAATTAATGAGACTGGCTTCTGCACAAGTCTTGTGATTGTCACTATATTACTTATGCTATACCTGTTATATATGAGTAATATTATATATATTATATACTCATTACTATGTCATTCTAGCTCATTCTCAATCCTAGCTGTGCTGCCTTGGACATTTACTAGCTGTGCTCCCTTGAACAAATTACTTAACCTTTCTGAGCCTTCGTTTCTTCATATGTAGAACGGGTGCTAACAGTAGGAACTGCCCCAAAAGGTTGTTATGAGTTAAATGATACTGCCTAGGGCCTGACACAGTAAGTGTTCAACAAACACCATTCTTATTATTAATGTTATTTTTATTACAACTATCTTTGGAGATAAACAAATGTTGAAACCTCAAACTGATCCATAGGTGTGTTGGGGAAGAACAATGGCTGTAAAACAGAAAGGAAGCAGTGTGAAAGAAAGCTTATTGTCTCAAGGTCTACAAATCTTATTGAGCAAATCCACACAATTCTCATAAGCAATACCTTGCTAGGTGGCATGCCTCTCAGAGTGTCTTTATCCTGATTTTATTTTACTACCCTTCCCATCATATCTTTCTCCCCTACATGTTGTCTTTCACAAAACAATAATAGAGAGAGCCATTGTATCCTACGAATGCCTGAGATTTAGCCTTTCACTTCTTTAGATTGAGAGCTGCTCCTGGTGATGACTGTGGTAAGTGATGAATGCTGGGGGAATACATGAAGAATAAAGGTACCTAAAAATTGCTCATTCTTTTTTCATTCCTTCAACAAATAATTATTGAATGTCTGCTAGTGGCAGACACTCTTTTAGAAAAGTTGTTCTCAACTGGGGACTATTTGCGCCCCCCAGGGGACATGGGGCAATGTCTGGAGACAGTTTTGGTTGTCACAACTAGGAGGCGGTGTGCTACTGGCAGCTAGTGGTTAGAGGTCATGGATGCTGCTAAACATCCTACAATGCACAGAACAGCCTCCTATGTCAAAGAGTTATGCAGCCCAGAGGTCAGTAGTGTCAAAGATGAGAAATCCTATTCATTCTAGAGGCTTGGGAAAATTATATCTGAAAGCAAAATTCCCTGCTTTTGTAGAATATAAATCCACAAACAGTCAGAAAATAGACTGTAAAAAGGATAAGTAAATTAGAAAGTGATGTTTTGTTTTTTTAAAAACACAAAGGTAAGCAGGGTAAAAAGTATGAGTGCTGGGCCTGGGGAATGTTATAGAGGATGTTCAGAAGGGGAGGGGGTGAGATTTGAGCACAGATTTAAGGGAAGTGACAGAGATAGGCAAATAGATGCCTGTGGGAAGAGCATTCCAGGCAGAAGGAAGAGCCACAGCAAAGATCCTAAGGCACAGTGGCCTGGCATGTTCACATAACATCAGGGAAGCCAGTGTCTTGAATGCCATGAGCAGGGAAGAGGAGTAGAAGATGAAGTCAGAGAGTGGGCAAGAATCCAGTCCACGCAGGGCCTTGTGGGCCACTGCAAAGACTTCAGTGTTTACCCTGAGGGAATGGTTCTGAGCAATGATTTTGAGACATACTCTGACTTCTATTAGCTGCTCTGTTGAGAACAGAACAAAGAGGGGCAAGGGTAGAAGCAAGGGAACCTATTTGTTAGGTGGCTATTGTAAGAAATGACAATATCCTGGATTAGGGTGGTAACCGTGGAGGTGTAAGAAGTGGGCAGATATATTTTGAAGACAGAGCTAACAGGATTTGCTGATGAATTGGAGTGAAGAATAACACTACGGGTTTTGGCCTCAGCAACTAGAAGGATGGAATTACAATACAGTGAGATGGGAAAGGATGGCTGGGCTAGGGCAGGTTTAGTGAGGATGACTGGGAGTTCAGCCTTGGACCCATTAAGTCTCAAGTGTCTATTAGACACCCAAATGGAGATGTTGAATCAGCAGTTGGATATATAAGTCTTAAATTCAGGAGGGAGATGAAGACTGGAAATGAAGATGTGTGAGTCAACAGAATTGAGATGGGGCATGATGAGATGACCAATAAAGTGTGTGTAGATGGAGAAGAGGTGCAGGGACTGAGCCCAGGACACTGCAGTTAAGAGCTTGGAGAGAAGAGGAGGAACCAGAGAAGGAGACTGTGAAGGATTAAGCAGTGAGACAGAAGAAAATAAAGAGAATGTGTTATCCTGAAAACAAAATGAAAAAGTTTACCAAAGAGAAAGGAGGCATCCATTGGTCAAATGCTGCTTATGGGTTTAGAATGATGAGGACTGATTATTAACCATTGGCTTTAGCCAAGTGGAGGTTATCAGTAAACAGGATGAGAGCAGTTTGGAAGGAACTTGACTGAATTGGGTTCAAGAGAGATTGAGAGACTGGATGCGGTGGCGCACACCTGTAATCCCAACACTTTGGGAAGCCGAGGCAGGAGGATTACTGAGCCCAGGAGTTCAAGACCAGACTGGGCGACAGAGCAAGACCTGATCTCTATTTTTTGAAAACAAAATTTTTTTAAAAAGAGAAAACTGACAGAAGATAAATTGAAGACAGGAAGCACAGACAACTCTTGAGAAGTTTTGATGAAAGGGGAAGCAAAGGATTAGGGTAGCAGCTGGCAGGGAGAATGGAGTCAAGTGAAGGTTTTTGTAAGGTAGGAACAACAGAGCAAAAAATGTGTTGTAGAGAGTAAAAAATTGATTATATGGGGAGAAAGGACAGATTTGCTGGAGTTATGTCTTGAAGTAGGTGAGAAAGAAAAGGATTTAGTTCAAAAGGAAAGGAATCAGCTTAGATAGTGTATGGAAAGTTCATCAACAATAACAGGAAGGCAGAGTAGGTGGAGGAAAATGAGAGGTTTAGGTTTGGTTGCTGATTGCTTCGGCTTTTTTGATGAAG
This sequence comes from Homo sapiens, assembly GCF_000001405.40. Taxonomy (NCBI): domain Eukaryota; kingdom Metazoa; phylum Chordata; class Mammalia; order Primates; family Hominidae; genus Homo; species Homo sapiens. The sequence goes on along the minus strand of NC_000005.10, from coordinate 146,388,691 downwards.
TATAAAACTGACTCACCAGTTAAAAATGAGGATTGCAGAGAAGACGTTGGAGACTTGGAGAGAAAAATGTGTAAAATAGTTGCCTCAGCTATAGGAGAGTGAATGAAACCAGGGCAAATAAGAGGTTGCTTGGCAGCATAAGGAGACACTTGAGCTTCAAAGCCATCCTTTTAAGGTAAGACCTGCCAATGTGGTTGTGGGATTTTCTCCAGCACATTCAGCTGCAGGGATACAAGTTCAGAGTAGGTAGATGATTTTCATTGAGTATGATGAAGTGAAAACAGGAAACATAGTAGTCCAAGATATATGTAAAGGAAAATTATAATAATTCCTCTCAGAATTTAAGCTATTCATCTTTTAATAATGCACATTTTTATAATGTGCATATAATCTTATCACATAGAAGTAGATTAAAAGCACTTTGTTGAATCAGCCAGATCCCAAATTTGGCAAGCTTTTCATGAATTCATAGAATCAATGCAGGTCTGGAGATGTCATCTAGTCTTCTCTTCTAGCTGCTTTGCTAAGCAGCTAAGACTCTTGCTGTTGTTGTATTTTTATGTCTCCTGAGGAGATGACATCATTCCCCAGAAGAGCAAGACTAGCGTTTATTAGCTCAAACTTACAGAAATATTTTTCAAATAGCTTAATCAAACTTCCCATGCTTCTATTTAATTATTTCCTCTTCTTGCATTCTTAGTAGTGATAAGGAGCAACTATTCTTTTATGTAATTAATTTTAGTTCATTCAACAAATGCAGAATGATTACTATCAGCTAGACACTAGGTATACAATGGTGAGAAACCATGGTCCCTGATCTCCCCCAATTTCATAGTCATGTGGCTAAATACAGATGATTTCAATGTGCTATAACAAGGGATATGATTGGGGAGAAAGAGAGTCTTACGTGAACACATAACAGAGGCACCTAACCCATTTGAGGAGAAGAAGGAAGGAGGGAAAACTCATGGAAGGATTCCAGGAGAAAGGGATGCAGAAGTTTAGAAGGAGTTAGGTGGAAAGAAGGAAGGATGAAAGTGTTCCAGGCAGTAAGAACATGTGTGAGAGCCTGGTGGAGACAGAGAGCACTATTTGAGAGTTCATGGTGCCTAGAGCACAGAGAGGCAAGAGAAAACAGATGGAGATGGGGCTGGAGAGGCTGGCAAGAGCGTGTTGGAAGGTTAGCCATTATATCAATAATGTGGGCTTCATCTTAGGGGCAGCATTGTTAGGTTTAAACAGACATCATTAATTTGTGCCTTGAAAAGTTCACTCTGGCAGCTTGATGTGGATAAAAAGTTGGAGGAAAACACCTCTAGGGACAGCAAAACTCACTGGAAGACTGTTGCAGTCATGGGGGTGAGAGACAATGGTGGCCTAGACTAGGCATATGGCAGTGGAGCTGGAGAGAAATGAATGGACTCACAAGATGTTTTAGGTGGTTGAATTGACAGGTCTTGAGTGATTTATTGGCTTTGGAGAGTCAAAGAAAGGGGAGAGTCAAAGAAAGGGAAGAGTCAAAGAGGATGCTCCAGTTTCTGACTTTGAAAACTGAGTGGCTCATGATACCATTTACTGAAATATGGTACATGGAAGAATAAATGTTGGAAATGTTGGGATTCAGGTGATCTGTGACATATCCAAAAGTGTATTTCAAAGAGCAGCTATACACAGGATCTGGAACTTAGGAAGGAGAGAGAGAGGTGTGGGGAGAGGCACATTAAGAATTATTTGCAAATATATGGTAATTGAAACCATGGGAATGAAACAAGCCATCATCTGTGTTGGGTATGGAGAAGGGAAGACTTAAGTCAAAGCGCTGAAAAATGCCAACATTTAAAGGATGGGCAGAAGAAGGAACCTCCAAAAGAAGCTGAGAGGAAATCAGCCAAAGAAGTAGGAGGGAAAAATCAGGAGAATGTGAAGTCATGGAAGTCAAAGGAAGAAAGTGTTTGAGAAGAAAGAAATGGTCAACAACGTGAAATATTGCCAAAAGGCCAAACAATAGCGCCTGGAAAGGGCCCACTGGATTTAACTATGGCAGCTGAGAAGGCAGAAACCAGACTGCAGTGAATTAAGAAGTAACTAGGAGATGAAAATTCTAGACAACAAATGTAAACAATTATTTGAAGAAGCTCATTATATCTATATGCGAAGGGGAATTAGAAAAGAATTGGGCCCAAATCTTCACACAAATTCTCTCTTAAAAGACACATTGATCCCAGGTGTCAAAATATCTCAGAGAAAACATTTTCATGTGAATTTCCAAATTTCCAAGATAATTCCCATTTATTTTTTAAAATTAGGGACAGGGTCTCGCCATGTTGCCCAGGCTGGTCTCAAGCTCCTGGGCTCAAGCAATCTGCCCACCTTGGCCTCTCAGAGTGCTGGGATCATAGGCATAAGCCACTGCACCCAGCCGAATTTCCATGATAATTTCCTCAACATTCCATGTTATTTGAGAGCACCAACTCAGCCAAAGACAGTTATACTAACTCATCTCAAATTTCCTTTCTTGGAAAAAATTATATTTCCTTAAGTAGGCTCCAAAAATCTACTACCCACTAGTTGTTTTTGTGGCTATCCTCAGAACAGTTTCTAAATTCAAGTTTCTCTTTAACCACTGAAACATCATGAAATGGAAACACAGCAACATAAAATATAGGAGGGGGACTCATCAGCTAGGTGATAGGAAACTGACTGGCTAAACAAAAACAAACCCCCCCCCCAAAAAAAAGGATTTATCCAAAGGCTATGAGAGAGCTCACACAAACAAACACATGAAACTAAATTACCAGAAAGGACAGGAACCAAAGCAGTTTTGGGCACCTGTGTGGCAGGAACTGCTAAGAACTCTCTCTTGAAGGTAGCACTCTCAGGCTGCAGCCTGCTTGGGTCACAAACTAACCTTTGTCTAGGGAAAAGAAGGATGTCTTAATTGACAGCCCCACGAAGAGGGGGAGTGGATATGTCCCAAGGAAAACTGAGGTGCCGGAAGAGGGAATAGAGACTGGACGTTCACCACATCCCCAAGGAGATTCAAGTACCGGAGTGTTAAGCTGCATGCAAGATCTTATGCAGTTGGGCCTTGAATAATAAACATTTAAACCAAGATTTCCTCCAGTGTAGCTTTTCTTGGCAGCAACACCCATTCTTTGGCTATAATTTCTACCTGCCTCTTCATTCTCTATCTCCTTCCTGGGCATAAATATATAGACAAATCTCCATGTGTTACAACAGAACATGCTGTTGCCCTCCCTCTGGCCAATCTTCCTCCTTCCTCTGAATTAGAGTTTCAAATCCCAAAATTCAGCCTGGGACATTGATGGATGGAGCATGTGAGCTGTGCATCTCCCCTACCTGGCTCATTTGATTAGTGGAGACAGCTGAAATAGGAAATTCAGGCCCCAAAGTATGTTTTGAGTCTGGATGATTCCATTTGGCTGAATCCCTAGACAGAGAAACTGGAGAGCAATCAAATACCCACTTTTCTTTGTGTTGGGCACATGTAGCAGGCTGAGAATTCTGATGCCTTTGTAGTTAAATAACCTTGTACACTTCCTTGTTATCCCAGACTAGAATTAGCCTTTATGTATCCCAGTGATTGCTTAATTGTATGCGAAAAGAAATGTCAAGATCTTTCTCTTTTTAACTTAACTCTAGAGAAAGAGTTGCAAAAAGGTTATGAGCAAATATGACAAAGTAAACAACAGGTGTGTTTCTGGAAAGATACATGTAAATGATTTGGGGATTTTGTTGTTGTTCAATTAACAAACACCCATTTTTCTCTGGGCTCCCAAGTTTGGAATGGCCTCATTTTTGCCTGAGCTTCAGTCTTTTGAGGCATGATAGTGTGGCAGTAAGAAGTATGGCTTTTGAGGCAGCTAGCCCAAGATGGAATTTAACTGTACTTTTTCCTAGCTATATTCTCTTGGGCAAGTTTCTTAATGTTTCTGAGCCCCATAATCGATGTTTTTAAAATGAGATTTGTCCTCGTCTTTGTGGGCAATGCACAACAATGCACAGTACTTGGCACAAAGTAAGCACCCAGTAAATTTTAGCACTTATTGTTACTTTTAGCTCTAAATTTCTGTGCACCATGCATGTTTATTGCAGCACAATTCACAAGTGCAAAATCATGGAACCAACCCAAATGCCTATCAGTCAATGGGCGGATAAAGAAACTGTGGTAGATATATATACGATGGAATACTACTGAGCCATAAAAAGGAATGAATTAACAGCATGTGCAGTGACCTGGATGAGATTGGAGACTATTATTCTAAGTGAAGTAACTCAGGAATGGAAAACCAAACATCATGTATTCTCACTAATATGTGGGAGCTAAGCTATGAAGACACAAAGGCATAAGAATGATACAATGGACTTAGGGGACTTGGGGTGAAGAGTGGTAGGGGGGCGAGGGATAAAAGGCTACTAATAGAGTGCAGTGTATACTGCTCAGGTGATGGGTGTGCCAAAATCTCACAAATCACCACTGAAGAACTTACTCATGTAACCACATATCACCTGTACCCCAATAACTTATGGAAAAATAAAATGATAAAAATTAAAAAAAAAAAACTAAATTTCTGTGCATTCCACTTAAGCAATTAATATCTTGAACACAATTCTTTTAAAAATTATTGTAAAATTAGAATATTTATTGTAGAACATTTACAAAATACAGAAAAATAATTTTTCAAAAAGACCAAAAGATTGCCCTTAATCCAACCACTGAGAGGTAACAATCCCTAATATTTTGATCTTATCTGTGCATATAGATGCTCTTTTTGTACTCAGTCTTTCAAAGTACTAAGAGAGGCAGGGTGCAGTGGCTCACGCCTGTAATCCCAGCACTTTGGGAGGCTAAGGTGGGTGGATCATGAGGTCAGGAGTTCCAGACCAGCCTGGCCAACATAGTGAAACCCCGTCTCTACTAAAAATACAAAAAAAATTAGCTGGGCATGGTGCTGGGTGCTTGCAGTCCCAGCTCCTTGGGAGGCTGAGGCAGGAAAATTGCTTGAACCCAGGAGGCAGAGGTTGCAGTGAGCCGAGATCACACCACCGACTGCACTTCAGGCTGGGCAACACAGCGAGACTCTGTCTCAAAAACAAAAACAAACACGAAAGCAAAGTACTAAGAGAACTGTTAATTAAAGGAACCCTGCTCCTATAAGTGAATCCTTTTAAAAAATTTTATTGAGATATAATTCATATACCACACAAGTCACCCATTAAAAGTGTACAATTCAGTGGTTTTTAGTATATCCACAGAGATGTGCAGCAATGAGCATTAACTAATTTCAAAATATTTTCATCATACCCAAAGAAACCACAAACTCACTAGTAGTCACTCCCTATTCCTTACTCTCCCCAGCTCTTGACAACTACTAATCTACTTTCTATGTGGATTTGTCTATTCTGTACATTTCATATAAAGGAATCATATATAATATGTGTTCTTCTGTGTCTATCTTATGTTCTTTAGCATGATGTTTTCAAGGCTTATCCATTTTGTAGCATGTATCAGCATTTCACTTATTTTTAGGGCTGAATAATATTCCATTTTATTTATTTTTATTTTTTTTATTTTTGAGACGGAGTTTCACTCTTGTTGCCAAGGCTCGAGTGCAATGGCTCGATTTCAGCTCACTGCAAACTCTGCCTCTAGGGTTCAAACGATTCTCCTGCCTCAGTCTCCCGAGTAGCTGGGATTACAGGTGCCCACCACATGCCCAGCTAATTTTTAGTAGAGACGAGGTTTCACCATGTTGGCCAGGCTGGTCTCGAACTCCTGACCTCAGGTAATCTGCCTGCCTCGGCCTCCCAAAGTGCTGGGATTACAGGCGTGAGCCACGCTGCCTGGCCTTATTCCATTTTATAGGCACCATACAAGTTGTTTATCCATTCTAGTTGATGGACATTTGGGTTGATTACACTTTTTGGCTATTATGAATAATGATGCTATGAAAATTCATGTACACATTTGTGTAAACATAAGAAGTGAATTCTTTTAAAAAGTAAAAACTTAAAAAAAATCTATAGTAGATCTCTAAAATGTTTTTCATAAGGCAGTTTAAATTTATTGTTACTTTCAATGAAAGAAAAAAGCACAGAGAATAGTTTAATAAAACCAAGGACATACCACACAAATTAACAAATCAATATTTTAAAGTATTTGTCCCAGGCCGGGTGCAGTGGCTCATGCCTGTAATCCCAGCACTTTGGGAGGCCGAGGCAGGCAGATCACTTCAGGTCAGAAGTTCGAGACCAGTCTGGCCGAAATGGTGAAACCCCATTTCTACTAAAAATACAAAGAAATCAGCTGGGCTTGGTGATGTGCTCCTGTAATCCCAGCTACTGGGGAGGGTGAGGTGGAAGGATCACTTGAACTTGGGAGGCGGAGGTTGCAGTAAGCTGAGACCCTGCCACTGCACTCCAGCCTGTAGGCAACAGAGCAAGACTCCATCTCAAAATAAACAAATAAATAAAAGTATTTGTCCCAGACCCAAATATTACAGTAGATATAACTTTTGAACCTCTCCACCATTCCATTTCCTTCCAGCCCCTTGAAGTAACCACTATCTTAATGTAAATTAAGAAGGCATTTTTGGCCTGGCATGGTGGCTCACGCCTATAATCCCAGCACTTTGGGAAGCTGAGGCAGGCAGATCCCTTGAGCCCAGGAGTTCGAGACCAGCTTGGGCAACATGGCGAAACCCCGTCTCTACCAAAAATACAAAAATTAGCCAGGCATGGTGGCGTGCACCTATAGTCCCAGCTACTTGGGAGGCTGAAGTGGGAGGATCACCTGAGCCTGGCGGGGTGGAGGTTGCAGTGAACCAAGATGGCACCACTGCACTCTAGCCTGGGTGACACAGCAAGACCCTGTCTCAAAAAAAAAAAAAGGCATTTTTATTATGCATGTATACTTAAACATTACTATATTTTTGAGACTTATCAGTGTTGCTACACATAGATCTGTTGTATTTATTTAATCTGTCATACAAAATCACACAATCAATTTACCCACTTCCCTACTGCTGAAACTTTAGGTTGTTTCTTGGTTTTTGTTAATGTAAACAGTGATGCAGTGAACATCCCTGTGCATGTCTTCTTGTGTCTCTAGATGTGAAATGACTGAGTTATAGGACATGCACATCTTCAACCTTAACCGATTTTGCCAAATTGCTCTCAAAAGTCAAGTTTCCTTCTTTGGGGCACACTTGTGCTAGCTACGTCAACGTTGTTGGTTTACACTATAAATTCTTTGAATGTAGGGCTCATCCAGTTTCTAACATGGACTGAATGGAAGAATTTGTCTAGGGAAATTGTGGGAAGATAGAAAAATAATACAATGTACACTCTGCTATGTGTTGAATTGTGTCCCCGAAAAAAAAAAGATAGTGAAGCCCTAACCCCCAGTACCTGTGATTGTGACTTTAATTGAAATAGAATCTTTGCTGATGGTCAAGTTAAGATTACTGTGTCCTCATTAAAATGGGAAATTTAAACCGAGACGTGCCCACAGGGAGAATGCCAAGATAAAGGCAGAGATTGAGGTAATGTATCTCCATATCCAGGCATGCCAAAGATTTCCAGGAAAGCATTAGGAACTAGGAATGGATTTTCCTTCAGAGTCTTGAAGGAGCCAACCCTACCGACACCTTATCAAGGAATGCTAGCCTCCAGAAGTTTCTGTTGTTTAAACCACCTGTCTAGAAAATTTGGCTAGACAAGAAATTTTTGCTAACAAGTACCTTGTTACAGCAGCCGTAGGAAACTAATACACACTGGAATGAGTCATCCTGGCATCCAAATTAAGCATCAGTGATCTGAGGTTGGTGAATATTTCAAATCTGCTTTGGCATCAATTTCTCTTCCTTTTGTCCCTCTGAATGACTTCTCTTTCTTTCTTTCTTTCTCTTTTTTTTTTTTTTTTTGAGACAGAGTCTCACTGTGTCACCCAGGGTGGAGTGCAGTGGCACAATCTTGGCTCACTGCAACCTCTGCCTCCCAGGTTCAAGCAATCCTCTTCCTCCCTCAGCCTCCCGAGTAGCTGGGATTACAGGTGCACTCCAACACGCCTGGCTAATCTTTGTATTTTTAGTAGAGACAGGGTTTCACCATGTTGGCCAGGCTGGTCTCAAACTCCTGACCTTAGGTGATCTGCCCACCTCAGCCTCCCAAAGTGCTGGGATTATAGATATGAGCCATGACGCCCAGCCTGGATGATTTCTTCTTTGGCTGCTTATTGTTTTGTTTGTTTGTTTGTTTGTTTGTTTTGTTTTTCTTTGTTTGTTTGTTTGTTTTTGAGATGGAGGCTTGCCCTCTTGCTCATGCTGCAGTGCAATGGTGTGATCTCGGCTCACTGCAACCTCTGCCTCCAGGGTTCAAGCGATTCTTCTGCCTCAGCCTCCCGAGTAGCTGAGATTACAGGCATGCGCCACCACGCTGGTTAATTTTTTTGTATCTTTAGTAGAGACAGGGTTTCACCATGTTGTCCAGGCTGGTCTCGAACTCCTGACCTAATGATCTGCCCGCCTCGACCTTCCAAAGTGCTGGGATTACAGGCGTAAGCCACTGTGCCTGGCCTTGCTGTTTTGTTATTTAGGCCTAATTCCATCCACTGAACCCGGAATTTTCTTTGATCATAAAACACTTGTACTAGCCATCATCATGCTCCAGAAGTATCTTGCCCATTGGATCAACATATCGTAGACATTCGAAGTAGAAAAATAATGTCCTGGGCCAATATTTTCTTCCTGTACATTCTTTATTGGCAAATTTTCTCCAAGGGTTTCCTCTTGAATCCAGGAACACCTTGGAATGAAGAATATCTCTGATGCCTAATGCATCCTCTACATGAGTAGCCTGCGTCACTGAATACTAAAAGTAGAAAAATAATCTTACAAATCAAGGAGGAAAGAGATGGATGCTCTCAGTTACCCTGAACAATAACTAATCACAAAAGAACTAGTTATATGCCAGTAAAAGTATTATTACACACACAAAAAAAGGAGCAGTTCCAATTGTCTTGCTAGAAACTCCTTTAAAAGAGTAGGCAGCTCCTTTAGAAGAATCAGATGCCCACATGAACCTCAAATACTACGTTTGGCTTCTAGGACAACTAAGCTCTTCGGTAAAGCTTGGGGAGGAGGGGTAAATGGCAGCATTTAGCTTTTGTGACTGAACTGTGGGGCCTTGGAACCCTTCCACCCACTTGAAAAACGGTCGCCCATCTGATATTAATAGAAAAAGACCATTAAAAAGCTTTATGCTATTCTGTTCTCCTGGTTCTGGTCCCTCTTTGCCTTTGTTGCTGCTGGCATTTTATAAATTATGGATGCGCCTAGGTGCTGCTGCTCCCGCGTTTCCTCTGTAGTGCCGCTCGCTCCCCGCGCCTGCATCGCATCCTTCCTCTGAGCAAAGGACTGCGCGGCCCAGACCCCACATCAGTGTAATTAGCGCGCCGCACACAGCTCGGGTGTCAGGACTGCTTCCATTCACTGCCAGCCTTCTGCCAGGCCCTGTCATTCACGAGAAAGTCGGCCAGGCGGTGGCAAGGCCAGGAGCGCAGGCCTCCGCAGCAGGGAGGGGAGGCTCAAGGTGGAGACGCGGGGTCCCCTGCTGCCGGCCTGGGTGCAGGGACAGCGCTGGGATTCGGCAGCTGCCTCACACGATGTCTGATCACAAAGTTAGACAATGGGGAAAGGCATGACATTCATATCTGCCCCTTGACTGGTTACAGGGGAGGTTGAGGAGAGGTGGATATAAGGTGGGTGGAAAATTCCTAATGTGCCTGCAGCTGGAAGGGTTTTGAGGGAACCAGCAGACCAGTGCTTGCTGCTGCTTATGAGATGTGTAGCATCGGTGGTGAAGGAGGGTTATTTGGGGTGGCATGCTAAAGGACATTTTTTATTTTAATGGATTTGTGTTTGTCTTATATATCTGCATTATGTATCACCAACTCACAATTTCATGGGTTTTGTCAAAGTAGATATCTTGCATCCAATTTTATTTAAAGAAAAATTAAATTATGCCCAAGTGATGTGCAGATATGGCAAAGATGTTAAAGAGCACACAAATGACAGAGGGAGGTTTGGGAAGAACTGAAAGAGGGCCAAGGATTCTTAATTGTTTGGAGGGTCATGAATCCCTATAAGAACTTGAAGAGGCCAGGCACAGTGGCTCATGCCTGTAATCTCAGCACTTTGGGAGGCCAAGGCGGGTGGATCACTTGAGGTCAGGAGTTTGAGACCAGCCTGGCCAACATGGTGAAACGCCGTCTCTACTAAAAATACAGAAATTAGCCAGGTGTAGTGGTGGATGCCTGTAATCCTAGCTACTTGGAAAGCTGAGGCAGGAGAATTGCTTGGGAGGTGGAGGCTGCAGTGAGCCGAGATCGCGCCACTGCACTCCAGCCTGGGAGACAGAGCAAGACTCCGTCTCAAAATAAAAAGAACCTGGAGTTGAAGAAAGCAAGTCTCCGCCCTCCCCGACAAAAAAAATACATACACACAAATTTGATGTGCAAATGCAAAGATTTCACAGATTCCTGGAAGGCCATGCTTTGACCACCTAAGGATACATGGACTCTGTGTATCTATACAGTGAGCTCCTCAACGGTAGAAACTAGGCCTTATTCATCACTGTACCCAGGCACATAGGAGATCTTCAATGTTTGCTTGGGCAGGCACAGTGGATCCCACCTGTAATCCCAGCATTTTGGGAGGCAAGAGGACTGCTTGAGGCCAGGAGTTTGAGACCAGCCTAGACAACATAGCGAGACCTCTTCTCTACAAGAAATAAAACTAATTAATTAAAAAACTTAGCTGGGGGTGGTGGTTTGTGCTTAGAGTCCCAGCTACTTGGGAGGCCGAGGCAAGAAGATCGCTTGAACCCAGGAGTGTAAGGCTGAAGTGAACCATGATCATGTTACTGCACTCCTGCCTGGGCAACAGAGCTAGATCCTGTCTCTAAAAATGAAGTAAATCAATGAGCTGTCATTCAGATCCTCATTTTTCTTTTTCAAGAAATGAGCCTGGGGCCCAGAGTGATCAATTAATTTGTCCAAGATCACAAAGCTTAGGCAAAAACCTATGTCTTCTGATTCCCAGTTACTCCACTGTTTCCTACCACGTCTATGTTTAATCCCAAAACCACCCCTCTACTTCTTTCACCCTTTGCCTCCATCCCCTCTAGCGAATCTAATACTTTGAGATTCCAGAGATGGAAGAAAAAGTAGGTGAGAAGAGAAGGCAGAAAATGATCAAAGATGTCAAGTTTGCTCCAGGCCCTTCCTCATGACACCCCCACCCTACTTTCACCTGAAGCACCAGTGGAAGGGCAGCTGTCATCAATAACGGAGATACAAAGAGGGCAGTGACCCCAGGGCAGCCCTCTGTGCCATTTGTCATGATGGCATGGAGTAAGGAGATGTGTATATAGGTTTAATTTCCTTGGAGTGTTCTATCTACCTAAGCCCTTTCCCGGATGGTTATGAGATGCACACAGTTTACATAGGAGACCCATTAATTCTCTGTCTCTGGGGTTAATATTTAATTAGACAGTTTAAAAAATGCATACTATTACTGGGGAGACTGCTTCAGTGCTTGTCTCTTCCCTCTGGGATGCAGTGTTCAGACACAGAATTCTGAACCCCTCGTGGTTCCCATGGAAACCTTCACCACTGGTGACTCCAAGCTGAACACAGGGGATGGCAAAGGCCTAGTGAAGAGTCCAGATGTAGACTTAAAGAGCTCTGGAATCTCCTCCAAGGGTTCAGCCAGAAGCCATCTGACTGGCTATGACCAGTATTGGGGACTTTATTCTTCCAAAGGCAGTCTATCCAATTTTTGGACCACTCTGATGGTGTCAGAGGCCTTCTGTAGATTGAGCTCAAATAACTCACTTCTAGTTGTCTTAGGTCAACAATGTGTGGCCACAGAGATTAAGTCAAACTCCTCTTCATGTAAGTTCCTAGCTATCATTATTATTTGAGTATCTCTTATACGTGTGTAGATACTGTGCTAAGCAACTTAGGTATAAATCTCATTTGATCCACACATCAACCACATGACATAGGCATCATTAGTGTGTCATTTTACTGACAAGCTGACCAAGGCTAGGGGGCCAACAACCACCGGAATAGGATTCCCACAAACCCAAGTGTGTCTAAGTCTACATCCCATGCTTTCGACCATAATGACTCCTCCCTCTCACTGCTTCCTCTCAAGCACCCTTGAGATATTTTTTCTTTTCTTTTTATTTATTTATTTTTTTTGAGGCAGGGTCTTACTCTGTCACCTAGGCTAGAGTGCAGTGGCGCAATCATAGCTCACTGCAGCCTTGACCTGCTGGGCTCAAGCCCATCCTCCCACCTCAGTCTCACAAGTAGCTGGGACCACAGGCATGTGCCACCACACCTGGCTAATTTTTGTACTTTTTTGTAGAGATGTGGTTGTGGTATGTGCCCAGGCTGGTCTTGAGTTCCTGAGCTCAAGCAGTCCTCCCTCCTTGGCCTCCCAAAGTGCTGGGATTACAGGCGTGAGCCACCATGCTCAGTACTTGAGATATCTGAGGTACGCGCTCCTGTCTTGCCTCCCCTCTTGCCTCTCTGAGGATTCTCTTTTCTGGGCTAAGCTCCCTCAGTCCCTTCAGCCAAAAGAACATGGTTTCTGCCTCTCTATCACTCATAGGCAACACTGGGGATTCTCCTGTACCCTGCTCCAGTTGATTAGTCTACACACCCAGAGATGTCAAGCATCATTTCACTGTGATACCAACCAGGTACCCAAAGGTGGAGTACCACCTTCTACGGTGGAGCCCATAGGAAGTACATAGGAAGTACTAGTTACTTCCTAAGTAACTAGTTGAGTGTCCCATGGGTCTTTAATCCCCTCATTCAGAACAGAAATTGCAATGTGAGATGGAATAAAATTTCTGTTGGAAACAGAAACCTAAACACATATTATGTTCAGGTTTAACTCAAACCCACATGTATTTGGTTGCTTAAAATTTTCATCTGTTAAGCCATGTTTTCCAATCCTTTCCCTTTGCATTTGTTTGGAACTATATATAAATTTTTAATCTGCATTCCTGCCTATTTAAATTCCACCCTTAAATCTAGTTCATCATTCTAATCTCTTGATCATTCAGAACTTGGTACTCATAGAATTTTTTTTCCCAGCTCTGTGCTGTTCCTGAATTTGCCAGCCTTCCAGGTTTCTGAGTTGTTGATAAACACCGCACAGGAGACATGAGGACAGAACCCTTCAGTGGAGACCTGTTTGGATATTGCAGGGGCTTTCTGTGCCCCGCCTATGCGTGATTTCAGCGCTGTGGTGGGTAACTTTTCACACAGGGTCAATTCATGTGCCCCCTCTGCTGTCTGTCAGCTAGTCTGCCTTCAGGCTTTCTCCAAGGCTAAGGATGGCACCTAGGCCAGGAACACCATAGTTGGGCATAGGAGTGAGTGGATAAATGCCCAGCTTCCCATCTTTCAAAGGGACAGTTCCACTGAGGCACAGTGTACCTTGTTCCTCAGAGGGTCCCCAGGGAGGCTGGGCTCCAGTTGTGCCAGTGATAACCAGCCCAAGGTTATCAAATCTATTTATTAGCTTTTCTGAGTTGTGTCTCATTTTCCTCATTCTTTCAGTTAGGCTTCCTGGGATCACCTACCAAAGAAAACATCTGACCCAAATTTGTATCTCAGTCTTTGCTTTCAGGAAACCTAAACTGGGGCAGATATGGCAAAGAGATAGAGAGTTAGATCACTTCTGATTTCATTTCAGGACATCTTTTTAAAATGAGTGTTCATTTTAAAAATATTTATGGTGAAGTTCTTCATTAAGAAAATAATACATAAAAAAATGTACAGAACTGAGACAGGCTTGGTGGCTCATGCCTGTAATCCTAGCACTTTGGGAGGTCTAGGCTGGCAGATTGCTTGAGTCCAGGAGTTCGAGACCAGCCTGGGCAACATGGCAAAACCCTGCCTCTACACAATTAAAAAAAAAAAATTAGCCAAGCACAGTAGCACACACCTGTAGTCCCAGCTACTCGGGAGGCTGAGGTGGGAGGGTCACCTGAGCCCAGGGAGGTCGAGGCTGCAGTGAGCTGAGATCAAGCCACTGCTCTCCAGCCTGGGTGTCAGAGTGAGACCCTGGGTGTCAGAGTAAGACCTTGTCTCAAAAATAAAAAACAAAAAACACAAAACACAAAACACATAGATAGATAGATAGATAGATGATAGATAGATAGAACTGAAGGGAAATAAATCTAGCCATAATCCCACCACTTTGATAAAATTACTAGCTGGCATTTTTACATGTTGTATTTCTTTTCCATCTTTTTCTAGGCATATTTCAATATCAAGAGAATTACACTCTATATACCACCTTGTATCCTACATTTTAATTCAATGTCTTCTTATTCTTTCAATATTATAAAATCATCCTAAAACCATCACTTTTTTTTTCTTTTGAGACAGAGTCTCACTCTATCACCCAGGCTGGAGTGCAGTGGCCCTATCTCAGCTCACTGCACCCTCCACCTCCTGGGTTCAAGTATTTCTCATGCCTCAACCTCCTGAATAACTGGGATTACAGACATGTGCCACCGTGCCCAGATAATTTCTGTATTTTTTGTAGAGACGGGGTTTCACCATGTTGGCCAAACTGGTCTTGAACTCCTGGCCTCAAGTGATCTACCCACCTCAGCCTCCCTAAGTATTGGGATTACAGGCGTGAGCCACCACGCCCTGCCTGAAACTATTACTTTCAACTTCATTGTTTAATAATTATCTCCTGAGCAACATGGAAACATGGCAAAACCCTGCCCCTACAAAAAAAATACAAAAATTAACTGGGCATGGTGGTGTGTGCCTGTAGTCCAGCTGCTCAGGAGGCTGAGGTGGGAGGATTGAGCCCGGGAGGTCAAGGCTGCAATGAGCTGTGATCATGCCACTGCACTCTACCCTGAGAGACAGAGCAAGACCCTGTCTCAAAATAAATAAAAATAATTATCTCTTTTTTGGTCAGTCTCCCAGGGGTCCCTGTCCTCTTGAGGGCTGGGTCTATGTCTTACCTTTTTCTTCATAGCACTACCTCAGTGCCCAGCATACAGTAAGTGCTCATTATAGCTCATGAAATCAATGAGCAAACACTTCATAGTCTACCTGGTATTTTTGTATGTGAGCTGTTTCTAAATTTTCAGGATTGCCATTCGTGCCATGGCGAATGTATGGCATTTAGAACATCTTGGATTTCCCATCACCCCTCACCTTTCTGCATCTATGTTGGCCTTATTCATATAACAAACCTTGGCAATCTTGTTCATGTGAAAAGTGGTGGAGCAAATAACTCGGAACATGTTACCTATTCCATTGACTCTGCAACTTCCAAGCAGGGCAGTTCGACTTGGATATACAAACCCAGTAAGTAATCCTAAACTTGTCATCCTTATTGGAAATTTCCTTTAAGGTTATTCCATGCTGAGTAGTACTCCAGGGGTTCCTGGAAGGGAACACTTTAATTTCTTCCATTGATCACAGACATGAGAAGATCCAATTTATTTACCTGCTCACATCACCTAGTTTTCAAATGGCTTCTGAACACAGTGCCAATAAATAAATGATCATCCAGTAATAGGTCAAATTTATTTTTCACTTCTAAGGTGCCAGGTACTTTACATATAATTTTCATAGTACAACTCTCTGAGGTCACTACTATTATTCTTCATATTAAATAAAGAAAGAAATGGGAACTAAGAGAGGTTAAGTAACTTGCTCAGGATTACACAGAAGAATGAAGTGTAATTTCATTTTACAGAATAAAATATTTTTTATCAATAAGTAACTATTAACCTCCAAGACTGCTTCTCTGCATATGTGGAAAAGTGACCTGCTTAAATGATATTACCCAAGGGATATTAAAATATTGTCCCACCCCAAAACTTTACCTATTGCTTTATACTGCCATGGGGCCTGGAGATGCCATAATTAATTTACTTTTTGACTTATGGTACTGTCTGCAGACAGTCCTGAAAGAGAAATACAACTGTCCTAGTAGGAGCAGTATATTAAGACATTTGCACACATTAAGGCCGGACGCAGTGGCTCACGCCTATAATCCGGCACTTTGGGAGGCCGAGGCAAGCGGATCACGAGGTCAAGAGATGCAGACCATCCTGGCTAACACGGTGAAACCCCGTCTCTACTAAAAATTACAAAAAATTAGCCAGGCGTGGTCGCGGGTGCCTGTAGTCCCAGCTACTCGGGAGGGTGAGGCAGGAGAATGGCCTGAACCTGGGAGGCGGAGCTTGCAGTGAGCCTAGATCGTGCCACTGCACTCCAGCCTGGGTGACAGAACGAGACTCCGTCTCAAAAAAAAAAAAAAAAAAATTAATTTTTTAAAAAAAGTTATTTGCCCACATTAATACGTCAACCCTACTTAGGTTGTCAGATTAGTTAACTCTATGGTTCTTGACTCTACAATGTACCCCACACGTTGTAACTATTCTTCCTCAACAGCTTTTGAAAATATTACTGCCAGACCTCACCTGCCCCCTTGAGATTCTGATTCAACTGAGCTGAGCTAAGGCACAGGCAGGCTTGAGAACTCCTGAACTAACTGAGCATTCTATCACTTTATAAGATCTTGAAAACAATTGAAATATAGAATAACTAAGCTTTGTTGAGAATGTCTATTAAGATTCTGAGTAAAAGGGCAACTCCCAAGCTCAACATGTAATTGGGAAACACTAAAGAACAACAACAAAATGGGGGTGGAAAGGTGTTGAAAATCCGTTTTCTCCATTTCCCACATGTGTTTACCTTGGACCAACTGGGTTTGCTAGAGCTTTATCTTGGAGTTCTGGGGACTTTTCGTTTTTTTTTTTTGTTTTTTTTTTTTGAGACAGAGTCTCACTCTGTCACCCAGCAGGCTGGAGTGGGCACGATCTCGGCTCACTGCAACCTCTACCTCCCTGGTTCAAGCGATCCTCCTGCCTCAGCCTCCCAAGTAGCTGGAACTACAGGTGCCTACCACCACTCCTGGTTAATTTTTTTTCGTTTCTTTTTTTGTCATTCTTTCATTTTATATCTGATTATATGTAGTTTATTGGCTGATCTCCCGTCCTAGGAATCTTAGGCTGCATTCCTAGAGCAGGGTTCCAAGGCCTAGGCTGCATATGGGGCGGGAATAACACCAGCCAGAGATGAAATTGGGATAAAGCCAAGCAATTCATTTGGCTCAAGTGTCACTAGGAAGGGGGCAAGCAAAGAATCAGAAATTGGGCCTGAAGCAACAGGATGGGAACTGTAGAGTTCAGGATAGGGAGAGGGGTTTTTGAATGAGGGAGAGGAGGCATGGCCTGGAAGGATTCTCCAAGGCTCTAGCACATAGACAAGGAGGGCTTTAACAGCCACCTGTAGCATGACCTCAGGTAGGAAGGGAGCTATTGAGGCCACTGAGGCCTCTGAGCCAAGTAGAGAATTCTCCCACCCCAGCAAAATTAGCCTGGCAGGTGAAGAAAGCACGATTGCCTTTGTGTATTTTTAGAAGATGAAGTATTGAATCCCACTGCAGTAGTAGTGGTAGAAATAATTAATTTATTGATTACCCACTTGCTAGGTAGTGTTCAATGTATTTTATTATCTTACTTAATCCCCACAATAATTCTATAAGGTAGTTACAATCATGACTTTCTGGGATGGATATGGTCAATTGGTACTTAGCACCAATTTCCACCTTCTTTGAGGGAACTTTCTGTTTTCTGAAGGCTAGAAAACTAGCTCATTTCGTGAATTCCTTGCAGCTAGGGTCTAGATGTGAGATAGATTCCATGAAGTAAAAGCATCTGGGCAAGATTCAGGAGGTAGAAATGAGAGAAAGGGCAATTTTCTGCTATGTTTGTTGTTTTTCACTTTGCAAGAAAAATTATGGAGATACTAATGTCTCATCTCCAGCTTTCAGAGGCATTTGTAGCAGTGTTGGCAACTGATTTCAGTGGTCCAGTGTCCAGATAATTGGAGTGGCAGTGGAGGCTGATGTCCGAATAGTCCGAATAGTCCCTGAGATGGTGTGTTCTGGACCTCAGGTACTCCAGTGGCAAGCTGCTGGTTCCTCACCATCCTGATTGTGACAAAGGTCACATGATTATCTGCGATGTTTCAGGAGTCATTTCTACATACTCAATCTAGAGTCCTGCCTTCAGCCCTTCCAATAATTTTTAAAGTACTTAATTCCAGTATTAACTCCCTTTGTGCCTCAAAATTCCTATGGTGATTTCTGATTCCTGCATTAAACTTTTTTTATACAGATGAGTAAATGGCGTCTTAGAGAGTATTTTAAAAGGTTGTCCAGCTAATAAGAGGTAGATCAAGAACTCTATGCCAATTAGATTAAAAAGTGCTCCAAAATTTAGAACTAGAGTGAAGAATTCATTGGCTATATTTCTAATAGATTTGACAAAGCAAAGTAGTACAGAGCCAAGTTCACATGTACTCTCTTCCCACTCTTAAACCTATGGGTTGCACTTGTGATTGCGGTAGGTGCTTAACTTAATTGGTTTGCATCCATGCCGGGACCTCTGGGATGCCACTTACATAACTCATCCACAGAAGTCTGTCTTGCCAATAAGTACTTGCAGAAGGCTCTCACTCAATAGACACATTAAACACAGGGCTCTGTTCCCTGTAACTAGCTACTTACTTACCCTAAGTGTTGGAGCCAGAGGAGCTGAGGACAAAGGAATCATCATAGTACTGAGAACTTACCATGTGCCAGGCATTGTTCTGCTATTTCACATTACTTTCTGGCATAATCCTCACAGAAACCCTGGGAGGTAAGCGTGGTTATGATTCACATCTTAAAGATTAGAAAATTGAAGCACACAGATTAAGTCATCTGCCCAAGTTCATGCAGCCCGTGAGTGGTAGAGCCTAGATACCAATGCAGTGGTCTCTTATTTATAATGCTATACCGTCTTCCAGTCATACTCAGAATTTTATAAGTTTTTCTGTCCCATGGTAAACTGCATGAAATCCTCTCTATAGTGAGGTCAGAAATAAATAAACAAAAAATAATAATAACGCATGGCGGCTTCCTTTAGCATCAGTCCTTCTCTGCTTTGCTTCTTTCCACCCCAGCTCCAGCAGGATGTGCCCTCTCCCAGACATTGATGAGGTGGTGTTTCTGCTTTTTGTTTTGCTTTGTTTTGTTTTTCGAGATGGAGTTTTGCTCTTGTTGCCCAGGCTGGAGTGCGATGGCGCGATCTCGGCTCACTGCAAGCTCCGCCTCCCAGGTTCAAGCGATTCTCCTGCCTTAGCCTCCCCAGTAGCTGGGATTACAGGAATGTGCCACCACGCCCAGCTGATTTTGTATTTTTGGTAGAGATGGGGTTTCTCTATGTTGGTCAGGCTGGTCTCAAACTCCCAACCGCAGGTAATCCACCCACCTTGGCCTCCCAAAGTGCTGGGATTACAGGCATGAGCCACCGCTCCTGGCCAGGTGGTGTTTCTGAATAAGCCAGACCAGTATATGATCAACCTCACTGCAACAGTTCCTCATGGCTACACTTGTTTGCTCCATTCTTCTTTCTGTCAGCAAGTAACAGTCACCTCATACACAACGGTTTCCCTTTCCATGGGCATACAGGACACAGACAGGTACCGTCATAGCACAAACGTGTGGGCACAGAGAAAGAAATAAAAGATATTACTAGAAAATGGTTAGACTCAGCAGTTGCATGAAAATTTAAAATCAGAGTAAACACAAACCTCTCTAATTAGACAGCCCTCTTTCTCCTGACCAGCGTTTCTACCAACCCTCATTTCTCCTAGAAATAGATCTTCACGAAGACGAGCATCTTTTTAAAATTCTGCACTACAGAGAGCCAGACTAAGATGGCTCTGTCGAAATTACAAAACACTATACTTTCAAATAGCTGCTGAATTATTTAGTGACTTTACACTGTCCAAATGCGGGGCTCTTTGGGTAGACAATGTCTTGGTTTCCCTCCTATCTCTTTTGTTATGACATTCAGTAAATGGAGAGATATTGCCCTTCTTAATAATTTATAAAATAATAATCCACATTAAGGATCAGGCTCCTCTGATAGGTTTGGGCTTTCAAATCAGGTAGTCAAGAGAATGAGAAGCTCAAAATTCTCTTCTAGCTTAGTTCAGTGATTGGTCCCAGCATACTCAAGCTTAACTTTTCAGTATTTGCTTCTTTTTCATCTCAACTTTTTCTCCTTCCTTGCATGGTTTCTTGAACTATAAACTGTGCTTGCTATCACTTCTTGGCATCTGACTAACTGGTTTGGCCTTATGATGAAATACGTCCTCTGAGAAGCAGAGAGCTGAACAATGTGTTATTGTCATGCACTTGACATTTCAAAGTTGCCTATTTGCTTTGGCAAAGTCATTCTTTTCCTCACCTGTTTGGAAGGAAAGAAAGTAAAATGGAAGGAGGGAAGGAGGGAAGGAAGGAAGGAAGGCTGGCTGGCTTATTTAACATCGGGAGGCCAGTGTGGTGGCTCATGCCTGTAATCCCAGCACTTTGGGAGGCCAAAGCGGGTAGATCACCTGAGGTCAGGAGTTCGAGGCCAGCCTAGCCAATATGGTGAAACCCCTTCTCTACTAAAAATACAAAAATTAGCCGGGCGTGGTGGTGGGTGCCTATAATCCTGGCTACTCAGCAAGTGTTTCTGACTGACTGAATAATCAATCCTCAAAAGAACATTCTCCTCCACTTCCCAGGGCCCTGGAGCTGCCCAGTGCTGTCCTAGCCACTCCACACTGTGTTCAGTATAGGTCTCAGTAGGGCATGGTACCATCAAAGGACAACCCTACACAGACCATGAGTCACAGGAAAGTTTCAACAGCTTGGGAAGCTGAGGCAGGAGAATCGCTTGAACCTGGGAGGCAGAGGTTGCAGTGAGCTGAGACTGTGCCATTGCACTCCAGCCTGGACGACAAGAGCAAATCTCCATCTCAAAAAAAAAAAAAAACAAAGATTGCGATAGGCTTGGGTGTGTGATCTCTTCTCTCCAGGGTGCAGATGCATTCTCTCACCTCTGTATATAATTTATGGCAAGATTCATGTGAATTCTGTGACAGCTATAGAAATTATTAAAATGAACAGGTATCCGCTTATTCAGAGCCAGGGAGTTCTAAAAGTTCTGCCAGTTCCTCAAGAGCAAGGATCCTACCTTTTTCATCATTGTTGCCCCAACAGGATTTAGTATAGTGCCTTGCATGTCCATCCAGTGTGTATTAATTCAGAGCTTACAGTTCTCACTGAGGACATACAGAGAAGAATAAGACCTAGAATGTAAGCAGGTAAACAAATATTACAAGTATGCTAAGTGCTATAGAAATCGCATGTACACAAGACTGTGGGAGAACAGAGAAAGGAGCTACTGACTGATTCAGCCTAGGGAAGACAGGGAAGTAATACACAGGCAGTTGCATTTAGGCAAGGACTTGAAGGATGGTTGGAGGGAACAGCATGTGAGCTAGAGCAGCTGGAGAGTATGACACAATGGGGATACAGTGATACTTCTGAGTGTTTGGAGCAGAGTTCCTGCCAAGTATAAGTGGAGTGGAGGCTGAAAAGATAGGTAAAGGAACTTGTGTAACATGCTTCAGATTTCCTGGGAGTGTTGGCCAGAGTGGGGGGAGTAGGCAGTTTCACACATTACTGGTGAGTGCACTCAAGGCATAACCTTTATGGAGCACAAATTGGCAATATCTACCAGAAGAAAAATGTACATTCCCTTTGACATGGCAGTTATATTATACATTTAGGAATTTATCCTATCGATATATTGTAAAAGTACCTAGGTACAAGAATAGTTATAATAGCATTGCTCACAAAAGCAAAAGACTGGAAAAAACAAAACTCAATTCTATTAACAGGGATTAGTTAAATAAATTATGGTACATCCGTAGAATGGAATACAATGGGTAATTGTCAAAAAAATCAGTGAATTCCTTATATACTGACAGGGAATAAACTCCAAGATATAACAAGTGTAATAAGGAAAGTATAGAATGGTATGCATAGATTGTTACCATCTAGAGAGAAAAAGAAAACATGAAAACACAAATGCATAAATATATATTTATATACACATACATAAACATGTATATGAGCAAATATATTCTTATAATTAATAAAACATCCCTGGAAAGATACACAAAGACATTGATAATAGCTCTGGGTGGATGGGAAGAGTAGAAAGAAGAATTTTCGCTGTATTCCATTATGCATCTCTTCAATTTTAAACTATGTGAATGTAACACCTAGTCAAAGAAATTGAATACAATTAAAACTTTTTTAAAAAGAGGTATGACAGAATCAGACATGTTATTCAGGAGCGTGAGGACTGTGAGGATCAAGAACCAGGAGGAAAGAGACCAGAGGCAGAGAGACTAATTCAGAGGCTATTGCCCACACCAGTCATGAGGTGGTGAACTCAGTGGCAGCGGGCATGAAGGAAGGCCACAGATTTCAGATATCATTTGGGGGTGATTTTACTTAGCTTATTTTGACCATTTACTATAGCCAAGGCAGGAGCCATTTTATTCCTCCTACTAGCACAAGAGATTTTGTGGGGGGTTTTGTTTTGTGTGTGTGTATTTTTTTTTATTTTCACAAGTCCCATAGTAAAGAGATTTTATTTGTCCCATTTTACAGAGGAGGAAACTAAAGCTCAGAAAGATTAAGTGACTTACCAAAAGTCACATAGGGAGAGTAAATGGGTTCAAACCCCTACCCCCACACCACACTGGGGGCCTTTGTTGCAGCTGAGTGAGTAACCAGATCCGGGGGCAACTGCTGTGATTAGATAAAGGGAGGAACCCGGGAGAGAGCATGGAAGCCTTTTGGCAGCTGTGAAAGACTGCTCTAGCTCCTGAGGTCATAGATGGCTCTGAGAAAGGGTATGTATCTTTGTCTGTGGGCTAGAATTTAGAGCACCCCTTGAGGGGCCTGTGGTTCCAATGTCTTGAGATCTACTCCAACACTGGGAAAAGTCCAGGCCTCCCTAAGGTCTACTGAAGCCAGAGGCTCCTAAGACTCAATTCTTCCAGTCTCCCCAGCAGGGATTCGATTCACTGGCTCTGGGGGCTTGCCAGGGCAAGATGTGCCTCTCCCTCCTCAGCAGGAAGAGCTAGAAAGGGGTTCCCCGGGGTGCCGTTTAGTTGGAATGGGCTCCATATTTTCCTCTCCCATCTCCCTGCAGTATCAAGTGTGTGACTATTGATTTCCTCCCTGCATTTGTATTTGTTATTCATTATTTATGGGATCATTTTTCCATCGTTCGTGCATGAAGGCAAATTTTGTGTAAAAATCAATTGAGTGAGCACCGCCGATGGCTTGTTGAGTTTTCTTGGCTTTCATCTCTGAGGCATCAGTTCTCGGGAGATGCAGAGCAGGAGATGGGATTAGGAGCATGCCAGAGTGGGAAGGGGAGGTGAGGACAGAGCAGGGTTAAAAACCTGCCTTAAGAGTCCTAGCCTGTGGAATCACTTTTCATCCCTCCAACATTCTGTTGAGCTCTCCTGGAAGTCTACGTAAGGATTCATGTCTTCCTGCCCTCATCTCATCCCTACTTCCCTTGCCCCTTTGCCAGGCTGCCGTGATGAAGGGGTGGAGTTCCAGCTGCAGAACCATTTCCATTTCATATAGATTTATTTCAATGTAGAAACCCATAAGACCCTTCAGGATTGAGGCTTGGGGGCCTGCTCTCTAGTGGCTTGCCCTGAAGACTCCAGGGAAGTCACCCTGAAAGATCAGACATGGGAGAGTGGGACTAAGAGCAGGGCTGACATTTAAAAGCATCTGCTGTATGTCAAGTCAGGCTGAGTGCTTTGCTTATATTCATATTTGAGCTTCAGCACAAATATGTGTGAGGTAAATGAGTATAAAGAAAGGAGCAAGGAGCCGGGCATGGTGGCTCATGCCTGTAGTCCCAGCACCCTGGGAGGCCAGAGCGAGTGGATCACCTGAGCTCAGGAGTTCATGACCAGCCTGCCCAAGATGGTAAAACCCTGTCTCTACTAAAAATACAAAAATTAGCTGAGCATGGTGGCACACATCTGCTGTCCCAGCTACTTGGGAAGATGAGGCAGGAAGATCACTTGAGCCCAGGAGGTCAAGGCAGCAGTAAGTTATGATTGCACCACTGCACTCCAGTCTGGGCAAAAAAGCGAGACCCCACCTCCTTCCCTGCAAAAAGAAGGAAGGAAGGAAGGAAGGAAGGAAGGAAGGAAGGAAGGAAGGGAGGGAGGGAGGGAGGGAGGGAGGGAGGGAGGGAGGGAGGGAGGGGTAGGTAAGGGATTTGGTGTCAGAAAGTCTTGGTTAAAGTCCCTATTAGTCCCTTCCTAGATATGTGACCTTGGATAAGATATTTAACCTCTCTGTGCCACAGTTTCTCATTTGTAAAATTGGGATAACCTTACTGCTTACCTCATATGAGGCCCTGCATTTAAGGGTAGGCGTCTGTGGCTTATGGTAAAGACTGAATCCCTAAAAGCTGGCTCCTTTATTCCTTCATCCTCCAGCTTAAATGTCACTTCCTCAGAGAGCCCATCTCTTTTAACCCTAGCTACAGTGGGTACTTCTAACCCTGGCAGTGACTTTCTGTCATACCACCCTTCATCTCCTTCTTCTGTGCATTATGATCTATAACTCTCTAGATTATTTGGGAACTGCCTCATCTCTCCGCATGCTTCAGTTAAAACTGAAGAGCAGTGGCACAAACTCTGCTCACTATAATCTCTGCCTGCTGGGTTCTCCTGCCTCAGCCTCTGGAGTAGCTGGGATTACAGGCATGCACCACCACACCTAGCTAATTTTTATATTTTTAGTAGAGACAGGGTTTCACTATGTTGGCCAGACTGGTCTCAAACTCCTGACCTCAAGTAATCCACCTGCCTTGGCCTCCCAAAGTTCTGAGATTACAGGCGTGAGCCACCGCACCCAGCTGCACTCCCCCAACTTTCACGTTGCCACGAAATCAAATTCAGGTTAGTGTTTGGCAAAACTAGAAACTAGTCAAATGTTTTTTGCAGCACTTCTCCCTCTGCCACATCCTCTTCCCTTTTTAAATCTATTTTTATAGTTTGGCAGTGGCCAACCGAGATCTGAGGCTACATTTCTTAGCAAGTGTTTCTGACTAACTGAATAATCAGTCCTCAAAAGAACATTCTCCTCCACTTCCCAGGGCCCTGGAGCTGCCCAGTGCCATCTTAGCCACTCCACACTGGGTTTAGCCTCGGTCTCAGTAGGGCACGGTACTGTCAAAAGACAACCCTACACAGACCATGAGTCACAGGAAAGTTTCAACAGCTCTGCTCCTCACTGAGTCCATTAGGGGATTGGTACACAATTTGTAAAATTTAGCATGGTTCTTCAATTGTTCAAATGACAGTTTGCCTGGGCTACATGGAGATTTCTCATTCACCCAGAGTTTTGTCTAAGAGTCTGTCCCACTCCTCTTGTAGAAGAACATGCTGATCTCCATTTGAAGGGGCTTTTAAAAACCAGAAGGGACACAGCTTGCTGAGGGAAGGTCTGTAGGCCACAGATGTGTTTTGTTTTGTTTTGTTTTGTTTTGTTTTGTTTTGTTTTGTTTAAGAGAAAAGTCAGAAAGACAAGGAAATCAAGATTCCACCTCCACACCATCCAGGGCTAAGTTCTCTCCCAAAGATCACCCAAGTGGGCATATATGACTCAAGGAACAAGAGGCAAAGCATTCAGGATGCCTTTAGAAGCCTTAGATCTAAGAACCATCTAAGACCAGGAAAGATTTGGGATAGAAAAGACCCAGAAAACCTGGGAGACCCCTGGAAGACATCTAGATCAAGGGTCTGCAAACTATGACCTGACAACCAAAGCTGGCCTGCTGCCTGTTTTTATAAATAAAGTGTTACAGGACCACAGCGATGCCCATTTGCCCACTTATTTCTGTATTGTCTATGGTTGCTTCTGCACTGCAATGGTAGACTTAAGTAGTTGCAACAAAAATTTATGGCCACAAACCCTGAAATATTTACCATTTAGCTGGTTACAGAAAAAGTTTGCCACATTGTTTCCTAAACTGGGTTCTGAGAAAAACTAGCATCCCTGGAATCATGGTTATTAAGAAAAAAAAAGAGGGGGGAAGAGGTTACCGTTTGGTCAAATATGTTTGAGAAATGCTCCATTTTGAAAAGACTAAAAAGTTTTGCAGTTAAAACAAGCAGCAACAACAACCAAAAAAGTACTCTGAAAATTTCCCAAGTTTATTTTATTTGTCCATGGGATATTTTCTGTGGTAAAACAGTATGTCTAGAGTTACCAGTGGTGCATGGATGCAATTTGATAAATATCTATATAGCTCATTTATTCCAAAATGTCAGTCATTTTATGACCTTTTTGATATTTGCCAATTGTATGTACAACCCACATACTATTTATTGAATGTATTTACTAAACATTTTTCTTTAATTACTCCCTTTTAAAACTTGGTCTCAACCAGTCAACAATATCCATGAAATTATGCACTCAAGATACAAGCATGTGTGTGTGTATATAGGCGGGTGGGTAGAGCTATAAAAATAGACATATTATTCTACATACCCACTTAATTATCTACATACTACCCATAGAAGATGACATAACACTCTTTAAGATATATTGGATAAGTTAAATTAAATTAAAAATCCAATTCCTCAGTTGCATTAGCCACATTTCAAGTGCTCAATAGCCACATGTGCCTGGTAGCTACCATACTGGATAGTGCAAATACAAAACATTTCCATAATCTCAGAAAGTTTTACTGGACAGCACTAGGCCTTTCTAGAATCTTTTTTTTTTTTTTTTTTTTTGAGACAGAGTTTTGCTCTTGTTGCCTAGGCTGGAGTGCAATGACACGATCTCGGCTCAATGCAACCTCTGCCTCCTGGGTTCAAGCAATTCTTCTGCCTCAGCCTCCAGAGTAGCTGGCATTACAGGTATGTGCCACCATGCTTGGCTAATTTTGTATTTTTAGTAGAGATGGGGTTTCACCATGTTGACCAGGCTGGTCTCCAACTCCTGGCCTCAGGTGATCCACCCACCTCAACCTCCCAAAGTGCTAGAGCATTACAGGCATGAGCCACAGTGCCTGGCCTCTGGAATCTTTTAAAATTACTCACCATTGTTGCTTCCCTCACTGTCCCCAACCCCTACTGAATTGTTTATAACTCTTCCAGCAAACCCTGAGAAGGCTAGCTATCAGGACCAAAGCCAATACTCTTTCTTCATCTTATCTCCTCACCAGAGCCCACCATCTTCCCCAAATAGTCTACTTCTCTCTCTCTCTCTCTCTCTCTCTCCCCCTCTTTCTCTCTCTTTCACACACACACACACTCACACACTCACACACACACACACACCCTGTACTCCAATGCCATGGATTTCTACCCTTTGGTCTATACAAGAAAGATCCAGAGCTGCCTTCAGGGACCCAAGAGCCAGCCTAGAACCTATTAGAATGGCAAAGGCTGAACATGGGCAATTCCTCATTCTGAGCTGCAGGCTCCCAACGTGCAAAAGAAAAAAGATTGCATTGGATCAAATATCATATATTTGTGATCTGTGAGCTACACCTGGCTCATATATGTGTTTAGTTTGACCCACGTGATTTTTAAATTTTTATTTTATGGTAAGAGAGATAAGGTGATATCACATTTTAGAAGTCTAAATTGCCAGCTTCTCAGGAAAAATCAGATTTGCTCACTTTCTGCTTATGTCTCCACACAGCAATTACCAGCTGATGCTGAGTAACTTCTGCCCCCTTAAAGCCAGGCACATACTAACTGGTTCACCTCAATCTGCACCACTCTGCTGCCCAGTGCCCAGTGTGTGGCTATTCAAGGATATTGCAGTGTTTCTTTGGACCCGTGTGAGAATTATGTACTATGTGGCACAATAAATGGGAATACATTGGTTTTCAAGGGCTGTTTGATCCCTGTGATTGGAACCTGCATTTATTAGCAGGCTTGATGAGTGTGGGGTTGGTCTGCTGTTTTCCTAAACTTGAATATCTTCAAGCCTGTGATATTTCTTCCCAATGTAACATATTACTTGGCATCTAGAGAAATGGTACTTAATTTTAGAAGAGGTCACAGATGCCTTTGGGAATTTGATAAAAGCTGTAGACTTAGTAAGGGTGGGAATATGCACATAAAGACACAAATGTTTACATACAGTGTCGGGGGTACAAAGACACCCCCTCGCCCCCAGCACATCCCTGGCTCTCCGAGGAGTCCTCAGATCTTCATTCAGAATCCCTGCCCTGGAGACTTCCCCCTAAAATAGGAGATTGGTTGTTTACATCAGCTCCATTCTCTCCCAAAACTTAATCTTACAATAATAATAAAAGAATATTTAAAGCATAAGCCTACAGGGACAAAGAAAATGAGAAAGAAGACAACTGCCAAAAAAAAAGTTGGACACTGGAAAGTAAATAGATAAGAAGTCATTGGTGTAATAGACTCGAGGTCATTGGTATAATAGACTCAAGAAAGCTGAATCCTAAGTCCGCAGTGGGACTTAGGAGAAGCAGTGTGACGTGCACAGCAGATTGTCTACAACACTTGTGGAGACGGTACTACTATCTCTGGAAGTGGGAGTGAAGATAAGGCCACACGTGGGCAGATTAGTTGAGAGTCTGTTTAAGAAGCAGTTAGATCCCAGGTTACCTCCCCTGCTTGGCACAGTGGGCAACTGCCTTTCCTGAAAATTGGCAGAATACTGGCAATTTATTCATTGGAAACATTTTTTAAAAAGTCATTGTATTTGGGACACCAACTATAGTTAAGGGTGGGAAATCATACTGAAAACAGAAGGATTACTTAAATTATACATTCTAAATATTGAAAACCCCATTCCTCTTCCTCCACACAGTATCTTGAACATGAGCAGACAGACAAACATACTCCAAACAGGAAATTGAAAGAGTCTTCTCTGAGAATCTAACCAGTCCAAAAAAGAAAAAAAAAATACTACCATTAGGGAACCCCCAAGGAAAGAGCCCAGTTGGTTCACCCTAAATAGCAAACCAAAGTTGGCTGCATGTGGTGGCTCACACCTGTAACCCCAGCACTTTGGGAGGTCGAGACAGGCAGATCAGTTGAGGCCAGGAGTTTGAGACCAGCCTGGCCAATGTAGCAAAACTCTGTCTCTACTAAAAATACAAAAAATTAGCTGAGTGGTGGTGCATGCCTGTAATCCTCCTACTCGGGAAGCTGAGGCACAAGAATTGCTTGAGCCCAGGGGGCAGAGGTTGCAGCGAGCCAAGATCATGCCACTGTACTCCAGCCTGGGCTGCAGAACAAGGCTCTGTCTCAAAAAAATAAAAGAAAACCAAAATAAACAAACCTAACACAGGTGCACACAGCCTCCAATAAACTTTTTTACCCAGTTAACTAAACATTATCTAATACAAGGAACCAAAATAGATATGTTGAAAATATTGAAAAGCATCGGGGAGAAAGAAGACTGATGGAAGGAGAAATTGAAAAGAAACTATTAGTGACATTCTCAGAGGTATTACTGAAGATATGGCATTCACGAAACAAGAAAAATATTTTTTTCTGGGCCCAGTGCGGTGGCTCACTTGTGCCTCCAATCTTAGCACTTTGGGAGACCAACACGGGACAACTGCTTGAGCCCAGAAGTTTGAGACCAGCCTGGACAACATAGCAAGACCCATCTCTACAAAAAACTTAAAAATTAGGTGAGTGTGGTGGTGTACACCTGTGGTCCGAGCTACTTGGGAGGCTGAGGTGGGAATATCACTTGAGCCCCGGAGGTCGAGGCTGCAGTGAGCTGTGTTCACACTTCTGCAATGCACTCCAGCCTGAAAGACAGAGCAAGACCCAGTCTAAAATAAAATAAAAAATAAATAAAAAAACAAGAAAAAGAATTAAAAATTTTTTTCTTAAATTTAACATGCAAAAAGATCTGCTAGAACCTTCTTAAATGATAAGAGAAATGAAAAACCCAATAGAAAGTTTGGAAGATAAAATTGAGGGTGATGTAGTTTGCTTTATTTGACTCCCTCCAAATCTTATGTTGAGATTTGATCCCCATTGTTGGAGGGGGGCTAATGAAAGGTGTTTGGGCCATGAGGGCAGAGCCCTCGTGCCATCTGCGAGGTAACGAGTGATTTCTCACTCCATTAGCTCCTACAAGAGCTGATTGTTTAAAAGATCCTGGCACTCCCCTTCTCTCTCTTGCTTCCGCTCTCCCCTGTGAGCTGCATACTCTGACTCCCTTCACCTCCTGCCTTGGGTGGAAGCAGTCTGTGGCCCTCATCAGATGCAGATGCCCAGTCTTGAACTTTTCTAGACATCACAGTCATGAGCCAAATAAACTTTTTCTTTATAAACTGCCCAGCCTCAGGTCTTCCTTTATGGCAACACTAAATGGACTAAGACAGAAGAAAACACAAAATAACAAGAAGGCAAAAAGAGAAAAAGAGTACAGAAATATAAGCAACTCAGAGAACCAACCCAGTTGGTCTAAACTTAAATAATAGATATTCCAGAAATATAAAAATATGGAACTAAGAACAGAAAACTTCAAGGAAATCATGCAAGAAAATTTCTCAAAGTGAAAGTTGTGAGTTTCAATATTAAAAAATTGCTCAGCAGAATAAACAAAAAGAATATACCCTATAAGCTTCCAGAAAGTTTTTTTTTCCTGCAAAAATCAAGAATGAGAATGACTGTCAGCAGGCCCAGAATGCAACTAGTTTAGCCTGAAGCAGGTTAGAAGGCTCCAATGGAGGCTTCTTCAAGATTAAACTGATAGAACACTTTGTGTGTTTGAAAGTCTTGGCTGGGCGCGGTGGCTCATGCCTGTAATACCAGCATTTGGGAGGCCAACGTGGGTGGATCACGAGGTCAGGAGTTCAAGACCAGCCTGGCCAAGTTGGTGAAACCCTGTCTCTACTAAAAATACAAAAAAACTAGCCAGGCATGGTGGTAGGCACCTGTAATCCCAGCTACTCGGGAGGCTGAGGGAGAGAATTGCTTGAACCCGGGAGGCAGAGGTTGCAGTGAGCCAAGATCACGCCACTGCACTCCAGCCTGGGCAACAGAGTGAGACTCTGTCTAAAAAAAAAAAAAAGAAAGAAAAGAAAAAAAGAAAGAAAGTCTTGAGAGAAGATTTACATAAATGGTGAGTGTTTGGGGTTAATTAATAACAAGCATACAAAAAAAACAAAACAAATATTAAAAGCCCTAATTATTAATTCCCAGAAAAATTAAATATCATGCAGCAAAGGAAAAGCAACTATAGCATTTTACATGACTCAGCAGTAAATGTTGCTTGCACAGAAAACATGAACACTGAATATTAATATAACCAAAATTAAGATTTGACTATATTGGAATGGTGAGGAGATGGGAATCAGGGTAGGGAATGAAAGAGAGAACTCTCCTCATCTTTATTAAAGGAAAGTGAATAAAATGCCTACAACTGAATGATCAAGAAGTAATGACATAAACATGACATTTAGTGATAATAAGATTAATATCAAAAGAACCAGCTAAAATAGTCGAATGTGATTGCCTTGAAGAATCCAGGGATGAGAGGAGGAAGGCTGAAGGATAGTTCTTTTTCATACCAAGCCTTGCTAAACTATTCGAATCTTCAAACTCTGTAGACATATAACGTCGATTTTCAAAACAAATTAAAAATACAGGAGTCCTGCTCTGACTCTTGGGAATAACACAAGCATGGCCTAGTTTCTAACTCTATATCCTTCTTGGTCGGAGAACACAGCCTGTGACCATTCCTTTGTTGGCATCAAATCTCTCATCCTTCAGAGAAGAGGCAGCTCTTCTTATACCCCTCCCACCTTTTGAAACCATAGGGGACCGGGTTTCAACTCTGAGGAGTCCAGCTACATACAGGTCAGCAATCGGTTTGTTCTGGAGAAGATGTGCTTCTGTCTTAACACTCCATGTACAAAGAGGAAGGCCATGGGAAAGCTTCATCCATGCAGTTGGTAGCCAGCAGGGAGACAGAGGGAGTGGCTCCATTAGTGAAGTGGTCTAGTTTGGTTGCCAGGAACACACACCTTCCTCTCCAGTTGTTAACTTCCTCTTGTCATAAAAAAAAAAAAAAAAAAAAAGTCAAGTTCCATAACTTGGTGTCACCTGATGTTACGCTAAATCACAGGGCTTTGGAGACTATTTTCTGTCTCTTTAGCTCCATAACTTTTCTCCCTGAAGAGGAAATGGGGAAGAAAGGAGGATATCACTATAGGTTACATAGTATGCTAACAGGCATATTTAGAAAGGTTGGGACTCGTTCCCAAACATTATAGAGAGGTCAAGATAAGGTTAACTGATCAGCACATAAATTGGTGCTGAATCCTAGGAAATGAGGTACCACTAGTGTCCAATTTGAGTATAAGCTTCATGCAGGCAGAGGCTGAATATCAAATTCTCCTCTGAGTTTCCAGCACCTTGA
Source organism: Homo sapiens (assembly GCF_000001405.40). NCBI lineage: Eukaryota > Metazoa > Chordata > Mammalia > Primates > Hominidae > Homo > Homo sapiens. The sequence goes on along the minus strand of NC_000005.10, from coordinate 146,356,163 downwards.
GCAGGGCCTAACACAGAGCAGAGTAATGTAAGCTTTATTGAATTAACTCATTATATTTCCAGACCATGGCTGTTTCTGAGGAAGCCAGCTATCTACACATAAATCAGAAGCAAACCATTTTTCTTCAGTTCTTCAGTCAACTTGTGCTAGAAAAAAAAATAACACAAGTTCCTCAAAAAATTAAAAGTTAAAAACTGAAATACCATATGATCCAGCAATCCCACTACTGGGTATATATCCAAAGAAAATGAAATCATTTTGTCAAAGAGCTATTTGCACTTCCATGTTCACTGCAGCATTATTCACAATAACCAAAATATGGAATAGGCTGGGCGTGGTGGCTCACACCTGTAATCCCAGCACTTAGGGAGGCCGAGGTGGATCGCTTGAGCCCAGGAGTTCCTGACCAGCCTGGGTAACATGGCAAAACCCTGCCTCTACAAAAAATTTAAAAATTAGCCTTAGTTGGGTGTGGTGGTGCATGCCTGAAGTCCCAGCTACTTGGGAGACTGAGGCAGGAGGATCACTTGAGCCCAGGAGGCAGAGGTTGCAGTGAGCCAAGATAGCACTACTGCACTCCAGCTCAGGTGACAGAATGAGACCCAGTATCAACCTAAGTGTTAAGTGTCCATCAATGGGTAAGTGGATAAAGAAAATGTGGCATACCTACACAATGGAATACTATTCAGCCTTTAAAAGAAGGAAATTCTGTCATTTGTAACAACATGAATGAACATAGAAGATATTATGTTAATGAAATAAGACAAATACCACATGATCTCACCTACGTATGGAATCTCAAAAAGTTGAACTCATAGAAGCAGTGAGTAAAATGGTGGTTATCAGGGGCTAGGGTGGTTACTGGGGAGGAGCGGTTGGCGGGGATGTTGGTCAAAAGATACAAAATTCCAGTTAGGAGAAATAAGTTCAAGAGATCTATTGTACAACACGGTGAATATAGCTCATAACAATGTATTTTATTCTTGAAAATCTCTTTAAGAGAGTGGATTTTAAAGTGTTCTCACTACAGAAAATGGTAAGTATATGAGGTCACACAGACATTATTTAGTTCTATTTGGCCATTCCACAATGCATACATATTTCAAAATATCACGTCGTACATCATACATATCTATAATCTGGGGGCCAATTAAAAGAAATAAATAAATGTGCACTTCAGGGTATTCATAATCATTTTATTTATTTATTTTGAAACAGACTCTCACTCTGTCACCAAGGCTGGAGTGCAGTGGCGCAATTTCAGCTCACTGCAACCGCTGCCTTCTGAGTTCAAATGATTCTCCTGCCTCAGCCTCCCGAGTAGCTGGGATTACAGGCGCCCGCCACCATGCCTGGCTAATTTTTGTATTTTTAGTGGAGACTGAGTTTCGCCCTGTTGGCCAAGTCTCGAACTCCTGACCTGAGGTGATTCACCCACCTCAGCCTCCCAAAGTGCTGGGATTACAAGCATGATCAGCCTCATAATCATTTTAATCATTCTATTTATTTTATGTTGGGTCAAATGAAGATCTTTAGAAGTGCTCAGCATCAAATACTTTGTTATCCTTTCCCCTGTATGTAATTAAAAACAAAAATACTACAACATAAAATACAGGAGAGGAGGCCCAGCACAATTCTGAATTTGATTACTAGGATGCTTTTTTTCTTAACACCAAATAGTGAAGACTTCCAAAGCACCTTTTCTTATTTTGGGTATTTTCGCCTTGCAAGTACCCTAAGTGTATGTTTAGGCTGAGTTTATGTGATTAAGCCCTGTCTTAGAGCTTTCTTTCTTTCTTTTCTTTTTCTTTTCTTTTTTTTTTTTTTTTTTTTGAGACGGAGCCTCACTCTGTTGCCCAGGCTGGAGTGCAGTGACGCAATCTCCGCTCACTGCAACCTCTGCCTCCTCCCAGTTCAAGCAATTCTCATGCCTCAGCCTCCTGAGTAGCTGGGACTATAGGTGTGCACCACCACACCTGGCTAAATTTTGTATTTTTAGTAGAGAAGGGGTTTCACCATAGTGGCCAGGCTGGTCTCAAACTCCTGGCCTCAAGTGATCTGCCTGCCTCGGCCTCCCAAATTGCTGGGATTACGGGTATGAACCACTGCGACCGGCCTATTTTAGAGCTTTCTGTATAGCCTGTTGCTTCTGGATACTCAAAGGCTCAAATGAAAAACTAAAAATAGTCAGTAAGCTTCGCAAGCACTATGACACTCTGTGATCAGGAAAAAGGAGACAAGGGGGCAAAACTGAGGAGACAGAAGGTCTCACTCTGTCACCCAGGCTGGAGTGCAGTGGCATAAACATGATGACTGCATGCAGCCTCAACCTCCTGGGCCCAAGCAATTCTTCCACCTTAGCCTCCCAAGTAGCTGGGATGACAGGTGCACACCACCAGGCCCGGCTTATTTTTTAAATTTTTTGTAGAGATAGGGTCTCACCATGTTGCCCAGGCTTGCCTTGAACTCCTGTGCTCAAGCAATTTGCCTGCCTCGGCTAAAAGTGGGAGAGAAGATAAAGCCAGGCCAGCAGACAAAAGGCAATGAAGGCCCTCAATCTAGTTCCTACTCCACAAAACCATTTTTAAATGACAGTGACATTTCCTCTGAAGTCTTCAGTTCTCCCTATGCTAACACTATAGACTGAAAAGTATTTGAATTTTTTTGTTTTGCTTTGCTTTTTTTTTTCTTTCTTTGGGACAGGGTCTTGCTCTGCCGCCCAGGTTGGAGTGTAGTGGCACAATCACAGCTCACTACAGCTTCAATCTCCCGGGCTTAAGCAATCCTGCTGCCTCAGCTTCCTGAGTAACTGGGACCACAGGCATGCGCCACCATGCCCAGATAATGTTTGCATTTTTTGTAGACATGGTTGCCCAGGGTGGCCTTGAACTGAACTCAAGTGATCTGCCTGCCTTGGCCTCCCAAAGGAGGTGTGAGCGATTGCACCTGGCCTGAGTTTTTCTAATATAGTAAGTTGATAAAGGAACAGAACCTAATATTTTTATCAGTATCAACTTTAAATCTATATCTTGGTATTCCAAAGACAAATTGAAAAAGTAAAACTATTAAAATAATATTTATATTCCATGCTACTTTAAGGAAGTTGTAAGTTTTTTTGATGAGCTAGTACCTTTATATTTTACACCAGTGGGCTCTAGGAATGAACAATCATTTATAGCAGCATCAGCTCTCAGGATGGAAAGAGATGTCATCTCGCTGCCCCCACTCTCCCTGACAGTATAACTCACTAGAATCTCTGCTCAAATCCTCAGACACGGGCTCACAGCACGGCCCTCGCCTTCAACTGTGTCGACTGCCAGAGCCTTCTTCCTTGAAAGGAGCTGAAATCTTTTTCTCTCTGTGACTTATTTCCTATCTAGCTACACCCCTGGGGCCCCATAAAACAAAAGTAAGCCTTCTTTCACATAAAAGCCCTTCAGATTTCGGCCTTAAAAACACAAGTCCATTTTCTTCTACAGGAGTAAGCTTGACACCACTCTCAAGGCAGACCATTCTGGTTTTAACTCCTAGGTTCTAGCATTTATTCGTTGTTTGACTTGACAAGTTATTTAACTTCCTGGTGCCTAATTTATAAAATGTGTAATATAATACATACACTTTACATAGGTATATAAAACATTTTAGAAAGGGAAGTATTTTGAATATATGAACACTGCATACCTTTTAAAACTCCTTTCTTGGCAAGTTACGGTGGCTCACACCTGTAATCTCAACACGTAGGGAGGGCAAGGTGGGAGGATCACTTGAGGCCAGGAGCTTGAGGCTGCAGTGAGCTATGCACTGCAGGGATTACAGGCGCCCACCACCATGCCTGGCTAATTTTTGTATTTTTAGTAGAGACTGGGTTTCGCCCTGTTGGCCAGGCTGGTCTTGAACTCCTGACCCCAGGTGATTCACCCGCCCCAGCCTCCCAAAGTGCTGGGATTACAAGCATGATCGGCCTCATAATCATTTTAGTCATTCTATTTATTTTATGTTGGGTCAAATAAAGATCTTTAGAAGTGCTCAGCTCTTCTAAAGGCTGCAGTGAGCTACAATCATGCCACAACACCCCAGCCTGGGAGACAGAATGAGATCCTGTCTCCAAAAGAAAAATGAAATAAAATTCATTTCTTTCCTTCGCCTTTTGAGGGACAGGGTGTCATGAGGAGGATAGTAAGCAAGAACAACTCATTCACTGACTCAAGTTCAAATATTTGTTAAATAGCTGTTCTCCTAAAGTGATTGGTAGAAAAGTCGTTTTATTGTTATTTACCACATATTAACTAAATTCCTTTTAGTTATCATCTTTGCCCTACAACAAAACTGTTGCATTAGAATTTATTTCCAAATTGGGCTACTTGTTCTTATGAGCCACATGTCAGTGTGCAGAACTGCGGTTGTAACCAAAGGTTCTGAATACTGCATCAATCTACTCCATGACACACAGTAGTGTGTGGATGTGCACACACACAAGCTCGTAGACTGAATGTTTGTGTACCCCCAAAATTAATATGTTGAAGCTCCAATCCCCAGTGTGATGGTATTTGTAGTTGGGGCCTGTGGGAGGTAATTAGGTCATAAGGATGGACTCTCATGAATTGTGTTCGTGCCCTTTGAAGAAGAGACATGAGAGAAATGGTCTCTCCTTCTCTTGGCCACGTGAGGACACAGTGAGAAGGTGGCCATCTGTAAACCAAGAAAAGGGCCCTTGCCAGACATCGAATATGTGGCCACCTTAATCTTTAACTTAGCAGCCTCCAGAACTGTGAGGAATAAACCGTTGTTTAAGCCACCTTGCTTGTGCTATTTGTTACAGCAGTCCAAGCTGTCAAGCTCACGTCCATGTTTGGCAAAACAGTCAGAGATGTGTTGTTGACATGGAATGCAAAATATATACCACCTTTAATGAAATAAAAATTGACATAAGATTTGTGTTTCAGAGTATATACCCAGACTCCAATGTAAGGCACTTTGGTTGAAAAAACAATACTTATAAGAAAACTTTTCCTCACTCTGGGCAAGAAATCATAATTTTTTGCAGGGAGATTGTGAAAAATATAGATACCTGGGTCCCTAGAACTGCAATGTCATATTTTCCAGTGAGAGGATCTCTAAGAACTCTTCCCAGCTCACATGCTAGGATTTCATACGTCTAACGGTGATAACATAAAATATTTGAGTCAATATTATTAAAGCCCCTCTTGTGATGGAAAAACCCTACTGTTACAGTCCAAGAAATACAGGTCTTCCCTCATTAACCTAACACAATTAATAGAAGAGATTGGGCCATCCTACACAAAGCCATAAGCGGTAGTAAAATGCCAAAGGCAAAAACAACTAAGAAGTAAAAAGCATAGAACAGACAGAAGTTCTGGAGAGTTGGGGATGGAAGAATTGAAGGTAATCCAAGTTTTAATCATTTTACCTGGGCAATCTGACCAGTAACTCAGACCCCAAAGGCTGAATGAGCTCACAGCTGCAAATATTAACACAAGTCAGGAGGATAGAAAAATGAAGGTCTGAGAGCAGAGAACAAGTGGTCTGGTTAGCTTTTTTTTTTTTTAATTTTTTTTTTTTTTTTTTGAGATGAATTCTCACTCTGTCACCTATGCTGAAGTGCAGTGGCAGGATCTCAACTCACTGCAACCTCCGCCTCCCGGGCTCAAGCAATTCTCCTGCCTCAGCCTCCTGAGTAGCTGGGACTACAGGCACATGCCACCACGCCCAGCTAATTTTTGTATTTTTTAGTAGAGACAGGGTTTCACCATGTTGGCCAGGCTGGTCTCAAACTCTTGGCCTGAAGAGATCTGCCTGCCTCGGCCTCCCAAAGTGCTAAGATTACAGGCGTAAGCCACCACGCCCAGCCAGCATTTTCTTGTCTGTGGACTCCAGCCAGAGCTGGGGCAGGTTTGGGTACTACTTTGCCCAGCCCACAACAAACCACAGTCCCTCTGCCCCCAGACCTACTGATGGGGCTGGGTCTCTCTAGACCTACTGATAAACCAGCTTGGCTAAGCCAGGACTATTTAGTCTAACAAAATGTTTTAATTTTACCCCACCTCACCTACCCACCCTGCCATTTATTTTTAAACTTACAAACTGTGAGTATTTTTATTTTTTCAATGGCGCGTAATGATTTGGGGGATCTCGTTTCTGCCAATGATCTTAGAAGCCTGAATTCTGGGAACCCAAGAGATAGCATACTTGATAGCCCTTCTCCCAGCTCTACTTGGATTGTACAACTATCTTTTCACAAACAAAATAGAAAAATAAAATAAGCCAAAATAAATATAAACATAAGACATCCCAGTGTCTATGCTCATTAGCTCACATAATGCTACAGCTGGCAGCCTCAGAGATCGTCTGGTTCAACCCTCTCATTTTACCATTAGGGAAAGAAGGGCTAGGGCAGGGAAGTCCCAGCTCAAAATCTCAATTCTGCCTGTTGGCAGAACCGGTTAAAAAAATTTTAACCTAGCTTATGACCCCTGATGTGGTGCTTTTTTCACTCCACCATGCTGTCTCTTCGGAGACTATTGATCTGAAAAATAATTTTGTCAAAGCCATCTGGAGTCCTTATTGGCAATTGGCTCATCATCTAATTGGCACTTTATTTTTGCCTTCAGTAAAATTCTTCCCTGTTTGCTAAACTGGTTCAGTGCTTATAAGTATTTGACCCTAAATTTGGATGGTCACATAAAGAAAGCCCTTTAGTTTGCCTAGTTTTGGGGGCTCCTAACCTGGGACCCAGGAATTTATGGGTTGAGTCAGGGGATCCATGACTTCTACAAGTTAGCAAAAATTTTGAGTGCACAAAGGTGCATTTATTTCTGGGTTAGGGACACAGTTTTCTTCAAATTTTCAAGGGATTCCATGAGTCCTCACCAACTTTGAACTACTGAACTATCTAGTTCGATTTCTTCAAGTTAGAGTTGAGGAAACTGAGCCACTGAGAAGTGAATAGACTTGCCAAGATCAAACAGAACAGAGTAAAGCCTAGAACTCAGATCTCTTTGTGTATATTCTATATTCTTTCTCACTACACCAGCAGGCCTGTGTATTTGTATTCTCATCCGACATGATTCTGTTTCCCTGAGCTCACTCTCTTCCAACCCATGTTTTTTGCTACAAGAGGAATTCACTGAAGGGGTATGTAGGGCTCAAAACAAATCAACCCAAGCCCAGGAACAGTGGCTCCTTGTATCTCTCCCAGCAGTAAGTCAAGATCACCACCTTGGAGTTCTGTCAAAGATTCCGAGGCCCTCGGCTCCCTCCCACGTGGGTGCTCAGCTGGAGTTTCTGCAGTCTGGAGTCTGGTGCTCAATCCCAACCCTTGGTGAATTATTTGTTTTTTTATTTTTATTTTTATTTTTGAGATGGAGTCTTGCTCTGTCACCTGGGCTGGAGTGCAGTGGCGCATTCTCAGCTCACTGCAACCTCCGCCTCCCGTATTCAAGTGATACTCCTGCCTCAGCCTCCTGAGTAGCTGGGATCACAGGCGCCTGCCACCACGCCCAGCTAAGTTTTTTGTAATTTTAATAGAGACGGGGTTTCACCATGTTGGCCAGGCTGGTCTCAAACTCCTGACCTCATGATCCGCCTGCCTCGGCCTCCCAAAGTGCTGGGATTACAGGCATGTGCCACCTCGCCCAGCCACCTAGGTGTGAATTATTAAGTGATGTCATCAATGTTTTCCCCAGCCCTGTCATAGCTGTGTACACCAAAGGAAAACTCCCCTCACTAGAGAAGTGGGCTTACTTGGTGGAGATGAAGGAGCAAAGAGATTTTTAAGGAAATGTAGTTAAACTAAGTACCATATGCACTGAAGCATCCAGTAGATAAAGGTACCTCCACTATAAATATAGTGTCTAATTCCATAGCAATAACAGATAGGCTGCTTTGAATTCTATTCAGAAGGAGGTGGGATAGAACTCAAATCAACATATAAACCCTCTTTATGAGTAGGCAGTTTTTATACATTATGACGTCTGCACCTCCAAATTAATTGTTAGTTAAAAAAAATCAGAATTTGGCTAGGCACGGTGACTCCCTGCACTTTGGGAGGCCGAGGCAGGTGGATCACCTGAGGTCAGGAGTTCCAGACCAGCCTGACCAACATGATGAAACGCCATCTCTACTAAAAATACGAAAAATTAGCTGGGCATGGTGGCGTGCACCTGTAATCCCAGCTACTCAGGAGGCTGAGGCAGGAGAATCACTTGAACCCAGGAGATGGAGGTTGCAGTGAGCCAAGATCGCACCACTGCACTCTAGCCTGGGCAACAAGAGCAAAACTCTGTCTCAAAAAAACAAAGAAAAAAAATCAGAATTTTCAACTGCCCACTGAATTCATTTTTTTAATTATTGATTTTATATAAAACTTCCTATGATCCCTGGTGTGGAAAGAATATTCAAGATTATTATATCCCTAATTTTCTGATATCATAGCAAGAAGTTAAAACAGAATGACTAAGAATGACAAATCAAGAAATGGCAGCCAATAAAATATCTCTGGAATATACATAAGAAACTGACAATGTTGTTTACCTTCAACAAAGAGAACTGAGTGACTTGGGTCAAGGAAGAAGAAAGACTTTTCATGGCAAATCTTTTAGTTCTTTTGAATTTGAATCATGTATTATTTAATTAAAGTATTAATAAACAAACCTCGAATTTTGAGAAAAGAAATAGTGCCAAAGATACATTATTTAGACATGCAATTCACTACCAGAAGAAGCAACTAAAAATGGTTGAGGGTGGGGGATGGTCAAATTGCCCTTCTGTATTATTCCATTTTTAAATGACATGCATAAATTAATTTGACCATACATAAAATGCATCTATATAAAATCAGAAAAGAAAATCACCTCTAACCAACTGGCTTTACAGGTAAAGAAACTGAGGCTCCAAGGGGAGGAGATACTACTATCAAGGTGACAGACTTTAGATGTACACACTTGGTTGTGTCTCAGCCCAGAGCTTTCCTTAACATGGTCAGGGACTTTTGGAGTGGCTGGTGTGTAAATGCCTTCTAATTATTATTATTAGATGATTATTAGATTAAGACATTTTAAGGATATTTGAATAAAATTGACCTCTCCTTATTTTGATCCTCTGTGCTAATAATTATACCCTTTTTATTTATTCAATTACAAGCAAATTGACAGGAGACATTTATATGAGGCAGCTTAAACCCCAGCTAATGGAGTGCCTAATGACTAATTGATCAGATCCCAACCCAGAGAGCAGCTCTGAGTGGCCTAAAGGAATTTATGCAATTAGTTTAGGTTTGGTAGAAATTGAGTGCATATGAAAGTAAGCTTTTTATGGTCTTGATTTATGAGGGCTGGACATTAACTATATCTGCCAAGAGGTGAGCAGCCTAGCTAAGCCTCAGGCCTTGGGGGAGGCTCTGTCACAGGCACGGATGTTGGGATTTGGAGCAGGACTGATGTGTGTTTTGGGAGGGAGCGGGAAGGAAAGTGGGGGAAAGAAAGATGGTGAAATTAGAGAAGGGATTCGGCCAGAGACCCCAATGAAATTACGGTGGTGCCTCCCACCCCATTTAATTCAAAGTAAAAATAATATTAAATGCTAAATATCTATAAAGAAGTCCAACAAAAATCTGACTTTTCCCAGGATGAACACTTGAATTTGTGTGTGTGTGTGTGTGTGTGTGTGTGTGTGTGTGTGTGTGTGTGTAATCCTAAAACTCAAAATCTTTTAAATATTAAATTACATATACAGTCTATAAAAAGAGAGCGAGCGCAGTTTCTGTCCCAGTTTGCCTCCAGTGGCAGGCAAGGCTGCGCAGGGCTGAACTGAGGGAGGGGGCAGAAATCTGACAGTTTACAAAGAAAGGTATAAGCAACGCGTGGGGAGGATTCTGAGCCGCGCGGACCCGGCAATCGCCCCTCCCGCGGTCCAGGGGACTCCTCAGGCCGGGACGCAGCCGAAGGGAAGCCCCTATCCGGAGGCGCCGGGAGGAGCGGGCGAACCCTGACCCAGCCGGGGAGCCCTGGGAGTCGCGCTAGTGCGGAAGCGCCGTCGGGGGAACAGGGGAAACCTGACTTGATCGGAAAAGAGCGATCGAAGGGGAGACTAATTTGTCCGCCGGGGTCCTCGCTGGCTCCGTCTGCCCGCCGGGGCGGGGTTACCGCGGGGGCTCCCGCCGCTCTGCGGAAGAGAGGAAAGAGGGGAAGGCGACTCTGCGCGCGCCCGGGGACGCGGGCCCCCTCGCTCCGGCACATGGGGGCCAGAGTTTCGCGCCCGCGAGGCTGGAGGGAAGCTAAGAGGGGCTGAGTGAGAGACACGCGAACAGACGCACACAGACAGGACGGGAGACGCGAGTGGCGCGCGGGACACAAAGGCGTGGAGGCTCCGAAGCCCGGCGAGGACAGCGGGCGTTCTCGGCTCCCACCACCTCCTCTGCTCGCGCTGCCTAATCTGGTGCCAAATCGGACTCACCTGCTCCTCCTTCACTCCCAGGCGGTCCGCTTCCCCACCCCAGCCAGAGGTGATCTCACTTGAGAACGGAAGAAGCAAAGGCACCGGGTTTTTGCCAGGTCTCTCCACTAAATGGCTGTGTTCATGACTTGTCCTGGGCAAGTTACATAAACTCTCCATGCCTCCATGTTCTCATCTGTAAAATGGAATTAAAAATTGTACCTACTCATGGTGTTGTTTAGGAATTAACAAACGAATGCGCTAAAGCGCTTGGAACAGTACCTCGCATAGGGGAATCCCGCCATACGTTTTAGATATCATCACTAGTCATTTATCCAGCAAACATTTGTAGAGCGCTTGTTCTGTGCGAGGCCCTGCGTTGAGTTCAGGGAGGCAGGGGTGAACTGGGTAGGTGCTATCAGGCAGTCTTAAAGACTAGGAAAGAAATAAAACGGGCGGTGTGATAACGTGATTGGAGAAGAGCTGTTTTAGGTAAAAGGAGCCAGCTAAGTCCGTCCTGCTCTCTAGGCCTCACTGCCTTCTTCGATTTAAAAAATAAAAATAAATAAATAAATAAATAAATAAACAAACACGGCTTTTAGGCGTTCTGCCCCTTCGGCTCAAACATTCTGGCGCCGGGGCCAAAAAGTGGGAACAGGGCGGGGAAGGGATGTTCGCTGGGAAGGAGGAGGAGTCCAAGACCCTTGCTTCTCCTTTGCCCTCTGGCGCCCCGCCCCTCCTCGGGAGGAGGAGCAGCGCGAAGTCTGGAGCCTTCGAAAAGGCTGAATGGTGCCCGGGATTCCGCCAGGGAGGAGGTTCCGGGCTCCTGGAGCCGCTGACCGGGGCCAAGCTTCTCAGTGGGAGCTATGTATTCGCACCAGGCACTCCCAGGGAGAGAATACTTCGTTCCTTGCGTAGCTGGGACGCACAGTGTGCAAAGCGGTTTCTTTTAAGCTTCCGTCTTGCCCGTGACAACCACTCCGAGAGCTGATAGGCACTGCTACCCTGACCAGACTGTGGCTCACAGAGGGAAAATGTTGATTCCACTTGACTCCAAGCCCTGAACTTGCCCCACAACAGTGCCTTCACTTTTCTGAGTACAAAAAATGTTTTAAAGCAACGAAATATCTATTAATGCCTACTATGTGTCAGGCCCTGGCCTTACGTGATCTCATTTAATCATCAGAGCAATCCTGAGAGAGTCTTTTTTCCAGTTTTTCCAGTTTTACAGATGAGGACACTGAGGGTCAGAGCAGTAAGGTCACTTAAGTAAGAGATGGAGCAGTTATTCCACCCCAGGTGTGTCCATTCCAGAGCCGGAGCTGTTTCCATCTCAGGAGGACAGTAAAAGAACTGGAACTCAAACGTCAGGCACACTGGGCAGGGCAGCGGTCACTCCCTGGTCCCCCCTCCCTGGCTCTTCCTCTAGGTTCCAAGGGCCATGTCACAGAGCATCCCCTGTGTACCCATAACCACCAAAGGGTGAAGCACAGTCTCTTCTATTTAAACAAGAAGGACACTGGCTACCTTGAATGAAAGCCTGTGATGCAGACCACCGCCTTGCCCCGATCCCCATTCCCAGGGAGACTTGCCTATCCCTGATGGCTCTGTTCCTCCCTACAGTCCCTTGAATCCAGAGGGGATTCGGCTGGAAGGGGTGCTTTCATTTTACAAAACAAAAACCTAATTCATTCATTCAACAGACATCTAGTGTCTGCCACTCTAGGCCAGACCTTGAGCAGAGTGCTGGACATGAAGTAGTGAACAAAACTGAGACTACTTAGGCACACAGAGAGGAAGTCGCTGGCCAGAGATAACACCGTTCAGGAGCCCAGGACTCCTGCCACCAAGTTCTGCCTACCAGGGCTTTAGTCATGCTGGAATGTGTATGCCTAGCTCATTCTAGATGAAGCCCCTGTTCCAGCCAGGTAGTTCTCAAAGTCCCACCCTCCGGAGGCCCGATGCAGGTTTCCATGCAAACACCCCCAAATACTGACTTCACTTTCTCTTGGTACAAGTTAAAGAAACTCTCAGCTGAGTCTTGGACCGTACGTGTTGCAAGCTGACAGAATTAGGAAAATGAAAACCTGCTCCAGGTGATCTTAGGAAACACCCTCAATTACTCTTCAAAATAAATTTGGGGAAGTTTTACAGCTGGCAGCAGAGGCTTAGAGAGGCGATATGACTTGTCCAAGGTCACACGGTTCGGATGCATACTAGCCTTGTGTAAACCCCAGACCTGCTAGTACCACCTCCCCTCCCCCGAGAGGTCTGTGCCTCCGCCAGACGAGTGGCAAAGGCGACTACACAATCCTGGGGAAACCACATCTCCAGTTGCTTCCTGAAGCAAGCCGAAGAGTGAGGCGACGGCGCCGTTCCGGCGCACTCAGGAGGAGGGAAAGGGTGGAGCGCTTCGCTGACCGGGCTGCAGCTCCGGCCTGCACGTAGGAACTGGTGAAAATACTCCTGCGCATCACCGTCTCAGGCGCCTGAAGAAGACTAGGCTCAGAGGCATGGCTCGGAGACTGGACCTAGTGCTACTGGACCGTCTTGGAGCAGACCTTGCGCTCAGGAGGCAGCTCCTCTCATCCTCTCCGTAAAAGTCTCCCAAACTTTTGCAGTTGTCAATTAAAAGAAAAAAAAAGACTAAATAAATAACGGCAGAGAACTTTTCGAAAAGAGGATGGAGGCAGATTTCCGGTTCTCTCCAGAGCCCGAACATGCGAAGGCTCTTCTTACCTGCAGGAAACCTTGCAGCCCGCAAAAGCGCGTCCTTCTGGAGCGCTTCGCTTCGGCGCGGGACGCTCACGGTTGTCTCCTCTGCAGCCCGGCTGGGCTCCTGCCCTGTGTTTTATACCACTATAGGCAATTAATATTGCATCAGCCGTATTTTAAATTTTCAAAACCCACAATATAATGTAATGGCATAAGGGCATTTATTATTAAAGGACACCCGATGGAGAGGGAGGTGGAGGAATCGCTGGGGCTGTTGTGCAAGGCGGGGGTAAAGGGCTGAGGCCCAGGGAGCTGGGGGAGATCCGCAAGTTAGCTTATGCGGTAGGGGGTGTCGCACTGCGCGGAGGGCAAACCCACTCTGCTCCGAATTTCGGCCCCGTGGTTTGATGACCCGCAACTCTTTGAGGACGAAGCAGGGAAATGTGCAGATGACTCCTGGACTTGGAGCATTAAATTTTAAATCAGGAAGGCGTTTCTACAGCTCGCAAATAAAAAGAGGGAGCGTAAAGAGAACAGGGAGCTGGCGTCTATGGAGCACCTACTATGTACAGGGCACTATGCTAGGCGCTTTGCAGCAGTTATAGCAGTACCCCCACAAAGAAGCCGAGGTGGACCCCAGAGTGAATAACAACCTGGATGAGAATTTCAGATGAATTTGGAACTCTGAGTGGGTCCCACTAGAGTGTCCCAGCGAACACTTTTCTCCCTCTTTGCCTCTATTATTTCACCTCCTTTCAAGCCCTTTGAATCTTTTAAAATAATTTGTTGCCTACAAAACCCAAGCACTAGTTGACGTCTTAAATAAACAATCTCACCTAGTCCTGACAATAACCTTGTGAAATAAGCGTTGGTCCCTTCATTCTGCAGACAAGCAATCTTGTTGGAGAAGGCTTAGAGAAATTAAGAAATTAGCCTCAGGATGGTTCTGCCAGTGAGCAGAGGCATTGGAGGCTCGAATTTCTATTAGTCCGGCTTCAAAGTTTACTAGCTAAGTCAAATTGAGCAGAGTCTCATGATGGCAGGCAGGGAAGCATGGAAGGAAGTGCCTTGAAACCTCAAGTTCAGACACAAGCCGCAGGGTCTCCCACGAGGAGCTCCAAGTGAGTCTGCCATGGAAGAGGAGTGGGGAGAAGGGATGGCTGGGGGCTGGGCAGCAGAAACTGACAGCCCAACCCTTTGGGGTTCTCCTTTTTAAATCCTTTTCAAAGCTAGTACCCCTTAGCCTCTGAGAAAAAATAAAACCACTTTGATTCGGGTTGAAAAATAAAGCATTTATTTTAGAAGTTAATTCAAGGGGTAAAGGGAAAAGAAAACTTAATATTTTATTTGTATCTATTCAGAGAATGAAACCAAAGGTCACACAGCAACACACAAACTACATGAAACAACGAAAAAATAAAATAAAATTTGGGCTAGAGGGGCAGGGTGAGAAGGGTTCAGGCCCATGGTCCCACTCCTCTTCCCTCACAAAACTATAAGTGAACTTCCACCGAAAGACACCCACATAAAGGGAATGGAAAGAAGCAGAATTAAATAAATAATAGTAATGAACGATGTTAACAACAACAGTAATAACAAAAGTGCAAGGAGGTTAGACGTGTTGAAAGGACTTGCATATAATGCAGAGAAGTTACAGTCGTTTTCCAGCAGCCGACTGCACGCTGAGCTGGCAATCTGGCAAGAGCAGCGAGCTGGGGTCAGAGAGTCCTCAACGGTTATGAATACTACAAACTCCCGCTCTCCAGCAAGCAGTAATTACCCCTCAAACACCAGTAGGTAGTGAAAGATGGCCAGAGCTGGTGCTGGCAGCTGATTACAAACAGCCAAGCGATCCCAGAATTTTCAGTCGCCAGACTGGGCCCACCTGTTTTGGAGCCCTACTTACCACGAAAAAATGGCAACTTGGAGCCCGCAACTCCCTGCATACTTTCCCTGAACCTAATCTTCATGCTACCTTATGAGAATTTACGCCAAACCAAAGGATAAGGTGAATAGAATTTAGGCAAGGAAGGGAGTATAAGGCTATCCTTTGGAAACATACATGTATTTTATATACTCTAATAAATCTCCAGTGCATGTTTGTGTCCCCCTTAGATATCCTAGACTTTGTGTTATTATTGATCACTTCCTTTTTATCCCTTCACCCTTTGCCTAATCGCGCTTAGCAAAGTGGCATTTTCACCCTAGCTTCGGGCGGTTGGGCCAATTGACTGTCCTCTGCTTTGGGGCTCCTGCTCTGAAGTCGTGCGGCCCCTGCGCGAGGGCAAATTTCAGCACCACGGACAGCACAAGTACACTCAGGCCCGCCCTTCTGCAATATTTTCCCAGCGCCAAAATTTTTTTGGTGGGAATAGAAAGGAAAGAGAGAGAAGGCCGGAGGCAACCAGGCGGGACAAAGGGGGAAAGTCTGTGGCTTCGGAGGAGAGAGCCTAACCTGCCTAGGAAACGCCTTGGAGTTCCCGATAACCATCCCCCGAACCCGGGAGGGATGAGCACTAGGCTCTCCCGGCTCCCGACGCTGCGCCCTGCCGCAATCAGTGGACAGCCGAATACTTCATTCGTTTCTGTTTCTGTCTCTGGTTGCAGAACCAGACTCTCACCACGTTCTTTTTAAGGTCCAGTTTCTCAGCGATGGCCGCGATCTTCTCAGATGAAGGACGTGGCTGGATAGCGAAATAGGCCTCGAGTGAACGCTTCTCCGGCGCCGCGATGGACGTGCGTTTGCGCTTCCGTTCGCTGCCGTTGAAGAGCTCTGGCTTGCTGTTCTTCTCTCGGTAGGCGGCCTCGGCCTCCTCCAACCAGGCCTGGAGCACCGGCTTGAGAGCGATCATGTTGTTGTGCGAGAGAGTGAGAGACTCGAACCTGCAGATGGTGCTTTGGCTCAGCGAGCCCACGCCGGGGATCTTGAGATTAGCCAGAGCCGCGCCCACGTCCGCCTGGGTCACCCCCAGCTTGATGCGCCGCTGCTTGAAGCGCTCGGCGAAGGCTTCCAGCTCGCGCGGGTCTGACTCCACGTCGCTGAGGCATGCAGGCATGGCGCTATGAGGGGCCACGGTGTGCGGGTGACTCATGCCCATGGCCTGGTGCAGGTGGCCCATGGCGCCCAGGTGGTGTGGATGGATCTGTGCGGGCATCACCGAGTGTTCCGGAGCGCCCAGGCCGCTCACACTCAGCGTGGGCGAGATGTGCTCCAGCAGGTCGCCTTCGAGGCCCTGGTGCACGGCGTGGTGAGGGTGTGAGGTGAGCGCAGCTGGGTGGGAGATGGGCACGGTGGACGAAGTGGACGTGCAGGGCACGCTGCTCATGGTATGGTAGGTGGCGTCGGGCTTGAACGGATGGTTCTTGCCGTGGGAGACGATATCCACCGCCGCCAGAGCTTCGGCGCGTGCCAGCAGGCTCTCATCAAAGCTTCCAAATATATTACCCTGCAGCTGCAAGCGAGAAGGCGCACAGCACGGTCAGTAGGGAATACTGTCAACACAGGATTAAAACACATTTTCAAGCAACCGAGATGCCTCTCCTCAAAGCCCAGGTCATAAAAATTAATACGGAGGCAGCGGCTCTGCTGGAACAGACGTGTGGATCAGAGACATGAATGAGAGAGAGAGCGCGCCGGGAGAGAACGCGGGGGAGACAAGGAGAGGGGTTCAGACAGCGGCGATTGTTCTGGGCGACATGAAAAAAACATGAAGCTAGTGCCTGTCAAAAAATGTGCCTTAGAGCGGTAATTATGCTCCACTACGTACCTGCGGGGCTGGGAGACAGACTCGGCGCATGGCCTCGGAGCCAGAGTGCAGACTGGAGAATTTGGGTTCTTGCAGCACCGGGTGCATGCCGAAAGGCTGCTTGGAGTTCATGGCCATCATCTTCGCGCTCCTGGCAGGGTGGCAGCGGGTGACATGGAATCAGGCTTGTCTAGCTTGCTTGCCGCTCTCCAAGTGAGCGCTGCTCAGCGCCCGCGCTCCCCTCGCCCTCTCGCTCGCTGCCTCCCCTCTCCCCCACCTGCTTCTTCACTCATCTTACAAGCAGCCTGCCAGGAAGGGCCCGGGCGCGCGCAGGCGTGCTCACGCGCCGGGGACTCGCAGGGGCGGCCCGGGAGGTGAGGAGAGACAGCAGCTAGCGGCGCGCCTTTCTGCGCCCGCGGCGGCCGCCCCCTCCACAGCCTTTATACCCGGGCCTGGCCTGGCCTCTCCCAGTCCGCCCCGCCCCGCTGGCTCCAACCCGCCAGACCTTTCCGATTCTTTCTTCTTCGTGGACTTCCCTTCCCCCATGCCACCCCAAAAGTCCCAACCTCTCCGTCCTGTCCCAGCTCGAACTGCCTGGATAAAAGGGTAGCCCTGGGCTGAGCTGGGGCAGGAAGTTGACCCTACTCCAACTTCCCCTCTCCACCACACACACACACACACACACACACACACACACACACACACACTCCGTCGGCCCGGCTGCCGCCAAACTGCCCATTTCCAGGGCGCTCCTGGCCTCACGCCCAAGCTGTCCACCAGAGTCCGGTCCCGCGGCGCAGCGAGGAGGCGCCTCCAAGCGCCCAGACGGGCCCTGGAGAGGGTGAGGGGCTGCCAGAACGAGGCCCAGGTGACCCCTGCCCCACCTCCCTCAACCGCGCTCCGGGGTAGAGGTAGGGGCAGTAACTGCCTTCTCAGTCCGGGGTGGCTTCCTCCCCACGCTTGCCTTTCTTTCTTTCATTTGAGGGATGTAACTTGGCCCACTCTTCCTCCAACCCTCCCGTCTAAGGAAGCTTGTGGAGTATTTTTTTTAGAATAGCGACTGTTCAGGATGGCCCTCCAGGCCTGGGAGTCCTTCAGTGCATTTCTGCTGGGCAGCCAGAGCTTGCAAGCCCATTCCTCGTGACAACAGCTACCGTTTAAGAGTTCCTAATATGTGCTAGACAATTTAGAGTTTGCCCATGGGATTCTCATACCCACCGTATGGAGTAGGTGATGTTATCCCGTTTTACAGATGAGGAAAACAAGGATCAGAGGGGCTAATGATTAGCCCATTCACTCACTCACCCAGTTATCCATCCATCTTACAAATATTTACTGACGGCCTGCTGCTTCCCAGGCGCCTTAGCCTCTTGGTCTTCCTTCTCAAAGTTTCGGAACTTGAGGGCTCTCGAGGTTAGCACTGCCCGCCTCCACCTCCCCTAGCCTCTTTTTCTCTCTACTTCCCTCTTCTTTCCTCTCCCTTGCCCCGCTCTAGTAAACATCGTGAATAATGGATGGGGAATCCTGGACCTCGACTACGCTGCACTCCGGTTCGGAGAGAAACCCCGCGCGTGCAGCTGTACCCCCTCGTCAGGGCCACTGCCTCCGCTGAGAGAGCGATCTTCGGGGCTTAGAGACCTCACCCTGCCTGTTATTGTGCAGGGTATGTGCGTGCCGGGTTTCCCAGAATCTGAACGAGGTGGGGTGGTGTGGTTTAGGGGAACATCCCTTAGTCCAAGAGGACGCCCTGACAGATCCGGGCTCCCTCTTCCCCTCGGCGCCCTCCAGTTGCTTTTCTCCCCATCCGAGCCAGCCCCCTCCGCTGGTTCCCGCCCTGCGATGGTGGGAAAAAGACTCAGCCCAGGTGCCTAGAGCCAAGCGCAACCCTTTCGCTAAAGCCCTCTGAGCCTCGGTTTCGGCGGCTCTTAAATGGAATTGCACTACTGTCTGCCTCCTTGGATTCTGGTGAAGACGTTCAGAGTTAGGGTAAGAAGAAAAGCATTGAGCCACGAAATTGGTGCTCAGTAAACTCCCTCACAACCTGGTGCCATAGCGCTCAGGCCCTGGCCTCAGATTCAAAATGCGCCTCTGCCTCTTGCTGGCTGAGACCACGAGATATTCTCAACTTCTCTGTACTGCGGTGTCCCCATCTGTAAAATGGGGGTGATCATTTATTTCCCATTGATTGTTGTGAGGAATGCACTGGGATAAGCACATGGCACAGTGCCTGGCGCATTGATATCATTGAATACATGTTCCTCTCTTCTTCCTCAACTTAAAGAGAAAGCATGTGAGAGTGGGGGTGGGCCAAGTCATCCTCCTGGAACCCGGTTTGTCTGCACGTGCATACTGTGGATCCTTGCTCTCCATTCACCCAACATCTGCATTGTGCCAGACCCCATGCCAAAGGCTGGGACACAGATGTGAATCAGAATCCATCCTGGCACTCAAGGAGTCACCAGTCTAATATTCACTTCAGAAAGTTAACTCTAAACTTGCCAAGCAGTAGAAGGGAGGTAGATTCATGAACAAGACACAGAGCATAAGGGTGGCAGGATTCTAGAAGTGCAGAATACACATCAGAACTATGGGCTGCAGGAGGGCTGGATTTGGGGCTGCATTCTGACACGGAGTATGGGTGACCCTGACTGGACCTCAGTTTACCTACAAGGAGTGGGCTGTATAAGATGATTGCTAAGCTTTAACAAGACTTCCAGCTTTAACAAGACTATCATTCTGGTTAATTTGAATGAAACATACTTTGAGCATGTCAGGAATTTATCTCCAGAGACACTCAACTCCCCAGAGCTGAATGCAGTATTTTATCACTCACTAGGATTTAAGACCAGTCTTTGTTTTCTTCCCAATGCTGGAAGCCCAAAGGGAAAAGGGGAATGAAACACAGGGATACACTGGTCTGTATTTTGCCTGGTCCCATGATGCCCTGAGACCCATAATCATTCCATAATACCCTAGTTGTCTGTGAAGCTGAACCCCTAGAAACTGGGAGAGAAAGGATTCATATCCATTCTCTTTTTCTGCTCTGTCCTCTCAGGGGTCTGGGAGATACTGGCCAGCATAGAGGTCAGGCATGAGTCAGAAACAGAGCAAAACTAACTGGTCCTCACATGCCTCCAATGTTGACCTTCACCTTACCAGCCCCTACTCCAGCATCCCCAGGCATTAGGATCACACATCAAGAAACACACCTGTGTCTGGTCCCATGTGTTTTAGGGTTTTTCCCATCTTCCCCTCTAAGAAGGTCTACTGGCAGTTCTAGGCAGCCAGCGGTAAGACAACACCCATCCTTAAGGACCAGTCTTTTTGAGAAGGCCTTGGAGATAACAGACTGGAGACTGGAGAAGAAAAGAGGGAAAAGACCATAGAAAAAGCAATTGGAAGGACAGCCTTAGACGGCAATTTGTAACAGCCTCTATGCTTTCCAGAATTTGTAAACTTAAATTCTATAAGGTGCAAAACTAGTAAAATAAAATTGAGCAACTTTATCTGGGTGGATAAAAGGAAAGATTGAAACTGTGGTAAACTAGAGAGCACTTACCCACCCCCCCCCCCACCACCATGGCATTAAATTACAATCACACACACACACACACACACACACACACACACACACACTCATACCATTTATGGGCCAAACAAAATATGTGAAGGTCCATGTAAGGACTATGTGGGCATTTATGCAAGTGGCATTGAAGGAAGAATTTTCCCCATTCGATAAGCATTTCCAAATACCTACTAACAGCAGAGTCTTGTGGAAGGCCTTGAAGATACAGAAGACACTGCTTCAGGAGCTCAGAGTCTAGTAGGGACATAGATTTGCCACATGTAAGGTGAAGTCAGGGCACAAAGCACCATATCCTCCAGAAGGACTAGCCTTGTAGAGATGCAAAGGGGGTAGGGGCCTGGGGGCAGATGCATTTTCCTGTGTGCCAGCGGTTCTCAATTTTAGTATGTGTAGGAATCATCTGCAACCTCTTAAAATACAGCACCACAGGCCCACACCCAGAGATGCTGACCTCAAAAACTAACGTGCTTTTTAATAGACATCCATGATTTTGGATGCAGAGGATCTGGGACTCTGAACTTGAAAAACTTAGTCTATACCCTTGTCACTTGGATTATTATTATTATTATTATTATTATTATTATTATTTTAAAATCCTGCCCTAATTATGTAAGCTTCATGGAGACTCAAAGAGAGTTTTCCTTCTTTGAGCTTCCAATGTCTTTTGCATCTTCCCTTATTATCTCTTAGTAAGAACGTGGTGTTTTATGATCTCTGCTCCTTGAAGAACTGTCTGTGTTTCCAGTGCCCATGTCTACAGGCCAGGCAACATTAAGAGCTTGATGTAATTCATGTTGAATTAATGAACTCTGGCCAGGGGGGTGTCCATGATGATGGTGACAAGAAGGGCCATTTATGGAGTGGTTCCTATGTACAAGGCTCTGAGCTAGATGCTTTGGAAGTGTTGTACACTGAGTCTCCAAATCAAGCCTGTGAGGTTGATATCATTATCCCCATTTTACAGATGAAAAAAAGGAGGCATAGAAAGACTAAGTAAGTTGCCCAAGGCCACACAGTTAGGCAGTAGTAGCATGGGGAAGGGAGCCTTGGTTTATCTGATTCTGGAGCTCAGGTTAGTCCTAACTAACATCCTGGGCTGGCACTAGTTATCCCATCTCCCAAGCCCAGGGTCCGAGGGAGTAGGGTGAGCAGGTTTTACTTCTCTTCTTGCTTCCGGAGGCTGGCCAGGCTCCAGGCATGCTTCCGGGCACAGGTTGCACTTGGAGAAGCCAGCAGCTACCCCCACCCACCTTCATTCCCAAGCCCCACATTGGAGAGTTGGAAAAGGGGCAGGGAGGGTGGAATGGGATATGGCCCCGATAGGAGGGCCCGAACTCAAGATGCCATCGCGCAGCGAGGCAGCTGGCGGGGCTGCCTGGCCAGGTGTTCGCAGCCGCCTGACTTGCCTTCCTCTCCCTTTCTCTGGTCGCCTTTCACAAACTTCTCACATGTACTCGCCGCCTGCGCAGCTGCTGCGGGACTCGTCTGTTGGCCGCTGCCTTGCATTGTCTGCAAAGTGGCTCAGAGGATCCGAGACGCCCAGAGGGATTCAGGGGCCAGAGGCCGAGCGTCCGTGAGGGCTCGGCACGTGCCAGGAGCCCTCCCCTTCCCCCTAGATGCCCCGCCATGGACACAGCCCTGGGACTCAGGCAGTAGGACTCCAAACAGGTTCTTGCCTCCTCAGTTTCCCCATCTGAAAAAATGAGTGGACCCAGCCGAGGGATCTCTGATACACCTTCCCAGTTACATTCTTTCACTGAACATATATTTATTGGGCAACTATAAGGCAGCCACCATGATAGGAGATAGGAATTTAGCTATAAACAAGACAGACAACCCCTCACTCCACTCACTTCACTCCCACCTCCCACTCACCTCAGCCCCTCATACCCCCATGGAGCTGAGGCTTCTGCAGAAGGTAAGGAATAAAAAAGATAGCCTTGGATAGTGATAATTGCTACAGAGAAGATAAACCAGAGCGCTGGAATCGAGAATATATGAGTAGAAAAGGAAGGAGTGACCTTTGAGCCAAGGCCTGAAGGATAAAATGGAAGACATAATGAACAACACAGGCAAAAGCCCTGAGGTGGGAGCCAGCTCAGGAAGTTCAAGGAAGAGCAAGAAGGCTCGAATGGCTGGAGTGTAGTGAGTGAACTGGGAGCTTTCTGATGGCTGTGCAGGAATTGGGTTGTCAAGATCCAGAGTGGAAGAAAAAGGTTCCCAACTTTTCTGGATTTATTCTACCGCTTCATGGAGAATCAGGATCAATTGTTTGGATCTGAGGTGCCGTTGCTGAGGAGACTATTTCTAATCATTTCCTACATTCAGTGCTTGGCTGTTTTATTCTCCCCCCTCCACCCATAGGTCCTGCTGTGTGTTCATCTTTGAGCTCTAGACTTGAGAATATCTGTGTCATCAGCAGCTTGGCTAGCTCTGTGCTATCTGGACTCAATGAGTCCATCCTGGAAGATGAGAACTGGTTTTGCTCTCCTCTTCTGCAATTCAGAGACATCTTAAAGTTCAAAGCCGTAAGGTCAATTCCCCATGTGACCTAGTGGGTTTTCATCTCTTCCATGGCCAAAGAATTAAGCCATTTCTCTTACCCAGCCGGCTTGAATGTTAAGAGGTGGTGGACAGAGCACTGGAGGTGTGGATTCAAATATGGGTACATGGCTAACCTGCTGGGTGACCCTAGACAAGTCACTCATGGGCTCTGAGTCTCAGTTTCCTTATCACTACAAGAGGGTTAGGGAGACAGGCTCCATCGTCCCCTCTGGTGGAGGTAAGTCAACATTCTAAGTGTGGATCTGGGAAAGAGGATGGAAGCCAAACCCATCATCATAAATGGAAATCAAGTTCTGATGGTTCTGCAAGGTCTTCTACAAGTAAAGCTCTCTTGCCTCATGTATTCATCAAATACTCACTGACCTCCTCTATGTCTAGCACATTCTAGGTCTGGACATACAGTGATGAATGAGTTCCACATGATTCTTGCTGAAAGAAGTGGAGAGTCTGCTGTTGTCTTATTCAGCCCTCGCAATAACTCCCTAGAAGTGAACATTACCCCCTCAGCCTTTCTTTGTAGATAAGGAAACTGAAGCTCAGAGAGGTGAAGTGACTTGTCTACCAGTACACACCTCATTGCTTCATGAGCTCTTATTCAGGTGCTGGTTCTGTACATTCTGTCAGTTAATTTTCACAGAACCCTATCTATAAGGTAGGTACTGTTACTCCCTTTTTTTTTTTACAGAGGGAAGAACTAAGGCTCAGAGAAGTGAAGTGAGCTCCAAGATGTCACACTGAATAAGTGGTAGGGATAGAATCTGAACTCAGGTCTGCTGATCAGAGACCACAGGCTTTTGCCACATAGTACACAGTCTCCAGGAAAAAGAAGCAAAACTTCTTGCCACTTGTTGACCTCCCCCTTAAGCCCTGGACTCAGCAAAGAGAAGCAGAGCCATTAACCAGCCTCTGTAAAATCAAAATCAAAATAAAAATAAAAAATAAAAGAAGAAGAAAAAGAAAGGTAGAAAAGAAAAAGAAAAAGAGAAAACAAGTGAAGGCTTTGCTCGCATCGGGGGGAAATCGGCGTCTTGTCGCCTAGCTCCATGCCCTGATTTATGATAAAAAATTTAGAGGAAATCATTTATATTTTAAAGGATCTAAATAGCTGCATGAAAGTTTTATCTAAAGTGCCACTGTATTTATAGGCAGTTCTTCCATGCTGGAGGTAATTAATAGATGTATAAATCACAGGCCTCCCGGCTCCCCTGCCTGCCTGGCTGGATGGTGGCGTGGGTCTTGGTACTAGGGGACCACGTGAGATGGGGCAGACAGTCTCGAAGAGATGGGCACCATAATTCATCCACCCATTCCCTGCCCCTTGATTTGGGAAGCATTTGCTGAGGTCCCAGGATTAATTCCCACTAGACTGGTAGATGCAGATCAGCTGCAGCAGTTCCCCATTGCCCAACTTCTAATCCCTTTCAAGAGTTGTCAAAAGAGAGCCTGAGAGGCCAGCCCCCCTTCTCTGCCAGCCCTGCAGGGCCAAGGAATTTGCTGCTCCAGTCTGGCAGGTTTATAACCACAGGAGGTCCTGTTAAATGAAATGCTGGGCTCTCTCACTCCTCCACCCCAATTTTAGCCAAACGGCCCATTTCTCCCTCTGTGCCCCCTGCTCAAGATGCCACGTGCTTGTTTTGGAAAAGGGAGTCAGTTGCAAGAGGCTGACAGCTCTCAGCTTACTTTAATTACGGCTGTGAAATATTGATGGTTTTGGCTCTCTCCGTGGCCGCCACACCTTAACGAGCAGGGAGAGAAGCCCAGGGACGAACAAGTTAAGGAAGGCCAGATGGTTTCCCTTCAGAAAAGCCATAAAGACCGAGGGAGGTGTCAGTGCCTGAGATCATCATGGAGTCCTAAATAATTGATGGGTCTCTTGAATTTGAAAAGGAAAAAAATGCACCAAGTTGGAAATAACAGTGATGACTCATTCATGGTTGAACCTTTGGAAATGGAGGGAGAGTGTGTTCACCTGGTGGGCTAGGGGTGGAGAGGCTTGGGGACAAAGATCAGTCATCTTGTCGCTCTTGCTTCATTGAGTTCCTTCCAGCAGGCCAAACTGAGCGGCCATCTCAGTTGGATGTAGGGCAGATAAAGCCTTCTTCACACAAACACAATCCTTTCTCTTCCTTGGGGGGCCAGAGGTGGTAGGCATTCCTTACGAAGGAGAAACTAAACAGCTCTCTTTTTTTAAAGCTCCTTCCTTTCCCAGCCTCTGGTAATGTATCACCAAAAAGTAGGTTTAAGAGGAACTTATACAGTTACCTCTTTATTTCACTATCATCTGTGGGGTTTTGTTTTTTGTTTCTGGCTTTGTTTTTTGCTTGTCCTGTAGCCTTAAACACAGCACTACTGAAAGTTGCCAGCCTGGGGAATCAAGATATTTTGACCTAGTGAATTCCTGTGTGGGAGTTGAAGAGGGTGGATTGTTGGTGAGGGTGGCAGTGGTGGTGGACACCTCATATTCCAAGGCCCATGTCTTCTGTCTGGTTTAAGCCATTTGGGGTGAACTGGAGTGAAAGATTATGTCAGCTTTTGACATGATTTGACCTTGACATATTTTAACACATTAGCCCAGAGGGGCTTTTCAGACTTGCTGTCCCCTTACTATTCATCACTTCACAAACAAAACAAAATACTTACAGCAAATACCACCCCACTCTGTTTCTTCCCATGTATATTTTTCTAGAATTTATTATATTTCTCAAAC
Organism: Homo sapiens; assembly: GCF_000001405.40. NCBI lineage: Eukaryota > Metazoa > Chordata > Mammalia > Primates > Hominidae > Homo > Homo sapiens. The sequence goes on along the minus strand of NC_000005.10, from coordinate 146,330,395 downwards.
AATTTTTTAAAAATCTAACAAATAAGACAATGAAAGTCTGACCCACTCATGGGGCTTAGCCTCTAAGTTCTAGTAAATTACAAATATGAAGAACCTAGAAGCTCTTCTCTATGATTTTTTCAGACTTTGTTTTCTTTCTGTTAGAAGGGTAATTTATCCATTTTTTCTGCTCTTGCATCTTCCTGAGCAGTGTAGAAACTTTTGCATGCACTTGCAACTGAGTCTTTTAAAATTCAGAACCAAGTCTGGTGGTAAATAGAAGGCTCTGGAAATGGATGTCATATTCTAAGGGGTTGTAAACTTCACAATATGGTAGATAGGTACTCTGTTACATTTCATTTCACATTTATAACCTCCTTTTTCTCCAAAGAGCACATTATACATAACCGGCCAGTTTCATTGCCGAAGGAAATGACTGCATCATTTGTGAATAAGTGGTAACTCTTCCTGATCAGAGAGATTTTGATAACTGCTATGAGTGGGGGATGGTTATGTGGTGGAGAGGGGCCAAAGGGCTTGGGTGAGTCAGGCAAACCTTTGAGTTGAGAAGACCTGAATGGGAAGAAGGAACCAGCCATAAGGCAATCTTTAGGAAGAGTCTTCTAGGCAGACAGAACAGTTAGGGCTGCTCCTCAAAATGGAAATGGGTTTGCATGCTCAAGGATCAGGAAGAGGGCCATTGTGCTGGAGCCAACAGAACAAGAGGGAGAGGAAAGGGAGATGAGTTTGGAGAATTGAAGAGATTAAATAAGACTTTAAAAGCCATGGTAAGCAATTTATGTTTTGTTCTAAGTACAGTGCAAGGTTTTAAGCAGGACAGTGATAAGTATTTTGATTAAAAGTCTTATTAAAAAGGTCCAGGTGCCTGTAATCCCAGCACGTTGGGAGGCTGAGGCAGGTGGATCACTTGAAGCCAGGAGTTTGAGACCAGCCTGGCCAACATGGTGAAACCCCATCTCTACTAAAAAACAAAAATTAGCTGGAAGTGGTGGCACACGCCTGTAATCCCAGCTACCTGGGAGGCTAAGACACAAGAATCTCTTGAACCCAGGAGGCAGAGGTTGCAGTGAGCCCAGATCATGCCACTGCACTCCAGCCTGGGCAATAAGACAAGACTCCATCTCAAAAAAAAAAAAAAAAAAGAGAGAAAAGTCTCATAAAAGAGGCAGAACTCAGACTAGACGTAGGCAGGTGGCAGGGAGGTTTGTTTTTCCCCCTGATAGATGCATGGCTCACTGTCACACTTCCTTCAGGTGTCAGGTCAAATGTCACCTTCTCAGTGAAACCTTCCCACATTTCCTCTCCTGTTTTATTTTTCTCTAAAGCACTCATCATCTTATATACCTTATAGCTATATTTTATTTAGTAGTCTATTGTCTATTTTCCTAATAGAATATAAGCTTGATGAGAGCAGGGACTTGGCTTTAGACATTTCTGTATGCTTACTGCCACAAAAACTGCCTAGAGCTCAATAAATATATACTGAATAAATCAATTAACCTGAGTTGAACTTCGACAATATCAGAATTTTGTATATGAAGAGAGTCACTGTCTGTACCATCAGTGAGGCATATATTTTGAAAAGTTTAGCTCCATCCATATCCCCTTTTCAGGTCCCCATGACTGACCGGGGAGGTCACATAGATTTTTTTGTGGTCTTAGGAGGTATCAAAGGTGAGTGGCCAATATGGACATCAACCTTGCCACACAGCATGGTCCCATTGTTCTGTGGCTTT